>NC_000004.12:11197916-11822916 GCF_000001405.40 Homo sapiens | reverse complement strand
TTTTTTTCTCATTTAATTTTAGCTGTGCTGGCTTTTCTGTTCTTCCCTCTTCCAAGAAAGGTTTTCCTCAGATAGCAAGAATCTAACTCCTTTTCCTCCCTGCTCTGCTGCTGCCTTTTCATACAGCCTTTCACTATGCCCTCCCCACTTGATGCTGCAGCCACACCCAACCACCTCCACCTTGCACACTTAATCCTCTTAATGCCTTTTATATTTTTCCTGACATTTATTACTATCTGACATACCTTACATTTAACATACATTTTGTTTATTGTTTCCACCCTCACCCCCCAAATTATATAAATTATATTCTAAGAAAGCACAGATTTTGATCAATATTTGGTCTCCAGCACCTAAAAAGTCCTCAGTACACAGAAGGTTCTCGAAGAATAAATGAAGAAATTAATGAATTTGCAAACTCTGATGTAAGCAATGCTCTTACCTGAGCACAATTACTTTTCAAAATGCAGCGTGCTTGTGGAGTTCAGTTTGATCCAGTTTGCAGTCATCTGAGTGAAAGAGTTTCCTCTTGGAAGTAATTCTGTAAGCCATCAGCTCCCTTAGGGGTGCTTTTATCAATTCTGAAAGCAAGTTTTGCCACTCATCAGCTGTTTGCAGGAGGACTGAGCAGACCTCTCTGTGCTCAGCATTGGAAGCCTCTCTCACCTCCCTCCTGGGACATTTGCAGTTTCAGGAGTATTCCCTGCCTGCTGCAAAGCTCCCTGTTAGCTGGCTCTGCCATCTACATCAAAAAGGTCACCTCTAGTTACTTGTTATTCCAATATGCAACTACTTCATCTATTTTTCTCCTTCACTTTTTTCTTCCCTTGACCTGAGTTAATCCACTCATTATCTGCCTCCCACTTGGATCAAATCCCCCTTCAAATTTAGTTCTTGTTCTGGCCCTGCCTTTGCAGACCTCCACAGGCATTTCACAAGAGTCAGTGTTTAAAGACAACTTTTTTTCAGGCCCAGGCCCAATTGTTGGCCAAAGAACAAAGAAGAATGAGCTACTTTCCAAGGAAACAGGGCTGCTGCCGAGTAGTCCCCTTTCTAACAATGCCCTTCTTGTCTGCAGAAATCTGAATCTCTGTATTAAATAAGAAAAGGAACGAAGTAACAGGTAATATTTGTTGAAATCTACTTTGTTCCCAAGGATTGTGCCTAGAGCATTTTTTATAGTTAGTGTCAAATAATCGTTGCACGCATGCATCCTATACGTTAGGTAGCTAGTAATCAACTCCCTGTAAAATGAGACATTAAAAAAAAAAGAAATATGATGATGCCACCATTGTGCTCAAAACCTTTCAGTGACTTCTTATTTTGTGTAGACTAAAATCCTAAGTATGGCCAACTGGGACTTGTACATCTGTCTGACTTCATACACCAATCCTCTCACTGCCCTCTTACCCTCTGTTACCCATGGTTAGAACCTCATATCTTTTTGCAAAAACTCCAGTGTCTATGCATTTACTGTTTCTTCTGCATGACCTGCTCATCCTTCTCCCCACATATAATCCCTTGGTTCCCAGTATCTCTCAATCCAACTGTTATCTTTCCTGGAAAACATTAGCTGACCAATCTACATGATGGCTGCCAAGTTTGGAAACAGAGAAAACTGTGTAACAGAGGAAAATATCGAAAATGGTTTATCAACATAAAATAATGGTATTTCAACGGCCACATCTTATGGGCAACTTGTATTTAAGTCACGTCCCTTCAATTATCCCTAGTTCTTTATTTTACACATTTCTGTACATTAAATGTGTTTGTTTTCATCATTTCTGTGCCTCATAAGAATATCTGTTCCCCGAGGATAGAGCCTTGCTATGTTTACTGCCAGCTCCCTGAGGTCTAGAGGCATGATGTTAGAGAATTGGCAGCAGTTAACTCTGGTGAATGAATGAACTGAGCAAGTAGAAGTGCAGGCAATGTAAATAACTTGTTCAAGTTCACAGAGCTACTAAATGGCTTAGTCAAAATTTGAAGCAAATTCTGATTCCAAAGCCAACATTTCTTCCACCACTACAGATACAATTCCCCTTCTTGTCTTGTGGTCGTTTAAAACTGTAAAAGCACCAGGGTATGAATGGAAAGGATAGTCAGCAATGAACTTATAACCAGGCCACTGGCAAATGAAATGGAAGCAGCCCTGGCATAAGGCGAGGTGACAGCATGTCAGGAGGGAGCAGAAACTTGGGAGTCCCAGGGAGCCATGTCCATCACCGCCTCTTCTACTTCCTAGAAGTTTTGAACTGGAGTATTTGTGTTGGGTTTCAGTTTCTTCAGCCACATAATAAAAACTAGAGTAATTTGTAAAATGATCATATTATCCATCCAGCCTCTGAGACTCAGACATCCTGAAATCAAATTCTGATATCATAATACGAACACTGACCGTGACCAAATAATTTGAACTTGTTAACCCAATTTAAATTTAAATTAAGAGAATACAAATTGAATTAGAGATACAAATAATATCTTAATGTAGGTTCATCAATTGTGAATAATGCAAGACTGTTGGGAAGTGTCAATAATGAGGAAGGCTGTGCACAGATACATGGAAAGTCTCTGTACCTTCCTTTCAATTTTGATGTGCAACTAAAACTGCTCTAAAAAAATAAGTCTTAGGCCAAGGCAGGCAGATCACGGGGTCAGGAGATCGAGACCATCTTGGCAACATGGTGAAACCCCATCTGTACTAAAAATACAAAAAAAATGAGCCAGGTGTGGTGGTGGGCGCCTGTAGTCCCAGCTACTTGGGAGGCTGAGGTAGGAGAATGGTGTGAACCCAGGAGGCGGAGCTTGCAGTGAGCCAAGATTGCGCCACTGCACTCCAGCCTAGGCTACAGAGCAAGACTCTGTCTCAAAAAGAAAAAAAAAAAGTCTTTTTGTGAAAAAAGTATGCTGGCTACAAAGGAGATACTCCTCCCTCCTGAGGAAGTCCCTGATGATTGACCTTTCTACAGAAACCACTTGATATGATTATAAGCTATAAACAAACAAAAACCTCATATATCAAAACTCAAAAACCTAGTAAAGAAGGTCACCCCCTTCAGTGGCTTTTAGGAGATAAAATGGGATTAGGGCTCTCCCTTTTCTCTCATCCAAGCTTCATCTTTATTCTCACACATTTTATAGAACATAAGTTATGACAAAAATAGTATATTCAACATAGAATAACTGTGAGTTTATTCATGTCATATAAATTCCTTAGCACATTGGTCAATTTATGCAAGTAGTTTCATGCTACTACAAGTTTTGCATCTTCTTTTTCTTTGTCATCTTCATACTCGTTGTTTTTTAGGTGATACAGAAGAATTCCTTTCTTGAAGACAGAGATTATTTCCTATGTATATTTCTCATCTATTGCTCTACTAGGAGAATTTAAAAGCAATACTACATGCTTACAAACATTTTTGGGTTAACTAATGGTAAACTATTATAATAATGTGAACTTGTAATATGGCTTCATATCCATTGTTTTGCTTATGAATATATACTGGAAAATTTTAGTGGAGAAATCTAGCAGTTTTTGTTGTTGAAAAATAATCAACAACACTGATTTTTAAGCTTTAGAATCACTCATTCCACATTATTTTGTTGATCTTCACAACAACCCTGCATGGCAGGGTTGAGTGATAATTCTATTCTGTTTGGTCCTCATGGAAGCCTTCCTGTGTCTTATCTATTTCTCCTTCCATGATCTTCCATATTTCACAATTCTCAATGAACTTCTTTTACTCATCTGCTATATTTTAGTCAATACATATTTAGAGCCAACAAAATGTTTTCCAAACATTTCTTAAGTGCCCACCATGAAAGATCTAGAGATAAATTAGCATCAACTTTGGAGCAGGAAATTTGGATTCTAGGAGAAACAGGTACATGAACAACATAACCCTGAATTCCTCATGCTACCTTTGTCTGCAGGTACAGTTGGATCAATACAATAATAAAAGCAGAAAAACGAAAAACCTCCTTACCTCAAGCCTCATCTACAGACACAGCAGAAATCTAGCCCCAGAGATTCTTAGTCCACATAAATCAGGATCACCTGTGCTGTACTTCTTGGCAAGGCATATTTGCCAAAGGGTGGGCAAAACATGGATTGAGGAACCTCATAAAAATCCCTGAAGTGGGCAGGGCGCGGTGGCTCACGCCTGTAATCCCAGCACTTTGGGAGGCCGAGGCGGGTGGATCAAGAGGTCAGGAGATCGAGATCATCCTGGCTAACATGGTGAAACCTCGTCTCTACTAAAAATAGAAAAAATTAGCCAGGCATGGTGGTGGGCGCCTGTAGTCCCAGCTACTCTGGAGGCTGAGGCAGGAGAATGGAGTGAACCCGGGAGGAGGAGCTTGCAGTGAGCCGAGATCGCACCACTGCACTCCAGCCTGGGTGACAGAGTGAGACTCTGTCTCAATAAATAAATAAATAAATAAATAAATAAAATCCCTGAAGTTCATAGAAAAGAAGAATTGTTTCAGGAAGCAACATCTCAGTGAAGTGCAAGAATGCTAGGAATTAGCTCATCAAACCAAATGGTGATAGACATTTAGAAACAGGAGAATTTTAAATCACAGTGTTTGCAATGATAGGGGAAACTTAGAGGCAAAGATATTCTTTAAGGAAAATAACATATTAAATCCACCTGAGTACTACCTACAAACTAGGTTTCTTCACACATTCCCCTAGCATCTTTCCATCTAGATAAAGACATGCCTTCGCATACATAGAACTTGTAAAAATTCCTTTAAAAGAAATAATTAGATGGGTACTGTAAGCTCTGAGCTTAAAATGGCCATACTTGGTATAGTACAATTATAGGTCAGTTTTTAAAAAAATATACTTAAAGATGATTTTTGCACAGAGAATCCACTAACACCTATGTCTTCAATATTCTTTGTTTAAAATTTGAAAAGGTATAAGTATGCGTGTGTGTGTGACATGTCTTTCCACTAATCAATAGCCTATCTAAAATGCTTCAGCAGCCAAGTGAAATGGAGATTAAGGGCATCCACTGAGAAAAGATCAAGGGAAATGGTGAAGAATGACGCTTCTTAAGGCTTATCTAATTCAGCAGCCAGTAGTCAGTGGTTGGGGCAGCATTTTGCCCTTCTCCCCTTGAGGATGCCAGTTTGTGCATACTAGAAGCATTTAGGGATTTCGATAAGAAAACGCCTCTCTCCGGTTTGGAGCTGATTGACTGTGACTGCCCCCTGCTATCACTTCATGGCATCTGCCTTGACGATCATCATTTGATTTTCCCAACAACTCTATAAGGTTTGTTATGTTCATTCTATTTTATAAGAGAAGAAAACTGAGGTTCTAAGAGTTTAACAAAATGACCTGAGTTTTCAGAAGACACTAAGTGGCCAGATTTGTACTGAAAGACCGGACTCCTCTAACTATGAGCTATGAGAATTGAGAGCACATGTTTGCTATTTCTGGTAGGTAGCCTGCATGAGAGTATCCAATAACCCATCTCCTGATATCCACACCATTGTGTAATCCCCTCCACTTGAATGTGCACAGGACTAAATAACTCACTTTTCATAAATAGAATATGGCAGAAGTGATGGATTCCTCATCTTTGAGATTAGATTTTACAATAGTGTGCTCTGGGGGAAGCCAGCTTCCCTGTGATGACAGAGCTATGTAGAGAGGCCTACATGAGTGAACTCAGGAGATCTTTTGACATTTTTCTCTTAACCAAGAGAGTGAAGTTGTAAAGATTTTCCAAGGCCTGCCAACAGCCACAGAAATAGAACTCTTTCTAGTAGAGACTTGAGATGACCACAGCCAGGGCTGATATCTTTCATCATCATCATCATCATTATTATTATTATTATTATTATTATTATTATTATTACTTTGAGACGTGCTCTGTGGCCCAGGCTGGAGTGCAGTGGTGGGATCTTGGCTCACTGCAACCTCTGTGTTGCTGTGTTGATGCGATTCTCCTGCCTCAGCCTCCCAAGTAGCTGGGATTACAGACATGTGCCACCACGCCTGGCTATTTTGTTTTTGTATTTTTTGGTAGATTCAGGGTTTCACAATGTTGGCCAGGCTGGTTTTGAACTGGCCTCAAGTGATCCGCCTGCCTTGGCCTCCCAAAGTGCTAGGATTATAGGCTTGAGCTACCGTGTTTGGCCCAGGGCTGATATCTTGACTGAAAATTTTAAGAGACCCTAAGCCAAAACCACCCAGCTAAACTACTCCCAAATTCTTGATTCATAAAAACTGGATAATGAAAGGTATGTTGTTCTCAACAGCTGCTTTTGGGGGGAGTTTTTAATATAGCAACAGATAACTAATACAATATTGCTCTAGAAACCTACTTTTTTGGTGTTACTGAAGTGTAATGAATAATATATGTCATTTTCCAAAAACTTCATCATTATAATTTCTAAGAACTTCAGCATTATAAAAAATTCTTGTGAAGTAAGTACATGCCACCAGTTTACAGACAAAATAAATTTATGTATTATAAAACATAGCAATAGGTGATGTAATTTACATGAATCATGACATGTTTTAGCCCTGACTTAATTTACAATTAAGGATCGTTTACCTACCATGATGATAATGCAATAAAAAGATAAGAGTGCATGACAGATTCATTTAGAAAATTAAAAAATATTGACTTTAGGATTGATTTTCCTGGTATATGGGAGTGAGTAGTCAAGAAAAACCAGGGATATGGAGGATGTTTACATTTTGATCTTAAGTGCATAAAAATGGCTTTTAGATATAATTTTTGGCTAATTTGGTGAAACTAAGAGAAATATAAAGTAGAGATAGAGTAAGACCTATTTCTGTTTTATTTTTCAATTTTTATTTGACCTCTAAAGTTCCTCTCTTCTACTATTTCCTATCTCTTAAGAAACTTAGATTTTAAGTACCATTTTCTGGATTGACAGAGGTATATCCTTTCCAAGAACTTACTCATTTATTACATGCATCTGGTCCCTGTGAGGGAGACACTACATTGACTTTATAGACCTTGTGAGTTCACGCATTAAGAAGAAATAACAATCAATTATCTGATTTATGTGGCTAAAGACAGATTAATCGGTGACTTTTACATTTCCAATTAAAAATTGTTTGTCTCCTATGTATATTTACTTAGTGTTTAGGATGAATAGCTTGTTAATTTACTTAAAACTAGAGATTTGAAAGCTTCTCAGATTATGTTATAGGTTTTTTTTTTTTTTAATCTTTCTTCTCTTCAAGCTGTAAGTCAAGCTGAAATATTGAAGTTGATCAGAATTAAACTGCTGTCTCCTGGATCCTGTACAACATTCCCTTCACCATGCAAATTTAGTCAACAGAAGGTCAGGTTCAAAACCCTAAAACAACTGTCATGGTAATGATTTTGAAGTAAAGAAACCTCTGACTGGGACTGTGTCTAGACATGGTTACCCAACTAGACTTGGCTATTTAATGATTCTGCCCTCTTGACAGTTGCCTCCATCAAATCAATTGTGTGATGATCTTCTTTAGTTGGCAAAGTAATTTATATTCTCAGCCTATGCAGACATTACAATAGCATTATTACTCTTGAGATGTTTACATTGAAATAAAATTCATATAACATAAAATTAACCATTGTATTTTATTATTTGCTTTTTATTTATTACTAACTTGGGGGGAAGAAGTTCAGAATATTTTTGATAATAATTGTATAAATTTATGGATATCATGTTTCAGTACATGTATATATTGCAAAATGATCAAATTGGCTAATTAGCATACTCATGACCTCAAAAAGTTATTATTTCTGTTTGTTGAGAACCTTTAAAATTCTCTCTTTTAGCTATTTCGAAAAATTCAAACACTGCTATTAATTATCATTACTGGGCTGTGCAATAAAACACCAGGGTATATAACTCATCAGCATTCAGCACATCCACAATATTGTGCAACCACCACCTCTGTCAGCTTGCAAAACATTTTCTTCACTCCAAAAGAAAAACTTATACCCATTAAGCAGTCACATGCCATTCCTCACCCCCACTTCTAGCCCCTGGCAACCACCCATCTGCTCTCTCTCTCTCTCTGTGGATTTTCGTATTCTGGAAATCATACAAATGAAATCATACAATCTGTGGCTTTTTGTGTTTGGCTTTTCCACTTAGCATAATGTGCCTAAGGTATATCCATGTATAGCATGTTTCCATACCTCATATCCTTTAATGGCTTAATAATATTCCATTGTTTGTACTTATCACATTTTGTTCACCCATTTATTTGTTGATGAACATTTGGGCAGTTTCCACTTTTTAGATATTGTAGGTAGTGCTGCTATGAACATTTTATGTACACGTATTTGAGTATCTGTCTTTCAATATACTAAGTTTCCTACAGGATCTTTTTTTTTTTTTTTTTTTTTTTTGAGACAGTCTCCCTCTGTTGCCAGGCTGGAATGCAGTGGCCCGACCTCGGCTCACTGCAACCTCCGCATCCCAGGTTATAGCAATTCTTCTGCCTCAGCCTCCCAAGTAGCTGTATGAACCTTCACACTTTATTAGATTACCTACCACCTACTACTTTATTATGTGAAGCTTGTTTTCCTCAAAATCTTTGCAGGTATTTCCAAGGGAGTCTCTAAACACTAAGCAGAGAAGTGCCTTGTCAAGCTTGAGAGAGGGATTTCCATATTTCCTGTTACTGTTAGTGATACCGTTGTTATTAATATGTTTTATATCTGTCTGTCAATTATGTGTCATGTGTTTTGAATTATGTAAGAAGGATTTTACAGCAGCACATATAACAATAGGAGGGTTATAACAAGCTGCTCTTATTCTGCAGCTGATTTGTTATTTAAACTGAGTGCAGTGGAAAAAATTGCTTGTATTTTTCCTCTTAGTTTTATGTTTCCCTTGCATTCTTACAGCACCAAAAGGTTTCTTTGTAACATAAGACTATTCTAAAGAAGAAAAATAGCCATAATATTTAAACTTACATGAAAATACTTTATTTTGAAGCTGTCTTACGATACATTTTCATAATGGTTAAAAACTGTTTGGTATTTTACGTGGGACATAGGAAAACAATTAGTAATTTTTCTACATCCTAGGCACAAGGGCCTGTTTTTAAATTTTTATTCTCTAGTTTGAATATGAAGTCAAGATTTGGAAGGAAACAGGGCTGAATCTTATGACTACAGATTCAGGACTTCGAAAACAGGTGTTCATCAAGCTGAAAAGAAAAAAATAAAAGAAAAGATATAGTCAAGCTTTTCATAGAACCTGTAGAAAAACCAAGGTTTGTATTTCAGTCGTCTTTACAAAAACAATGAGTTATGTTTCAGAACACTTTCTTCATTTGTTGGAGTATAAAAATAGAGAAAAAGGATGGAAGGGTGTCTTAGATCTGTCTTTTTAGAGGGTTCTACTGCTGAAGCTAAGATGGGGTAAACATTTTAAGTCTGGATGAATAATTATTTGCATATTTTAATGGCCTTGCCAAGTAGAATCTTCATAGATTTGGGTGATGGATGCGTATTTAATTAGCAAACTGAATGTGTTCAAGATAGTAAATCTTCTGGCCCAGGACCATTCCTGTTTTCTCTGCTTTTAATGAGTATTCTATGAAATAAATGAGTTAGATGAGTATTCTATGAAATAAATGAGTTAAATGAGTTAGATGATAAAATACATTTATCTCAAAAACACTGAGGGGACATGGCCACATTTCCATCTTTCAGCTTCTGTTTTCCAGTCACCTGCATCTGAGGGTGTGGATAAACTTCACCTCAGGGCCATCTAGTTTCTATACAAGCCCTCATTCGTCCTTGAAGAGAATTCAGAACAGCACAACCTAACATTTGGGTCCTGTGAATTGTTTGGCTTCTTAACTGTCCTTGACTCTCCTACTTTGGTTTAGAATGCTAATTTTATTTTAGATCCCTCTAGAAGGTGGCAGATACAGCTTGGAGACCTCTCCAGATCTGATGAGAAGGGTAGTTACTTCATCTTGATACAGGAGGCATACGTACTTAGCCACTCTTTCTCAGTCTGTGAAACATATATTGCCTTTGGTACATCACTTCAAAGTTAATTATCAGTTGTTTGAAGGTTAAGTTTATTATAATCTTCTAGTGGCTATGACGTAGGTATATGGCATTATGCTGCCCACCGCCCTCCACCGAAGGTGGTCTGGAGTAGAAGCTAAATTAGAACAAGCTCACTCACCAAGCTGTTAAATAATTTTTAAATATAACCAGTAGCTTTGGAGTTTCTTTCTGTTTTCCTTTTAGGACTAGAATGCCTCCCTACTTAACTCACATGAATTCTTTTGTGCTTCTGTTATGTCCTTATCTCTTAATTCTCCTTGAATGTTTTGTATTCTGTCATATCTCCAACCCTAATCACTGTAACCACTACTCCATATACTTCCTATTCACTTAGATCTTGACATTCTGTCTTGTCAATATCACTGTTATTTCCCACCTAGTACCACCTAATTTAAGGTGTCCTGTCCTAGGCTTCACGAGTGATAATAAGTGCAAGGCTGTTTAGACTAGCTCAGGGTTGTCACAGGCCCTGTGCCATGACCTGTTCAGAATATTCACTTGTCCCTGGCTTTTTGAGATTCTAGCTTGGTTTTGTGTGTTTGCCCTTCTTATGACAGGTTTGCTTCTCCAGTCATTGTGAAAGTCAGCCCTGATTATTTGACTTGTTCCTCAAATGTTGGTTCTTCTGTTAATTCTCCCACTATAGCTTCACATTTAGAAAGTCAGTGTTTCCAATCTCATTCCTACTGAAGATCAAAACAGATCCCTTTATTTAGTCCTCGATACCTCAATGCTATGCCTGTTGCAGAAGAGGGATTATTTCCAGTGCAAGTGCTTCTTGTTGCTTCTAGTCTCCTCTTCTTCACTCTCCTCTCTCTTTTCTATCTCCTTATATGTCCTTGATATAGATTGATGGATTATTAATGAATAAACAAAAACAAACACACAAACAAATTTCATGCACATCCCTATGAAGAGACTACCAAATAGGCTTTGTGTGAGCAATAAAGCTTTTAATCACCTGGGGGCAGGCAGGCTGAGTCCGAAAAGAGAGTCAGCAAATGGAGATAAGGGTGGGGCCATTTTATAGGATTTGGGTAGATAAAGGAAAATTACAATCAAAGGGGGGTTGCTCTCTGGCGGGCAGAGTGGGGAATCACAAGGTGCTCAGTAGGGGAGCTTTTGAGCCAGGATAAGCCAGGAGAAGGAATTTCACAAGACAATGTCATCAGTTAAGGCAGGAACAGGCCATCTGGTTGCGCACATGCAGGTCACAGGGGTTATGATGGCTTAGCTTGGGCTCAGAGGCCTGATATTCCTGTCTTCTTATATTAATAAGAAAAATAAAATGAAATAGTGGTAAAGTGTTGGGACGGTGAAAATTTTTGGGGGTGGTATGGAGAGATAATGGGCGATGTTTCTCAGGGCTGCTTCGAGTGGGATGAGGGGCGGCATGGGAACCTAGAGTGGGAGAGATTAAGCTGAAGGAAGATTTTGTGGTAAGGGGTGATACTGTGGGGTTGTTAGAAGAAACATTTGTTGTGTAGAATTATTGGTGATGGCCTGGATATGGTTTTGTATGAATTGAAAAACTAAATGGAATAAGAGAAGGAGAAAAACAGGTATAAAAGGTCTAAGAATTGGGAGGACCTAGGACATCTGATTAGAGAGTGCCTAAGGAGATTCAGCATAGTCCTGCCAGCAAAGATTATTTATTTACTTCAAGAGTTTAGAGCAGCAGTTTGGGGATAGCACCAGGAGATATCAGCTGTGAAGGCTTGGAGAAACAGTA
Source organism: Homo sapiens (assembly GCF_000001405.40). NCBI lineage: Eukaryota > Metazoa > Chordata > Mammalia > Primates > Hominidae > Homo > Homo sapiens. The sequence goes on along the minus strand of NC_000004.12, from coordinate 11,811,102 downwards.
TAAACCGGCAGTGTAAACAAGATCAGGGCATGTATGAGTAGTTGAGAACAGTGAATAGGAGTATGACTAGACAGAAGATAGTAGGGATGACAAGATTTTGGGGGGGCACAGTCTAAGTTGGTCTGGTGTCTGGAATGAGACTAGGGCCTAATAAAAAGGAGCGTCTATACAGGAGCTTAAATGGGCTGTACCTTGTAGCATTCTGAGGACAGGCCTGAATTCTGAGAAGCGAAAGTGGTAAAAGTATTGTCCAGTCCTTTTTAAGTCGGTGACTGAGCTTCGTGAGGTGTGTTTTTAAAAGACTATTAGTCTGTTCTACCTTTCCTGAAGACTGAGGACTGTAAGGGATATAAAGGTTCCACTGAATACTAAGAGCCTGAAAAACTGCTTGGCTGATTTGACTAATAAAGGCTGGTCTGTTATTAGACTGTATAGAGGTGGGAAGGCTAAATTGAGGAATTATGTCTGACAGAAGGGAAGAAATGACTGCGGTGGCCTTCTCAGACCCTGTAGGAAAGGCCTCTACCTATCCAGTGAAAGTGTCTACTTAGAATAAGAGGTATTTTAGTTATCTGACTCATGGCATGTTGAGTAAAGCTAATTTGCCAGTCCTGGGTCAGGGCAAATCCTCGAGCTTGATGTGTAGGGAAGGGAGAGGGCCTGAATAATCCCTGAGGAGTAGTAGAATAGCAGATGGAACACTGAGAAGTTATTTCCTTGAGGATAGATTTCCACAATGAAAAGGAGATGAGAGGTTCTAAGAGGCGGGCTAGTGGCTTGTACTATAGCATAGCCTGCCTTTGATGGTGTGTGGCAATTAGGCCTAGTGGAACTGCCATCAATAAATTAAGCGTGATCAGGGTGAGGAACAGGAAAGAAGGAAATATGGGTAAATGGGGTGAATGTCAGATGGATCAGAGAGATACAGTCATGGGGGTCAGGTGTGGTATCAGGAATAATGTGGGAGGCTGGATTGAAGTCCAGGCCAAGAACAATGGTAATTGTGGGAGACTCAACAAAGAGTGAGTACAGCTGAAAGAGCCAGGGAGCAGAAAGTATATGCATCAGGTATGAGGAAGAAAATAGATTTTGGAAGTTATGAGAAATGTAGAGAGTGAGTTGAGCATAGCTTGTGATTTTTAGGGCCTCTAAAAGTATTAAAACAGCGGCAGCTGCTGCACACAGACATGAGGGCTAGGCTAAAACAGTGAGGTCAAGTTGTTTGGACAGAAAGGCTACAGGGTGCAGTCCTGGCTCTTGTGTAAGAATTCTGACCACGCTAACCATGCCTAGGAAGGAAAGGAGTCATTGTTTTGTAAGGGATTCAGGTTTGGGAGATTAATTGGACACAATCAGCAGGGAGAGCACGTGTGCTTTTATGAGAATTATGCCAAGATACGTAACAGATGAGGATGAAATTTGGGCTTGACTGAAGTAACGGGGGCTGTCTGTGAAGCTTTGCGGCTTTATAGCCCAGGTAATTTGCTGAGCTTAATGGGTGTCAGGGTCAGTCCAAGTGAAAGCAAAGAGAGGCTGGGATGAAGGGTGCAAAGGAATAGTAAAGAAAGCATGTTTGAGATCTAGAATGGAATAATGGGTTGTAGAAGGAGGTATTGAGGATAGGAGAGTATATGGGTTTGACACCGTGGGGTGGATAGGCAAAACAATTTGATTGATAAAGCGCAGATCCTGAACTAACCTGTAAGTCTTGTCTGGTTTTAGGACAAGTAAAATGGGGGAATTGTAAGGAGAGTTTATAGGTTTTAGAAGCCTGTGCTGTAGCAGGTGAGTGATAACAGGCTTTAATCCTTTTAAAGCATGCTGTAGGATAGGATATTGGCATTGAGTGGGGTAAGAGTGATTAGGTTTTAATGGGATGGTAAGGGGTGCAAGATCGGTTGCTAAGGAGGGAGTAGAGATATCTTATACTTGTGGGTTAAGGTGGGGAGATACAAGGGGAGGATGTGAAGGAGGCTTTGAACTGGGGGAAAAGGTGGCAATGCAGTGCGGCTGTAGCCCAGGAATAGTCAGGGAAGCACATAATTTAGTTAAAGTGTCTCAGCCTAATAAGGGAACTGGGCAGGTAGGGATAACTAAAAAGGAGTGCTTAGAAGAGTATTGTCTAAGTTGGCACCAGAGTTGGGGAGCTTTAAGAGGTTTAGAAGCTTGGCCGTCAATACTTAACAACAGTTATGGAGGCAAGGGAAACAGGTCCTTGAAAAGAAGGTAATGTGGAGTGGGCAGCCTCCGTATTGATTAAGAAGGGGATGGACTTACCCTCCACTGTGAGAGTTACTTAAAGCTCGGCATCCTTGATGGTCTACGGGGCTTCCGAAGCGATGGGGCAGCATCAGTCTTCAGCTGCTAAGCTGAGATGATCTGGGAAGGAGTCAGTCAAAGAGCCTCGGGCCAGAGTTCCAGGGGCTCTGGGAATGGCTGCCAGGTGAGTTGAACAGTGTGATTTTCAGTGGGGTCCTGCACAGACGAGAGGAGGCTTAGGAGGAATCCTGGGCTGCAGGCATTCCTTGGCCTGGTGGCCAGATTTCTGGCACTTGTAGCAAGCTCCTGGGGGAGGCGGCTCTGGAGGGACGCCTGGCTGCTGCGGTTCAGGTGTTTGGAAGTTCTTGTGTGCTGGAGATGTGGCTGGGGTTTGTCTCACAGTGGAGGCAAGGAATTGCAACTCAGAAATACACTGTTACTTGGCTGCCTCTACTCTATTATTGTACACCTTGAAGGCGAGGTTAATTAAGTCCTGTTGTGGGGTTTGAGGGCTGGAATTTAATTTTTGGAGTTTTATTTAATGTCGAGAGCAGATTGGGTAATATAATGTATATTGAGAATAAGACGGCCTTTTGACCTTTTAGGGTCTAGGGCTGTAAAGCATCTCAGGGTTGCTGCCAAATGAGCCATGAACTGGGCTGGATTTTTATATTTGATGAAAAAGAGGCTGAACGCTATCTGATTTGGGATAAAGAAAAAGGAGCATTAACTTTGACTATGCCTTTAGCTCCAGCCACCTTTTTAAGAGCAAATTGCTGGGCATGTGGGGGAGGGCTAGTCGCGGAATGAAACTGTAAGCCTGACTGGGTGTGAGGAGGGGAGGTGATAAAAGGATTATAGGGTGGAGGAGCGGAGGCTGAGGAAGAATTGGGACCTAGCTCGGCCGGGCGAGGAGGGGAGAGGTCAGATGAGTCTATAGAAAAGGAAGATTAGAAAGACTCATTGACACTTGGGGTTGGGACTGAGGGGACAGGTGGGAGGGAAAGAAGGAAGATATGGGATGAGTTGCACTGGGCACAGAGACTAGGGAGGGACTGATGTGTAAAAGAATGCCTGGAGGTCAGGCACCTCAGACTGTTTGCCTATTTTACAACAAGAGTTATTTAGATCTTGCAGGATGGAAAAATTGAAAGTGCCGTTTTCTGGCTATTTGGAACCACTGTCAAGTTTGTATTCGTGTCAAGCAGCATTGCAGAAGAAAATAAGGCATTTAGATTTTATGTCAGGTGTGAGTTGAAGAGGTTTTAAGTTCTCGAGAGCACAGGCTAAGGGAGAAGAAGGAGGAATGGAGGGTGGAAGGTTGCCTATAGTGAAGGAGGGAAGCCCAGAGAAAAGAGAGAGTAGAGACACAGAGGGAAGGGGTTCGGGGGTTCTTACCATCCAGAAAAGCAGGAAAGGGGTTGGGGCACGGAAATAAGGGGTAGAGGCACAGAGATAAGAGTTCAGGGCATGGAAATAAGGGATTGGGGATTCTTGCCCCCTAGAAAAGCGGGACTTGCTGCTAAGGGTGAAGGAGAAGGGGTTGAGGGGTTCTTGCCTGTCCTTCAGAAAAGCAGAGAAGGGGTAGAGACATGGAGAGAAGGGGTTGGGGTACTTGCCCCTCCTCCAGAAAAGCAGGACTTGCCACTAAGGGTGAATGACCAAGGCAGGCGGTCCCTGCGTGGTCTGACACCTCTGAAATGTGGGTGAATAATCAGAGAGGCATCCCTGCAATGATTAAACATCAAGGGTAGGCTGCCTTCCCAGTCCGTGACCGGTGCCGGAGTTTTGGGTCCACGGATAAAACGTGTCTCCTTTGTCTCTACTAGAAAATGAAAGGAATTGAAATGAAGAGAAGGGAGAGATTGAAGTGTGGCTCCAAGATTGAAAGGAGAAAGAGGTTGAGGGATAGTGAGGGAGGTTGGAGAAGAGAGTAAAAAGAGGCCGCTTACAGGATTTGAAATTGGTGAGACGTTTCTTGGGCTGGTCAATCTGAGGACCTGAGGTTGTAGGTGGATCTTTCTCATGGAGCAAAGAGCAGGAGCACAGGGGATTGATCTCCCAAGGGAGGTCCCCCGATCCGAGTCACGGCACCAAATTTCATGCGCGTCAGTGTGAAGAGACTACCAAACAGGCTTTGTGTGAGCAATAAAACTTTTAATCACCTGGGTGCAGGCAGGCTGAGTCCGAAAAGAGAGTCAGCGAAGGGAGATAAGGATGGGGCCGTTTTATAGGATTTGGGTAGATAAAGGAGAATTGCAGTCAAAGGGGGTTTGCTCTCTGGCGGGCAGAGTCGGGGTCACAAGGTGCTCAGTAGGGGAGCTTTTGAGCCAGGATGAGCCTGGAGAAGGAATTTCACAAGATAATGTCATCAGTTAAGGCAGGAACAGGCCATTTTCACTTCTTTTGTGGTGGAATGTCATCAGTTAAGGCAGGAACAGGCCATTTTCACTTCTTTTGTGGTGGAATGTCATCAGTTAAGGCAGGAACCGGCCATCTGGATGTGTACATGCAGGTCACAGGGGATATGAAGGCTTAGCTTAGGCTCAGAGGCCTGACACAAATTAACACATAAATAAAAGTATAATTTCTGCCATTGTGAGTTCTTTAGGGGACTCACAGTCTAGCAGGGAGAGATGACATTAATGAAATTCAACAAGCACTAAGGCCACAAACAAAACACCCCATATGTGGAAAACATAGTGGTAGGCATAGTTTGTGTGGGAAGATGAGGCTAAGGAGAGCATAGAAATAGTTCTAACACACCCTGCTATTGAATTGCCACCTAGTGGGGAGAATACAGATAATGCATGGCAGCTTAGAGCAATGTGTTAGAAATTTAAATGTGATTGCAACAGGCAGTGAATAAGGAAGTCAGTTTACTGGGGTACTTGAAAAATATTTCATGAACAAGATATTTAAGCTCAAACTGGAAGGACGAATAGAGTTTTATTTACCAGAGAAATGGGAGAATATTACAGGATTGATTTCATTAAGCAAAATGTTGTAAAAGCATCTTATTGTCATAGGTGTTTAAAACTTATTAATTCACCTGGAAAAAGTAGATATTTTGATTAAATGGAATAAAGTATGCAGTTTTGTTTAAGTTTATGGGTCAAAGATAATTGTTACAGTTTTTCACAGTTATCAGCAAAGTCTTTAGTCATCCATAAACATCAGCCAACTGAAGTACAGCAGTGATAACCTTGAGGAAATTAGCATGATTCATTAGGAATTAAGAGGCTTGGGTTAATAAGAAAATTTTTATAAGATGGGTGGGGACAGATTTTACTGTTGAATCAAGATCTACCATTGCTACCTAAATGCTATGTGACTGGCTTTTTGACAACAAACTTAGGGAGAAAATATGATGATGTCTCATTTACAGATGAGAAAAGCAAAATAAAAGAAGACAAGTGATTTGTTGAAGGTCACAAAAAAGGTGGTCTGGAGTAGAAGTTAAATTAGAACAAGCTCAGTCACCAAGCCGTTCAATAATTTTTAAATATAAACAGTAGCTTGGGAGTTTCTTTCTGTTTTCCTTTTAGGACTAGAATGTCTCTCTACTTAATTCACATTAATTCTTTTGTGCTTCTGTTATGTCCTTATCTCTTAATTCTCCTTGAATGTTTTGTATTCTGTCATATCTCCCTGTCTGCACATGACAATATCTATCTTTTTTCCCATGTATTGAATAACTTAATCCTCACAACAATCCTATGAAGCAGGGGAAGAAAGGCTGTAGTTATTTCTGAGATGAGGAAAGTGATATTTGAAATGTTAAATGACTTTGTCAAGGTCATCAGGCTTCTACAGAACAAAACAGGAAAAAAAATTGGACTATTTTTACTGCAAAATGTAGCATTCTTTCAAATCCTTATTTGCAGCATTAAGCTGTGATTATGTCTCAGAAACATCCCATATGTATTCAAATTATACTTTATATTTAGACCAACTTTACATTTACAGAAAAATTGGGAATATAATACAGAGAGTTTCTTTCTATCTACTCTTTCCACGTAGTTTTCCTATTGTTACTGTGTTACCTTTGCATGGGAATTAGTCACAACTGATAAACTAATATTGATACATTATTATTTTCTAAAGTCCACACTTTAATCAGATTTTCCTACTTTTTATTTAAGGCCTGTTTTTTTCTGTTTCAGGATGCCTTATCATATTTAATCTTCTAAGGCTCTTCCTGGCTGTAACACTTTCTCAGACTCCAGCAAGACTTATCACTGTTGATGTTGACTTTGATCACCTGGCTGAAATGGCATTTGTCAGATTTCTCCACTGTAAAGTTACATTTTTATTCCCTTTCCATGGTATACCCTTTGGAAGGAAGTGATTATGAGGGATCTACACTTAAGGAATGAGGAGTTATGCTCCCCTTCCTAAGAATAAAATAGTTACAAAAATTATTTGGAATTCTTCTGCATGAGACATTTGTCCCCTCTCTATTTATTTAGTCAGTCACATTTATATCAGTTGGACTCAAAGATATTTATTTTATACTTTGAGCTATAATTTAATATTACTTTATTTTGTTGTTCAAATTGCTCCAGATGTAACATTGCTATTGGTTTCTTTAAAGTAAAGTTCAAATTTAATTTGATTTCTAAATAATTCTTTGATATGTAGGCAATTGATTGAATTATATATTTGTATATAAATATATATAAAGAATATATACACAAATACATATAGAAGGAACATAGAAATATATATATATATATATATATATATATATATATATATATATATATATACATATAGAGAGAATATACATAGACAGAAAAGAGGTTTAATTGACTCATGGTTTTACAGGCTGTACAGGAAGTATGGTGCCAGCATCTACTTCTGTTGAGGGACTTGGGAAGCTTTCAATCATGGCAGAAGGTGAAAGGGAAACAGTATGTCACATGGCAAGGATGGAAGCAAAAAGATGGCTTGAATGTTCTATATTAACCTTATATTCTGTGAGATTGCTATATTTGTCTATTAGTTACAAGGAGTGCTTTTGTCCACTTTTCCTAATTCCCTACGTAGACAATCATGTCATGTGTGAATAAAGATTTCTTTTTGTTTCTTCCTTTTAAATCTGTGTACTTTACTTACCATTTCTTATTTCATTGCACTAGCTAGGACTTCTAGCGCAGTGTTGAATAGGTGTAAAGAGAGAAGACATTCTTACCTTATACCCAGTCTTGGGAGAAACAATTAAGTTTCTCACCATTGAATACATATTAGACAAAGAACTTTTGTAGATGTTCTTTATGAAGTTAAGGAAGTGCCCCTATATTTTTAATTTGCTAAGAGTTTGTATCATGAATGAGTGCTACATTTCGTCAAATGCATTTTCTGAGACAACTGATATGATCATCTTATTTTTCTTCTTTAGCTTGTTGAAGAAGTTAACTGCAATGATTGATTTCCAAATGTTGAAACTGTCTTCATTACCTGGGTTAAAGCTCACTTCATCATGGTGTATAGTTTTATTATATATTGTTAGATGCTAGTTACTAATACTTCTTCAGGATTTTTGCTGTTATGTTTATGAAAGATGTTAGGCTATAGTTTTTCTTTTTTGTAATTTTCTTTCTGATTTTGGTACTAATGTAATGCTGGCCTCACACAATGAGTGATTTAGAATGTTTTCCCTCCAATTCAATTTTCTGGAAAAATTATAGAGGATTGGTATAGTTTATTTTATTATTTTATTGAAATATTTGGTTCAATTTAAAAGCATCTGAGCCTGGTGTTTTCTTTTTATGGAAGGTTGTTAATTATCAATTCAATTTTATTAACATAAATAGGTTTATTCAAATTAGTTATATCTCCTTGGGAATTTTGGTAGTTTGTACCTTTCATAGAATTGGTCCATTTCATGAAAGTTGTCAAGTTTGTAGGCATAGAGTTACAAATAGTATTCTGTTTTTATCCTTTAATGTCTCAGGATGATTGGTGATCATCTCCTCTTTCATTTCTGATGTTGGTAACCTGTGTCTTCAATCAAAATTGTTTATTAGTCTTTTGATAAAAACAGTTTTTTATTATGTTCATTTTCCCTTTGTTTTACTATTTTCAATTTAATGGATTTTTGTTCTAATTGTTTTCTTTACAGTTGTTTTAAACTCCAATTGCTCTTTGTATAATTTTGTTTTTAAATTTTAATTGCGAGAAAACAGGTGGCATCCCCAGGCACCATTAGATTGCGAATCAATGCTCAGTATTCAACTAAGTTGTTCTGTTTCTTAATCAGTCAAGACTACAATCCAAGGGACAAAAATTTCTTCTAAACTTTTAGAGAATGTGTTATCTATCTTTTTCTGGACATACATCACAAGTCAAATTTCATTGCTGTGTTCTACCAGTGTGTTGTGTCTCTTCTATGACAGCAATCACTTCTTGACTGTACAAAATATTCCATTAACATTTAATGCTTTAACCACATTCAACACAGTATTTGGAATGTAGGAGATATTCAATCAACATTTGTCTAATGATTCTGAGTCATGTACTGTGGTGACCTCAAAATGGTGTAAGACAAGCATCAGTCTTTTTCAAGTAGAAGTAGCGTGCCTAGTCAGCTCATTTCCAGAGGAAAAATACCCTACACACACACACAAGGAGAAAAAAACAGGGAAAGTTAATGAAAACAGTAAATGCAGAAGAATGCTTCCTTTTCCAGAGTCACAGGAAACCTGTAATGGGGTGATAAAGCTACCACACCTTTATCCCAGTCGAACAGTAATAAATATTTTGATATGTAACCAGGAGTTTATTATGACTTCGCCACTATGGTAAGATCCTCCCTCGGTTATCTGGAATGAATGTGCATCCAAAGTCCATATCCATTTCCTTTGTTTGGATATAAAAGAGAAAACACTGCAAGGGGGAAAATCAGGCCATGTACAAAAGCAGAGGCCTCCAAAAGGCAGAGCAATCTGCTTTTATAGTTTAAATTAGCGCTGTCCTGAACAGGAAAAGAAAATTAAGTGAATGATTTATAACGTCCATGTACAGGAGTAAGCAAGTGATTCTCATTCACATAAGTCATCACCTACATTATCTGAAAAAAAAACCCTTTTTTTCTATTAATTATTTACTTAATCTACCCTTGTCTTTCCTTTCTGAGGGGAACTAAAAACGATACAGTAAAACCAGTTTGCTTTCCCTGTAGGTATTTGAGATAAACATGAAACAATGTAGCTCATCAGACTGAGCTTATCATGCAACTGGTGGGCCAGAGTTCATTAACTATTCCATTCAGTCATCAGTGTTTCTGAATGATCTATTCTATGTCAGGCCCAAACTTTGTGTTTTATATTGGTTATATAGTTTAGCTAAAAAGCAAACTGATATGGTTTGATTGTGTCTCCACTCAAATCTCACCTTGAAATGTAATAATCCCCACATTTCAAGGGCAGGGCCAGATGGAGATAATTCAATCACGGGGGGCAGTTTCCCCCATACTGTTCTCTTGGTAGTGAATATGTCTCATGAGATCTGATGGTTTTATAAATGAGAGTTCCCCTGCACAAGCTCTCTCTTGCCTGACACCATGTAAGACGCGACTTTGCTCTTCCTTTGCCTTCTGCCATGATTGTGAGGCCTCCCCAGCCATGTGGAACTGTAAGTCAGTTAAACCTCTTTCCTTTATAAATTACCCAGTCTCAGGTATGTCTTTATTAGGAGTAAGAGACTCACACACAAACAAAACAAACACCAGATTAAACTAAAAAATCTCTCTAAAGAATGATAGAACATGGCAAAGCCAAAACTGAATCCAGGCTGTCTAATCTCAGTGCTTATCCTTACTGACTTTCACATATTATGGACTTTCTTTCTCATGTAATATTTAAGGAATATTAGATGTATTGAATGTCTGGTCTGGGATATTTGGTAAATATTTCCTGCGTGAAGAAACAAGTGAAAGAAGAAATAAGTTTCAATAATATTAGAATACTAAAATTATAAATACAATCAAATAAGACTTTCTATTGTAAAGAAACTCTTTTGCTGTGGGGGGGGGCATGAATCTTTAATTTTTATGTAATCAGATGTGTGACTTTATACAAATTAATGAACAGTTGCAGGAACCCAAAAGAGATACCTTAAGTAGGCCTAGAGGTAGTGAGATAGGTTTATAAAGAAAAGTTGATATTTGAGTTGGACCATAAAGTTGAATATGATTTTACCAGATGAAAACTACATAATGGCATTCTCAGCAGATGGATTGAATATGCAGACATTGAGGTAAGATGCAGTTCAGTGCATAAAGGGAACAGTTGGTATTTCTATGTAAATAGTGAATAGAGTTCATAGTGGCTGAGACTGTCAAGAAATATCATTAGGAAAGTCTAAAATTAGATTACTATGACTGTGTGAATTTGAGGGGAATTGTGCAGTACCTAACCTGTAACAGGTGTTCAATAAATGATTTAGAAATGAATCCTCTGATCTTTTAGGTAATGAGGAGTCCCTAGAGTGTTTAATTACAGATAAACTCTACAAAGACCCTACTAGCTCCTGAGTAGTAGAAAAGAGAAGCACAAGGGAATAGAAGGGAGTCTGTGCTCAAGGAGAGGTACTGACTGCAGGGCTGAGGCTCTGAACCCAAGAAGCATTTCACAGACTGAATCACAAGGACTGCTCATTTATTGGATGGGAAGGCAAGTGTCAATCTCCAACACATTCTATGTGATGCTATTTTCAAAGGAGGAAAGAAGAAGGAAGTCCATGTCTGACACAGCTATAAAAATAATAATTATTATAATCATACATATCCCCAAGGAAGTAAGAGTGAAGCCAAAGACCTTAGAGGAATCCCTATTAGCACAGATATACATAAAATGATGAAAACAAACAAACAAAAACCAGGATGCTTATGTGGTAGCCTCTTACATGGTTTCTTCTCTATCATTATTTAGAATAAAAGTGGCAACTAGTTTTTCTTCAAAAAACATATATAATGTACAGAAGAGATATCTTCAATTGCTTTTCTTATTAGAAAAATAAAACCCCACAAAACTCTTCAAATAAACAACTCCTCCTAGTCCACCTACCTCTCCTCCTTCCCCTGACTAGGAGAAGTGTTCAGACCCCAACATGCCTTTTATTAGACCAAGACTATGTTCCTAGGGTGACCCCAGTGTACCCCCACCTCTTGAAGTCCTGCCTGAAAAAATGGTCAAAGAGTTTACTGTTTGTTCTATTCAATATATGAACATGGGCTGACTTCCCATTTTCTTTAGAAAACTTACAATTTAACATCTTTTCTCTGCTCCATTGAGATGCATCTCCTGTAACCCAAGAATGTCTTTCTCAAAAACCTGGAAGCCATCCTTTTGAAATGTAATTATCACAACAGATGGAAACCCTGTCTCCCAATCTCTGTGACAGGGTAGGAGCCTAACTTCAATAAACACCTTTAGCAAACACAGATCTCGGAGTCACATTGGCCACCCTCCAACAGCATTTTAAAAGCCTCCTTCTTGCCTGTTGTTTCAATGAAGTTAAGCTCAGTTTATAGTAACCTCTCTCTGTCCTACTGCAATAACCAGAGGAAAATTTGTCTCATGTTGTAAACATGAGTTCAGTGCAAAATTTTTCTTTTTTTTTTTAATTTTTATTTTATTTTTTTATTATTATTATACTTTAAGTTTTAGGATACATGTGCACAATGTGCAGGTTAGTTACATATGTACACATGTGCCATGCTGGTGTGCTGCACCCATTAACTCATCATTTAGCATTAGGTATATCTCCTAATGCTATCCCTCCCCCCTCCCCCCACCCCACAACAGTCCCCAGTGTGTGATGTTCCCCTTGCTGTGTCCATGTGTTCTTATCGTTCAGTTCCCACCTATGAGTGAGAATATGCAGTGTTTGGTTTTTTGTCCTCGCGATAGTTTACTGAGAATGATGATTTCCAATTTCATCCATGTCCCTACAAAGGACATGAACTCATCATCTTTTATGGCTGCATAGTGTTCCGTGGTGTATATTTGCCACATTTTCTTTTTTTGTTTGTTTGTTTGTTTCACTGAAATTTAGTTTTATTTTATTCACTGTTATTTTTTTAATTTATTTTTTTTTATTATACTTTAAGTTTTAGGGTACATGTGCACATTGTGCAGGTTAGTTACATACGGATACATGTGCCTTGCTGGTGTGCAGCACCCACTAACTCATCATCTAGCATTAGGTATATCTCCCAATGCTATCCCTCCCCCCTCCCCCCACCCACAACAGTCCCCAGAGTGTGATGTTCCCCTTCCTGTGTCCATGTGATCTCATTGTTCAATTCCCACCTATGAGTGAGAATATGCGGTGTTTGGTTTTTTGTTATTGCGATAGTTTACTGAGAATGATGATTTCCAATTTCATCCATGTCCCTACAAAGGACAAGAACTCATCATTTTTTATGGCTGCATAGTATTCCATGGTGTATATGTGCCACATTTTCTTAATCCAGTCTATCATTGTTGGACATTTGGGTTGGTTGCAAGTCTTTGCTATTGTGAATAGTGCCGCAATAAACATACGTGTGCATGTGTCTTTATAGCAGCATGATTTATAATCCTTTGGGTATATACCCAGTAATGGGATGGCTGGGTCAAATGGTATTTCTAGTTCTAGATCCCTGAGGAATCACCACACTGACTTCCACAATGGTTGAACTAGTTTACAGTCCCACCAACAGTGTAAAAGTGTTCCTATTTCTCCACATCCTCTCCAGCACCTGTTGTTTCCTGACTTTTTAATGATTGCCATTCTAACTGGTGTGAGATGGTATCTCATAGTGGTTTTGATTTGCATTTCTCTGATGGCCAGTGATGATGAGCATTTTTTCATGTGTTTTTTGGCTGCATAAATGTCTTCTTTTGAGAAGTGTCTGTTCACGTCCTTCGCCCACTTTTTGATGGGGTTGTTTGTTTTTTTCTTGTAAATTTGTTTGAGTTCATTGTAGATTCTGGATATTATCCCTTTGTCAGGTGAGTAGGTTGTGAAAATTTTCTCCCATTTTGTAGGTTGCCTGTTCACTCTGATGGTAGTTTCTTTTGCTGTGCAGAAGCTCTTTAGTTTAATTAGATCCCATTTGTCAATTTTGGCTTTTGTTGCCATTGCTTTTGGTGTTTTAGACATGAAGTCCTTGCCCTTGCCTATGTCCTGAATGGTAATGCCTAGGTTTTCTTCTAGGGTTTTTATGGTTTTAGGTCTAACGTTTAAGTCTTTAATCCATCTTGAATTGATTTTTGTATAAGGTGTAAGGAAGGGATCCAGTTTCAGCTTTCTACATATGGCTAGCCAGTTTTCCCAGCACCATTTATTAAATAGGGAATCCTTTCCCCATTGCTTGTTTTTCTCAGGTTTGTCAAAGATCAGATAGTTGTAGATATGTAGCGTTATTTCTGAGGGCTCTGTTCTGTTCCATTGATCTATATCTCTGTTTTGGTACCAGTACCATGCTGTTTTGGTTACTGTAGCCTTGTAGTATAGTTTTAAGTCAGGTAATGTGATGCCTCCAGCTTTGTTCTTTTGGCTTAGGATTGACTTGGTGATGCGGGCTCTTTTTTGGTTCCATATGAACTTTAAAGTAGTTTTTTCCAATTCTGTGAAGATTTTTCCAATTCTGTGAAGAAAGGCATTGGTAGCTTGATGGGGATGGCATTGAATCTGTAAATTACCTTGGGCAGTTTGGCCATTTTCATGATATTGATTCTTCCTACCCATAAGCATGGAATGTTCTTCCATTTGTTTGTATCCTCTTTTATTTCCTTGAGCAGTGGTTTGTAGTTCTCCTTGAAGAGGTCCTTCACATCCCTTGTAAGTTGGATTCCTAGGTATTTTGTTATCTTTGAAGCAATTGTGAATGGGAGTTCACTCATGATTTGGCTCTCTGTTTGTCTGTTGTTGGTGTATAGGAATGCTTGTGATTTTTGCACACTGATTTTGTATCCTGAGACTTTGCTGAAGTTGCTTATCAGCTTAAGGAGATTTTGGGCTGAGACAATGGGGTTTTCTAGATACACAATCATGTCGTCTGCAAACAGGGACAATTTGACTTCCTATTTTCCTAATTGAATACCCTTTATTTCCTTCTCCTGCCTAATTGCCCTGGCCAGAATTTCCAACACTATGTTGAATAGGAGTGGTGAGAGAGGGCATCCCTGTCTTGTGCCAGTTTTCAAAGGGAATGCTTCCAGTTTTTGCCCGTTCAGTATGATATTGGCTGTGGGTTTGTCATAGATAGCTCTTATTATTTTGAAATATGTCCCATCAATACCTAATTTATTGAGAGTTTTTAGCATGAAGGGTTGTTGAATTTTGTCAAAGGCCTTTTCTGCATCTATTGAGATAATCATGTGGTTTTTGTCTTTGGTTCTGTTTATATGCTGGATTACATTTATTGATTTGTGTATATTGAACCAGCCTTGTATCCCAGGGATGAAGCCCACTTGATCATGGTGGATAAGCTTTTTGATGTGCTGCTGGATTCGGTTTGCCAGTATTTTATTGAGGATTTTTGCATCAATGTTCATCAAGGATATTGGTCTAAAATTCTCTTTTTTGGTTGTGTCTCTGCCCGGCTTTGGTATCAGAATGATGCTGGCCTCATAAAATGAGTTAGGGAAGATTCTCTCTTTTTCTATTGATTGGAATAGTTTCAGAATGAATGGTACCAGTTCCTCCTTATACCTCTGGTAGAATTCGGCTGTGAATCCATCTGGTCCTGGACTCTTTTAGGTTGGTAAGCTATTGATTATTGCCACAATTTCAGATCCCGTTATTGGTCTATTCAGAGATTCAACTTCTTCCTGGTTTAGTCTTGGGAGAGTGTATGTGTCGAGGAATTTATCCATTTCTTTTATATTTTCTAGTTTATTTGTGTAGAGGTGTTTGTAGTATTCTCTGATGGTAGTTTGTATTTCTGTGGGATTGGTGGTGATATCCCCTTTATCATTTTTTATTGCATCTATTTGATTCTTCTCTCTTTTTTTCTTTATTAGTCTTGCTAGCGGTCTATGAATTTTGTTGATCCTTTCAAAAAACCAGCTCCTGGATTCACTAATTTTTTGAAGGGTTTTTTGTGTCTCTATTTCCTTGAGTTCTGCTCTGACTTTAGTTATTTCTTGCCTTCTGCTAGCTTTTGAATGTGTTTGCTCTTGCTTTTCTAGTTCTTTTAATTGTGATGTTAGGGTGTCAATTTTGGATCTTTCCTGCTTTCTCTTGTGGGCATTTAGTGCTATAAATTTCCCTCTACACACTGCTTTGAATGCATCCCAGAGATTCTGGTATGTTGTGTCTTTGTTCTCGTTGGTTTCAAAGAACATCTTTATTTCTGCCTTCATTTCGTTATGTACCCAGTAGTCATTCAGGAGCAGGTTGGTCAGTTTCCATGTAGTTGAGCAGTTTTGAGTGAGATTCTTAATCCTGAGTTCTAGTTTGATTGCACTGTGGTCTGAGAGATAGTTTGTTATAATGTCTGTTCTTTTACATTTGCTGAGGAGAGCTTTACTTCCAAATGTGTGGTCAATTTTGGAATAGGTGTGGTGTGGTGCTGAAAAAAATGTATATTTGAGTTCAATTCCTGGGTATCCTTGTTGACTTTCTGTCTCGTTGATCTGTCTAATGTTGACAGTGGGGTGTTAAAGTCTCCCATTATTAATGTGTGGGAGTCTAAGTCTCTTTGTAGGTCATTCAGGACTTGCTTTATGAATCTGGGTGCTCCTGTATTGGGTGCATATATATTTAGGATAGTTAGCTCTTCTTGTTGAATTGATCCCTTTACCATTATGTAATGGCCTTCTTTGTCTCTTTTGATCTTTGTTGGTTTAAAGTCTGTTTTATCAGAGACTAGGATTGCAACCCCTGCCTTTTTTTGTTTTCCATTTGCTTTGTAGATCTTCCTCCATCCCTTTATTTTGAGCCTATGTGTGTCTCTGCACATGAGATGGGTTTCCTGAATACAGCACACTGATGGATCTTGACTCTTTATCCAATTTGCCAGTCTGTGTCTTTTAATTGGGGCATTTAGTCCATTTACATTTAAAATTAATATTGTTATGTGTGAATTTGATCCTGTCATTATGATGTTAGCTGGTTATTTTGCTCAGTAGTTGATGCAGTTTCTTCCTAGTCTCGATGGTCTTTACATTTTGGCATGATTTTGCAGCGGCTGGTACTGGTTGTTCCTTTCCATGTTTAGCGCTTCCTTCAGGAGCTCTTTTAGGGCAGGTCTGGTGGTGACAAAATCTCTCAGCATTTGCTTGTCTGTAAAGTATTTTATTTCTCCTTCACTTATGAAGCTTAGTTTGGCTGGATATGAAATTCTGGGTTGAAAATTCTTTTCTTTAAGAATGTTGAATATTGGTCCCCACTCTCTTCTGGCTTGTAGGGTTTCTGCCGAGAGATCTGCTGTTAGTCTGATGGGCTTCCCTTTGAGGGTAACCTGACCTTTCTCTCTGGCTGCCCTTAACATTTTTTCCTTCATTTCAACTTTGGTGAATCTGCCAATTATGTGTCTTGGAGTTGCTCTTCTCGATGAGTATCTTTATGGCGTTCTCTGTATTTCCTGAATCTGAATGTTGGCCTGCCTTGCTAGATTGGGGAAGTTCTCCTGGATAATATCCTGCAGAGTGTTTTCCAACTTGGTTCCATTCTCCCCGTCACTTTCAGGTACACTAATCAGACATAGATTTGGTCTTTTCACATAGTCCCATATTTCTTGTAGGCTTTGCTCATTTCTTTTTATTCTTTTTTATCTAAACTTCTCTTCTCGCTTCATTTCATTCATTTCATCTTCCATCACTGATACCCTTTCTTCCAGTTGATCACGTCGGCTCCTGAGGCTTCTGCATTCTTCACGTAGTTCTCGAGCCTTGGTTTTCAGCTCCATCAGCTCCTTTAAGCACTTCTCTGAATTGGTTATTCTAGTTATACATTCTTCTAAATTTTTTTCAAAGTTTTCAACTTCTTTGCCTTTGGTTTGAATGTCCTCCCGTAGCTCAGAGTAATTTGATCGTCTGAAGCCTTCTTCTCTCAGCTCGTCAAAGTCATTCTCCATCCAGCTTTGTTCCGTTGCTGGTGAGGAACTGCGTTCCTTTGGAGGAGGAGAGGTGCTCTGCTTTTTAGAGTTTCCAGTTTTTCTGTTCTGTTTTTTCCCCATCTTTGTGGTTTTATCTACTTTTGGTCTTTGATGATGGTGATGTACAGATGGGTTTTTGGTGTGGATGTCCTTTCTGTTTGTTAGTTTTCCTTCTAACAGACAGGACCCTCAGCTGCAGGTCTGTTGGAGTACCCTGCAGTGTGAGGTGTCAGTGTGCCCCTGCTGGAGGGTGCCTCCCAGTTAGGCTGCTCGGGGTTCAGGGGTCAGGGACCCACTTGAGGAGGCAGTCTGCCCATTCTCAGATCTCCAGCTGCGTACTGGGAGAACCCCTGCTCTCTTCAAAGCTGTCAGACAGGGACATTTAAGTCTGCAGAGGTTACTGCTGTCTTTTTGTTTGTCTGTGCCCTGCCCCCAGAGGTGGAGCCTACAGAGGCATGCAGGCCTCCTTGAGCTGTGGTGGGCTCCACCCAGTTCGAGCTTCCCAGCTGCTTTGTTTACCTAAGCAAGCCTGGGCAATGGCGGGCGCCCCTCCCCCAGCCTCGCTGCCACCTTGCAGTTTGATCTCAGACTGCTGTGCTAGCAATCAGCGAGACTCCATGGGGTAGGACCCTCCAAGCTAGGTGCGGGATATAATCTCGTGGTGCACTGTTTTTTAAGCCTGTTGGAAAAGCGCAGTATTCGGGTGGGAGTGACCCGATTTTCCAGGTGCCATCCGTCACCCCTTTCTTTGATTAGGAAAGGGAACTCCCTGACCCCTTGGGCTTCCCAGGTGAGGCAATGCCTCGCCCTGCTTCGGCTCACGCATGGTGCACGCATCCACTGACCTGCGCCCACTGTCTGGCACTCCCTAGTGAGATGAACCTGGTACCTCAGATGGAAATGCAGAAATCACCCGTCTTCTGCGTCGCTCAGGCTGGGAGCTGTAGACTGGAGCTGTTCCTATTTGGCCATCTTGGCTCCTCCCCTCAAATTTTTGTTTTGCATAGGTTATCTGTATACTTTCCCTCTACCCTGCTTTGAGCAACCCTTGACGTACACAGGGCAATCTACAAATATTTGTTTGGCAATTTTATAAGTAAATGGTTTATTTTTAAAGTTAACTTTGCTTCTGAAAAGACATTGAAGTAATTCAAGCATCATCATTCCAATTTGGATTTTTTTTTATAATTAAAATTAGGTTTTGCAAGTCATTGTGTTGTCTATGATTGTTCATTTGATAGCAGGGAAAGATGTCCTGCCTCCTGCAGGGGGGATTTGCTCTCCTACTCTGCTGATTTAGAAGATCAAACAAAATGACCTCCACATCAGTCTTTGTCATCATGCTCATTTGAGTTCTGATTTTCCCTTGATGTTAGAAGTAATTCAATTAATAGCATACATGGTGGTATATTGTAATAGAGAAGTGAGTTTGGATCAAAGGGTCACATTTAGTTGAAGCACACAATGACTGCTTTTTTGATTGGTACTAAGGTTTGCTTTGCTCCCACCAAAACTCCTGTTAAAATTTGATACCTAATGTGGCTGCGTTGCATTGAGAGATGGGGCCGAGGGAGAGGTGCTTGAGTTATGAGGGTAGATCCTTCATTAATAGATGAATGCCCACCCATGAGGATTGAATGTGTTCTCACTCTCACTAAAATAAATTAGTTCCTGCAAGAGCAGGTCGTTAAAAATAGGCTGACTTCCTCAGTTTTTCTCTCCTCCTTCCTCTTTTGCCATGTGACCTCCTTGCATATGCCAGTTTGCTTCCCTTTTTGCTTTCCACCATGATTTGAAGCAGCCTGATGCCTTCATCAGCTGCAGATGCCCAGTCTTGAACTTTCCAGTCTGTAGAATCATAAGCCAAATAAAACTCTTCCTATAAACTACCCAGTCTTAGATATTTTGTTATAGCAACACGAAACAGACTAAAACAACTGAATTCCTGTTGTTAGACATTTTCATCTGAAATCCCTGCATCTCCAGGCATTGGAACTGGCTGCTGTATGCATATGTATTTTTGACCATGAGTTAGATAAATACTTCAGAACAGTCTTGGCTCATCATACATTTCCTGAAACCTCTAGTAAATATTGCAAACTACTGTCATTCCAATCACTCCACTGGACATTAAGGATACAGATGAAAGACTCAAGGAACTCATAGGTTGATTAAAAACAAGTTATATCAGAGAATAATAAGAACCATAAAAGAAGTAGAAGCACACAACACGGGCAATCACATATTTGAAGGTCTATGAACTTCTTGACAATCACTGAGTAAGATCAAATCTGCAAGAATCTGCAGCTAGAGTTCTTTTTAGGTGAAAAGGCAGTTATTTTCAACAATAAACTCAGAAGGGAAAAGAAAACTTCACTTCAGCTGCTAGATAATAATATGAAATAGATCCATCATATATATTAGAATAGCAGCTCATTTATTCACGCTGACTTTGGTCTCATGTCGAAGAAGGTCAAAGCACTCTTCCCATTTGCCCTCTGTTAAAAGCTTTCAAAAATGACCTGATGAAAGGTGGGGTTGCAGAGTGGAAAGGATCAGTTCCTTAGAATTTATAAATGCACTAAAATAGAATTCAAACTTTTGCTGCAGTACATTACAGATACAGAAACCTAGAATTGTAAATAATAGAAATGTGGCATCAGAGGCCCCTTTGAAATTATCTGAAGCTATTTTAAAAATTATTTTATAGTGGTGGAAACTATTCTTACAAAAGCATTAATAATGGGCCCAAGAAATATTTAGAAACAGAACTGTCCTAAATTCAGCTTTGGGGGTGCAGGGAAAATATGGGCAGATTCTCCCTCACATTTGAGATTTTCTTCAAAGTAAAGGGGTTCCATCAGTATAAAACCCCTGCCTCTGTTTGCCCCTATCTGTCCTCCCATGGGAGATGGATTGCTTATCTAATTAGTTTATGCAAAAGCAAGGCCAGGGCATATATAGCCAAGGTGCTCCTTTCTTTTTCTTTGGGGAAGACCTCCTTACATAAGGCATGAGTTTTTATAGCTGTTGGCTATGCAGGGAGCTCATTCCAGAGACCAGGTAGTCTGGGAATGGACTATGGTGCCAGGATGAGAATGAAAACTCTAAATTCCAAGTTCAGCACTGGGAGGCCCACTTGACCAATATTTTCTCCATTAGTAATAGTAATATTTTGATATCTTAATAGGATCATGCTGATAAACTAACACTTGACTCTAAGAAAAAAATATCAGACTTGCAGCATCTGCAGACTTCTGTGGTATAAATACCTCCACCTAGACTCATTTCACTATGACCGTGACGTCAATGAATGAGGACTTGAAAAGACATGCACACAATTAGCTCTCATAAGGTTACACAAGACAGATTCAGCTCATCACTGTCTCTTTCCCATCTTAGTCTTTTACCTCATTCCTCAATGCGTGCAGAGCTGAGAGAGAAAAAGTGCTATTTAGCAGACTCCCTCAAACACCAGTATTTAGATTTCTTGATTTATAGTCAAATGCGTTTCCCACTATACCACAGTGTCATTTGGAAATTGGAGTTTCACTGCTTATTATATAATCAAGCATATAAGCAGTTTATATATATATATAGTGTATACATAGTATATAGTTACTTATATTTATGTAGTATGTGTATTTGAATGTACACAAATATGTAGTGTGAGTGTACATATATGTACACACATGCAGTGTGTAAAAATACGTATGAAGTGGTTGCATAGGTATATATATTGTTAAAACTTATTGAGCATTTTAAATGACTGGATTTGATCCTATGTAAATTTTACCTCAATAAAGTTAATTTTTAAAAGTTAATTTGTTCACGTGAACAAAGTAGAATTAGATTAAATGAGGCACAGTAACCACTGAGATAATAATGGGTGGTTGTTTTATTGCATCCGAATCTTCAGCTTGTCTTAATTCCATGCTTTTATTATGTGACTTTGCTGTTACTTCATTGATGTTGAGTGCCCATTTGTGCTAATTTGTTAAAAAAAAAAAAAGAGAAATAAATGAAAAACAACCAGGGAACATTGCCAAAAAAATTGCTATTCAAAAAATAATAATACAAATAGCCAAACTGTGTCCCATCTATAGACATTAATCTTCTCAAGCTATAACACCTCTGATTCTTGAACTGGCTGGGATATTTTGATGAGATAAAATTATACATTACTTGTCCTTGGCAGCAGATATCAAACAGATGAAAATTGTATTAGGTTTATAATTAAGATATTACTTTGACATTGAAAGCTCTTAGTGGACTGGATCTCAATTAACTTCCTGAACTTCTGGCTCCTTAATTGATCATCTCACCTTTGTATTTTAAACAGAAGTTTGTAAATATTATTTTTCTTTTTACCAGAGCTGTGACTTTTGTTTACCTCCTTCCCCTGGGCTATATTGCCAAGTTAATTGATATCATATTATATCTGCATCACTGGAATTATAACCATCTGGCTTCTAGAAACACATCCATACATATTATGCACACACAAATGTTAAAAAATCTGAAATATATATACACATATATATTTATATATGCACATATATACACATACATACGTACTCATGTATTTAAAGTTTTTAGCCTAACAGTTTATATCATAAGGTACTTTTATATAATCTGAAATATCTGCATCTATTACTGAATAAAATCACCTGATGTTTAAGTTATATTTTCAGTTACATATAAGTAAACTCCTAAAATAAGCATATTTTGTTGACACATTTGGTCATGCGGAGGTATTCATGATTGAAGAAAGTGCTAATTTTAACCAGCTGCTTGAGAATTTGCACTCCTATCTCCTAACTGTCCCTGTAGGCAGCGCTCCATTCATACCAACAGGGCTGCCATTACTAAAAAGAACTCTGAAACTGCCGTTTTTGGGGAACTACCTTTGGTGCTGACTCTTCTCTATGCTAACCAGTGACAACACTTGGCAAAATCTTAGTCCTTTGGAAGTTGACTGAATATCTCGAAACTGCCAAAAGCGTTTGGAATCAAGACTAATGAAGATGGCTGATGGGAAGCTGTGGACACTGCTTGAAATCAGTGACTCCGTGGTACTATAACATAATGAGGCTTTATTTTGCTCTGCGGCTTCTAACCTGAGTCTGAAGTCAGGGCCAAATGCAGAGTTCACAACATGCTTTGAGCAAATGCATATGAAATCTCTTCTTAATTGCCTTCTTTGGCTACACTAAAAATACTTATAATTATTGGAAGCACATTCACTTTTCTCTCTTATTTTTAACCTCTCCTGGAAGATCCCTGATTGATGAAAGTGGAACACAATAACTCTCCAGCTTGACAAAATGTAGTCTAAATTTTCTATTTCACTTCCATGGAATTACAATTTTAAATCTTTATGTACCTTAAATGTGAATGGGGCACATAACTCCTATGACCTGAAGTTTTGGTGAAGATTTAGTGATAACGCATGTAAAGTAACTGATCCGGTATCTACGTAAAATGTTTGGGCAATATATGTTATTATTTTTTTTCCCACTCTTCTCTCCTTCCCCTAATAAAACTTTTGGGGTATTCCAACTTTTGAAATGATTTTGTTAATCTAACAAATGATAAATATTATATAATAATTTTAAAAAATTGCAGCCAATTTCTACCCATCTTAAAGCAGAAATGCCAAAAGTTTTAGGGATTTTTGTACATTGCATGTAACACTCTTTTGTTCCCACACAGAAAACTCTTTAGCTTTGTCTAATAAATTCCAACAAAACAGCTGAACTTGAAGTAAAACAATTTTGTGACACTTATACCCTGACATTTTGGTAGGTGATGATAAAATGCAGAAGAAAATAGGGGCATTTCAGACACATTTAAATATAGAAACATATTTTGAGTTGATTGGTTGAAGAATGATTTTGTTTGTTTTATTCTTTCTTATTTTAATTCTAGGGATGACAAAGAAAACTGGTAAGCAAAATATAGGGCAGGCTTTTCGAACAGTATTTCATTTCAAAAAATACTGTTTGAAAATAAAATATTGTTCCATTTCAATAATGAAGAGAAGGTGCTGCAACGCTGATTATGCAGAGTTGGAACTGAGCATGTGCCTGGGCCGAGGTTACGGTCCTAAGGATCCCCTTGCTTCAGAGGTCTTCCATTTAGAGGCAGCATGCGCTCACTCCACAGCACACAGTGATTACACATTGTGAACACAAAGGCAGAATTGCAGTATTTGCATGAAGCTGCCAGTCTATGTTTCATTTTCTCACACAGGGGCTACAATAACTACAAAAACTTTTTTCATCTGGACTATTCTACAGGTAACAGATGAAACCACTCTTTCCAAAGGTGGAACTGTTTTAAGTGAATTATTATGTAGAAATCTTTTTGATTCTAAGTGGAAGGCATGGTTTTGAGGTGTCTGATTGGGAAAGTGGACCAGAATCTAAAAGGCATCCTCAGAATTCCTTGACAAATGTCATGATTTTGCTTGATGATTTGCATTTACCGGAGAAAGCTTAGAATGACCTCACCAGGCACCTGCAGAGGAGACTTCCGCCGTTTATTTTTTATTTTGCATCCTTGCTCTTACGTATAGGAGCACTGCCTGTTGTGTCTTGCTACAGCATGAATCCCCCATCTCCCCCATCTCCCCCATCTCTGGGGAGTGGAGATTTTACCTCTTTGTCTTAGTTGGCATTAATGTTACATTTCCTAGAATTATTCTTTGAGACGGAGTCTCGCTCAGTCGCCCAGGATGGAGTACAGTGGCGCAATCTCAGTTCACTGCAAGCTCGGTTCACGCCATTCTCCTGCGTCAGCCTCCCTAGCAGTTGAGATTACAGGGGCCCGCCACCATGCCCGACTAAGTTTTTTGTGTTTTTAGTAGAGATGAGGTTTCACCATGTTAGCCAGGATGGTCTCAATCTCCTGCCCTCGTGATCCGCCCGCCTCAGCCTCCCAAAGTGCTGGGATTACAGGCGTGAGCCACCGCGCCCGGCCCCTAAAATTATTTTTAAGGAAGTTGAAAAGTCTTCATGGGGGGAAGGTGGGAGGAGGAGATGGTTTAAGAGCTAATTGCAGAAATCTGAGGGAGAAGATACCTATGGCTTTGCAAACACTTTAATGGAACATTGGTGTGGAAAGAGTTTTCAGGATATGATCTTGATGGCCTGGGATTCAGACATAAAGAGTAAGTGCTCTCAGAAATAAAATAATGCAAGAGTAAGTGGTAGAGAAATGGCCATACTCAAAATGAGACACGGGATCTCTGGAAGACAAGGCATCCAAGAGATAAATCTTTCGGATTCTTTGAAGGGTGGAGCTACCTAATATTTAATTATAAGTTATGTGTTGATTGGATCTTTGCTGTTACCTACTTGGCATTAACTCCCAAATTTAATTAAATTCTACTTGAAGAAATGGCCCTGTCAGAGCAGTGCCTTGAGAAAATCAAAGTAAAATAAATTTTGTTTAATCTTTGGATCAATATTTGGTACAGAAAAAGGGAACAGCTATAAGAAACAAAAGGGGGAAAATTTAAAGACTTGAGAGAAAGCAAAATATTGAGTAGGAAGACATTATAAGAAATACAAGCTCTTGTAAATGCTGGAAAATAGTGGGAAGTTAGTGAGTGATGCTGAGTTGTCCACTACTTCTATATGAGATTGGATTCATTTTTATTTAAGTTCTGTCATTCCATGTAAGTCCAGTCTGGAAGGCTTGAGGATGTCTAGGAAGCTGACGTGTTGATAGCAATCTCAACGTTTCCAATCCTGGTTTATTATAAGATTTTTCTAAATTACCTCTACTTTTTCAGACGTGGACATAGCTCTCCAGAGGCTAAACATACAATCCAAACTCCTGAGAATGGTATAAAAAACTTAGAGGCCCAACCTTTTTTTCTCACCTCATTATCTAAAACTTTCTTACCCACACTCTATGTTTTAACAGTTAAGACTTATCAATAGTCATATTTCTTTTTTTTTTTTTTTTTTTGAGAGAAGTCTTGCTCTTATCCCCCCAGGTTTCAGTGCAATGGCTCGATCTTGGCTCACTGCAACCGTCGCCTCCTGGGTTCAAATGATTCTCCTGCCTCTGCCTCCCAAGTATCTGGGATTAAGTTGCCTGCCACCACCCCCAGCTAATTTGTGTGTATTTTAGTAGAGACTGGGTTTCATCATGTTGGCCAGGCTGGTTTCGAACTCCTGACCACAAGTGATCAGCCTGCCTTGGCCTCCCAAAGTGCTGAGATTACAGGCGTGAACCCACTGTGCCCAGCCTAGTCCTATTTCATTTCTTTAAAAAAACCAAATTTGAAACAACAGGAGGTAATGACACCATTACTGTAGAAAAGACAAAAAACAAAAAACACTTTTGAGCAATGTAGTTCACAATACCCTTCTTCTGGGAAGAAATTAGTATTCCAGACAAAATGATAAGTGATTTTCTGCTGGATTTTAATAAGATTAAGCTATATCCAGAGAACTTCACCAACCCAGTTGACTGCCAGCTTACTGTTAGCCAAGAATCCAATGCCCTTGAAGGAGACTTTCTTTTCTTCCAGTATTTAACATGATTATTGGTATTTAATAGATAATCTAACAAAGTTACCTATTCCTTCTCTTGCCCTGCGAAATACTAACCAAGAGTAAATCTTTGAATTGGTCATTGGGGGCTTTTTAAAAGATCTGTAGTGCAAGACTAACAAAACACTGGCCAATGCTTATAACTAAATTGTCTGAAAAGTTTTCTTTAATATATGCAGGAGAAAATTACAGTTGCTTCAAAGTAACCAAATGCAAATCTGGAGCCCAGATATTGCTAGCAGCTAGAATTACAAAACATGTTTTGGAAAACAAAACATTACATATATACATACATACACATAAAAATAATAGATAATACTGTGAGGTTTGGGGAAATATATCTTAGAATTCCCTGTTGGAGTACATTATCCACCTGCACTGTATGACATAATAGTTACTAGGCATATGTGGCTATTTAACACTGGAAATGTTACTTCTACTAATTGAGATTTTTTGTAACACTTATATCCTTACATTTTGCAGATGTACATGTTGTATATTTTGCTGTAAGTATAAAGTACATTTGATTTTAAAAACTGTTACTAAGGCAGAATTCAAAGCATCTAACAGTGTTTATATTGATTACATGGTGAAATAATATTTTTAATATATTAAATAAAATACATTAATCAGTAAAATTCATTTTAGCTTTTTCCTGTTTTTTGATGTGACTACAAGAAAACTGAATATGCAGGTAGCTTGCATTTGTAGTACACGTTATATTTCTGACAGTACTATTACAGAGGTTAAGATGTTTTCTTACTTTGAGTTTTTATTTCATTTATTTTTACGTTTCCTCTTGTCTTTAAGAGGGCTTGCTAAAAGCTGTGGAGGAAGTTTTAACTCACGTTGGTATCAGTTGGTAGTAAATGAAGCCTTCTATCTCTTGGCAAACTAACAAAGAAACAATTTACTGGAATTAAAGCACTGCAATATTGTTTTTGGTTCCAGTTGTTCAGCAAATGTTTGCCAAATTTCTAATATATACTGAGCACAGTGCTCCATCCTGGGGATACAGTGAGTAAGCATGGAGGTGTATTTTTCTCCCCTCTTTGCAGAGTAAGTGCACGACAGGTATAACACTTATGAACATCAGCATGGGGCAATATCACACAAAGGGGTCCTGGGTGATGCTATTGGTAAATATCCAGTAATCATTGGTGAATAACCCAGAGAAATAACTAGATTGGAGAGTTTTGAAATGGACTCTTTGATATAGTAGTTTTTATCCTGATACCTGGTGGTTAATTTATATATAAGCCAAGGAAAGAGGAATTCCAGGTAACAATTCTCTTTAGTGAAGGGTCATTCCTAGAGAGAAATGTAGCCAAAGTCATCAGTAGCCAACCTTTGCAAGTATGAGTCAAAGAGAGAAGAAGCAAATTTTGACTCACTGCCTACTGAAAACATTTGAGCTTGAATCAGATCCTGGGCTTTAATGTGGCTAAGAGTCCTGAATATTCCTATGGCCTTAACTTGAATTGGAGTTATTTGGCTATTATTACCTGGATTTTTAATGTCCAAAACGGATGAGGAGATGGAATCTTATCTAACACTAATCAGGAAAGTTGTGGAATTGTTCTATAATTTTAAACAAGAAAAAGTACCATTCTAGAGAGTAAATTTGAAGTAGCAATGGAAGAAAGAATGAAGCTAGCTTTTGTATTTATCTTTGAAAGCCTAGTTTGGTCAATGAAAGCAGTTTCACATTTGGTATTACACTGAAATTACTTGGTCAGAAGCATGCTTCTCTGCTCACATTTTAAATTCATTCAGACTTCAATGTTTTCAGCTTTGTGTACTGAAAAATGATTCAACGTTGGGTACATACTAGCCATGCAATACATATATTTAATGAATGAATAAATACTTTTAAAGTGTGTTTGTGTGTGTAATGTTTGTGGAAAAGATATCATTTAATAAAAATTTTAGACCTCTGAACTCTCTGTGGGATTAGCAGCAATGAACTGCTAATCCCACATAGAGTTCAGAGGTCTAAGGAAATGAAGTTTCTTATGCCCTTATCAACAGTTTTGAGTGGATATTTAGCAACTAAGCTAATCAGAAAGGGCTTACGTCATCAGAATTAATGAGGATTTAAGACACTTGATTGAGTCAAGGGAAATTTTTCAGTTATCTGCCACATGCTATTGATCTCTCAGCAGTTCGTTAAACACCTGAAGCAAACACGGCCGTGAGCCAGCAGGGCAGTGGATGTAAGTGCTGAAGATTTACAGCTCCAGTGGATCTCATCCATCAGGTACCTTCTTTGTCTCTTCTTGTCCAGCCCCAGCTTCGTCCCAGAACTTTTTTATTTTAACTTCTATTTTAGGTTCACGGATACATGTGCAGGTTAGTTCTATAGGCAAACTTATGTCATGGGGGTTTAATGTGTGTATTGTTTAGTCACCCACGTACTAAGCCTAGTACCCAACAGTTGTTTTATCTGATACTTACCCTTCTCCCACCTTTCTCCCTCAAGTAGGCCCCTGTGTCTGTTCCCTTCTTTGTGTCCATGTGTTCTCATCATATAGCTCCCACTTACAGGTGAGAATATGTCATATTTGGTTTTCTGTTCCTGCATTAGTTAGCTAAGTATGATAGCCTCCAGCTACATCCATGTTCCTGCAGAGGACATGATCTCATTCTTTTGTATGGCTGCATAATATTCCACAGTGTATATGTACCACATATTCTTTATCCAGTCTACTGTTGATGAGCATTTAGCTTGATTTCCTGCAAGGGATAGTATATCATTCTTTTATATGTTTGCATAGTATTCCATGGTGTATGTGTAGCGCATTTTGTTTATCCAGTCTACCATTTATGGACATTTAGATTGATTCTATGTCTTTGCTATTGTGACTAATGCTGCAATGAGCATACATGTGCGTGTCTCCTTATGGAAGAATAATTTATATTTTGGGGAGTATATACCCAGTAATGGAATTTCTGGGTTGAATGGTAACTTTGTTTTTAGTTCTTTGAGAAATTGCCACACTTTCCACAATGGCTGAACTAATTTACACTCCCACCAACAGTGTCTAAGCATTCCCTTTTCTCTACAACCTCACCAACATCTGTTATTTTTTGACTTTTTTTTTTTTTTTCAGTCTCGCTCTGTCACCCAGGCTGGAGTGCAGTGGTGCAATCTCAGCTCATTGCAGCCTCCACCTCCTAGGTTCAAGTGATTCTCCTGCCTCAGACTCCCGAGTATCTGAGACTACAGGTGCCTGCCCCTGCACCTGGCTAATTTTTGTATTTGTAGTAGAGATGGGGTTTCACCCTGTTGGCCAGGATAGTCTCGATCTCCTGACCTTATGATACACCCTCCTCAGGCTCCCAAAATGCTGAGATTACAGGCGTGAGCCACTGGGCCCAGCCTTGACTTTTTCAAACTAGCCATCCTATTGCAGACCTCTTGTCCCACTGTTTGTTGCTATTTCCTAGTCCTTTCTGTATCCTCAGAAGGTCTCTTAGTGACTGATGAAAAGTCAGGTAAATAGAAGGATGTCCAGTACAAAGGTTGAGAAACTCATGCAAAATGATGGCCTTTTTTCCTAAAGCATGTATGACCGGAAGAGAATTCTGGACGGGAGGTCAAACAGTGTATTCCGTATTCTTTTCATATTCTTTTGCTAGTTCACCTATTTGCATCCCACCTCACTCCCCACCTTTGCAAGTCCAAGTTAAAGCATGCCTCCTATGGAAAATCATCCACAGCCACCGTGTCTCATAGCCATATGCTAACTGCTGCTAATTGCATAATATAGGCGCATCCTTTAAGATATCGGGAAATACAAAAATAAAAAAACATTATACTTAAGCACGAATAAAAGTTAAGTGTGATCTTGAAAGTTGATGAAGAAATTAAAATTACTTAATTTTTCTTTATAGTAGAAAGCAACTTATAGACATATCCGATCTCCTAATTAATGGCAGTTAAGTGGTACGTGGAAGAAAGACAGAAGATAGATAAAAAGACAAATTCATAATTATGTTTAGTAAATAACTACAATTTCCATTAACAAGATCCTCTTTTTCTGGATCATTTGCCAATTTACCAATTAGCCACCTACACTGCCAACAAGTTTGCTACCTAACTGAGGAGAGGAGACTAACAGGAGCCAGGTCACGACTTGAGAGATCACAGCCTACAGTAGGTGACATCTGAACACATAATCGTGACACAGCTGAGCCCAGCTCTGAGGGAGGCACTTGTTGCTTGCCAGGAATATCAGCAGAAGGGACTCTTTTGGAGTTAATGCCCGTGACAAGCTGAATTGTGTCTCCTTTATATTCATACATTGAAATCCTAATCCCAAGTATCTCAAACTGTGACTGTTTTCAGAGACAGGGTTTTTTAAAAGATAATTAAAATGAGGCTTTAGGGTGGGCACTAATTCAATATAACTGGTGTCTTTTATAAGAAGAGATTTGGACACAGAAAGAGAAGAAAGACCACGTGAAGATACAGGGAGAAGATTGCCATCCATAATCCAAGAAGAGGGGCCTTAAAAGAAACGAAATCTGTCGACACCTTGACTTTGAACTTTTAGCTTCCAGAATTGTGAGAAATTTCTGCTGTTTAAGCTACTCAGTCTGTGGCAGTTTGTTACAGTAAAACTAACAAACTAATACAGGCGGAAGCGCCTGTGAAGGTAGCCTGCATATATGATACATTAGCAGGATGTGAGATTATCAAGTGAAACAAAATAGGGGGAAAGAAACTTTTCCAGAGAGAGCAGCACATGCAAAATCACAGCGAAGACAGAGGGTGCAGGTTATTCAGACGTCTCTAAGTGCAGTTGACTGAAGGCCAGGATGGGTACAGGATGGCAAGATGAACCTGGGGCTCTAAGCAGAGTTCAGATCTTAGAGGGCATCAAGTGATTGCTTAACAGGAGCCACTGACTTTCTGCTCAAAGGAGAAAAAGAGTTCTTTGCTATTGAGGATGACACACTGGTCAAGTTGAATTCCACCCTCTCTGCCTACCCCAGACCATTGTTACTATTCTCTGATTCATGGCTCACCACTACTCTCACCTATACTGGGGAAAGCCCCATGGAAGAACTCAAGAAGAAAGCACCTTACAAAGGGGCATTAATTAATTGGCAGGGAGTCTGAAGGAGTGCTAGAATAGATTGATCACAACAGATGGAGATAAGTCGCTTGAGGAAGTGAACAGCTGGACAGGTCTATGTTTATTTTCCACAGTTGCAAATTTATAACAAAATCAATGCAGCTTATCAACAGAGATTGATGGCATTTCAGAAGCAGTGGGCAACTACATGGGTGAAACATTTTATTATGTATATATATGAACACGGCCATTCATTAAAGCAAGTGGGCCCAGCGCGGTGGCTCACGCCTGTAATCCCAGCACTTTGGGAGGCCGAGGCAGGGGTTTCAAGAGGTCGGGAGATCGAGACCATCCTGGCTAACACGGTGAAACCCCATCTCTACTTAAAAATGCAAAAAAAATCAGCCTGGCATGGTGGCAGGCACCTGTAGTCCCAGCTACTCGGGAGGATGAGGTGGGAGAATGGCGTGAACCCAGGAGGTGGAGCCTGCAGTGAGCCGAGATCGCGCCACTGCACTCCGGCCTGGGCAACAGAGCAAGACTCCGTCTCAAAAAGTAATGCTCTTACAACTATGGAATGGATGACTGGATACGTTCACAGAATTCAGCTACAGACAAATATTATTTGATATATACAACTGAGAGTTCTGTATTTCGTAAAGTAGGTTTTGTTAACAAAGAAGACTAAAGAGTCATAGATTTTGGAAGATAAAGTATTTAATAGGGATTAAATCCATGCATTCAATAACCGTACTTTCTTAGTTCAAATTCTACTTCTACCATTTTTCAGTTCTTTAATCCTCAAAGTCACACAGACTCTCAGAGCTTCAGTTTTCAGTTTTTAATGTTAAAATAATTCTAAGTATACTAATAACAACAAGCATTATGGGATTTGCCAATAATTATAATTAGTGTTTTACGTATTTTGCCCCATTTAGTCCTCAGAAAAACTTTATGCTATAATAATTATCAATAGTGCAAGCCTGGTGGTTTATGCCTGTAATCTCAGCACTTTGGGAGACCGAGGCAGGCAGATCACTTGAGGTCAGGAATTCAAGACCAGCCTGGCCAACATGGTGAAACCTCATCTCTACTAAAAGTACAAATATATATATAATATATTCATATTTATGTTAGCTGGGTATGGTGGTGCATGTTTGTAATCCTGGTTACTGGGGAGGCTGAGGCAGGAGAATCGCTTGAACCTGGGAGGTGGAGGCTGCAGTGAGCCGAGATCGCACCACTGCACTCCAGCCTCAGTGAAAGAGTGAGACTCCATCTCAAAATAAAAAGAAAGTATTATTAGCTCATTTTACTGATCAGGAAATTGAGGCAGAGAGTGGTTAAATAACTTGCCCAAGGTCACTGTTATAGTAAATGACAAAGCTGAGATGCCAACCCGTGCAATTTCTCTCCAGTGTGTATATTTTCATTATACTCTACAATTCCATGTGATTATTAGCACCCTTATTATTATTGTAAATTCGTGGTATAGGCACACACTGTCTGTTCATTAACCTACTTGAATTCCAGGTCTTTGCGTGAATCCAATCTCACCTTACTCTGCCTTAAGCAGGTTGTCTCTTAAATGAGGTCCTGGTTCTTGCTCTCCTATCCAGGATTCTGGCTGGCACCTTTTGCCCTCAGTCTCAGTTCCTCTTCATAATACCTCCATCTGGATGCTCACTTGTAGCTGAATTTTGGTTTCTGATGAATGCTTCTCTTCCTCAGTTCTTTGGTCTTGCTTTGGGGACATCTCAGACTTGATTCAGTCCATTCCCTTAAAGTTCCTTTTTGGGGGACCCAGCTCACCCATGACGCTGTAGCTACTTTCTCCTTACTGGGACCGGTCGACTCCTCCCAGTACAAATGTCCTTCTTCTCTCTTCTCTAGTGATGTGAAACTTCCTGCTTTCAGACAAGATAAGGGAGCTTTATTTAAAAATACATGGGGAGTGAAGGTTGAGAGCCTGGGCTTTGGAGTGGGGAGCTTTCCATTTGAACCGTGGTCCTACCATTTATCATCCACTCTGCCATGTGGACAACACTCCTCCCTCCCTCAGGGTTGCTTTAGATATTAAAAGAGATAACAAATGAAAAGGCTTTAGCAAAGGTCATAGTATACAGTAAGTGCTTAGTGAACGTTATTTTTACTATTATAATTTTAATTGTGCTAAAAGCATTATAATTTATGTTTTCAGAAATACAGTATATAAAAGCGGCAAATAGCAAGCTATGTTTGATCATGAATTTCTGCTACTTACAACCTTTGGAACCACCTAATTTCCTCCTAAATGAGTTTCATAAGTTGGCACCTTTTAATCTCTTTAAACATGTAGCCTCCCACCTCTCCCTTTATGCTTTATACTCTAATAATGATAAATGACTTACTCTTTCTCAAAAAACACCATGTATCTTTGCTTAACATAGTGTGCCACGTATTCCTAGAATCTCCACCCACTCATGTTCTCATCTAGAATGTTCCTACTAAACCTTGTAAACCGCTGCAACAAGAATCTTCCAGCCTTTTCTGAGAGCCCAACACTATCTTTCCCAATCCAAGAAGAGAGTGATCTTCTGTGTGCAAACCGTGTGCCTTGAAAGTTTGTCTCACAGCAGATGCATTTATCACATGTTGTTCCTTCATTCTGTAACTTTTACCAGGTCTGTTTCCATGCAGAATTATCTATGGTTGGATCAGTAAGTGTGTCTAATTCAGAAGCTAGTGTTAGTACGTCCAATTGCTCACAAATGTAAGTTTTGTATCCCAATCTACCCTTATTATTAATAATGGGTATATTTTGGCTTTTATTTGCTTGAAACGTTATTTTTCAGTTAGTTTGTAATCCAGGTCATGGCAAAAGGAATGTTATTCATTTAGCTTCTCTCAAATAACTCTGATGCGTGGGCTATGCACCTTGAGAAATGAGCAAGGTGTAAAATTTTGGAAACAAGTTATGCATGGAATGATTTTGGCTTTTGGCAGAGCTGGAACAGATGCTTGTAAACTGTGCTTTTCTAAGCACAGGCCATGCTGGCTGTTTTTTTTTTTTTTTCTCTTTTTTTTTAATCTTAGTGACTTGCCACCTGCATTACACAGTGCAGCTGGTTTTTCATTGTGGAGTTGGCTTTATGAATGTGTGGCATGGTCTAGGGACTTTGAATCTTTGAATCTTTGGACTATTTTGACCATGGCAGGTTACTGCAGGTTATTGTGACACTGGCCAGAGTTCTGTGATAGCTTATATAGAAGGACACCCCAACAAATGTGAAGAGGGCTTCTGGAGTCCCAACAAATTTGTAGACTGCCTGTGGGTACAGGTCCCAGCACTGTGATCTTGACCTGTGCTTAGTTTATGTGCATGAAGAACAGGGAGCATGCAAATAGTGGTGGCCTCAGAGGCATCAGTTAAAAGGGTCAGCTGAGGCAAGAGTTTGATTAGAGACAACATATCATCACTAAAGAACTTTTAGGCCTCAGTGGTTGAGGAATATGTGCTGTGCTTAGTCTGAAAGAAAGTGAATTATGAGTGTGTTACAGTGCACAAGGGTAGTTCTAGGTTGAAACTGTTAACACCAGGCCTAGGGAAAAGGTTAAATTGGCTGCCGAATTTTAGTTATGATTCAAGTTGAGGAAGGAGATTGCAGGTCTAGAGGCAGTACCAGGGTATAAGTCTGTTCTCACACTCCTATAAAGAATATCACCGAGACTGGGTAATTTATAAAGGAAGGAGGTTTAATTGACTTACAGTTCTGCATGGCTGGGGAGGCCTCAGGAAACTTATTATCATGGCTGAAGGTGACGCAGGCACGTCTTATATGGCAGCAGGTGAGAGAGAGAATTGAAGGAAGGAAGCTAAACCATCAGATCTTGTGAGAACTCACTATCACGAGAACAGCATGGGGGAAACTGCTCCTATAATCCAGTCGCCTCCCACCAGGTCCATCCCTCAATATGTGAGAATTATGGGGAATACAATTCAAGATGAGATTTGGGTGGGAACACAGTCAACCATATCAACCAGCTTTTCCATGGGGTCAAGTATCAACTAACTCACCCTCCTGCTATCAACACTATCTTGTGATAAATTAATTCTGTATCTCTTAATTACTTATAAGAGGGGAAACCCTCTCAAAGAAGGGATATTTTTATATGTCTTAAAAATTTGAAAGATAAATTAAATGAAGGAGAAGCAGCCTTAGTATTTCAGAACTGAAAAATTCTTTATCATAAGAAAGTGTGGGGAACTCCATTTACTTTGTAGAATCCCCATTCAGCAGACATGGAAGCCAGGAGCTTTTGAATGTTATGAGTGGAAAAGCAAGCAAATCCATTCTGACTTATCAGGCAGTAGTTATAAGTAAATTTTATTGATATAGTAAAAAATTCCAGAATGAATATCTTGGTGAGAAAGTTTTCCAACTGAGTTAAAATTTCAATTATTAGATTTTTTAAAAATAGCATGAACTGAATGATATGCCAGCAAGGTCTCCACCAAGATATCCATCTTCTTTTAGCACAATACTAAGTTTCTGCCGCAGTCTTTGGCAATACAAATGATCAGGTTGAAAATATTTTTCTCTGTGAAAACTCTTCTAGAAGCCGTGATGGATTGCTGTTTATCCAGTTCTCAGAATAAATGCCATTGCTATGATAATCTTTTCTTTAACAGTAACTTCTTGGAATTTTTTAAATAGTGAAGAACTTCAGAGACTCAGTGTTAAACAAATACAACCTCTGAGACCATGAAGAAGAAAATACACCCCTTCCAATGAGAAAGAGCTCAATTTTCAAATGCTTAGAGATCACTGTCTTGTCCAATGTATTGAGAACTCTTCCAGCTGACACCAAGTGGCCAAAAAATTAAATGAGTGGGGACTTTAAAATCTGTTAAATTTTACCTCACAAGTATCAGGAAAAAAAATGATTTGGCCCTTAATTCTTTGGAAGCATTATATTTATACTTTAAGTAAGTTGCAAAATAATTTAATCTTTCTATTTTAATATAGGCCCAGTAATGTTATAGTAGCAAAAAAATATGTTATTTAAATGTGGGTCATCTCATTATTGACATTTTGTGATTCGAGTATAATTATGTTATCACTCAAGTTCAAAATGGATCTCCTACTAGGCTATTTTGGCAAGGTTACTGAGAAAAAAAATGTAAGCCAGAAAATCAAATAGAGATTAAATTTTCAGCCTTAGACTTGTTTTAACCAATGTGCTCTTCTGACCCATTTTAGAGTCTACAGGGGTTGGGGAAGTTCAGCTCAGTTCATTCATTGATAGTTCTAAAGTGTATTCACTCCAAGAAGTAGTGTTAGCATTGGATGTGGGGCCTCATCTTGGAATGGGAAGAACTGGCTTCTTAAACTCAACTTGTGTTCTTTTCCCTGGGCAAGTAAAGCACAGTTCTAAGAGAACACAATGTGGAGGAAGGAAGGAGGAAATACTTTTCCTTTCTTGTGGATTGAGATCAATTAGTGGAACACTCTGCTTCTCTCTGTCTCATTACTCATTACATCATGGAAAAGTTACTGACTAATCTTAGAGTCAATTTAATCTTAGAGTCAATTGGGAAATAATAAACTACATTCTTGACATAATTTCTTTTTCTTTTTGGAGAGTCTGAAGCCTCTATTGCTTTTTGTCGTATGTTGCACAATTTTCTTTCCGTGGGAGCAGAGGCTTGTAAAGGGATAGCAATACCTGCAGATGGAAAAGTAAGGCTTTCTAATTTAAAGGCAGGAGCCAATAGCAGAGGGTCTAGCTGCATGAGGAATGCACTATGTCCTTCAAACTCTGCTTTCTCATTAATAAAGGTGATACCTTGCTTCCATCTAATGATAAACTAGTTTATTTTTGAGAATTATTTCTTCTGCACCATCAAACACACACGGTAGGGAAAATTTCAGGATCTTGTGCAGAAGGAAAAGGGCCTTAAATGAGTCAAACCTTGTTATCTGGGATGGATGTACCCACCTATGGGACAGTAAGGAGAAGGAATACAGGGTGGCTAGGATTACGTGGGGTGTGATAATTCAGGACACTCTTTCCATCTTGAAATAACTCTGAGTCAGCATCAATTGTCTTTGTGTGCCAAGCTTAAATGAGGCAATGCTGAAAATGGGGCTGGCTTGTTCCATTTTTGTGTGTGTGTGTGTGTGTGTGTGTGTGTGACATCACCCCAAACTGCTGTTTAGTGAGAAACGAATCCTGAATTCATTAATGCTTTTTATTCTTGCAAGCATTTCCCTATGGATCAAGTCCTGGGGAAGTTAGAGACAGTCCCCATGAGGCAGTTAATGGTGGGATAGCCTGGGACTATACAATTTATACAATTTTGTGAATCATGCCAGTGAAAACATTCAAAAATGTATCAGCCACCCTTATCAATCAAGACCTTTTTGGCTCAATTTTAAACTTACTTAGAGCAACGAGAAACTTTGTCCACCTTTGAACATGTTGAACTTCAGCTGATTGAGGTCTCCCATATTTTTCTAAGACAAGCAACAGTATCACCTCTTTTGTTGTAAACGTATTTCTCTTAACCAAGCATCCCACTAAAACCTTTCTGTGTGTCACAGTACTGATGTGTTCTCTATGTGAAACAGAAGGAGCACTGGCGTTCTCCTGGACTGGAGTTCTAGTCTGGACAGGGATACGTACTACAATATCTTTAAATTAATTTCCTGGCATCTTTAAGCCTCAGGACTCTGTTATGTAAACTGAAACATCACTGTAGCTTCATTTTGGTGATTACAAACAAACAGCCAGACTACCACTCTGAAGCCACCCTACCCATGCTCAAGTCCTGGTTCTTCCTCTTATTAGCTCTGAAGACCTTACCCAAGTTAAATAACTACTCTATGTCTGAATCTCCTCATCAGTATAATGGACATATCAAGTGTATTCCTATATCATAATGTTGTTCTAATAATAGGTGAGTGAATAAATTTGAAGTTATTAGAGTCGTGCCTGACATAATTAGTGAAACACAAGTGTTGTTATAACAGATAAAACCCTCAAATCTTTTGTTTGGAATATGAAGACTCTGCATTAATGAATTAATCTGTTTCTCAACATCCACTGCATATGTACTCTAGGGCAGGGGTCTTCAACCCCCTGGGCCACAGACTTGTAACTATCCATGGCCCGTTAGGAACCAGGACGCAGACCAGGAGGTGAGTGGCAAGTGAGTGAGTGAAGTTTCATCTGTATTTCTGGCCGCTCCCTCTTACTCACATTATCGCCTGAACTCCATCTTCTGTTATATCTGCCAGCCATGACACTAGATTCTCATAGGCGCATGAATCCTATTGTGGACTGTGCATGTGAGGGATGTAGGTTGCGGGCTCCTCATGAGAATCTAATGCCTGATGATCTGTCATTGTTTCCCATTGGCCCCAGAGGGAACTGTCTAGTTGCAGGAAAGCACGCTCAGGGCTTCCAATGATGCCACATTATGGTGAGTTGTGTACTTATTTCATTATGTATTACAATGCAGTAATAATAGAAATAAAGTGCACCATAAATGTAACGTGCTTGAATTGTCTTGAAAACAGTCCCCCCATCCCAGTCTGTGGAAAAATTGTCTTCCACGTAACCGGTCCCTAGTACCAAAAAGGTTGGGAACTGCTGCCTTAAAGAACACAATATTTGCTAAACATCATGAGGTTGCCCATGTCTAATCCATTGTTTTATTTCTAGTATCTATCCATGCTCTCTATGTAAATATATATATATTGAGTTAGTGAATTAATCTATGCCACACTAAAATTTACCCTTGATTT
The DNA here is from genome assembly GCF_000001405.40 of Homo sapiens. Classification (NCBI taxonomy): domain Eukaryota; kingdom Metazoa; phylum Chordata; class Mammalia; order Primates; family Hominidae; genus Homo; species Homo sapiens. The sequence continues at coordinate 11,772,299 of NC_000004.12, read as the reverse complement.
CTGTCTTTGTCAGAGACATTTATATTCTGTGCCTTTATGTTCATAAATGTTATTTTCTGGGTGTTCCTCTCCTACTTCTTTCCCAATATAACTCTGACCTGTTCTTCAAGGTCTAGTTCAAATGTCATCTGTTTAATTAAGATGCTTTATCTGGAAAGGGCATCATTGTTCTGAAGTGAGAAAGAAATGAGCAGAACTGTAGCAACGCTTTCCAAAATTTTGCTGGAATAGAGCCCAGCAACATGGAACAGTGGCAACAGGAAAATAAAGATGGGGTTTGTGTTCATCCTGAGGAAGGTTTGGGGGGCTTTAGCCTTGCCCCTCAAATCTCCTTTTTTCCATCCAGAAATTTTTGTTTTTGTTGCACTTATTCTTTGATGGAAAAGCCTAACAGTTTCCTTATTGCAAGTAGAGATCATAAAAATATGTTTAGAATATTTTTCTAACTTTCATGTTTGTTCTGTAATTCACATTCTAAGTTACAATGATGTATTTCATATGCACGTAGAGCAACATGACAAGTTCTCCAAATCCTGGTCCAATCCAAATGCTTACTCTTCACTCCTCCTATAAGGAAATTGTAGAAGCACCATTGCTTGAAGATGGGGAAAAAAAAAAAGTTAACACAGGAGAACTGGCACTATGTTTATCTATGCATTAAAACAAGAAAATGTATTTGCTTTCACATTACCCCTTTGACTTTTTTGTCAGAAAAGCATTAAAATCGTCGTTGTATAAATAAATTAGAAATGGAGGCACAGAGGTTGCAACAATTAAAAATAAAATTAAAAAAAGTAACGAGTTGAGTGCAGGGCAAAATTCTGAAACCTACTCTAATTATTACAAACTTGGTCTTTTATTCATGGTATCTTAATGTTAATGGAAAGTAATCTGTATATTTTAATTCCATGGCCAAGATAAAAGTGTTGCAAGTCCTCATTATTAATAACCACTCATGAATATTATGACAAGATTTAGTTTTTTGCCCTGTAGTTATAGTTGAGCTTCCACATTCAAGCTGGCCTTTAATTTCTTAAACACCATTTTGGCTATGGAGAAAAATATCAGAAAATCAGAAAAAAAATACAGCCTTAAGGGAAAAAAGTATAATTATAGTATTAACTCACAAGAAAGCTTTGTGCTATTAATCTGGAATCTGGGCCTTTAGCGCACATATCCTTATCATAAATACCCTTTTACACAGATGAAAAGTGCAGAAAACTGAAATCTGAAAAAGTCAATTATTCCTAAGCATTCTCCAAAAGGGAGAAAAGCCAGTGCTTTACACCAACTGGCAACTTATATGAGTCTACAATTGAAACTTTTTCACCGTTTAAGTTCTAGAACAGTGGACCCCAATCTTTTTGGCACCAGGGACCAGTTTCATGGAAGACAATCTTTCCACAGACTTGTGGGTGCAGGAGGATGGTTTTGGGATTAAACTGTTCCACCTCAGCTCGTCAGACATTAGATTCTCATAAGGAGTGTGCAGCTTCTATCCCTCACATGCACAGTGGGGTTCACACTCCTATGAGAATCTAGTGCCCTGCTGCCATTGATGTGATGGGAGGCGGAGCTCAGGTGGTAATGCTCTGCCTGCCTGCCACTTACCTCCTCCTGGGCAGCCCAGTTCCTAACAGACCATAGCTCCATATCAGTCCATGGCTCAGGGGTTGGGGACTCCTGATCTAGAAGGTATGAGCATGATAATATCCTTTTGAATTCATTCATATACCGAAAGCATATTATATGGCAGCTACTGTTTCAAATACATGGCACAGGATCCCCCACATCCATGTCTTTTCTATATGATTCTAAACTCACTGAACAGACTTTTTGGCAGAGTGGCGGAGGCCTGCTCATCTGACTCCAAGGACTTCCCAGGGATTTTCAAAGTGGGCACAAGGACACAGAAGCAAGCCCTTTTCCAACAGTGGCAGCTACAGGGCAAGTGACTCAAGGGATGGCAGTCTTCATGTATCCCAGCTTTTCTGGAAAAGGAGAGCATAAAATGGACATTCAAAGTCAGCAAATACAAGAAATATGAAGACAACTCTCTGGTAGTTATGGAAGTACTGGGATCCTTCCAGTTTTTTTTCTTTTTAAATATTTCAATTTGTGTTTATGTCTCTTTAAATCAAAACATGCCTTATTTATGCAAGAGTCTGGTAGTAGGAAAGAAAAAGCACTGTATCTTGTAGTAAGTGCAATAACAGAGAAAAATCTAGGGCACTGTGGGAGTTTAGAAAATATTTCTCGACACCAGCATTGAGGAAAACAATATTTACTAGAGAGGTGTGCTAAGTTATTATTTTTGTTTTGTTTCTATGTGTATTTATTTGTTTCAACGTTTTGTAGAGAAAATCTGGAGTTGTGGGTGGCAAAGTATACAAGATAGGCATGCTAAGGGCTTTAGGAAGAGGAGGAAATTATCAAGATAAGCCAGAGTCAAGAAAATATGAAACACAAGAAAATTCATAGTGATTGACAATGGTAAGCAGAGGCTCATGTTGAAGAGTAAGAGGAAATAAGCCTTTAAGACACTGTATCTGAGTTCTTAGTTTTAAGCACTGTAGATAAGTATGTGCTGGATCAAGCAAAATGGCTCACTTCCTTGAAATATGGGGAAATAAATCTGTGTAAGGATGGCTGGTCCAGCTGGTTTCCTGCCAATTCTTGGATGGGTCATCCTAGTCCAGAGTATCATGGAAAATTGTTCACACAGCTTGACTGATTGCTTTAAGGGTTTACACTTGTCTCAACTCAGAAATCCAAGCTCTCCCAGGACTGTTCTAACGGCAGTTCTAAAAGCCTCTTTGGTGTGTTGGAGGCCAGGTAGAGGTGAAGCTTCGCAGTGCTTGGACGTATACTCAACCATACGGAGAATATCAGCCTGTAGCAGGTAAATAAGAGCCCAGCACAGAAGAAAAGGCAGAGCTACAAGAAGACAGTGCCACATTATTTTCATTGGAATCTATGTACGCATCTATGCCTGAGGTAAGATCCACCTCATCCTTCTGAAATACCGTATTTTGATCAATTTGGCTCCATGGGGCTTCTGTTACTTGCAATGTAAAACTATACCAATTATACTCTGAAGCTAGAAAGTGTTTCTCCTATTGGATAAGTGCAATTCATGTTATAAAATTGATTTCTGATTTAAGAGCTAGGAGACAACACACATAACGTGCACCTGCTTACGTTGTGTCATAGATGAGAAAATTGAGAAATAAAGCAGGTAAGTAGCTTTCCCCATACAAGTTGAATTGGTATCAGAGAAATCCCTTCATTAGCAATTGGTAGGTATTCTATTTCACAAGTGTATACATGTGCCATTAACTATGCATGATTGCATATGTACATATATATGCACACATGCAAGTATATAAAAGGCAAAATTGTGTACTGTATATGTTTGTTATATAGTATGTTCAGACACACATATATAAAACCTAATGTAATTAGTACTATCTATCGACAATGACTTACTTGACTTCAGAGTGGTTACTTTGTACAGTGAGAACAGAGTAAATATATGTGGACTTTGGAATCACTAGGTATAGCTCGTTGGCCTGAAATGACACCAGGGCAGAGAGGGGCTTATTTCAGGGTAGAAGATCCAAATATATCACTTTATCTATTGCTCGTTTCAATAATTTAAATGTTGTTATTTCTTTGTTTCTTTAGGTATATGTTTCCATTTTACTTTTAGGATGACACACCAAGGTCTAGGCAATTGCTTAAGCTCGTTACTCAGGATGCCGTATCACTGCTGGCTAGAATATTTCTTTGGCAAGTCTTGTTACCATGTCCACCAACTTTATATAGCATACTTCGTTCAGATTTGGAAGCACTGTTACTGTTTTTTTTCCTCATTTAAGCAGCTTATGATTAGGGAGGCTGACAAGAATTTAACATGAGTAAGCCTCTGGCAGTGAGAACAGAACTTCTTAACGCTCAGCAGTTAGCACCAAAGACATCAGCACTTGACAATGGAATTAAACTGTCCTTTGACAACAAGAGTTTATGATGACAATCTATCTAATTGTTCTTTCTCCCAAAAATATAGAAAACTGTCCTGTCCTAGCTGCACAAGGAAGGAATAAAGAATATAAAAATCTTATTATGCTTCATGCCCGTTAGAAAACATTTTTAAAAATTAAAAAATTAAAAATGAAGCTCAAGTAACATTTAAAACACTCCAAATCCAATTGAAAAATATTTAGAGAGGTTGAATTTTTCAAAAGCTATAGAGACTTGATCATATAGTAGAGGAAAGAACAATAATTTTAGAATGAAATAGTCCTAGAATAAAAAACAATAATAAATCCTGGTTTTATGATGTTTTTATAATTTATCAGCATAATTTTCTAAGCATCAGTCACACCTCACATGTCTTAGAGTAGGATTCAAAATTTTGAGGCCTAGCAATTATATCATAAAAACATACAATATATCATAGAAACATATGTATTGAAAAGGAATGGAGGTAAGGAAAGAGGGGATGTTACCAAGTTGGTCAGTATTTGGTGTCAAGCTCAACGTATAACTCAAAAGCATTCTCAGGCTCTTCCAGATGCATGTGACAACCTCTTAGAATTGAAAGATGGTTTAGGCATCATCTACTATAGTGTTTCTACAAAATCCATGTCTAATGTGCATTATTGCTGGGCAGTGACAGATCCAATTCAATAATTTTATCTTCTATTTTATCTTCTATGTGAAGAAACAAAAAAATGGTAAAATAAATTGTTCAAGGTCACATGAAGTTTTTTCTCAGAACCGGTTTTAAATTAGGTCACTCTCCAATCTAAAGCCATTTTTCCTTTTTTTTTTTTTTTTTTTTTGTCTGAAGCAACATCTTCCCAATTAATCACTCTCTGTTCTTCTTGGACTCCACGTAGTATTCTAAAGAGCAAGGAGCAAGAATGGCTCATCTATTTATTGGAGGACCCAGTCTAGTGCCAATCATAGAGTAAAACATAAAGTGACTATTGTAGGTTGAAATGTTTCCCTAGAAAGCCCTATGTTGAAGGCCCCTAATACTTCAAAATGTGCCTTAATTAGGAAGTAAGGTCACTGAAGATATAATTAGGTAGGTTAAGAAGAGGCCATTCTAGAGTACAATGGGACCCTAATCTACTGTGACTGGTATTCTCATGTAAAAAGGAAATTTGGACATGAAGGTACACACATACACACAGAACACCATATGAAGATAAAGGCAGAAATAAGAATGATGCTTCTAAACAACCAGGAATACCTAAGATGGCTAGACAATTACCGAAAACTATGCAACGGCCATGGAATGGAATGTTATTCTGCCATATAAAAGCCGAACATTATAGAATATGTGACCACATGATGAACCTTGAGGGAATCAAGCTAACTGAAATAATATAGTCACAGAATAAGTGCTGTATGATCTCACTTACAAGTGGAATATAACAAAATCAAATTCATACAGGCAGATAGTAGAATGGTGGTTACCAGCCACGGATGGGGAGCAGGGGAAATGAGGAGTGGTAGGTCTGAGGATACAAACTTGCACTTATGTAGGGTGAATAAGTCTAGAGGTCTAAAGCATAGCAGAAGAATTATAGTTAATAATATTGTATTGCATGTTAGAAATTTACTAACAGTAGATTTCAGACACTTATATCACACATACACACAAAAAGAGAAGAGTAACTATGTAAACAGATGGATACGTTAGCATGATTCACTGTGGTAATCATTTCAGTATGTATATGGATATTAGAACATACAGCTGAAACATATACAACTAAACAGCGCATAACACACATAAGAAAAATAAGCATAGTTATATCTATCTGTATATTTTTTATACAAAGACGTCATTGGGCATGAAACCACATAGAAATCATGACAATAAGAGCACAATACACATAGATTAGTTGACTCTAGTTTTCTCATCTCTCCCTAAATTTGTATAATAACATTTTACTTTCAAATTTGTTTTAGTGGTTAAAAAAAAGTACACATGCAACATGCTTGACACTAGGAGAGTTATCAGAAATGGATAGCCTCTCAAATTCTGTCAATTTTGAAATGGAAAGGTGGTTCTGATCTTATTTGTGTGAATCTGGAAGCATCAGAATACTTCACATTCAATTTTTTTAGTTAGTTAGTTACTCCCAATTTGATAAAATGAGTTCATAGCATTTTGGGGAATGAGCTTACAGCCTTGACAACAGAGCGTCCAGGGAGAAATGCCCTCTAGTGGACGTTTTATCCCCACTCGGAGGATACCTGGGAGGATCTCTTAAGTGTCTCATTTTTTTCTCTAACACATTTTACAAGTTAAAAAATACATATATTTTCAGAACAGTCATTAATACATTAATTTACTTCTTGAAATTTACTATCTTCAGATAGATTAGATAGTGTTTTGATGAAATTATCTAAAACAAATTCTGGTAAAATACAGACTAGTAACTCATACATCTTGATTTTATCGCTGATTCTAAGGGTGACCTTCGGCAAAACCTGGTTTCTTCATATTTTTTTCCCCTACCTGAAACATGAGACCTCAAAATACCTGACATCAAGTAATCTAGCTGGAGAAATATCAACTTTGTGTCTAATCATATTACACTTGACTGTAAAGAGAAAATAAGAAGTCCCTTCTGTAATATTTACCTAGGTATATCATATACATGTAGTTTCAATAAGCAGAATAAATGTTGGATATATTAAATAGTCTAATGCAAAAATCCTGATTTGAAAGCAAGACTCCTTTTGTATATAATGTCATGTTTTATATTTCAGGGGAAAAAGAATAAAGATTTGAGAATCAAATTTTACCCTGGGGAGTCCCTGATATAATTCTAGTTTTCCCACTTCAGAAGATTAATCTTGAAAAACATAGGGAAAGAAAAAAATGTGTAAAGATGGCTTTAAATGTTTCAAAATAAGAATTTAGCTACAAGGACTGGCCTACAATTTGTTATTCAGAGTGCAAAAGAAGATATTTATGAGTTTAGAATATATTCCATATTTATAACATTTGTATATTTGTTATTTTATTCTTATTTCTATTTTGATTTACTTTTATCTTATATATAATATATGGTACCTATATATAACTTAGAAGAGTGAAAAAATATATAAAATATTTTGGTATGCATGCTTTAAATCTGATAGTTAAACACGATCATTGAGTCTTTCAAGCCCAGAAATAAATTTATACATTATACATACAGTCAATTGATCACCAATAAGGATGCCAAAAACACAAAATAGTGAAAGGAGAACATTTTCAACAAATTGTTTTGGAAAAACTAGGTACCCCCATACAAGAGAATGGAATTGGGCCCTTCACATACACAAAAATCTACTTAAAATGGATTAAAGACAAACATAAGACCTTAAATTATAAAACTACTGAAAAAACAATAGGGAAAAAACTATATGACATTGGTCTGGGCAATGCTTTTTTGGAATTGACCCCAAAAGCTCAGCCAACAAAAAACAAAAATAGACAAATGGAAATTCATCAAACTAAACTAAAAAGCTTCTGCACAGCAAAGTAAACAATAGAGTTAAGAAGCAATCTATACAATAGAAAAAAAAATTTATTTGTAAGCCATACATATGATAAGGGATTAGTATCCAAAATATATTAGAAACTCAGAGAACTCAATAGCAAGAAGACAACCTGATTAAAAAAAAAACTAGACAGAGGATCTAAATAGGTATTTCTGAAAAGAAGACATAAAAATGGCAAACGATCATGTAAAAAAATTCTAAACATCACTAATTAGGCAAATGCGAAGTGAAAGCACAATGAGATATTACTTCACACCCATCAGGATGGCTATTGTAATATATATAAAAAGACAATGTATTGGTGAGGATGTGAAAAGAATTTAAACATTTTAATACTATTGGTGAGAATGCTGACTGGCAGAGCCACTTTGGAAAATAAATAGTATGAAGGTTTCTCCAAATATTAAAAATAAAACTATCTTATGGTCCAGCAATTCCTTTTCTGTGTCTTTGTTTATATATACATATATACACACACACATTCAATAAATGATTGAAATAAGAATCTCAAAGAGCTATTAGAATGCCCATGTTCATTGCAGCACTATTTACAACAGTCAAGATATACAAATATTACTCAGTCATTAAAAAGAAATGAATTATGCATTTGTTACAGCATGAATTGATCTGGAAGACACCATTCTAAATGAAATAGCCAGTCTTAGAAAGGCAAATACTGTACGATTCTACTTATATAAGGTATCTACAATTTTCAGACTCAGAGAATCAGAGAAGAGAGTGGTAGTTGCCAGGGTCTGGGTTAGGGGAAGGAGGAGTTGTTATTCAAAGGTGTAAAGTTTCAATTGTGCAAAATGAATAAGTCATGCAGATTTTCTGTATAACATAGTGCCTGTAGTTAACAGTACTGTATTGAGTACTTAAAAATTTGTTAAAAGAGTAGACCAGACGTTAAGCATTCTTACCCCCCCCACCCCCCACCTCCACACAAAAGAGACATAAGAAAATTTTTAGTGGTGATGAATGCACTTGTACCTTGATTATACGGATAATATCACAGATGCATGTGCATGTCCAAACTCACCAAATTGTATAGATTAAATATGTGCAAAGTGTTTTGTTTCTTATCGATTATACCTCAATAAAGATAAAGAAAGAATGGAAGGGAAAGGGAGGGGAGGAGAGGGAAGGGGAGGAAATGGAAGGGAAAGGTGGAAAGAAGGAAGGAAAAGGAAATGATGGTAGCATTATGTGCAGGTGAAAGTTACCAGACTTTCAGAAGACAAGTAAGGTCTTCTCACTTGGAGATTTCTGAGAAAAAAAAAAAATTAGGAAATAAGTTTTAAGGAAATGTTAAGCAGAGTTGCACACTAATGTTACAGTTCAGTGAAACTGACAGCAAATCATCAGACATACAGTCATTTCCACAATACACAGACTAAGATTTTTATCTGAATATTTTCTGCTTTCAGTTTATATTTTACTTGATTATCTGCAACTTCGAATTTATCTAATGATATTTTAATCCTAATTCAACATTCCATAGTGTTACAACAACAAAAGATTGTGGCTCAGAAATAATAAAATCCTATAAAACAAGTACGGTAAAAAGTACCCTTTATGCCTAATGGGTCATTGTAATGTAAGCCCAAGTAGGCAGATTTAACAGGTGTTGTTTGATTGGCAATAGTCTTGTTCCCCCGCCCCTTTCCCTTGAGAGTGAGTGAGACTTTTTCTAGCTGCATTGGCCTACGTGCAGCATACTGGCTAAATTTTAGGGAAAAGTGTCCCTTCCTAGAAAAGGGAGCACAATTTGACCTCCATGTGATACATCACCCATGATAAATATGTATGTGTGCATATGCATATATATACAATATATATATATATATTTCTTGTTTAGACACATCTTATCAGACAATGTCAAATAATCATGAGCCCTTTGATAAAATATTAAAATGTTAATCTTTAAAACTTTTACGGAAAATATGAAGGAAAGGGAGAAGAAATAAACAACAGTATTCATTAATGTTTAGTTGTTATGCGTTTGTCCTTAATATTTTCTTTGGGGTATGTTCACAATTTGAAATTTCACTTTCCATGGACAAACTTTAACCACATCTGGCATGTGTGTCTTCCAAATGAAAAGCAGTAGATGTTTGTTTGTTTCTTTTCTATCACATTAGAAGACACGAGATATTTGGAGACGAAATATCATTATGATCGTCTCTGAAAGCTAAATACATATCCAAAAATGTTGATTGTAAAAAGCATTTGGGTGGCCAATGTTCCAATAACTTGATTAGTCTGGGAATGCAAGCTAATGCTTATGAGCACTGTAAAATTAAATTCTAAATAGGTGTATTGTTAATTCTTATGATAATATCACTACCAGTTTCCCTATGTGTACTGTTGTGGTGAGAAAATATAAGATTTTTCTTAAAAAAGAATGTTCAGAGACTCTCTTAGGTTAAATTAAACATTTCTATAGAAAAACTGATGTTAAGTTCATTGATTTTTATTTCATGACAGAAATGATGTCAAGGTCCCATTTCAAGGCCCTCATACTTGCTGTTCCAACTGTCTGGAATGTTCTCATTCTCAAATACATCTAACTCTTTCCTTTGGCCCTCCAAGTCTCTTCAAATGTTACCTTTCTCATAAGTCTTCCCTGTATACCTTGCCTAAATGTACTACCTTGTACCCCAATATTACATGTGTCCTACTGTTCTATGTTATCATTTATCACTACCTACCAACCTATTATCTATCTTGCTTGTTTACTATGCTAATGATAGGTTGTGTTCTGTCTGCCTCCTCCACAAGGAAGAAAGCTCACAAAAGAGAGACATTTGTTTATTGTGTTCACTGTTATATCTCCACGTTCTAAACTAAGGCCTGGCATATAATTGGGGCTTAATAAATGCTTTTTGAATAGTACATATAATTTTATTTATTTCTCACAACCAAGAAAAGTAGATAGATATTATCTGTGCCCTTAGCTAAATAAACAGAGGGCCCAAAGATAGTAAATAACTTGCTCCAAACCTCAGAACAAGGAATAGTCTTTCTCTGAGAGATTAAATATGTAAAAGGAGAGTGAGGAAGCTGGATGACACAGCTGAGGTGGGCTAGGAAGGGAGGTCAGACCTGTTACATGGTTACTCAAGGAGTCAGGGAGACGTCAATGGAGAGAAAGCAGGAAAATGAATTTTAGATCTTAGCAGAGATGGACAGAATTACAATGCATCATCTATGGACAGAGGGAGTTCCTGGAAGATGGAGATGTTCAAGGACGATGTGAATAATCAGAATTCAGGGCTGTTGCAGTGATGATTATATTCTGAGAAGGAACATGGATCAGATGTTTTTTAAGGACCCTGCACGATTTCCAAATATAAATTTTTAATAACACTTGGCTGCCAATGACGCCAATTACTAAGCTTCTCTGGAAAAAGAAAGGCTGGGATTTCCAATAGAAGTAACAAAAAAATCACGTTGTTCTATTTTGAAAAACTAAATTATAGCTCCAAGGAGAAAGCTTGGGGATGATGGAAATAGGCTTCACAGAGCAACTACTGTACCAAACACTGTGCAAGTCACTCCACTCACATTTTCTATTTTTCTGCATATCACCATTTCAAATGAGGATCCTAAGATTAGAAGTCAAATGATCTGCTCCAGGTGAACACAGTGAGAAAAGTGCAGATGTAAGACCCAAGGAGCCTTTCGACTCACTCCCAACTCTGTATTTTGCCAACTATGTTCTAGCTAGATTTGTTAAAAATAGGAAATAAATTAGTTCAAAAATATAGATAAATGAACAGAGAACAACTTAAGAGTACTTTTGTGGCTCAGATAAAGAAATCTGAAACTTAATAAATTAGCTTTGCTTATCTTAGAAAAACAATTTAAAAGTATTTAAAACCACTTGTGATGATGAGTTCTGAACTTGTGCTAAGCAGCATTGAAACAAGCATGCAGCAGTCAACCTGCATTGGCCATTTTTTTCCATGTTAGAAGTTGAAAAATGGTTATGTTTCAGAATAAAACATTCCAGTATATTCATAACTTACTGCATATTTTTAAAAGATAGGTAACTTGGTGGATTGACTCATTTGTTTATTACTCATAATTTTGTTTTAATATATCACCATGTTTTATACAGCTTTATGTTTGTCTTTTGAATTTTTTTAATCATAGAAGAAGAAATGAGTCTATGGAACTGTAGAAATTAGAAAAAAAAATCCTAATTTACTATTCTTAAAATCTTTGCTCTCCAGGAATAAACTGTGTTTATCAAGCAACTTGGCATGGATTTATTAGTCAGCTAATAATGCAACAACAACAAACAGTTACATAGTATTTGTTCCATGGCTACACTTTCCTATGTAATTAATTTAATCTTCACTTCCAATACAACATGCTATTGTATTTCCACTTAATAACAGTGGAAACTGTGGCAGAGGTGTTAAGTAATGTGCTCAAGGATGAACAACTAGTGTTACATTTAGCACTGGACTAGAAATTTGGGGGAATTAAAAAACTATATTTTAGATGTATCACCCATCCTTAAAAAATAAAAAAATCTGAACTATTTGATTATTGAGTCAATTAATACATGGGTGAATGAAAGGATCAATAAATTACATAATAAAAGAGCCAAAGAACAATGTATATTATATGACCAAATGCTATCTTTGTGGTTATTAAATTGATTTTTTTGGAAATCTACAGACAAAGGAATACAGAGTAGAATTGTTATTTAAGGGAAATGAAATATTAAGCTTTAGAAAAGCAGAAGTAATCTAATTAATTTAACAAATACTTATTATTCACATCATGCTGGAGAGTCATTGGACTACATTTTACAGCTATAGAAACATGTGTGGTATGTCCTAAACATCTTTCTAGTGGGAGAGAAAGATTGTAAACAAATAATTGCAAGAAGGTTTGGTTTAGGCGATGGTAGAATACCAATAAGATGTAGAAGTCTTACAGAAGAGAAAGGCAAGGCTGAGTGTTTTTTTAAATGTTGATAGAAAATGCATAGGGATAACATCTGTAATTAAATTCAAATTACCATTCATGGCAAAGAGTTCTTGTGCCAGTGTCCCCGTGCTTTAAATTTGCTTGAACTCATTTTTTAAACTTCAGTGAATGTTACAACTGAATGTTGTATACACCCCATAAATAGGAAATGGACCTTAGATTAGTTTTGTTTTTTGTGAAGCCAAATGGTGTCTCTGTCATTAGAGTAAATTAGTGCTCTAAGATTATTTATTTAACTAGAAAAATATGCAGATGCCAAATTTTCACATGAACATTATCAACAAAAACTGCTGATCTAATTTCACATTTCAGAGAATCTATCTATACCAATGGCACAAGAAGGACTATTTTAGTAAGATAAACATCTTTTGTAATTGAATTTCCCTTGTAGATCTGTTTTTATATATTTGTATATTATTCATCTTTTAAGAAAGTAGGAGATTACTGAGATTTAGCATTTTAAGTGGTGATGTGTCTAGGGAACTCAGAACAAATGTCAAAAGTGACACCAGTCTAAGAGCACAATTACTTGCTTAATGACTCATAATTTGTGTCCAGCAATACATGCTGTGATGGATGGAAGTGTTAAACACTTATAGTGAAGATTTCAGATGATACCACCACAACAAAGGGCATTTAGATAAGTCCAGGAATCAAAGGACTTTAACTGGTCATCAAAAATTGAAACGGCAGTTGATGAAGATTCAAAAAGTGCAGAAATTAAAATAAAAAAAACTCCAAAGATTATCAGACAATATAGCATCCAGGAATGGAATTAGAGTGGCATAGAAAATAATTATCATGTCAAGTTCTATTGTGGGATTACATTTCTGTTATTAAACCAATTTGGTCCTTCTTTGAATCCATAATGCTCATTTTGAAATCAATTATGTAGTTTTAAGGGAGATAGAAATGAAGAAAGGGAATGACATTTTTTAGTTACAACTAAATTTCAACAAAATTCTATGCTTTTGACAATGCGATGAGTTAAATGTGAACACTCTCCTCAAGAGAAAGAACACATTTGAGTACATCTTTATTGGATACACATAGAGTATGCACAATATTATCTTACAACTTGTGTATCCTTCTTATATATGCTAACATATTGTATGTATGTGGACCATTTATGAGTGAAACCAAACAATGACTAATTATTTACTGGGGAGCAAGTTCATACAGTGGACCTTTTCTGTACAGATTCACTGAATTCCTCCTTTGCATGCAAAACAGCCCATAATCAGGTGCCAGAATAGTTAACTGAGAGTCTACCTATCAAGAGTGCAGAACCAACTAGAAATTGTATTTCAAATCAAAAGGATATTGCTAATTGTCATATTGCTAACTATGTGCACTTTTTCAATATGAATACTTAAGCCTCATTTTCCTTCTTTCGCTCTTTTTTTTTTTGAGACGGATTCTCCCTCTGTCACCTAGGCTGGAGTGCAGTGGCTCGATCTCTGCTTACTGAGACCTCTGCCTCCTGGGTTCAAGTGATTCTACTGCCTCAGCCTCCCAAGTAGCTGGGATTACAGGTGCGCACCACCATGCCCAGCTATTTTTTTTTTTTTAATTTTTAGTAGAGATGGGGTTTCAGCATGTTGGTCAGGCCAGTCTCAAACTCCTGACCTCGTGATCCACCCGCCTCAAACTCCCAAAGTGCTGGGATTACAGGTGTGAGCCACTGTGCCTGGCCTCATTTTCTCTGGAAATAGCCTGAATAGCTATCTAGGATAGCTGGGATGTAGCTAACTTATCCCATTTTGGAAAGAGCTCTTCGATAATCTAGTTGGTGGCTTTCCTCAATTTACTTAATTTTGCTGCTTTCAGCATCATATTGTTAAAAATAGAGTTTCAGAATACCCACCTTTCAAAGTGATACCTAGTTCACTAATTAGCACAAAGTCCCTCTCCAGCTGTTCCTTTTCTGTTTTTGCTGAATCTAATACCAAAGCCCTTACAACTCACAGCCAGTGTAAGAAGCCGTCAGTTTCTAAGAGAGAGCGATCCAAAGATTCCCTGAAATGACTATAGAGCAATAAAAATGAACACAAGTATGGGATTCCAAATAGGGGTTTGCTTATTGGCCCTTCTGAAGGGACTCTAGTTTATTTCCAAGGGACCTTGGAAAAACAAGTGGACTCAATCTCTGCTCACTGAATCCTCAGCATACTATCTATGTAGACTCTCCATTCTGCTTTTACCCTCCACTTTGTAAAATGTCCTTCATAAACAGGACATGTCCAGTAGAAACATCCTATGGAAACATGTCCTATAGAAACATCTTTGTTTACTTGTTCCTCACAGAGATTAAAAGGGAGGGAATCAATATACCTTCATTCTAGTTTATCAAAACTAAACATGCACTAAATTGTACCTTTAGGAAATAGAAGAGGAGTCTTAGACTAACTCAAATTTTCCTTTGACATGTTTCTTCAAACATGCAGAACTTTTCCTGAGAGTGAAGTGGCAGCCTATTTGGATAATAATAGAATCATTACAGGCCAATATTTATAATGTGCCTGCACTTTACAAAAGAACTTTTGAATGATCAGGGAAAGCAACAGAATGCATTGTCAAACTGTGCACTAAAAAATAAAAAATGTTTAACAGTAACTCAAAAGCCAAGTGTTCTCATGTCTAAAGATGGATTTCCTTGTCAACTCAGTACCCTGGGCCCCTTAAGCAGTAGCAGTAAGCACAATTTATTAATCAATTGAAGGGTGAGAAAGGCCATTGCTAACAATGTGTCTTAAACGATAAGGTATATTCATTTAGCTTCAAGTAAATTCTAATGTCCTTACATGTTATAATTCAACCTATGGAATCTTTATTGGTACCTCTACAAAGAAAGAATCAAGTAAAAAATGTAGAAAGATATTCTTATGTTTCAAAGAATAAGAAGAGCAAACACTGTGTGTGATTATCTGGGTACATGTAATACTGATAAATGAATTTTTAATGGTTGCATTTGCAGTATCATCTATGTATGTATGTATATTTCCACTTAAATACTTATGATTTTTGAGTGGAGAATCAAAGTGTATTAAAACTCATTAAGAGGTCAGAAAATTCTGGTTTAAGATCTAACCCTGATAACAACCACAAACTTCTGAAAAAAGCAGTTAATCTCCCCTTTGCTCACCTTCCACCTATGCCAGGCTTTCCTGGAACTTTCAACAGTGTCCCTTCAAAACAAGACCAGTTCACTCCTTGAAGTGCTAAGAAGCTCCCTGCACTAGGAACCACCAAACATAAAATGTAACCCATCTCTTGCACTCTTTCCTATTTTTCCCTGTGACTATGAAAGTACTGTCGTTTGTATTATTTTCCCATCGCTACATAACAAATTAGCACATAAATAAATTCTTAAAGCAGCACAACTCCTTATTGTCTCTAAATTTTCCTGTGTCAGAATTTCTGGGATGTCTAGCTGGGCCCTCTGCTTCAGTATCTCACTGGTCTTGCTCGAGTAAGATGTTGTCTGGGGCTGAGTTTTCACAGCCAGTTCCAAGCTCATTTGGTTTGTTGGTAAAATTAATTGCTTGTGGCTAAAATGACTGTGGGCCTGAGCTTCCTGATGGCTGTTGACGTGACACCAGGGGCCTCTTTCAGCTCCTAGAGAGTGGCTATAGTTCCTTGCCATGTCGCCCTCTTGATATGATGTCTACCTCAAAAAACCTTACTCTTTCAAAGCCGCCAATGTGTAAAGACTCTTCACAGGAAGGTCTAAGTACCTCTTTAAGGACTTTCACCTGATTAAGCCAGGCCCACTCAGGAGGACCTCTCTGGATAAAATAAACTGATTGTCTACAAATAAGAATAACTTTGTTGCTTTCTTCTTGTTTCCTATGTAGTTAATTTACATTTTTAACTCATTTTATTACATAGCAACTCAAATATAATATTGAATACATTTGTGGTAGTACCTTTTTAATTTTTGTTCTTGTTTTTGACTGGAAATAAAGTACAGTGCTTCTAAGCATCAAAATGTGTATGTTTGCTTTTGATTTTAAGTAATCGTCATTACGTTTAGAATGTTTATCTTTCTGCTATTAGTTTGTTGTGTGAATTTTTGAAAACACCAAGGAGTATAGATTTTTTTAGTATGTTACTTGCACCTATAAAATGACTTACTCTTTAATACCTAATGTGATATAATTAATATATTTTATGATCTTGACCATATATATATATGTCCTTGTGATAAACGCCACCCCATATTTAGTGTATTTAGAAATTTCTAATATTTTTTCCTACATATGCAAGAATTTTGCCCATAATTTCAGTTCCCATTCGTCACTTATTCTATTTTGGTTTTAATAACTAAAATGAGTTGGAAATTTTCTTCTGTCTCTATTAATCTAAAATGGTTTTACATGATAAAAATTACCTAGTTTTTGAAATTTTATAAAAGCATCAGAAGCTGGTATTAATATTAAAATTCTTTTAGGTCGTATATTTCTTCTAAAATCAATTTGTGTTGTGTTGTTTGCTTGTTTTTTAGTTTGGTATTTCACTTAACTGGAATACAGTTGTTCATGTTTTAAAATTTTTTTAATCTTTTTTTAATTTTATTATTATTATACTTTAAGTTTTAGGGTACATGTGCACAATGTGCAGGTTAGTAAAGTTTTGTTTTTTCCTCTATTTATTTATACCTTTTCTTTTTTTTCCTTTTTTTTTTTTTTTTTTTTTTGAGACGGAATCTTGCTCTGTTGCCCAGGCTGGAATGCGGTTGCACGATCTCGGCTCACTGCAAGCTCCACCTCCCGGGTCCACACCATTCTCCTGCCTTAGCCTCCTGAGTAGCTGGGACTACAGGCGCCCACCACCACACCCGGCTAATGTTTTTTGTATTTTTAGTAGAGATGGGGTTTCACCTTGTTAGCCAGGATGGTCTCAATCTCCTGACCTCATGATCCACCCGCCTCAGCCTCCCAAAGTGCTGGGATTACAGGCATCTGTTTTATTTGATTAGTCCTGAGAAAAAAAGTTATCTATTTTGCAGTTAGTCCAGAGTTGATTTTATGGTTTTTAACTTTCCTTGTTGTTTTATTTTCTATTTAGTTTATGTTTTTTCTCCTATTTCACAATTTTCTTCTTTTCAATATCATCATGTTTATTCTGTTTGTTCTTCTGAGCCTTTACAGCTGAAGTGCAACCTCCTCTTTTTCTTCTCCCATCTACTCCAACTCCTCTTCTTCCTCCATAACTTTCTTCCTCCTCCTTTTCCTCCTCCTCCTTCTCCTGCTCTTCCTCCTTCTCTTTCTTCTTCTTCTGCTTCTGCTTCATTTTTGGCTCAGAATATTTAGGGATACTCTCTTATTCTTTGACAGTATTTAACTACATATTTCAGATTTTGATATGTAGTGTTTTTAATTGGAATTCAGATTAATGTATTTTCTAATTTCAATTGCTCTTTTCTCTTTATCTTATAAAATTTAAAATAATATAGTTTAGTGTTTTTTCTAATTCAATTGAACTTTGCTCAGAAGATGTGATTTATGAAATTTTAATCTTTAGAAAATAAATGAGCCTTACCTTATAATGTATTTTGTGACCACAATTTACAAATGTTGCTTTAAAAAAATACTTTTTTCCTTGTGTGAATTTTCTCTCTTTTCTCCCTCTCTCTGTGTGTGTATTAGTCCATTTTTGTTGCTATAAAGAAATAACTGAGCCTGGGTAATTTATAAAGAAAAGAAATTTAGTTGGCTCATAGTTCTGCAGGCTGTACAGGGAGCATGGTGCCAGCATCTACTCAGCTTACGGTGAGGCCTCAGGTAGCTTTTACTCGTTGTGTAAAGTGAAGCAGGAGCAGGCAGTCATATGGCAGAAGTGAGAACATGGGAGATGGGGTTAAAGAGAGAAAGGAAAAGGGGAAGATCCCAGACTCCTTTAAACAATCAGATCTTGTGTAAACAAACTGAAGGAGAACTAACTCATTACCAGGAGGATGGCTCTAAGCTATTCATGAAGGATCCATCCCTATGACCCAAACATCTCCCACCAGGCCTCATGTTCAATATTAAAGATCACATTTCAACATGAGATTTGGAGGGGACAAACATACAAATCATATCATTATCTCTCTCCCCACTTCTCTCTTTATCAATCCCTCCCTCTTTGTCAATCTTAGCCTTGGCCTTCAGATTTTACCACTTGATTTTTCACATTTTCTGTATTCTTAATGATCATTTTTGCCTGCTTGACCTAACCATTTCTAAAAAGGTTTTATTTACAAATGTTCAGGATTATGTTATGGTGATTCTTAAAAATATGTCTTTGTAGTTGACATAGTACCAAAAAGAGAGGATTGTCCAAGGCTCATGGTTTCTAAAGTGAGAAAAGAGAACCACATCTAGTCTTTCTCATGTTTTGAGACACTTCTCAGAAAGCCAACTTTGGCCTCACTGTACAGGAAAAGAAGGTGTAACAGCATAGGCAGAATATCTGAGGCCAAGTGGAAACAAAGCAAGATGGTAGAGCCCATAGCAGTCAGCACACAGATCTTTGTGGTGGCCCTGTGTACCTGCCAGTGGTGGTGCTCAATCAGAGTAACTAGTGAACAGCATAGCCCACCTGGAAAACTGAGCTGGTGGCTCCCATAATTTATAGGATCTGGCTTGAATATCCCAGCCAAGAGGCCCAACTACTAGCCCTACTCCAAGCCTCTGCCCAGCAAGACTGATGCTCACCACAGGGCAATTTGGCAAAGAGCAGGGATTTTCCCAGACCCAGGAGTTTAAATGGTGCTCAGGTCGTCTTCAAAGCTCAACCCAAGTCCCCACCTAGGCAGGGAGGTAAACCTCAACCATGCATCTCTATCAAGCATAACAGCTGGTCTTATTTGTCCAAAGAGGGAACTCCATTTACCCTTGGGGCCCAGCCTGTAACTCTGTCCAATTTCAGATCTTAAATATCAATACCATCTGTCAAGGGAATACACTCTGTCGCTTCGCCCAATCAGAGTCAACTACAGTTCCCAGCCATCAGCTCTGCTTGATTGCAGAATTAAATCAGTCATCTCACCTGACAAGGAGGCCCAGGGTTCAGTTCCACCTAGAATCACAGCCTATATTAAACAGTAAAGTCTATCTCTGCCAAGAAAATAGAAAACCTTGTAAAACCTGAAAGAAGTGGCTATCTCCCCAATTGTGGAGAATTCAAGGATTACAAACATCCAGGAAATCATGACACCTATAAAACAAAGTTCCAACATTGAGCCCTAAAAAATTGATACCTATGAAATAACAGACAAATAGTTTGGAATTAATCCTCTTGAATGTAGTAAACTATAAAATATGTGGATATAAAATTAAAGGAAATGTAAAAAATAATACATACACAAATCATGAGTTTAACAAATAAATAGAAATTAAAAAAAAAAAAGAGG
This sequence comes from Homo sapiens, assembly GCF_000001405.40. Classification (NCBI taxonomy): domain Eukaryota; kingdom Metazoa; phylum Chordata; class Mammalia; order Primates; family Hominidae; genus Homo; species Homo sapiens. The sequence continues at coordinate 11,752,318 of NC_000004.12, read as the reverse complement.
CCAGGTGCAGTGCTTTATACCTGTAATCCCAGCACTTTCAGAGACTGAGGCAGGCAGATCACTTGAGATCAGGAGTTCCAGACCAATCTGGCCAACATGGCAAAATTCCATTTCTACTAAAAATACAAAAATTAGCTGGGCGTGGTAACGTATGCCTGTAGCCCCAGCTACTCAGGAGACTGAGGCACAAGAATCGTTTGAACCCAGGAGGTGGAAGTTGCAGTGAATTGAGATGGTGCCGCTGCACTCCAGCCTGGGTGACAGAGTGAGACTGTGTCTGAAAAAGAAAAAAAAAAAAAAAAGAAATCCTAGGGAGGTAGAATACACTAAGTAAATGAAAAAACGCATTAGAAAACTTCAACAGCAGGTGCAAACAGGCAGGAGAAAGAATCAGTGAGCTCAAAGACAGAACATTTGAAATTATCCAGCCAGAGGATCAAAAGAGTGAAAAATAATAAAGAAAGTCTATGAGAATTATAGGACATCAACAAAAGATCTAATTTTTATATAATAGAATTTCCAGAAGAAAAGCAAGAAAAGGTCCAAAGGGGAATATTTAAAGAAATAATAGCTAAAAACTTCCCAAATCTGATGCCAACATCCAAGTACAGAAAGCGAAGAGGTCTTCAATCCAAAGAGGAGTTTACTAAGGCACGTCATAATCAAACTACAAAATCTAGGGACAAAAAATTCTGAAAGCTGAAAGGGATAAAAAAAAAAATCACAAAAAAGGGAGTCTCAATAAGACTACAGATTTTTCAACGGAAACCCTGGAGGACAGAAACAAGTGGGATGATATATTCCAACACATCCTGAAGGAAAAAAAAATGCCATGCAAAAGTATTTTATTCAGCTAAGCTGTACTTCATAAATGAGGGAGAAATAAAAACATTCCCAGACAAACAAAAGCTAAGGGAATTCATCAACACTAGGCCTGCCTTACAGACACTACTAAAGGAAGTTATTCAAACTATGCACAGGCCACTAATTAATAACATAAAACATATAAAAGTGCAAAATTCAATGGCATAAGCAATACAGCATCCTATTCGGAACACCCTACACTGAAAATGGTAGTGTGTAAAGGAATTTCATCTCTACTGTGATGGTTAATAGACAAATCTATTAAAAGAACTATAGCTAAAATTAATTGGCAGAGAACAAAAGTTACAAAATAATGTAAATTTTGACATTAAAAATGTAAAATATAAGGGGGAATAAAAGTATAGTGTTGTCATATGAGATCAAAGTTGACTTACTATCAGCTTGAAATAGCCTGTTACATGTTTTATGTAAATCTTAAGGTAACCACAAAATAAAAATATATAATAAATATTAAAAACATAAGTAAAATGATTCAAAGCATATCACTACAGAGACCCATCAAACCACAAAAGGATACAACTAAAGAACAATAAGGACATTACATATATACAAAATAACCAGAAAACAAATCACTAAATGACAATAATAAGTTCTTCTCTATGTGCTTGAAAGTAAATTGAATAAGTTCCTTAATAAAAAAGACACAGGGTAGCCAAATACATAAAATAAATAAATGAAAATAAAAAAGACCAAATAGTCAACTATATGCTGTCTATAAGAAACTCACCTCATCTTTAAGGACATACGTTGACTGAAGGTGAAGCAATAAAAAAGGATGCTTCATGCAAATAGACACATTGACCAATGGAACAGAATAGAAAGCTCAAAAATGTACCCATAAGTTTATGACCAATTGATTTTTGACCAAGGTGCCAACAGTACATAATAAGAAAAACATGATCTATTTAAAAAAGGATGTTGGGAAAATTAGCTGTTTACATAGAGAATGAAATTGAACTTTTTCTGATACCATATACAAAATTCAACTCAAAATGAATTAAAACTTAAACATAAGATATAAAACTGTAAAACGAGTAGAAGAAAACAGGGAAAAAGCTATACAATATTGGTCTGGCAATGATTTTTTAGAATTGAGCCCTAAAAGTAAGATTACTTAAAACTAAAAAAACATCTGCATGGCAAAGTAAACAATTAACAGAGTGAATAGGCAACCTACAGAATGGAAGAAAATATTCGTAAGCCATACATCTAATTAGAGGTTAATATACAAAATACGTTAGAAACTCAAACAACTCAATAGTAAAAAAACAAATAACCTGATTTTTAAAGTGGGAAAATACCTAAGTAGTCATTTCTCAAAGAAAGATATGGAAATGGCCAATGGAAATGTAAAAAAAAAAAAATGCTCAATATCACGAAATATTAGGAAGATGCAAATTAAACCTACAGGGAGTTAACACCTCACAATTGTCAGAATGGCTACTAGCAAAAAGCTGAACGATAACAAGTGTTGGCAAGAATGTGAAGGAAGGGGGAAACCCTAGTACACTGTTTGGCGGGAATGTAAGATAGTACAACCATAATGCAAAACAGTATAGAGGTTCCTTAAAACACTAAAAGTAGAGTTCTCTTATGTTCTAGCAATTCTGCTTCTGAGTATATATGCAAAGAATTTGAAATTGGCTTATTGAAGAGATACCTGCATTCCCACATTTATTGCAGCATTATTCATGATAGCCAGATGATGATGTCTATCAACCAATGAAGGGTTAAAGAAAATATGATATATATACACAACAGAATCCTATTCTGCCTTTAATAAGAGAGAAATTATGTCATTTGTGACAACATGGATGAACTTGGAAGGCATTATGCTAAGTGAAATAAGCCAGACACAGAAAAACAGACACCACATATTCTCACTTACATGTAGAACATAAAAAAATCAAACACATACAAGCAGACAGCATAATGATAGTTACTTGAGACTAGAGAGTAGTGGAAATGAGGAGCTGTTGGTCCAAGTGTACAACAGTTAGACAGGAAAAATAAATGATAAGTATTTGAGGTAATAGGTATGTTAATTAGCTTGATTTAATCTTTCCAAATTGTATACATGTATCATACATCACTTTGTACTTAATATTCAAATATTATTTGTAAATATCCAATAAAAACTAACAATAAAATGTAAAAGATTGCAAGAGGAGAAAAGAATTCTTTGTAAATAATGTGTTTATGCTTATTTAATTTTTTAGAATAAAAATGTTAAAGAGAAAACATATCTTTTACATAATTATTTTTAAATTTAAACTTTAAAATATTGTAAGAGTCAATTAAAAATGTAAAGTTTTACGTTCAGTTTAAGTTTCATTTTGATTAAGATAAAGAACTTTGGAGTCTAATATTTCAGAGTTTCAACTCCAATTCATTTAGTTACAGTGAGACTTGGCCATATCACTTCACCATTAGACTTCGTAGATTTTTCCTCTGTAAGATGGGAGGAAAAATATTTACCTGATACATTAGTTATGAATTTTAGCTAAGTTAATTTATGCACAATGATTCGTATACTTCCAGGTCCACACTAAGTGTTATTTAAATTATAGCTTTTTTGGTGATTTTAGCAATAATTATAATCAGGGAAAAAAAGAGAAATTTAATAGTGTTTTGTGTTCATAGCTAGTGTTCATTTTATTCACACAGGAAATGCAGGATGGTAGGAAGAATAACAATTTTCATCTCAATTTCATAGATGAGAAGTCTAAGAGTCATCCTGGCAAAGTGTTTCATTTAAGGACATGTAGGTAATCAGTAATACAGTCAGACGTAGAATTGGAACCAGTTGACTGCAAACTTAGTGTGTTTTAACTTCAATCTACTATATTTTAGCGTTTCTGAGTAATCTGTCTTTTGCATTAATACTCTAAAGATACTTGGGGGAAAAAAGAGGTGTGTAAGATAATTTGAAAAGAAAGCAATTGAAAAACTGAAGTCAGGAAGGCAAGCTCTGAAGACAATACACTGATTCAGAAAAATGAAGGGGCTGTTCTAGTGACTCACTCATAGAGGCTGGCAGGGACGGACATAAAATGTAAGCACACGAGGTCAAGCTTAAAATAATAAATGCCTGCGAGGCGGATTCCTCATTATTATTGTCAGTTAAACAAAGACCCACAGCTGTTAACTGGAACTTTGGCCTAAATCACAGGCTTCTTTATGTGTTGTGAATTTCACTAAAAGGGCTGTTTTAAGTTCCATTTTAAAAGGAATAAATGTTAAACACACACACACACACACACGCACACACACATTGAATAGAGCTCAAATTCAAAGCTTCATGCTTTAAACACACACACATATTGAATAGAGCTCAAATTTGTTCAAAGCTTCATGCTTTAAAAACTTAATATTCTCAGTTCTCTAACTTTGCCTCCCAAAGTAGTAAAATAACAAGGAAACAAAGGAAGAATTGCTACAGGTATGAAATGTCAGCCAATGCATGCCATTTTGTAGGGGATCTCAATGGAGTGAGTTGGGAGAAAAATGTTGAGAGAAAATGTAAGAAATTAGTTGTCATTTTTAACGTCAGACCTTCTATCATTTACTTCATATATCTTGATTCACGTATTTTAGTTAATAACATTCTAAGAACAAGTTTGTGCAGTAGATATTTTCCCCTTAAAGACGGTTGGCAAATGGCAAACTGTAGTCCAAAGACCAAACCCAGTCTGCCATCTGTTTTTATAAATAAAGTTTTATTAGATTATGGCCACCCTCATTCACTTATGTATGGCCTATGGCTGCTTATGGGTTATAATGGCTGAGCTGGGTATACTTCTGTAACCAAGTAGGTATGTCCAGCAAACAACATACCTACAATCTGGTCGTTCTCAGATAATTACTGTTGAGTCCTTGGTAAGGAAACTGAGACTCAGTGAAAGGAAATATTTAGTTCAAGGTCAAATAACTTTTCGTTCTTCGGAGGTAAGGGTTGGTCTCAGAGTTTCCTAGTTCAACTTGTAATGAAACTCAAAGACTTCTCCAGGTCTAGCAAGATGTATTTTCCCTTAAACCATTTCATACAATTTGAGAACATAATTTCATCTTAGAGAACCTGGTGTTGTAATGGGGAAAATGTGCATTTCAGCATCTGAAAGACTCAGGAGAGCATTAGATTCCCTCATACTTGCTGTCACTAACCCCTATTTTAGTTGGTGAAAATTAAATGAAGAAAAGTTAGTAGTTATGTTCTGCAAACCAAAAAGGAAATATTCACTTGTGTGATAATAGTTTTCAGTGCCAGGTCAAAGTTTTGATTCTTTGCTAGAAAAATGTGTTCACTTTCAAAGGATTTCCTTTTAAATATGATGCCTCCTGAGGATACATTTTAAAAAAAATTTCCTATTACCCTGCCCAGCCAGAAGAGGTGAAGCAAAGTTGCTGACTTCAGCCTCAAGCCGATAAGGAGGAAAAGAGCTTGGCAGGTAAAAGGAAACATCTGGCATGCAAATGTGAATTTGTGAACCAAGGGTGTGTCTCTTAAAATGTTCCTGTTAAAATTTGCCTCGCATCATCTATAACTTCCCACTGATCATGAGTTTTTGGATTTTTACCCCATGAGATCATCCAGTCAAAAGGCGATGAGAGTGTCAAATTAATAAATGAATGTATAGTGAAAAAAGCTCACAATTTTCTACTCAAAACACACTAATTCACACGCTGCTGCCTTACCAAAAAGTTGTGCTACTGTGCAGTTACTGAAACATCGGTGTCCTTATTTTAAAATGGGGTCAACTTCCGTCCCCACCTGCCCACTGAGATGTTGTGAGGATCGAAACAGATAATGCAGCAAATGTTATTTAAAGCTGTTAGAGATCATGCAAAGTAAACATCATCTATATGACTAAGATGATGATGATGATGATGATGATGATGATGATGACAATAATGGCAAAGGTGATGAATCCAGGACTTTTTTTTTTTTTTTTTTTTGAGAGAAAAGGGGTCCTGTAAATAATTACTCTGGGACAACCCTCTTAAACCAGGATAGCCTCCAAAAAACTGGGGACAGGACAGCAGCCACTCTTTTTAAGCTGATCTTAACAACATGTTTAATTGCTGAAGATCACATCACAGTCTGGGGCTGGAAAGGAAGAATTTATATATCTTTCCAGCAACGTGGTTGATCTAAGAAAGCCTAACTTGAAAAGCAGATGGGAGAAGAAGGCAAGTGGAGGGATTGACCCTACAGCCCCATCATTGCTAGTTACTTAGCACAAAGTCATTTCTGATTAGATAGATCTACCTGTGTATCCCGCAAGCCCCTCAAATTCAGTGTTCTCAAACCCAGGTCTTCTGTCCACAAATTTTTTTTTTTTTTTTTTGAGACGGAGTCTCGCTCTGTCGCCCAGGCTGGAGTTCAGTGGCGCGATCTCGGCTCACTGCAAGCTCCGCCTCCCAGGTTCACGCCGTTCTCCTGCCTCAGCCTCCTGAGTAGCTGTGACTACAGGCGCCCACTGCCACCATGCCCGGCTAATTTTTTTGTATTTTTAGTAGTGACGGGGTTTCACTGTGTTAGCTAGAATGGTCTCAATCTCCTGACCTCGTGATCCGCCCACCTTGGCCTCCCAACACAAACTTTTTTGTAAAGACTTCTTTATGAAGTTATACTAAAATACCCTTTTCCATTGACTGACTCTTATTTTATCCGGCAGAAAGTTTGTTACTTTTGCCATCTAAAACTGATTTAAGTTTCCTTTTGCTTGTTCAAGCTGACTTCCACTGATTCTGTTCACGTGGCTTATCATACTTTACCTTAGGTATTAAGATACCCTTAATCTGGCTTTTCTGCTCGTAGCTCCCACTCTTCCAACTTGCCTGAATCCTCTGTCTGCTACTCTTAGAGCCATCATGCTTAATGATTTCTATCATTTTCTCTTCCATACTTGTACACGATGCATCTCTCAAAGTGCTTGAACTCTGTGCACTTACACTTAATGTTTAGCCAACATTCATATACTACCCTACATTAAAAAAAGCTATTTGAGATGAGAGTGACAAATCGCACAGGGCTTGAAATGGAATACAGACTGAAAAACTCACCCTTGAACAGCAGATTGTTTATATACATTTCTGTAAACATCCACTATATGCCCAGTGATGATGCTAAATGCTTCGGACTCCTACACAAAGAAGAAGAACAAGGAGAAGGAGAGAGAGAGGGACAGGGAGAAGAAAAGGGAGAGAGAGACGAGGAAGAAGAGAGAAGAGGAGGAGGAGGATAAACTTTCTCAAGACTTTTTTTTCTCCCCATAAAGTTTTGTCATGATGAAAGTCTTCTGGGTATCTTTATATTTTCATTCTCAATTTATACATACAAGGATGATCATATCTGACTGATTTTCTAGGAAAGTCCTGATTTCAAAAAGCATATTGCATACTATAAACTTATAAACCACCACCACTGTAAGAGATATTTAATATCTAGTTCAGTGGATCACAAACCCATTTATGTGATAACAATCCTGGAATTCAGAGTGTCTTTATAGAATTCTGTGATATAATGGTTTTATCATGTATTTAATTTCATCATGTAAAATAAGAAAGTATTTACTATCAGAAAATGTGATTTGATGCCCACATGGTGTATAAAAGTCATCTTATTATGATGGGCACTAGAGAGAAGGTAGTTAGTAGACAGCTTTTCAACCAAACTGTCACTGCTTTTGTTTTTGTAGCTGTTGTTGATGTCTGCTTACTTACTATGTGCATTCAGGTTTTTTTCTGTTTGCACATGAGAGTAGCTAACATTATCAGAAAGAAATTAAGGAAAAATACCTCATGACTGACATAATTCTAAAAAGTTAACTTAGCTTTTTCTCTCTATTTGCAAAACATTTATATGGCCAACCCACTTGCTCCTGTACTCTGCAGGCATATAATCTAAGATCTATTGGCTCAAAACCTTAAGTTTTAAAAAATCAGATTTATTTCATGATTATTGCCCATTAAGAAACATAATTTACTTCTAGGTCACACTCTAAGTGAAATTCTTGCTTTTTTTTTTTTTTTTTTTTCTCTAAACTTGAAAGGACGAAAGATGACACTTAGTGATTTTGGAAAAATGAATAGCAGAAATACGAACCAGACACATGGATGAAACTTATTCCATGGCTAAGCCCTGAAAACAGAATTAGTTAAGTCATTGGCTCAAAGAAATATGACTAAGGTTACTAGAGGATATGGCAGGAAGGGGCTCTATATTTATGGCATATTTAGTGTGAACAGGAAAACTGAGGAGAAAGGTCATTGACTGGGTTACTTTGTATTGTAGTGAAATCTTGATATGCTGTAAAACAGGCAGCACCAAGAATTTTGAAGAACTCAGGATTTGGGGTCAGAGAAGCAGGGTGGAATTCCAGCTTTGTTATATTTGGCAAGTCAATTAACTGCTGCCAGTCTCTATTATCTTTGCTTAAGTGACAATAATAATAATTGCATAGGAATATGTGCATATATTATATATATATAATCGCCTAACTGAATTTTATCAGGATTAAATGTATAATAATTGTTGTATGCAAAAATTGTTGACAACCACTTGAATACTAACACCAACAAACAGAAACTATCAAAGTGATGAGTCATATCATACGGTTATTTCATTTTGTTTTTATATTGACGTTTTACCCATAGAAGTTCTATTTTTTTAAAAAAAGATTAGTGCTTACACATATGGTAAATGTATTGAAGAGATCAGACTTTGGTGATATGAACTAGGTCCGATACAAGCAATAAATCTCCAAGTTTTCCCTTGGATATGGAAAAGCGTCACCAATGATATTGTTTTCATCAGCACTGCAGCTCAATTTATTTTCATTATATACCACAATGTTTTATTTTGGGATTCTGAAAACCCTTTTATTGGAAAATTAGGTCATTACAGCAATTGTGTTATCTCCCTCCACCTTCCTCCAATGTGCTGATCAAATCGCCCCCAGTTCAGGAAATCATCAAACAAATGAGAATGCTTACTCCACACATTTATGTGTCCACAGCTGCCCTTTAATGATGTTGTATCTGTTACCACTGTGGTTTCAAGTAACATTTTTCTCCTTTCACTTTGGATGATGTCCTCCAACAAATATTTGCATGTAAACAGTAAAAAGAAAAATATATTTTTCTGATCTAATTGTATGATACTTTTGTTTTCTCCTCCTCAAGTTTAAAGATGCTCAATGACTGTAGGAAGAAGATACTGGATTTTCAAAATAACATTTGATGAAAGCAATTGCCATGCAGTGATGAGAACAGGTTTGGGAGGCTCAAGACCTGGTGTGACATCCTGACTCCAATTGGTGTAAGCTGCATTGCTCTGCTCAAATGATTCAAACACTATAAACTGCAGTTGCACATTGGTAATACCTACTTCATTGGTATGTAAGATTTGAAAATGTTCATAAACCACCAAGCACTATGTAAGCATTAGTTATTCTTATTATGACTTTTTTATTCCTTCTATAGGGAAAAGAGTGCTAGAAGTTATAGCTAGGAATTCTAGTTACTATACAATTCCATAAACGATATTGTGAAAAAGCTTAAATTCTAAGATCAAAGATAATACTTATTCAGTAGGGTTTATATGTATGTTTATATATATATATATATTTTTACTCAGAGCAAATAATATGGTCAGTAAAATGGGTGACAATTGTAAACACAATGACCATTAGTGTTGTAAAGTACATGTCAGCCTAGGATGTAAAATAACTTTATTGAATAAAACCTTTCTAGCTACATAATATCTAAAGGTTACTGTGTTAATATACACACACAAACACACACACAGAAATAGCACTGAAAATAAAATAAATGAAGATGCTATTAAGTTCAAATGATGATGAAATTGACCCCCAAGTCATGGGAGTAGGTAAGCAGTAGAGAGCCAGTGGTCTTCTGAAGTCTGTAGCCCTGGGGCCTGACCCAGTCTCAGATAGTCCCCTCAATTCAAGATAAATTTAAATGCAATAGACTATAATCCAGGTCTACATATTTCCAGATCAAGCTATTTTCCCTTCTCCTTGCCAAGTGCAATAACAAAGTTTGGTTCTGAAATTCCCCAACGGACTGTTTAGCCTGGCTTTGGGCCCCCACATAGAGTGTGACAGCAGCCATGCAGTGAGGGCTTTCACCCCAGGGAAGGTGATGGTAAGCGTTCAGAAGATGTGTGCATGAGGTAAGACAAGTCTTTGCTTCATAAAGTGTTGTGTGTATTGTGAGTTGTTTCACTTCTCTTTCTCCCCACATCAAATTATAGTAAGGTCTAAAAGTGAATAACAAAAAACAGACTTCACAACACATTTCTAAATGATTCCTGGGAGGAATTCCCACCCAAATTGAGAAGCTTGGAGTTTTAAGATGGTTGTTGCTGAGGTCTGACTCTTAAGAGCAATCTGAGAACCCCTTTCTTTCATCTGAACTCAGACTATGCTCTTAGACCTAGAAAAAAAGGGGTTTCAGTGTCCAAAAGCTGAAAGGCTATGTTGTAGACATATAATGTTTCATGGACGGCAAAGCACCTGAAGGCTGTGCCTACATACAGACAAAGCGTGTCCCTAATTATAGGTTGATAGAGGCCAAGATTTAACTTTCCAATCCCTCATTAAAATATAAAGGCCTGTGACCTTGCCTACCAGCCAAGGAATGTGTCTGGTCTTAGGGACAGAAACGACCTAGGAATGGAGGCTTTTATGTTCTTGTGGGCAGGAGGTGCAGTAGGAGAATCAGCTACCAGGGATGGCCCACAGCACAGTGGAGATCTCATGTACAGTGTTGGAAGCAGTGGCAACAGCATTCAGGCCCTCACTAGATTAAGTCTGCAGCTTCATTTGTGCAGTGGTTCTGGCTTAGGAGCCTCTCCTTATTTTTGTCCTTTGAGCCTGATTCTCCAATCTTCCTGGAAATCTATGACTCACTCCCTATCTTTTCAGTAAGGATTTTTTTTTTTTCTGCCTAAAGAAGCATTCACTCGGTTGTGGTATGGATTGCATGATTATGTCCCCTTCCAACTCAAAAAAATACCTATATGTTGAAACCATAATGCTCAATGGGATGGTATTAGAAGGTAGGGCCTTTGGGAGATGATTAGATCATACAGGTGGAGTCCTTATAAATGGGATTAATGCCCTTGTAAGGAGAATTATAAAGAAATTGCTTCCTCTTTCTCTGCTCTTAGTCATATGAGGAGACAAGGAGAAGATGTCCATCTGGAAACCTTCAGGAAGTGGATCTTCACCAGACACCAGATCTGCTGGTACTTTGTTCTGGACTTCTCAGTCTCCAGAACTGTGAGAAATAAGTGTCTGTTGTTTAAGCCATTCAATCAATAGCATTTTGTCATATCATCCTAAACTGTCTCGTGGTGTTTGTATTGTTTCAACCTAAAGCCCTGAATGATGTGAATGGTTAACCATTTATAAACTACTGAAGTTGACTCAGCACATTATCTTGTACATGGTGGACCACTCATACCAGAGGTTAGTAGGTTTTTCCAGTTAAACCTTCTAATCATGCAGTAAACATTGTCTGCGCACCAATAAGTGCCAGGTACTCTTCTCGGTGCTGGGGATGCAAAATGACACAAACCTCAGTCTTGCCCAGGAGCTCATCATCTCCTAAAAATAAACAAACAAAAAAGCAAATCTATACATTTGTGTGTTAGTACTAAAACAGAGGTATGGTCCAGGATTTATGTAAACTGATGACCTTAGTTCTTTGTTGGTTACACACATTGAAAATATATTCTTACAGTTTATGGTCTTTTGTTTCACTTTTTAAGGTGTCTTTTATGTAGAGTTCATTATGTTGTATGTATTTATAATCCAGGATTATTAAAATGCTTGCCTATATGTTTTTTGCCTAAATGTTTTAGGTTTTCTCTATATTAAAAAATTAATTTAGCAAATGTTTTCTTGAATCTATTGAAGTGATTTTATGGTTCTTCTCCTTTAATGGACTAATGAAGATAATTACTTTAAAAGATTTTTAAATATTAAACTATACCAGCATTCCTGGCATACACCCAAATGAGTCCTGAATCTTTCATATATTACTGGAATCAATTTGTTAATATTTTGTTTAAAATTTTTACAACTATGTCCATAACTTGAATTGTTGTATAATTTTCATTTATCATCTGTCTTGGCTTGGTTTGATACCAAGATTATCTCAGCTTCATAAAATAAGTTCAAGTGAATCATCTGTTTCCAAGTTCTCTGGAACAGTTTGTGTAAGTGTGGAATAGTTCTTATCTTATTTCCTGAAACTTGACTCTAAAACCTTCCGAGTAAGTTGCCATTTTTGTGAGTAGATTCAGCCATTTCTCTCTTAAGAATCATTGTATCTCTGCTATAATTACATATTGAATATAAAAAGCATTAATTGCACCACTTACTATACACCTCCCCACTGCTCTTATTCTTCATTCTAGTTCTTCTCTCAGCAATTCACCTTCCTTATGTGTTTTTCAGAAATAGCCATTTTCAGGAGAATGGTGTGAACCTGGGAGGCGGAGCTTGCAGTGAGCCAAGATCAGGCCACTGCACTCCAGCCCGGGCGACAGAGCAAGACTCCATCTCAAAAACAAAACAAAATAAAAACAAAACAAAAACAAACAAACAAAAACAAAACCAGAAATAGCCATTTTATGTACTGTCTGAAGTGATCTCATCCAAACTTGTTTTTTTCTATACAACTAAAGAAACTGAGAGAATGGAGCATATCTGGGTTCAGGAAATGACCCTTCAATATATTCAGGGCACTGATGGTTCCCATCTTACAGAACACATGCACTATCCAATTCCTGAGTGTCCATTGAGAGAATATAAGGTCTTTTCTGCAAAATCATTTGCCAATATTCAAAGAGCACTTCTTATACACAGGCTCAGAGCCAGGATCTGGGATGAGTAAAGAAGGTACATGATCCTCCTCCACCATTAGCCTTCAATGTTTCACAGTGTATTAGTTCATTCTCACATTGCTATAAAGATAGTACCTGAGACTGGGTAATTTATAAATAAAAGAGATTTAATTGACTCACAGTTCTGCATGGCTGGGGAAGCCTCAGGAAACTTATAATCATGGCATAGCACAAAGGAGAAGCAAGGAGCTACTTCACAAGGCAGCAGGAGAAAGAGTGAGTGCACAGAGGAAACTGCCATTTTTAAAACCATCAGGTCTCACAAGAACTTCTTCACTATCATAAGAATGGCAAGGGGGAAACCACTCCCATCATCCAATCACCTACCACTAGGTTCCTCCATTGACACATGGAGATTACAATTTGAGATGAGACTTGAGTGGACACGGATCCAAACCATATCATTCTGCCCTTGACCCCTCCAAAATCTCATTTTTTTTTTCACATTTGAAAACCAATCATGCCTTCCCAACAGTCCCTCAAGATCTTAACTCAAGCCAGGATTAACTCAAAAGTCTAAGTCCAAAGTCTCATCTGAGACAAGGAGAGTCCTTTCCACCTATGGGCCTGTAAAATCAAAAGCAAGTTAGTTACTTCCAAGATACAATGGGGGTACAGGCATAGGGTAAATGTTCCCTTTCCAAGTGGGAGAAATTGGCCAAAACAAAGGAGCCAGAGGCCCCGTGCAAGTCTGAAACTCAGCCAGGCAGTCATTATGTCTTAAAGCTCCCAAATCTCCTTGGATTTCATGTCTCACATCCAGGGCACACTGATGCGAGGGGTGGACTCCCAAGACCTTGGGAAGCTCTGCCTCTGTGGCTCTGGAGGGTACAGCCCCTGCAGCTGCCTTCATGGTCTGGTATTGAATGCCTGTGGCTTTTCCAAGCACATGGTGCAAGCTGTCGGTGGATCTACCATCCTGGGGTCTGCAGTATGGCAGACTTCTCACAGCTCCACTAGGCAGTGCCCCCATGCAACCTCAATATTGGGGCTCCAACCCCACATTTCCCCTTTGTAATGCCCTAGCAGAGGTTCTCCATGAGGGCTCCACCCCTCCAGCAGACATTTGCCTGAACATCCGGGCATTTTTATACATCCTCTGAAATCTAGGCAGAGGTTTCCAAAGCTCAACTCTTGTCTTCTGTGCACCCACAGGCGCAACATCACATGGAAGCCACCAAGGCTTGGGGCTTACACCCTCTGAAGCAACGGCCTGAGCTGTATCTTGGCCCCTTTTAGCCATGGCTGCAGCTGGAGTGGCTGGGGTGCAGGGCACCAAGCTCCAAAGCTGCACAGAGAGGAAGGGCCCTGGGCCCAACCCACAAAGCCATTTTTCCGTGCTAAGCCTCTGGGCCTGTGATAAGAGGGGCTTCTGTTAAGATCTCTGACATGCTCTGGAGAGATTTTCCCCATTGACTTGGCTATTAACATTTGGCTCCTTATTACTTATGCAAATTTCTGCAACCAGCTTGAATTCCTCCCCAGAAAATGAGTTTTTTCTTTATAGTCAGGCTGCATATTTCCCAAACCTTTATACTCTGCTTCGCTTTTAAACATAAGTTCCAATTTGAAACCATCTTTTTTTGAATGCATATAACTGAAAACATTCAGAACAATACAGCTCACTTCTTGAATGCTTCGCTGCTTAGAGATTTCTTTTGCCAGATACCCTAAATTATCTATCTCAAGTTCAAATTTCCACAGATCTGTAGGGCCGGGGCAAAATGCTGCCATTCTCTTTGGTAAAGCATAACAAGAATTACCTTTATTCCATTTCTCAACAACTTCCTCATCTCCATCTGACACCACCTCAGCCTTGACTTCATTGTCCATATCACTATTAACAGTTTGGTCAAAACCATTCAACAAGTCTGAAGAAGTTCCATACTTTCCTATACCTTCCTGTCTTCTTCTCAGCCCTCCAAACCGTTCGAACGTCTGCCTGTCACTTGGTTCCAAATTTGCTTCCACATTTTCAGGTTATCTTTATAGCAGTATCCTACTCCTGTTACCAATTCTCTGTATTAATTCATTTTCACACTGCTATAAAGATACTACCTGAGAATAGGTAATTTACAAATACAAGAGGCTTAACTGACTCACAGTTCTGCATGGCTGGGGAAGCCTCAGAAAACTTGCAATCATGGCAGAAGGCAAAGGAGAAGCAAGAACCTTCTTCACAAGGCAACAGGAGAGAAAGAGAGAGCACAGGGAAAACTGCTATTTTTTAAACCATCAGATCTCATGAGAGCTTTCATATTATCATAAGAACAGCATGGAGGAAACCGCCCCCATGATCTAATCACTTCCCATAATGACCCTCCCTGGACACGTAGGAATTACATTTCAAGATGAGATTTGGGTGGGGATACAGAGCCAACCCAAACCATATCACACATATTTTTGGGAAGTGGACAGTTGATACACCAATAATTAAAGCAATAAGATAAATGCAGAGACAGGAACCAGGCAACCCAGAAGAGGCAATATCTCAATGCCTAGGGATGAGAGAATGAAATTGAGGAGTCAATTTGTCCTCTAGATATTGGTTACCAACTTTTTGCCTAGGACTATTACATTTTTAGCACTATACATTCTTTAACCCAGAAGCTCCTTCAGTTCCTGGCAAACTAGGTCAATTGGTCACTCTATCTAGACCTTCAGTGCCTAGCACAAACTTGTCCAACTTGTAGCCCGTGTGCTGCATGTGGCCCAGGATGGCTTCGGGTGTGGCCCAACACAAATTCATAAACTTTCTTGAAAGTTTATGTGGTCTTTTTTTGTAATTTTTTTTAACTCACTAGCTATCTTTAGTGTTAATATATGTTACGTGTGGCCCAAGACAGTTCTTCTTCTTCCAATGTGGCCCATGGAAACCAAAAGATTGAACGCCCCGGCCTACCACTATATATGGCACAAAGATGGAATCCAAAGGGTATACTTAATTAGTTGACATATGATCTGAGTAATCATGAACAGTAAGTTTTAACCAAGCATATGGAAAAGGGATTGCAAGGCTGTCTGGAGGAACAATGCAGGCAGAATTACTAAAGAACATGGACATGGTTTGAAATTGTAAGTCATCCTATGTGATGGAAGGAGCAGTGAGTACAGGAAAAGAGTTGGTGATAAGACTGCAGAAATAGACATGGTTCAGATGGTAAAAGTCAGGTTGAGGAGTAAGGGCTTTATTTTATCCTATAGTCAATAAGAGGATTAATAGAGAGGCATTAACAGAGTCAGCTAGCTCTGAGATAATATGAGCATAGTAGGGAAGAATCCAAATTTCTTTACGTGTTTGTATATAGAGGCATCTTTGTATATATTTGCATTTTGTATATTCAGGCATTGGAAGAATTGTCTGCCTGTTTCTGTTTCTGTTTTTGTTTTTAATCAGGACCCCATGTGTGACAGAAGAAAAAGTCTCAAGTTGGAGTTAAAATTCTCCTGCATCCTGATCAGATTCTGCTGCATTCTCCATGTGACCTCAGGCAAGTATCTATATTTCTCCAGCCTTAGGAATTCTAAAAGGGAATTCTTAAATTTTAAAAGGGAAACAGTGATATCTATTTCTAAGTCTTTTGTAGAAGACTGTGAGAAAATACCTACAGACAAGCTCTGAAAAATGTCAGGCAACACAGAAATCTAGGTTTGGAATTTGTAGTTGGAATGACTAATAGATTGTATGGCTAGTGGTGTAAGAGAAAAATGACTGAAAAAAAGGAACTACATTCATTAGCAATTAAAGCTACTCTTGAATTGGCTGTGCAACTTCAACAAAGCTGTATAATAGTCCTATAACTTTAGATAACAACAGTACAGCTTGTCACAATTAATGTTAATTATAGATAACTGATACATGATATGGATTGGCCTATGATCCCAATACAAAAAAGAGCCACATTTTACCTGACATGGAAGTTGAACTAACTTACAAAAGAATTAACAGTCCATGGGTCTGATATAATATATTTAATTAAATGGTGCCTATCAAAACCTCTGCTACTGAATTCCAATAAGGGTCTCCCCTGCTCCCTGTGTTAGCCTTTATCGCTCTGGCTGTCAGCACTGTGAACATTCCATTGTTTCTATTTGCTTTGAGATACAAACTTCTGGGTGCGTGGGGGCTGCAAGTGTTATTTTCAGTTATGTATCTCCAAATACTGCAATCACCTTACATCTGGCCTATTTCCATGACATCTGCTCTAAGACCCCAGTGGCACAATGGTCATGGCTTGTTTGTTAAGACATTCTGGGTCACTTTGGTTTATTTATCTTTTTATTAAGGTAAAGTTAGAAATTATACCGTGTCTGTCTCAATGAACAGAATGTTTGTATTCCTCACCACCAAATTCATATATGTTGAATCCTTAATCCCAATGTGATGATATTCAGAGGTGGGGCCTTTGGCTGGTAATTAGGTCACAAGGGTAGAGCCCTCATCAGTGGGATTAGTACTCTCATAAGGAGAGGCTGAGGAGTTAGATAGCTCTCTTTCCTTCCTTCCATGTGGGGCTACAAGAAGGTGGCCATCTGTGATCTGGAAGAGGGCCCTCATGACAATCTGACCATGCTGGTATGCTGACCTTGGATTTCCAGCCTGTAGAGCTGTGAGAAACAGATATCTGTTGTTTATAAGCCATTCAGTCTATGAGACTTTGTTACAGCAGCCCACACTGGTTAAGACATCCGTAAACATAGCTCACTATGAATAGCAGAACTCAAAATAAGCACGTGGACCACAGAGGTCATATGAGTTGAGGATCCCTGCATCTTGTGTGTCTTAGGTTTTGGTCTCAGGTCTGCTGTTAACTGCCGGTATAACCCCAGGTAAGCCTCTTGAATATTCTGAGCCTGAATCCCAGTTTTTAATCTGTGAACTGAAGAAAGGTAATTTTGTTTCACCCATCTGTTGTTCTATAAATAAATGAATTATGGTAAATGTGCTTTGTAAACAAAAATGTTAGCAGGGATATGAGACTTTAAAAAAGGACGAGAAAAGTTACAAATTTTAAGTCAGAAGTTTGATCTTCCACCTACAGGTTGGGAAATGATGGATGAAGCATCACTAGTATCTTGGAGTAGTTCAGTTTCGCTCTGGAGACAGAGTGCCAAGGTCAAATCACAGTACCACATTTTACCAGCTATGTGTGTGGCCTGAGGCAGGTTACTGAATACATTATGTTTCAGTTTCCTCACCAGATAAATGTGGGTGATATTAATTGGTTATGATATTAACATAAGAGGGTGAATATATATCAATAGAGTCTATATTACATAGTTGATATGAGTGTTAGCTGAGTTAAAAATCTGCAAAGCCCTGTGATCAGAGCCTGGCACGCTGACATTTCTGAATCCATGGTAGTCATTATATTTGCTTTGGTTACCTTTTCTGAAATGAAAAAGATTAGAATACCTCTGCCTAGAGCAAAATATAATAAATTTTAAAATACTTTGTCAACTTCAAAAGACAGTTCAAATTTCAGTAGTATGTATGAATAAATACTGATGAAATACATTTTGCTCAGCAGGGTGGAATTCCTGGATTTTGGGTCACACACACATGCACACTTACACACAGATGGCCAAACCCACTCACACACATGGTTACATACTCAGAGACACACAGACACATGCACACACACACTCTCACACACATGTACAAATGCACTAGAGTTCTGATCTGTCTCAGTACAAAATCCACTTCCATTTTTGAACGTGAAACCTGGAGGAAGAAGAACTAGGGTCTTCCAGAACAACCACAATTTAATTTGTTTTCAGGGAGTCCCCTATCCCCCAGAGATCATTAAGCTACAATTCAGAGTTATTAATCTCGAACAAGACAAGTCTTTTTCCTTTTTAGGTACTCAGTTATTTCAATTGTAAAATGAAAAACTTGGTACATAAGAGTCACTCTATGAATATTTGTGGAATGAAATAATTAAATGATCAAAAAGTAAAATTATGCAAAATTATTATTGCTATGATGTGTTTATTATGACAAAATCTTTCAAGGGTGCATTTTTTAGAAAAATTCTGTTATGCAATGATTCCCGAAGTCAACCCAGCCACAATTACCTTTTTTTCTGTAGATTACTAAAATATTCATAAAACTCAATAGTCAGGAGCGAATGTGTGTGAAAAAGTTTGTCCATGAGACTCCAAGTCCTCTCTCTTGGGAATCTCAGGCCTCTCATTCATACACTCATTCAACAACTCTTTGCAGAATACCTCCTTCGTATCAAACACTGGCTGGTGGACAATGACAGAAAAATGATATCAACAGGTTCCTGATTTTAAGGAGCACTCAGTCTAAAGGGAGAGTGGGAAGATATACAGTGGGTATGGCAAAGACTTTCTGCAGTCGCTAACATTTCAACTGATGGGAAAAGTAAGCAGGAATCCATCAAGGTTTTAGGGTGTTCTGCCAGTGGGGGGCAGATTGGCAGAGGCTTTGTTAAGAAATGCTCTATGTGTGCACCCAAACTGCAGGAGAATTCCTGCCATGGACCATGGGCAGAAACTCAAGGACATTGAGCCACAAAATGCAATAAAACTTAAAGCACTGTCTCTGACAAGAAAAATATGTGCTCACACCTAATTGACCAAAGTATGTCATATGGCCAAGGTCAATGTCACAGGGTAAGTCACATGTCAGGCGACCCAATTGTTTAATCTTATTGCAGAAAAGGAGTAAAAAATTGAGAATAAAAATATAATCTTCCATATTAATTTTATTAACAAGCTGATAATTTAGTAGGACCAATGAGCTTTTAATAGTAATAGGAGGTGAGATTAAAGCCTAAAGTAGAGACAACCCCTTGTGCATAAACACAGTTCACACAGGTAAAAACCTGGGAGTTCTTTAACACTTTATTTTCTCTTTTCCCCAAAAGTTAGCCATTTTCTAATTCATGTGAATTCCATTTATAACACTTATAGTACTTAGCAAAGTATCTGACACAGAGTTGGTATTCATTGTATGTTTGGTAAATGAATGCATGTATGCTTGAATAAATACATGGCCATGCTGCCAGCCTTTTCTTGCAAAGTTTGTTTTAGATTGGATTCAAGCTTCTACAGCACCTGTGCTTATCAACTGCGTCACACTATTACAGTTCACAATAATTGTTTGTTCATCCGCTTCTCATTACACCATACTCATGGGCGAGGTCAGAGAATGTGTCACCTCTCCCTAACCGAGGGCCTGGCACAGTGTTTGGCATATAATAAGAGCTCAGCAATGTTATTTGATTCCTAATTATCACTAGCAGCATGAATTTTTGACTACTTAACATACAACTTAAGTCAAGAGGTGCTGAATAACCACAGGTCACACATTGAATAAGTGTTAACACTAAAATTTATGACACAGTTTTTCTCCAAACTAGTCTTTATACAGTACATCATATTTATTTCAGAGATCAGCTAGAAGCTGAGAGAAAGCATATTTAATAAACACAACAAAGACTATATAAAGAACTTATACAAGTTTAAAAGAAAAACACAAACCCCAGGGAAATATGGACAGTTTGAATAAGTTTGTCATAAAATATAAAAATATGTATGGTTTGTAGAATATGAGGGTATATCCAGCTCCATTAGTGTTGAGAAAGATGCAGTTTAAGACCATGATGTGCTACTATATTTTACAGTCAGTTGGTTAGTGAAATTTCAAAAGTCTGACAATATCAGATGCTAGAAAGATACAAATTTATAGCATATCTTATCTATTACTGGTTGATATGTAAACTTGGCTGAATCTCTTAAGAAAATAGCTGAGTATTGTAAACTTGTATATTCAAATACTGAGAAAAGTACATATTTTACTTCTACATGTAGAACCAAGGGAACCTTTTAAACAGGTTCACCAGATATGTGTCCACTATCATGCACAAAATCTTTGAAACTAACAAAAACCTATAAACAACCTAATGCCAATAGAGAGGATATGAGATGAATAAACTGTTGTATATTTACTATTATGGCCCTAAAAATAAATGTGGTATAATAATAATGAACAGTATAGATGAATTACAAAAATATATTCAAATTTTAAAAATACTTTGAAAAATATTATGTATGCTGTAAATCCTTTTTAAAAATAAAGTTGAACACAACTATTAACAAACAAGTGCTTGCTTGAAATGCCACACACAAATAGGAAAACAAGGAAATGATGCACAGAGAATTTTGGATGGTGGTTACTTGAGATGGGGTTACATAAGAAAAATAAATGCAAGAGGACCCTATACAGTTATTGTTAATGTTCTTCCTTAACTGTGGATTCATGGATGTTTATGACATTATTTCAAATTAATTGTAATCACTTTTTGAAAATTTGAAAAAGTGTAATCCATGGACCAATGATACATTGCATGGCCAAGGATTATAAATAATACAATTGCACTTTAGATCCATTAACAAAAGAAGAAGACCTGATTGAATCCGAGTACCTAGGCTTAGAGTTAAAACAAAATATTGATCTCGAGGAGAAATTCTCTACCCCTTGAAAATTTTCTTCAAGTAGGTCAAGTCCAGGTGTAAGAAGGAGACAGTCAAATGGAGCACAAGATAGGCCCAAGGATTTGGGATGCTCAAGTTGTGGGTCAGAGGCTGATGATACAAACAGGAATCGGGAAGACACAAAGTAATATGGAGCAGGGCTGGACAGCAGTATAGCTCTAGAAGACTGACAGTCACCAGCACACCCATGGGAAAGGAGAGGTCAGAGAGGGCCAATGGACCTGCTGGGTAAACAATCAGGATTTGAAGATTCAAAACAAATAAAGAAGATGATTGTAAATACTGAACTAGAGTTCACAGAGAAGCTGTGCAGTGCACTGGAATAAATACTACATTCTGGCTTCAACTCTGTTCCTGACTACTCTTAGGCTGTTATGCAAATCATTTTCTCTGTATAAGCCCCAGTTTCTTCCTAGGATAACTTCCTCCATTACAGAGGCTTTTGTGAAGCTCAAGTGAAAAAATGTATGTGGACATGCTTTGGAAATTACAAAATGCCTAATAAAGGTGAGAAGTTGGTATTATTTTGCTCACCGAAGACATTGGAAATAAAGTGATCGTGAAAAAATGTCAAGATGCCCCTGATATTTTTAAGTACTCATTCACCTGTCTGCCTCCACTAATGGGTTATATGCTCTTAGATTATCGAGATGTCAATGTGTTCTCTGTATACTCCTTGTAACTATCTCATTAGCTGATTCCTTGTGGTCTACTAAGTATTAAAGCAATCAATAAAATAATTGCAAACAACCTTAGTGCT
Source organism: Homo sapiens (assembly GCF_000001405.40). Classification (NCBI taxonomy): domain Eukaryota; kingdom Metazoa; phylum Chordata; class Mammalia; order Primates; family Hominidae; genus Homo; species Homo sapiens. Next base: position 11,730,206 of record NC_000004.12, on the reverse strand, counting down.
GGCCTCTATGTAATCCAATTTCCCAATGACAGTGGTTTTATAGCTAGATCCCTTCCCCCCACCCTCCTTATAGTTGGGACTCCAGCCTTTCTGAGAGAAAAATCTAATGATACAATTCAGTTTAAAAATTCTCTTAAGCTCACTAAAGTCTAGAAGAACGAAAGCATGATATTCAACACTGTTCAACATATTCTGTCTTCTCCCTACCTTTCCCATCTTGTCTTCCACAAAGGCACACAGAGCCACCAAATTCTAGAAATGCTCCATGCTCTTTTTAAGTCTTAAAAGCTTCACTGCTATTCCTTGCACCTGGGATTTTCTTGCCATTTCTGACTCTACCTCTACCAAGTAAACTACAGTTTACTCAAACAGTCAAAGTTCACTCTACCTCTACCAAGTAAACTGCAGTTTACTCAAACAGTCAAAGTTCACACATCTATTTTCCTCACTAGCCCAAGACACAGTTTCACAATCTTGTCTCTGCTGGAAACCACCACATCTCATGGAATGATGGGTGTGTGAGTGTTCTCGTGGCTAAAATTACTTGTGTTTATTTCTTATGACCAGCACCTACTGGCAGTGCTTAGAAAGAGAAAACATGCTCAATATATGTTTAATGCAAAGATAGAAGAAAGAATATTACTTTTTCCAGTTGTAGTACAGGAGATATTCCTGGGAGGACATCTGGGAAAGCATTTCCTATGGGTCTTTACACAATGATCCCCATGGAGTAGAAGGAAAAAAACATATAATAATATTTCAAGCTTCTCAATTTTGCCCAGCCTTCAAGAGCTTATTTCCTATGGAACATTGACTGTATGGAGTTAAATTAGATTTTATCAAATAGTAATTTGTCACATATGTAATACATGAAGGTGTGTGATTGATGTGGAATCTTGAAAAATCATTCTAATATGTCAGAAGGACAAATGGATTAATGAGAGGTATAATTTATGGTCGTAGATGCGGCTCTGTATTAAGTTGGCAAAATCAAAGCCTCACTTAAAGGTAATCTACCTCACTCCATTCTTAACTAAAGTGTCATTGCCAGTAAGACCAGCATAGTGGAAACAGCTCAATTGTGTTGAATTCAAGCTACTTAATCGGCTTCCTTTGACTGATTCTTCAGAGCATTTGTTACTATACTTGATAAATATGTGACCCTGGATGTTTTATCACTTTAATTTTTATATCACTAGAAATAAAGTGTATTTTAATTTTTAATATTTAGGGCCAGGCTCACGTGTGTAATCCCAGCACTTTGGGAGGCCAAGGCAGGTGGATCACCTAAGGTCAGAAATTTGAGACCAGCCTGGCTAACATGGTGAAATCCTGTCTCTACCAAAAAGTACAAAAATTAGCTAGGTGTGGTGGTGCATTCTTATAGTCCCAGCCACTAGGGAACTTGATGTGGGAGAATTGCTTGAACCCAGGAGGAGGAGGCTGCAGTGAGCCTAGATCGCACTACTGTACTTCAGCCTGGGCGACAGTGTGAGACACTGTCTCAAATAATAGTAATAAATAATAATAATAATGTTTAGTTTTAATATAACTAGAAATGAAACTTCCCTTAGAACATAAATGTATCTTTTCGCTGCCTTTTTTTTCCATTTTAAGTCTATAAGTTACTGCCATGAACTAAATTGTGTCTCTCCTAAATTCATATGTTGAACCTCTAGCTCTCTGTGTGACTTTTTTGAAGATAAAGTTTTTTTCTTTTTCTTTTTTGATTTTTGTAGGTACAGTCTTTAAGAAGGTGAGGTAAAATGAGGTCATAAAAGTAGGTCCCTAACTGAGTAGAACTGGTGTTCTTAGAAGAAGAGGAAGAGATACTAGAGCTCTCTCTCTCCCTAGTGTGCACACAGCAAAGGTCAGACAGAGTGGCCTCATCAGACACCAACTCTGAAGGCACCTTGTTCTTGAACTTCTGACTTCCAGAACCGTGAGAAAATAAATTTCTGTTGTTTAACCCACTCAGTCTATGGTATTCTCTTATGACAGAGTAAGTACACCAATATAGTTACATAGAGTGGAATACACAGAATTTAAATTTACATTGCAATATGTTTTAACATATGCATATACTCATATAACCTCTCCCCAGTCAGAAGAGAACATTTGCAACATCTCGGAAAGCCTGGACTCTCTGCCACATCCCAAGGCAGTCTGGCTTCAAACTCCCACCCAGGGGCAACTGCTACTCTGATTTCTATCTCCATAAATTAAGCTTTGCCTATAATAGAATTTCAAATAAATGAAATCTTACAATACGTACTGTTTTGGTCAGAATGTATTAGCTCAACATCACGTTTTTAAGATTCACCCATGTCATTTCATTCATACAAATATTGATATTCCTGAATGGTATTTCATTTTATAAATATATCATCCTTTATTTATTCATTGTCTTGTTAATAGATATTTGAATTATTTTTAGTTTTATTTTTATATTATGAATAAAGCTGCTCTGAACATTCTCATAAAAGTCTTATTGTGGTATTTGTTTTGGTTTCTCTTGTTTAAATAACTAGTAGTGGAATAGTTTGATCACTGAATATTTACCTTTGTAAGAAACTACCAGAGTACTGCAAAATGCTTATAATGTTTTACATTCTCAAAAAAAAAAACAAAACAGTTTTTATAGCTCCACATTCTCATCAGCATTTTGGTGTAGTGGCTTTAGCTATTCCTGTGGATTTGTATGATATCATAATTTGATTTGAATTTGTATTTCCCTTTTGACTAATAATGCTGAGCACATTAAAAAATGTAATGTGCTTATTGGCTTTAGGTATCATTCCCCTTTTTTTAAATTGCAGGAGTTCTTTTTTTCTGGAAAAAGTCCTTTCTCAGATATCTGTGCTAATGATACATTTTAATTTTATAAAGATTCATTTGATGAACTGTGGAATTTAATTTTTATAAAGTTCAATTCATCACTTTTTAATGTTTTATGGAACTGTGATTTCAAAAAAGTCTTTTTCTACTTTGTCTCGATCACAAAGATGTCTTTCCTGTTTTCCTCTAGAAACCATAATTTTAACCTTAAAATTAATGCATCAGATCCATTCAAATTTACTCTTGCACCTAGGATGAACCAACGGTTGAGAATAGTTTTTCCCTAGGGCTATCAATTTGATTCTACATAACTTATTTAAAATGTTAATTTTCTTCATTGAATTGGTTTGTTGCCTTTTGTTGAGAATTAACTTGATAATTATAGGTATATTTGTAGAAACTATAATCTGTTACGTTAATCTATTATTTGTTTATCTTTATGCAAAATTCGCACTCCCTTGATCACTGAAGCTTTATATTAAATTCAATTTTTTTCCTTTTTAAAACAGTTTTGGCAATTATAACTTTTGAAATTAATACATGACTTTTACAATGAACATATGACTTTCAAATCACTGTGGCAAAACTCTACTGTAATTTTATGAGTGTTGTACAAAATCTATTTATCATTCTGAAAAGAACCAACCCAGGAACAATATTCAATCTTCAAAACTGTGAATATGGTATATTTCTGCATTTATTTGAGTTTTTAAATTTATTTCAGCAATGCTTTATACTTTTTATTAAGTTCTTATAAATCTATCCCTTAGCTTATTCCTAACCTTTATCATCTTTATGTTATTGCAAAAACTACACATACTATTTGTTTGCTTGTTTGTTTTCTTATTGTACTGGACAGGTGCTCCAACACAATGGGGAAAGCAATATCCCTCTTAATGGATGGATATTATTTTCCTGTTTTTTATTTTGGTTTCACTATTAAATAAGATCTTAGCTGAAGATTATTTATACATGTCTTTATCAGGCTGAGGAAGTCCTCATTTATTCTAAGTTTGCTGAGAATTTGTATTAAATAATATTTCTGCATTTATTGAAATGACTAAATACATTATTTTCTTAATCTGTTAATATGGTAATGTATATTGATTCACTTTGCAATGTTAAACCAACCTTGCATGCCTTGAATAAATGTGACTTGATTACAGTCTATTATCAGATATGATTTGTTAATATTTATTTTGTTAAGAATTTTTGCATCTGCTCCTGAGAGAGATCCGTCTCGAGATTTCCTTCATTGTAATACCTGTCTGGTTTTGCTGTCACAGTAATGATAGTACAAAAAATGAATTGGAAAGTGCTTCCTTCTCTATCTTCTTAAAAACAGATATGCAGTACTTTAAATATTTGCCTGAATATATCAAGGAAGCTATGTATGCCTAGAGTTTCCTTGACTAAAATATATTTAACTAGAAACTAGCTTTCTTTAATAGGCACACAGCTTTTTCTATTTTGTCTTGAGACAGTTTTGAGAATATGACTTTAGGGAATTTTTCTATTTAATTTAAGTTGAAGAGTTTATTGGCACAAAAGATTTCATAATTATCTTTTCAGATTCTTGTAATATTGTTAGAATTCTTGGAGATGTTTTCTCCTTCATTCCTGATATTGATAATTTGCGTTTTCTCTCTTTCTTTTCTTGATCATTTAATCTAGAGGTGTATTAATCTTATTGGTCCTTTCAATGGATGACGTTTTGTTTTTGTTGACTATTTGCTATTCTTGTATATGTGTTTTTATTTTTATCCTTATTATTTCCTTCCTTTTATTTAATATCAATTTACCTTTCTTTTCCTAGTTTCTTAATGTTTAAACTTACATTATTAATCTTAAACCTTTCTTCTTTTTTAATCAAGTCATTTGAAGTTATAGATTTTTCTCCAAGCAATACTTCAGCTTAATTCCACAAATTTTATCTAAATATTATAGTCATTTTATACTATTGGAAATTATATGTAATTATTATTTTATCTTGCATTATTTAGTATTTAATATTGATTTAATTATAAATAATACTATTACAGATTATTGCTTTTTTCCAACTTATTACTAAATATTTTGGGTATTTTTTAGAAATATTTAATTGGCTTCTAATGCAATTTTATTATAGTCACTATGTTTGCTTTAATTTTAAAGATTATTGTAACATTTTATTTTCCAATATAAGGGCTATCGTGATGAATGTTTCTGACATTTAAAAACAACATGCATTCTGAGATCTCTGTTGCCAAGACCTAAACTAGTTCCATTTATTTGTCCCATTTTTCATGCCACTGTTGTTTGTACAAGCAAAGAATAATTCCAAAATCCATTATCCATCATAACCAAAATGGAAGTGCCTTTTGTTTGTCTTGAAATTTAATACTAAACCACAGACATTTCCATGACTAACAAGTAGCTCATAATCTTTGGGCTCTTATTCCAGAAAAAGATGTACTTTACATCCTGAAATATTTGTTATATGAGTGGATATGGAAAAAACAACAGCCAATACAGATTATGGACTAACTCTAGAGGAAAGGGCTCTGATGGAATATGGGTTAGAGCTGCAGGCCACTTTCCATGCAGTCACTATTGCCAGGTTGTCAGTCTGAAAAAAATAAAAAAAATAAAAAATAAATAAAATCTCTTGCGAGAGACATTTAGCATCTCAGAAATAAAGCGGAAAATTCTGAAAAGAGAGAGAACATTCCCTGGTGAGTTAGATGCAAAGGTTAAGGAGAAGAGAAACTAGAGAATGCATAAGATCAATAATATCAAAATAACCAAACAAGATTTAGTTATATTCTGTTAGTAATTCTTATAGTATGCTCTAATGGCAATTTGTGTTGTAATCGCTAGAGTTGCTTATTAAAAATGGGCATCTGAAGTCCCCACCTGTGCCTTTTAATAACAAAGAACACTATCATTTGCTATTTGTCTTGAGGCATACCAAATGCTTCCCATGGATTATCTCATTTAATTTTTATAGCCACATTATAGGATAGTTCTCATTAAAAATCACCACTACAAAAAGAACCTGAGGATTAGATAAGAACTTTGTCTTCTCCAAGTTCGTAGAAGCAAGAAGTAGTGGAGTAGGTGAATCTCATGCACACTAAAGTTTAGGACAATTAGTTTAGGGGTTTAATGCGATGAAAATGACCCCAAGATGATAAAGGGATAATGAATACAGTGTGTGGGATAGAACTACACAGAAGCTGCAGTCAGTGACAATATTACGATTGTGTCTATTTGTACCTGATCTGCTCTTCTTTGTTCATTCTTGGAAATAAATCAAGGGGGAAAGGTGTCTGGAAGCCAAGGTCAATACCCACCCAGGAAAAGGACTTGGCCATATAGCTTGTCAGAGTTTTAAATCAGGTGATTGGGACATGGAAGACTTCCGTCCTAGCAGGGGAACAGAGTCCCTACTGTAAAGCTGAGGAAGAAGCTGCACGTGGATAAACTTTGGTGGACAGGTAGCATAGTGATATACTAGAATAGGCCCAGGAGGAGCATCTACCGGGAAAGTGTCATGCAAAACAATTCCAGACCCCACCTGCCAGTGGCATGAATAATAGTAATGTTTTCCTTGCTGTGGTCAGGTTTGTCACTGTGTCCGGAGTTGGTTCCTTCCAGTGGGTTCTTGGTCTCACTGACTTCAAGAATGAAGCCGCGGACCCAGCGGCAACCCGCTTGGGTCCCCTTCCACGCTGTGGAAGCTTTGTTCTTCTGCTCTTCACAATAAATCTCGCTGCTGCTCACTCTTTGGGTCCGTCCCACCCTTAAGAGATTTAAAACTCACTGCGAAGGTCCTCGGCTTCATTCTTGAAGTCAGAGAGACCAAGAACCCACCGGAAGGAACCAACTCCAGACACATCATGACCACTGAAGAGGAATGAATATACAGGTGAAAGGATCTCAGGGAAGCAGCTAAGGAGGCTGTCAGAAAGATTTTTTCCCCCTTGGCTTACCACAAAGAACTATTTGTTAGGGAGACCATGCATTATTTGGGTTAAGTACATGCGTATACGAGTCAAATATGTATGAGTTAAAAATATGAGTTTGCATTTACGAACTCCATAATCCAGGACATTTTTTTACCCTTTCTGAACCTTCAATGTTTGTCTATAAAATGAAAATACTTTTCAGAGCATTTTGAATAATTAAATTAAGTCATATCTAAAACACTGACAGTCAATAAATGCTCCCCCCACTTGCACTGTTTTAGAGAAATGGTGCTTACAAATGTGTACTGTGGTATCACTGGCCAAAGGAAGATGTCCAGGTAGTACATGGGTCTCTGCCCAGAAAATTCAGGAAGTACCAACTAAATGCAAGAACAGTCAGGACTCAGAGATCAGAACAAGCAGTGCATCTGGAATCCCTATTTCAGGCAAAGTTTCAACCTAAAAACAACTGTCACTTGTCTTTGAGATATCCGACTTGGATACTAAGTGCCAAGAACAAGAAACATGATTGATATTAAAGAAAAAAAACCACCACATAACAGCTGATTCAAGGAATCTTTTTATCAGTGCAGAAGCAAGTGAGCCTGGCATGGAAGGAAAGGCTGGCTGAGATTAGGGTTCCTTAGCTACTTGTTCCTGAGACAGAACTTCTCAAATAAGTTTAAAACTGTATTGATTATCCATTGTTCTGTAATAGATTTTGCCAAAATTTACCAGCATGTGGCAACAAACATCTATTATCCCACATCATTTTGTGGGTCATGAATCCGGGAGTGGCTTACCTAGGTGGTTCTGGCTCAGGGTCTCTCCTGAGGTTACATCAAACTCTTGGCTGGGGCTGCAGTCTTTTGAATGGCTGATGGGACTCAGCTTCTCCCAGCTGTTGGCTGAAGGCCTCCGTTTCTCACCCTATGTATCTCTTCATAGTCTGTCTAAGTAGTTTTTTGACATGACAACTAGAGCAATAGAGAGATTCCGGGTGATGTCATACTACTTTTATGACCTAGTTTCTATTTTACGCATGTGATTTCTGTTTAATTCTATTGACTGAAGTTAGTCACCAAGTCCAGCTCACATGAGATGGGACAGGTTTGCACAAAGGTATTAAATCAGGGGACGGGGCCATTTGGCACCTTTTTTAAGACTGGCACCACAGGAATTGTGGTGCTACATTTAGGGTCTGTTTTTTCTTGGTGGTGTTGGGGGGGTAGTTACAAGAAATGGGGCTACAGGAAGGCGCAGATACTGACGGTAGAAAGAGCTCTAATTGTGTGTAGGTTCTGACTATTTAGCTTTCGTATATCAATGCCTATTCTCATCATCTGTGCATAAGTATTTCAACCTCTGAATTATAGTTTAAGAGAAATTCCTTTTGTAATTTCATGTAAATTGTATGTTTTATGTTTTTTAAAAGGAAACATGTTCATTGTTTAAAAAATAGAAAGGAAATAAAAGTCCTCTGCAATCACCCCACCCAGAGATAATCACTATTAATATGTGGATGAACACTTTAGACATTTCTAAACCATGTAAACACATACAACTATATATTATGTAATTGTACATAAATTTACAATAATATTGCACCTGCTTGTCAGCAATAGCTTTTTTCACTTGATGGTATGCTATGAGCTCTTTTCCATGTCAATAAATATAACTGCATGCTATCATTTTTAGTGGCTGCAATATGTTGCATTGTATGGATGCTCTATAATCACTCCTCCAATCACTTGTTATTTGACATTAAAGTTGTTTCATATGTGTATTTTTATAGAAATAAAATGCGTGGCTGTAGGAATGCCCAGCTTAACCCAAACCCAAATTATGATGCATTCGTTATCATTGCTTTCTGTCCTTTTCCATACCTTTTTATAATATAGTGGAACTGTCAATGTTTCTCAGTTATTTGTGAAAGATTTTAAATGTTTTTAAGGATTTCAAGAGGCCAGAAAATGCAAAGAAATGTGTAATACAAGAGGGTTTTCCTGCTTTCTGGGTAGTATTAACTTTATTAATTTGATAAGATCCAGAGCTTATACTCTCTCCATTCTCTCATCTTCATAACATGTTGAAGATACAAAGAGACATTTAACGATCATTGGTGAAATTAGCTCCACAGACAAAACCTTAGTTTAAAAATGCACTGAGTACCAAGCACTTGACCCCTGGCTGTACCTCAATTGCTCCATGCTTAATCGTTTCTCCCCATGAAAGTATATAAAAAGTACCCTTGGATCACATAACTAGGGTGACCATATCATTCATCACCCAAATGGGACACTTTAGAGAGTAAAATCAGAATTTTTAATAATTATATGGGACAATTGGCATAACCAAAACTGTCCCAGGCAAGCTGGGACATATGATCAATCCAAATAGATCAGTTAAGGAAACTGAGGCATAGACTGCTTATGTGAACTATCAGAATTCAAGGTAGCAAATTATACATTGCCTGTTCCAGATCCTTTCCCTTATCATTGATTTCTGGGTCCCTGAACATTTTTGCAAGTTTGTTCTCTGCAGGGGCCACTTCTTCCTATTAGGTGGGATCTCATGGATATAATTTTGTCTTTATTGGAAATGCTTACTTTATTGGAAATTACTTTCTTTATTGGAAATACATATATATATATATATATGCATGATATATGCACACACACATATCCAAAATATTGGATATATTATATAAATATAATATAATATATTTGTATGATATATATAATATATATGTATGGATTTTTATACATATGAATACATCTATATTTTATATGTGGATATGCAATATTATGGATGTATTTCTCTTTCCCCAGATGTAATAAACAACTATTAAATACTGGATGTCTTCTGCATTTTCATGGAATTGAGAAAAGTGCAGAGGGGTAGTTCATAGGTCCACCACTAGAGAGAGTGCTGGCCAAGAGTTTGTGTCTATAGCCTGAAAGTTCCGTGCTTTATGAAAAAGGCACAAGAGTGGAATTTGTTCCCTTATGTCTCCAAGAGAATGAGAAACTTTTGTACACAGCAATAAAATCTTTCTCCCTACTTCTATGTCAAACTTTGTTTGGTTTGTTTTTTTCAGTTCTTGACTGAATTCTGATATCTATCAGTAACTTTTGCTGCTCCATCTGTGTCTTTTTTTCCCCCAGAACCCTCTACTGTTTCCTCCTTTTATTCAGGAGGGTCTCCCATTCTTCACAGGCCTCCAATCCAGTTTGGAGAGTATTTGAGAGGTTTTGTGGCTGCATTGTCTTAGAAAAGGAGCCCACATTGAGCACCCTTTGCCTCCACTCTTAAGCTGATCTGGCACAGCGCCATCTTGAAACCGGACAAACTACTAAAGCGTATCCTGCTCTGGGGACCAGGGGCCACTGACTGTTTTCAGCTTTGAGTGCCTGCTGTCATTCCATCACATTTCCGTGAATGTCTGGAACACCATGCTCTTGGCTGCCTACAGCTTGGATCTGACAGAATTATTGAGATCCTAGCATCTAAATCTATACAATACCTCCACAACCTTTCCACAGAAAACTGGTGGATCTGCATAGAAGGGAAGCTGTTGAACAGTCAACCATGCCACCGCACTTGCCCTGATTTTCTGGAAAGACTACCACACAACTAGCCAGCCTGCTTGTGTATACATAGCTCGACAGTCAGTCCAGTGGTAACCCAGCTCCACAAAGAGAGCTCACCAGATGGCCTGTTGGCTCTCCATGCCCACTTACACTGGGCTAGAAATCCAACCTGGTGCCCTCATCCCCAGCAAAAACATGTCACCACTATCACGAACTTCTGTAGCTTAAGTCATTGAGGCAATCCCAGACACCACCAATGAGGATCACAATAGAAGAAATTGTATGGAGACCACACTACTGAGTCCAACTGAAACCAAAGCCAATGCACCATACCCAAAGAACCCACAGGACCCACATATGATGTACTCCATAAAATTAGAAAAAAACAACCCTTCCACTAGATGCATAGATATCAACATAGAGACACAGGAAACATGGAAAAAGAAGGAAAAATAGCATCTCCAATGGAGCACAATAAGTCTCCAGTAACAGAACTCAAAGAAAAAGATATTTACAAAGTGCCTGAAAAACAATTCTAAAATAATGATCTTCAGAAAACTCAGTGAGATACAAGAGAACATAAACAAAATTTCAATGAAATTAGAAAACAGTTCATTATTTGAATGAGAAATGCAACAGAGATAAGTATTATATAAAAATAAACAAAAGTCTTGGAGCTGAATAATTCAAAAATAGAAATTTTAAAAATGCAATCGAGAACTTCAATAACAATCTAGATAAAACAAAAGAAAGAATTTTTAGAGTTAAAGACAAGTTTTTTGAAATAGCCCAGTCAGAAAGAAAAAAAATAACAATTTAAAAAGAATGAAAAAGACTATAAGACCTCTAGGACAACATTATGCAAACAAATATTCATGCTATAGAATTGTCAGAGGGAGATGAAAGGGAGAAAGGCATGAAAAACCAGTTTAATAAGATAATAGGTAAAGACTTTCTAAGTCTTGGGGAAATATGGGCATTCAGATCCAGGAAAAGTGAGGGTCTACAAAGACATAGCACTCAAAAAGTTACCCTTGAGGTCACATTATAATGAAACTGCCAAAAGTCAAAGACAAGATAAAGAGATAATTCCAAAAGCTAAAGAGAAAAGCATGAAATCATGTACAGGGGCTCAACAGAAACCTTATAGGCCAAGAGAGAGTAAAGTGATATATTAGAAGTGCCAAAAGAAAAAAAAACGCCAGCCAATAGTACTATATTCAGTAAAGATGTAATTGCTATCATGAACACACATGAAAGTATAATACCAATAGAAATAAATGCATAAATCAAACTCAGAAGTTTTCAGTGATATTATGGTGCTATGTAAATCTTTCAGGCCTCTAGTATGAAGATTTAAAGTCAAATGGTAAAAACAACAACATATAGGTTTACAATAGTCTATTATAACTACAAGACTCTACGTTAGCCACATGTTAAGCATAAAGAAAGAAATTACAGCCAATGTATGGATGAAGCAAAGAAAGGAAACAAAGCTGAGCATACAGAAAACCACCAAATTAGAGAGGCCAACAGCAAGAGAATAAGAGGAACAAAAATCTACAAGACAACCAGAAAACAATTAACAAAATGAGAGGAATATTTCTCTACTTATCAACAATAAACCTGAATGTAAACGGATAAAATTTCCCAACCAAAAGAGACAGAGTGGTGAATAATTTCTTTTTTTTTTTTTTTTTTTTTTTTTTTTTGAGACGGAGTCTCGCTCTGTCGCCCAGGCTGGAGTGCAGTGGCGCGATCTCGGCTCACTGCAAGCTCCGCCTCCCGGGTTCACGCCATTCTCCTGCCTCAGCCTCCCGAGTAGCTGGGACTACAGGCGCCCGCTACCACACCCGGCTAATTTTTTGTATTTTTAGTAGAGACGGGGTTTCACCGTGTTAGCCAGGATGGTCTCGATCTCCTGACCTCGTGATCCGCCCGCCTCGGCCTCCCAAAGTGCTGGGATTACAGGCGTGAGCCACCACGCCCGGCCAATAATTTCTTAAAGACCTTACTATATGCTGCTTATAAGAGACTCCTCTCTCTATTAAAGACAAACAGACTGAAGTGAAGGAATAAGAAAAGATACTCCATGCAAATGGAAACCAAAAAGCAAAGGAAGTAGCCATACTCATTTCAGATAAAATAGACTTTAAATAAAAAAATTAAATGAGACAAAGCAAGTCATTGTATAGTGATAAAAGGAGCAACTCAACAACAACAAAAATAACAGGTGTGTATACATATATCTGTGTATATATATATACATATACATATATATATGTATATGTATATATATATATACATATACATATATATATGTATATGTATATATATATATACACACACCCAACACTGGTGCACCGAACTATATAAAACACAATGTGTATTAAAATACCAATAACATTTTTTGCAGACATATAAAATACAATACAAAAATTCATTTAGAAAAACAAAAGAGCCTGAATTGCCAAAGCAATCCTGAGCAGAAAGAAAAAAGCTGCAGATATCATACCTCTGACTTCCAAATATATTACAAAACTACAGTAACCCAAGCATCAGGGCACTGACATAAATACAGACACATAGACCAATGGAATACAATAGACAGCCTGGAAATAAATGAATGAGCCTGGAAATAAATGAACGCACTTATAGCCAACTAATATTTGCCAAAGGAGCCAAGAACACATATTGAAGACAAGATAGTGTTTTCAATAAGTAGTGCTGGGAAAATTGGATATACACATGCAGAATAGTGAGACTAGCCTCCTACCTCTGACTACATACAAGAAGCAGTTAAAAATGAATTAAGGACTTAACTATAAGACATGAAATTATAGAAGTCCTAGAAAAAAATCACAGGGGAAATGTTTCACAATATTGGACTGGGAAAGAATTTTAAAATTTTACATGAAAAGGAAGGCAACGAAAACAAAATTAAACAAATGGGATTATATCAAACTAAAAATATTTTATACAGCAAAGGAAACAACAGAGGAAAGAGAACCTATAGAATAGAAAAAAATATCTTTCAAACTATGAAACTGACAAAGGTTTAATTTTCTGAATATGTACAAAACTTAAAAAACTCAACAGCAAAAAGAATAAGTCAATTAAAATATGGCCAATATATCTTAATAGGCATTTCCCAAAAGGAGACATACAAATGGCCAAAGGTGTATAAAAAAAAGATTACCATCACAAATCATCATAGAATTGCAAATCAAAACCACAACGAGATATTACCTCACTCCAGGTAGAATGGTTATTATCAAAAAGACAAAAGAAACCATGTGTTGGCAAGGATGTAGAGAAAAGGATGCATTTACATATTGTTGGTGGGATTATAAACCAGTATAACCATTATGGAATACAGCATGAAAGTTCTTCAAAAAATTAAAAATAGAACTACCATATGATGAAGCAATCCCATTACTGTGTATAAATTCAAAATGAAAGCAGCTGGAGCAGAGGAGGTGGAGCATGATGGCTGAATAGAAGCCTTCAGCAATTGTCTCCACTGCAGGAATACCAAATTTAACAACTATTTACACACACAAATAAATACCTTCATAAGGAACAAAGTTCAGGTGAGCCATCACAGTACCTGGTTTTAACATTATATTAAGAAAAAAGGCACTGAAGAGGGTAGGAAAAACAGTCTTGAATCACGTATGTCACCCCATCCCCATTCCGTGGCAGCAGCCATGTGGTGTGGAGAGAGAATCTATTCACCTGGAGAAGGGAGAGGGCAGTGATTATGGTAGTTTCCATTAGAACACTGTGCTGCCCTGTCACAGTAGAAGGAAACACAGGGAAGGACACAGCTGCCTTCCACTGAGGGAGAATTTAGACAAGCCCTAGCCAGAAGTGAATAATCCATCCCAACAAGTGGGCTCTGAGTTTCAGCAGGCCCTGCCCATGGGTAGGCTGGTCATGAACTCCTGACCTCATGATCCACCTGCCTCAGCCTCCAAAGTGCTGGAATTATAGGTGTGAGCCACCACGCCTGGCCAGATGATGTAATCTTACATGTGGGAAAACTTAAGACTCTACCAAAAAAACCTGTTAGAACAGATAAACAAATAAGTAAAGTTGCAGAATACAAAATCAACATACAAAAATCAATAGCATTTCTACATGCCAACACTGAATAATCTGAAAAATAAATCCAGAAGTAATAGATAACAAATGTGGTACATAGAAACAATGGACTACTATTCAGCCATTAAAAATAAAATGAATTCCTGTCATTTGAGACAACACGCATAGAACAGGAGGATGTTATGTTAAGTGAAATAAGCCAGGAACAGAAAGACAAACTTCACATGTTCTCATTTGTTTATGGAAGCTAAAAATCAAAACAAACCCATGGAGATGGAGAGTAGAATGATGGTTACCCAAGGTTGGGAACGGTAGTGTTTGTAGGGGACTGGGGGAAGTGGAGGTGCTTAATGGGTACAAAAATATAGTTGAATAGAATTAACAAGATCTAATATTTGATAGCACACCAGGGTGACTACAGTCAATAATAATTTATTGTACATTTCAGAATAGATAAAAGTGTATAATTGGATTTTTTTTGTAACACAAAGGATAAATGCTTGATGTCATGGATATCTCATTTACCCTTACATGATTATTATACATTGCATGCCTGTATAAATATATCTCATGTACCACATAAATATATACATCTACTATGTACCCTCAAGTATTAAAAATAAAAAAGTTTATTTCAGCACTATTTAGAGTGGCCAAGATATAGAATCAACCTAAGTGTTCAACAATGGATGCATGGATAAAGAAAAAGTGGTATATATACTCAATGGACTACTTTAGCCATATAAAGCAAGGAAATTCTGTAACGCAACAACATGAATGAATCCGGAAGATACCATCTGAGTGAAAAAAAGCTAGGCACTGAAAGGCAAATACCTCATCTCACTCATATGTGGAATCTAAAATAAATGTTTTTTAGTCTGAAATCAAAGAAGCAGAATGCAGAACAGTGATTACTAGAGATGGGGAAGTGGGGCAGAGGAAGAAGAACGGGGAACGGCTGTTCAACAGGTACAAACCTCCTATTAGGACGAATCATTTCTGGTGGTCTGCAGCACAGTAGGGTGACTATTGTTAAAAGTAAAGTGTTTTACATTACAAAATAGCTAGAAGAGAAATTTTTGAATGTTCTTACCACAAATAAACAACAATGAATGAGGTGATAGGTACACTAACTATCCTAATTGAATCATTATATATGTATCAAAACATCAAATTTTACCTCGTATTTTAAGTACGATAAAAATGTGTCAATTTAAAAAGAAAAAGAAAAGGAGGAAATAGAAGAGGACTATTCCATATTCCTTAACACAAAGAAAAATTCAATATGAGCCTGAAAACAGTGACCAAGAACAGATCATATTTTATGTATTAATGAGAAGTACACACAGGTCCAAGTTTTCCTTATGTTTATGCTCCATTTCTTGGGCATCTGAAGGAGGTAGATAAGATATAGGAGCATGAAGAGATCCAACTTAAACTCAGGAATTCTTATTTACATTAAAAAAATTAAATGTGAATGATTTCTTTTTCTTTTTGTTAGCTTGAAAGTCACCATCAGGACCTTGGAGAATCTTGATTCTATCATGCGGGATACTTAATAGTCCTTGTTGCATGACATCAGTGACTATCTATGTTCCTATAACCATTTCTGGGTTTAATTAAAATGTTGAATACTGCAGGGTTAAAGACAAGACCATCAGATGCATTACTAGGGAACTCTGTCAATTTTACTTTGATTCATTAATTCTTACCTTATGATTTATGCAATCCCCCATGAAACCAATTATTACACTGTCACTTAATGCACATTTCTAGATCTTGAACATGATGGACTCATGAGATTTTTTGGAAATGGCTTCTTAAATCCAGGTTAAAAAATGTGTATCTATTTCTGAGTCTAAAATACCTGTCAAAAATTCTAGTAGGTTTAGTTTCTGTATGAACCAGTGCTGTGTTTTAATGGCTCCTGCCTTTTATCAGGTATTGATTTGTTTAATAATTCAATAAATTTTTATTTCTCATTTATTTTGTGATAAGCATTGTGCTAAATACTTGTTTCAAATCACTAGCACTGAATATTTGATATCTGTGTGGTCACCTTTTTAAAAATTAAAAAAAAAAATTTGCTCACCAAGTCTTCAAGAATCTGTTTCCCCAGAATTCTTGGCTAATCATTGCCAATGTTTCTCTGATATCAACTTCAAGACTTTAAAATAAATATCAGATATATAATTTATCTGTCACAGACTAGACACCTGAACTCAAAATCATCTAAAGCTAAGGTATGTTTTTAATTTTTTGCTGAAGAGTTTCCTTTTCTTGGGACCTTATTTTTCCTCTACTTCTCCACTGAGGATCATATGAAAGTCTTTTGAGCCTATTGACTTAGTTAGATTAATTCTGTAGCATGTCCTCACTTCTATGTTCTAGATTATTTCTCTTACTTTGTAGCCCATCCCCGACTTTTGGTGTTCTTGGAAATGAGAAAAAGGGGCAGTAAAAAGAGCCCTTTAGGCATTACCATGACTGCTCTATCTTCCTCTGAGTGATATCTTGCTTCTCTCTATGATTTTTTTGGGGATAGTCACTTTTTTTCTTTCTTTTTTTTTTTTTTTTTTCTTATATAGAGTCTCACACTGTCACCCAGGCTGGAGTGCAGTGGCGTGATCTCGGCTCACTGCAACCTCCACCTCCTGGCTTCAAGTGATTCTCCTGCCTCAGCCACCTGAGTAACTGGGACTACAGGTGCGTGCCACCACACTCAGCTAATGTTTTTGTATTTTTAGTAGAGACAGGGTTTCACAATTTTGGCCAGGATAGTCTCGATTTCTTGACCTCGTGATCCACCCGCCTCGGGCTCCCAAAGTTCTGGGATTACAGGCGTGAGCCACCAGCGCCTGGCCCACTTTTGTTTTTTGTTATATAGGCACAGTATTTCCAACAAGCCACACATATTATTGTTTCTGTACTTGAACCCTTATGCCTTAATCCCAATTACAGTAGCCTTAGCTACCTGTGACACCTTGTTAGGTTATATCTACTGTGCTATGCATTGATGATCCTGCTGAGTAAATGCAATAGTTCTAGTATAAGAAAACAATGTTTCCAGGTAATATTATATATAAAAATCCTCAAAGTCGACTATTCATTCAATCTTAATAGTTCCAAATAATGATCAGAAATCATATGTGGTTCTATAGTATCAAACCCCATGATTTGGAGGGGTTATTTTTGTATGATTTTCACCAATATTCCTTAGTAAAATTATTTATTTTGCCTCAAAATCCTGCCTTTGGTTACCTAACCATGGGTTATTTTAAAAAATCATTTGCAAAATTGCTATGCAAAAATGTTTGCAACCACACATGCTACAATAAATATTGATCGAGACTGAGTGCCTACATTGTAAAAAGCTCTGTCTTTTCCCAGAAAATTGACTGTGGAAAAAAAAAGAAATAAACAACAATTAAGAA
Source organism: Homo sapiens (assembly GCF_000001405.40). Lineage (NCBI taxonomy): Eukaryota > Metazoa > Chordata > Mammalia > Primates > Hominidae > Homo > Homo sapiens. The sequence continues at coordinate 11,712,284 of NC_000004.12, read as the reverse complement.
ATAAAACAGAGCCAAAAATGAAGGCATATCTCAGAGCCCTAAGGTTATTTTGTTTTGTGTTACTTTTCCTTCCTTTTAATTTTTCTTTTCATATTTCCTCCTAGAAACCCTGTCTCCCCAGGAGAAAAAGTCCTCATTGTTGCAAGATCACTAAAAGATTTACGGAAGAAATGGGCTCTTTTGTTTTTGTTCTTCATTCATCTTCTTTCCTTATGCCGAAAAAAATATATTTGCATTCTGAAATCAACAGCATCAGTCAAGTATGCTTTTCATAGACTAACCTCTAAAAATTGTTTCTTTGAACCTTTTGGAGGCTTTGATGGTAAAACTGAAAAGTCCCAAACTATTTTCGTTCATCCCACTTGGAATACATCACAAATTATGTTGCTGGAATTAATGCATGCCAGTTAGTGTTTTGTCTTATTGGCTTTGTGTCAGTTTCATCAGTGGTTTTATTTGTTAAATTGTGCACATCCTACATGACTTTCATACAGAAAGCTCCTCTTATTTCATGTTTATTTAGGGTTTCCACTTGAAATACTGCATTCTTAGCCTCACAATTCTGTGGTAGAGGCAAAGATGGTATTAATATTTCCGTTTCACAGATAGTGAAATGTATATTTAATTGGAATTAGCAATTTGCTAACTGGGTTATAAGTCACCTAGCAAAACCAGAACATGAACTCAGGTCTTATGATTGCATATTCAGTGATATTTCTATATCTCCTTAGCACCAAATCCAGCATTAAGTAAGGAATACAGTTAATGGCTATTCCTTAACCCAAAAATGTCTTCTAAGTCTGCTTCCTCTTGAGGACATCACCTAATTTTCACCCTTCTTTTTATAAACATACTTTCAAAAGTATTGTTCAGTGAGAAATAATGCTGTGGAAAAAAATAGCAGTAGAGGCAATATAGTTTTTAGACGGCCCAGAATCTAAATCTCCCCATCCGCAAATAAAACAAGGAGAGCAACTAAAATACCTAAACAAACACGAATGGACAACTTTCAATAAAACTGGGTGATTGGATAGCCCCATAAATCCCCAAAATGTAAGCAGGTGTGGACAAACAACCAACAGCTGTGAGACTCATGTGACACAGCATCTGTGTGGTAGAAAGAGACTCATGTGACACTAGCATCTGTGTCATAGAAAGAAGAGAGAAAAATGGGGCACCTGGAAGCTTCAAAAGAGAAGAGCTGCAAAATTGCCACAGGTATTGTTGCAGTTTGCATTACCAGGAAAAAAAGACAATGAGAGGGATATTTGCATAACAGGCTTTTTTTAGGAAGTGCTTTTGGGATCCATGCCTGTGGAAGGGAGGGAAGAGAAGTAGCACTGGGCAGAGGGAGTGGAGCTGTAATACAGTTCTAAAGAGGGCTTCAGCAAATCTCCTGGGAGCTCTGGAGTTGGAATAGATAATTACAGTTGTTCTAAGATTGGGCAAGGTTGCCTGGACGTTATTATTTTTCCACATTGATTAGCCATTAAGTATGAGCTAATCCTACAAAGCTTTATGACCTTGGGTGAGTAAGATTATTTTAGCTGTGGCAATCCCCACAGTCAGTCCTAACAGATGGAGGCCCATCTTTTAGCAATACTTTCAGCAGCTGAAAGAATAAATCTTTCATTCCTGAAGAGGAATTTAAACAGTGCTTCACTGAGTCACCAAAAGCAATCATTGGGAAGTCTGAGTACAGTAACCAATACAGGAAGTGTGCTCCATAGACTTCAACATAGGGGTGAAGTAAGCGTTCTACAGTAATGCGTTGGAGTGGTCTGAGACCTGTGTATACTCTAAACTAATGACTTGAAGCTCCATACTAGAAGAAAGCCATATGCTAAGAAATAATTGCTGAAGGAAGAATACAAATTGAGCAAAACAGGCCAAATAGGGACAAAGAAAAGAGAATACCCCCAAAATATTGGAAGATACCATCAGAAAGTATAAAGCCATTTTTTATTATATCAAAATATAAACAACAAAAATAACAGCAAAAGAAGACGCTCTAGGGCAGTAAACCTTAAAACAGCTATTCTATCCCACTGTCTTCCTTTAAAAAGTACTGGAAAAGTAATTTTATGTAAAATGAGAAACATAAAAGAATTCTATATGAAGAAATTGTAAGAAAAAGAAAATACAAGGAGCAGAACAAAGTCTGTACAGACAATGAAATTCTGCCAGAATATATATCTATAAAACAGATTTTTATCTGCGAACTATTTTAAAGACACTTAAAGAAATTGAGAAAATAATAGAAGCTTTGAAAGAAACCGTTAATCAAAAGAAGTTCAGAAATGATGTTATTGGAGGAGAGGAGTGTTTGAAAAGTGCAAACCAAAAATAAAATTCTAAGGCTCCCCAACCATTTGAATGAACTTCCTCCTCAGTCAGGACACTCTAAAATTTAACCTGAAATACTGGTTCAGGCCATGCCCTGAAGTGGGCATCAGCCATGCCTCATTATACCCTCCTTCATTAACATCAACACAGACCTTAAATCTGATAAAACTTATGACCAAGTTGGTTTTACCAAGAAATGTAAGTTTGTTTTAACACTTGATAATCAATGTAATTTTTCATATTAAGACTATATATAAAATATGATCTCAAGAAATAGACAAAATATTTCATAAAATTCAACATCCATTTATGTTAAAAGCCTCCAGAAAAATAGATATTAAGCAACCTTTATCAATCTGATGAAAAGCACCTACAAACTCTCTAGCTAAGAACATTCTTAATGTGAAAGACTGACTGTTTTCCCTGTAACACTGAAACAATACAAGGATGACTGGTCTCTCAATTCCTATTCAACATCCTACTGATGTTTTTACCAAATGAAATAATTCAAAAGGAGCCAAATCATGAAGAAGCTCCCACTCACAATTGCTGCAACGGGAATAAAATACCTAGGAATACTGCCAACAAAGGACATAAAGGACCTCTTCAAAGAGAACTACAAACCACTGCACAAGGAAATAAGAGAAGACACAAACAAATAGAAAAACATTCCATCCTCATGGATGGGAAGATTCAATATCATGAAAATGGCCATACTGCCCAAAGTAATTTATAGATTCAACATTGTTCTCATCAAACTACCTTTGACATTCTTCACAGTATTAGAAAAAACTACTTTAAAATTCATATGGAACCAAGAAGGAGTTCATATAGCCAAGATAATTCTAAGCAAAAAGAACAAAGCTGAAGGCATCATGATACCTGACTTCAAACTATACTACATGGCTACAGTTGGACATGCAGACCAATGGAACAAAACAGAGACCTCAGAAATAACACCACACATCTACAACCATCTGGTCTTTCACAAACCTGACAAAAGCAAGCAATGGGGAAAGGATCTCCTATTCAGTACATGGTTCTGGGAAAACTGACTAGCCATATGCAGAAAACTGAAACTGGACTCCTTCTTTACTCCTTACGGAAAAATTAACTCAAGATAGATTAAAGACTTAATGTAAAACCCAAAACCATAAAACCCCTAGAAGAAAATCTGGGCAATACCATTCAGGACATAGGCATGGGCAAAGAATTCATGATGGAAACACCAAAAGCAATTCCAACAGAACCCAAAATAGACAAATGGGATGTAATTAAGCTAAAGAGATTCTGCACAGCAAAATAAACTAGCATCAGAGTGAATAGGAAACCTACAGAATGAGAGAAAATTTTTGCCATCTACCCATCTGAAAAGGTCTAATATCCAGAATCTACAAGGAACTTAAACAAATTTACAAGAAAAAAAACAACCCCATCAAAAAGTGGGCAAAGGACATGAACAGACACTTCTCAAAAATAAAAAAAGACATTTATGTTGTCAAAAACATATGAAAAAAAGCTCAACATCACTGATCATTAGAGAAATGCAAATCAATACCACAATGAGATACCATCTCATGCCAGTCAGAATGGTGATTATTAAAAAGTCAAGAAACAATAGTTGCTGGCGAGGCGGTGGAGAAACAGGAAATGTTTTTAGACTGCTGGTGGGAATATAAATTAGTTCAACCATTGTGGAAGACAGTGTGATGATTCCTCAAGAATCTAGAACCAGAAATACCATTTGATGCAGTAATCTCAATACTGGGTATATACCCAATATAAATCATTCTACTATAAAGACACATGCACACGTATGTTTATCACAGCACTATTTACAATAGCAAAGACACAAACAATTCAAATGCCCATCCATGATAGACTGGATAAAGACACTATGGTACATATACATCATGGAATACTATACAGCCATAAAAAGGAAGGAGAACAGGTCCTTTGCAGGGACATGGATGAAGCTGGAGGCCATCATCCTCAGCAAACTAACACAGGAACAGAAAACCAAACACTGTATGTTCTCACTCATCAGTGGTAGTTGAACAATGAGAACACATGGACACAGTAAGGGGAATAACACACACCAGGGCCTGTTGGGGGATGGGGGGAGAGGGAGGAGAGCATCAGGACAAATAGCTAATGCATGCAGGGCTTAAAACCTAGGTGATGGGTTGATAGGTGCCACAAGCAACCACAGCACATGTATACCTATGTAACAAACCTGCATGTTCTGCACATGTATCCTTCAACTTAAAGTAAAAAATTAAAAAAGAAAAAAAAAGATAAAAGCCATACCAAATGAAAAGAAATAAATTATCCTATTTCTCTTTGCAGACAAAATGACTGTCTACATAAAAAATCCCAAAGAATCTACAAAAAAAGCTACTGGCAGTAATAAATGATTTTAGCAAGGTCATAGGATACCAGATTAATATAGAAAAATCAATTGTATTTCTCTATACTAGCAGTGATCAAATGAAAATTGAAATTTACAAAACAGCACTATTTACAATAGCATCAAAGCATCAGCTCTTATTAGGAAAAACTTAATGAAAATATATGTAAGATTTACATTTGTACTGAGAAGTACAAATGCTAATGAAAGTAAACAATGTTGATCTAAGGAAATAGAGAACTACACCATGCTCATGGGTTGAAAGATTCAATATTGTTCAGATGTCAGTCTACCCAAATTGATCCACAGATTCAGCACATTCAGAATCAATATTCCCACTGATATATAAATAAATTTATATATAACTATATAAATTTATATAAAACTACATAAATTTATATAAATGTCAATTAAATATACATATTTAATTGACTAACTTTAATTTATACGGAAAATAAAAGTAAAATAGTTAAAACAACTCTGATAAAGAACAAAGACAGAGAACTCACACTACTGGATTTCAAAAACTGATTGTAAAGTTACAGCAATCAAGAATGTGGACCACGTGTGGTGGCTCATGCCTGTAATCCCAGCACTTTGGGAGGCCAAGGCGAGTGGATCACCTGAGGTCAGGACTTCAAGACCAGCCTGGCCAAGATGGCAAAACCCCATCTCTACTAAAATGACATAAATTAGCTGGGCATGGTGGCAGGCGCCTGTAATCCCAGCTACGCAGGAGGCTGAGGCAGGAGAATCGCTTGAACCCGGGAGGCGGAGTTTGCAGTGAGCCAAGATTGCACCACCTCACTCCAGCCTGGGTGACAGAACAAGACTCTGTCTCAAGATAAAGAAAAAAAAAAAAAAAGAATGTGTGGTATCATTGAAAATAGGAGTTGGTAAATATTTTATTGATATACCAGAGAGTAAATATTTTAGCTACGTGGGCCATAGGTTTTCTGTCACAATTCTAGTGCTATTTAATGTGAAAGCACCCATAAACAATATATAAACCAATAAGCATGAGTATGTTCTAATCAAACTTTATAGAAACTAAAGTTTGAATTTCACACAATTTTCAAGTGTCATAAAATATTATTCATCATTTGATTTTCTTATTATTTAAAAATGTAAAAGAAATTTTTAAATTTTGGATCACATAAAAAGAGGCAATGGGGCAGGTTTTGCTAAGCTCTGAATTAAAGACTAAATGTACGATCAATGGGATTCAATTGACCTACTTATATCTGGTCAATTTATTTTCAACAAATACAAGACAATATAGTGGAAAATTGTTAGACTTTTCAATAAATAAGGCTGGAGCAACTGTGCATTAAGCCTGACCAACATGGTGAAACTCTGTCTTTACTAAAAATACAAAAATTAGCCAGCCGTGATGGAGCATGCCTGTAATCCCAGCTACTCAGGAGGCTGAGGCCGGAGAATCGCTTGAACCTGGGAGGCGGAGGTTGCAGTGAGCCAGGATCGCACCATTGCACTCCAGCCTGGGCGACAGAGCGAGTCTCTGTCTCAAGCAAACAGACAAACAAAAAATAGGGCAAAACAAGTCCTCTACTCATAGATCACACCATATAAAAAATAAACTCAAAATTAATCATAGATATAAATATATAACTTTAAACTATAAAACACTTAGAAAAAAAGAATATAATCTGTATAACTTGTATAACTTTGGGTTAGCACAATATACCAATTCTAATATTTAAAGTCAATTCTAATATATGAAATAAATTGGCAATACCAAGCTGATTTAAAGCAACACGAGCTCTCATTCATGGCTAGTGAGAGTGTAAAAATGGTATAATATAAAAATATAAAGCAACATGAACTCTCGTGGTTAGTGAGAATGAAAAATGGTATAACAACTTAGGAAAACAGTTTGGTATTTTCTTATGAACACAGATGTATAATATTCCCTATTAATTCTACTGCATTTAAGTATTTATCAGGGAAAAATGAAAATATATGTTCAAACAAAAACAAATAATGTATGTGAAAGTGCTCATTTATAATTGCCAAAAACCAGACACAACCCAGATATCTATCAAGTAGGGAATAAACAGAATATGGTAAATCCATATAAGGTAATCGGATTTAGCAAGCAAAGAATACATGAAAAAAAAATGGATGCATCTCAAATGCACTGCATTAAACAGAAGCCAGATTTAGAGCTACAATATGGTCCTGATGATTCTGATTACATGACATCCTGGAGAATGAAAACGATGGACATATAAAAATATATCAGTTACTGCAATGGACTTGCAGAGATGAAGGGGAATGACTCCGACAGATCATTCAAGAACTTTTTAGGGTTCTACATCTCCTTTGTAGTGGTGAGTACATGAATGTGTGTGTTTGTCAAATGTTATAAACCAAACATCAAGAAAAGGTGAGTTTTATTCTGACTAGAAATGGCATTACAGTGGCATCACAATTAATCTGACAGGGTGGAGAGAGATAAAGAAAGAGAAAGAGAGAAGGAGAAACCAGGTCTAACCCCATTGGCAATCTTGTGTGTAGAGAGTGAAGAAATGAAAATAGACTAGTAGAGGAAAGTGAGGAGGAAAAGTAAGGTACAAAGAGAATTGACAGTGGTCTCTGGAGAGCTAAAAAAGGAATATAGTCTAAGATGAGATAGACCACTGTGTTATGCTGCTGATAGGGTATGCAAGGAGAATATTAGCCACTGGACTTAGTAATAGACAAGGCACTAAGTGACAGACAAGAACATTTTCAAGATCTGGTGGGTTAATAATGGGTTCAGGAAAAAGGAGACATGTAAATGAAGAGTGAGTAAAGAAAACACTTTTTAAAGAGCTTTACTGTAAACAAGCAGTGGAATGGGACAGGAGCCAGAAGGCATATGAAACCAAAGATTTTGTCCTCTTGTTTTATGATAATACTGAATGCTGGTATGTTGATGTGAATGATCTAACAGAAAGAAAACAACAGTGATGACACAGGACAGGAAAGAATTGCTGAAGTGAAAAACTTGAATAAATGAGAAGAGGTGGGATCCAGGTCATAATGTAGTCCAGAAGAATTAGAAAAGAAGATACAGATCAGGGAGAATCTGAGAAGTCTTGTTTTCAAGATAAGGCTGATTCTTGCTCAAGGTGGCCTGTCTAATTTGGAAAAGGATTCCACTGGGTATTGCAAGGTAATGCCAGAGGTTACAAGTAGTGGTATGAAGTGCCAAAGAAATGAGGTAATGAGACCTAGATTCGAGGTCTGGGTAATAGACAAGGAATTTATATTCAGGAAAAACCTGAAAAGATAATCAAGAAATTCAAGAGATGGGGAAAGTACATTTGAAGGGGTATAGGGAAGTAGGCTGTGCTCAGAAAGGTAGACAGGAGGCTTACCCATAGGCACTTGGAGTTATAGTACGAAATTTAATGTTACAATCTCTGGATTTGAACCAATAATCAACTGTGAATCACACCTAGCCAAGCCTCCTATATAATGTCAGGCTTTGCCAAGATTGACTAAGAAATTAGGAGACCCCGGGCCTGCTATTTGAAGGTTAAGTGTGACTATAGCTAATAAAACTGCAGTTGGTAGCAGTATTAAGAAAAATATTTATTTACTTGGTTCTATTTGTTTTAATGGATATTTAAAATATGCACAAAGTGCAAGTGGATTGATTTTGAGTGTCATTAATTCTTTGCTAGACCATTGAAGGAAAATGGCAGGCACAGAAACTATGGAACCGTAACAGATAAATCCTTTCTGAATCCAGTATTAAGCCATTCTTAAATGTTATTCTTATTCCATGTTAAATCCCACATATTTTTCCCCTTTTGAACAGCTCATTGAAATGATGGAACTTATTGGAGGAAAATGTGATTCAATAAGTGAAAGTTTATTCTACGTCTGACTTTTCAGGAAGACTAAAGCCTCATTTATACCTTATCATAGGTTGTAAAGTGCTTTCAAATATTTGACATGCTATTCTCACAATGAAATGATTTTTTCCTCATTTTACAAATGCAGATGTTAAGGCCTAGAGAGATGAACTGCTTTGCTTTAAAATACCCAGCTAATAACAGAGCCAGAGCAAAACTCCAGGCATTCTACATTCAAATCTAATGATAGTTCTGCTATGTCTGTACATAACATCATTGACCAATCATTGCAAATGTGTGGGTTATGCGCACAGAAAATTTGCATTCCCAGTGCTTGTTGCCAAATACTATTTGGTGGAATGTGTCTGAGGAGTTCGTATTTTAACTTTTTCAACCTATCTGAAGATCCTATCCATCATACAGATTCATTCAGCTCCACACAGTGGCACACAGGGTCGTTTGGGAGCTTCCATTAGGAAGTGCCCTTCTGCAAACTGTGCCTAACCACAGAGCCCTGAGGAAATAGTGTGTAATGAAAACAACACAAGTCTTGAAACAAGGAAGCATCATGGCAATGCCTGCTCTGCCACTCTCCTGCCAAATGGCCTTCAGCAACTTAAGTCATCTCTCTCTGAGCCTGTTTTCTAATTTCTAAGAAACTGACCTAACCTACAGAATTGTTATGAAGATGAGAACATACCACACTCAGCCAAAGCTGTTTCTTACAATGACCAAAAATAAAGCTTTAGAAACTAAAGTGTGGCATATATATATATATATGCACACACACGCACATATATATGGATAAAAAAATCACAATTGAAAGAATGTGGTAAAAAGCAAACGAGCTCTGCAATTCATCTGTAAGTTCTTTTGGTTTAAAATTTCATTTTAATTTTGGCACAACATTAGCAATCCATTGAAAATATTCTGAAATAACTCATATTCAGAGTTATTAAAGAAAGTTGATGGGTTTCACGCGCACGCGCACACACGCACACACACATACACCCACCCCTGCAGGTTGTGCGTTTTAGCAGACCTAAATGTAAACTTCTGGAATCCAAAATAAACTCCAAGTTGGTGATATCTAAAATTAACCCCAGTATGTTACTGTCTGCAAAAAAGAACTGTGAGAAAGTCTGTTCAGAGGATAATGATAGTGACTCAAATCCAGCTTGGAAGCGAGGCCTTCTGTGGGAGACAGAAGATGAAGGGTAATGTGGGGTGATGTCCTGACAAGAGCAAGCCGGAGTGTCACTCCAACTGAAGCTCATTCTTTTTACCCCAAAGCCTGAACCTGATCATTGTCCCTCTCACACGAGGCTTTACTGGATGCACCATGCCTCTTCTTTGCAGAGTTCTTTAACTGGCTTAAGACACTTCAATTTTGCAAGTTGAGTTGAGGACACCTGGTAATGAATGATTCAAGACACACAGGTGGCCCAGGACTGGGCCTGGCAGGCGTATTCCTGGAACGGCGCCCCCGTGAGGATCCTATATGCAGAGGGAGAGCAAGCCAGTAGTTAGATTCTTGCTTAGTCAATTATGCATAATGGCTGTCAGTCAAGTTCTCCTGTTTGTGTCCTTGCAAAACCTGGGGAGGGGAGGAACCAAGGCTGTGATGTGTTTAAGGGTAGCACTCTTACTTTAGTGGAAGCAGCTGCAGCCCAAGACTCGCAAGCTGAGTCTTCTCTCTGTAAACAGAAAATTCTGTTCATTGTCATATACAGAACCAAGTCCTTAGGGAGACTACAATAAGATCTTCGGGATGCTCATTTGTCTCTCAGCCTGAATTTCCTGCAAATTTTCTACATGCGTTGGGTGCTTCAACAATGGAGGGTGACTGTTAAAGGTTGAATTGTGTCCCCCGAAATTCATATGTTGAAGTCTTACCACCAAATACCGCAGAATAGGACCATATTTGGAAATAGTGTCATTACAGATATATTTAGTTATGATGGGGTTGTACTGGAGTAGAGCAGGCCTCTAATCCAAGACTACAGTGTCTTTATAAGGAGGGGAAATTTAGACACAGAGACACCCACACGAAGAGAATACTATGTGAAAATGAAGGGGGCAAGGATTGCGGTGATGCTCCTAACAAGTTAAGAAATACAGAAGATTGCCAGAAAACCATCAGAAGCCAGGGAAGAGGCACATAACTGATTTTCCCTCAAAATCTTCATAAGGAGCCAACCTTACTGACACCTTGATCTGGAACTTCTGGCCTCTGGAACTGTGAAAAAATACAATTCTGTTATTTAAGCAACCCAATCTGTAGTCCTTTGTGATGGCAGCCCTAGCAAATTAACAGAATTGTTTTGGCCTCCAAAAAGGGATATTCTCAAATTCTAGCATTTGCACATGTGTTTCCAGATCAGCAGAGAGTTTAGGGAACAAGGTTTGGAGCCAGACAGAAGTGGCTGTGATTTCCAGCTTGACCACTTTCTGATTGTGCCATTCTAAACAAGATACTTTGGAGTGTCTGCTTGGAAATTTTGAATCATAGTGGTTAACATTATGGCCTTGGGCTTCACAAAGATCTGGTTGCAAATTCCAGCCATTCACCCGCTGAGTAGCCCAGGTATGTTACTTTTCCTGAATGTGTTCTTGTTCTTATAAACAGTACAATACTTACTTTCCAGGAGGCTTATGAGGATTCAATGTCATAATGCACAGACATCTCAAACTTGCTACTCTGGCATCATCATTACTCATAAGAAGGAAGCAGGGATTATGTTCTCCTGGGATTCATTTCTCTTCTGCTTTCTCTGGACTACTATGTTTATCCTGCAGATTCCATAGAAGGGTGGCCTTCTCAAGAAAGCCTTGCCAGTCTGGTCAGCTGTGACCTATCATTTCACAATAGCTTATTCCTAAGAAGTGCATGCACCCACACTCGCGCCCACCCATGGACACTCATATTAACCTGTGTTTAAGTAGCTTACGTACATGCATACTCTCTCTGCTAGACAATGTCTTTTGAGGCAGAGACTTTTTTCATTTCCATATATTAGCTTTTTACATAATAGGTTCTCATTAAATATATGATGAAGAGATAAATGAATGAACAAATGAATGAATGAATAGCAAGCTTCCAAGTAAGTTTTAAGAGAGAGTTCTATTTTTCTATTCTTTTCCAAATATCTGTGGCTGTTTCTTCCTGCTGCTGCTGCTGCATGGCACTCTAAGGAAGGGAAATTTGAAAAAAAGATGCCTTCCAGGGGTGGGAAAGACACTGGTCAGAAGAGCCAAAGTGGATTCTGGGTAACGTATCCCTTACAGGTGGTTAGATCTTTTACGTTACAGTACCCTACCTTTATGAAACAGTCTTGCAAATGCTATCTCACTTAAATACCACATCATTCTACTAGATAGGCCAGAAGGACATTACTTCTCCATGTACCAGTGAGGAAACTGAGGCATATGACTTCCCCAGAATTACATAAGTTAAACAGAGACAGAGCCAAGTCAAGAACACAGTCTTCTAAGATGGCCTCATTTTTGACTTTTCTTCTTACTAAAACTTGCTGACTTTGATTTCATATGGCTGATTTCTAAAATAAGGACTTAGTTAGGCTTCTAACTGAGACCATTCAATAGATGTCTTAGTAAAAGTCATCATGTGTGGGTTCTAAGGACTGGTTTCCTGGGAACAATATGCCCTTCGAAGATAGGAACCTAAACATAACTCATTCAAGCGGAGGATGAAACCTTCAGGGCTGTAAAGCAAGATTCTAGATCAGAACATCAGGTGGAGAGTAAAAGATACTTCCATGAAATCCTAATGATGGTCCTAGCTCTGAATTGTTACTTGGTTGATAATTTTCTTATCTCTCTGAGTCTCAGGGTTCTTATCTGCAAAATGGAAATATTATCTGCTCTAATTCAGAGTTCATGACAATCAATTGTGATACGGAAAATGAAGAGCACCCCAAAAGTCTGTAGCAGATATGTAAAAGCCTATTAACCTTGTCTTAATAACATTAGGTTCTGAAATCAACAAATACAATTAAAATTGTATAAGTTGAAATGACTCCCCAAAGTCTTTTGAGAAGGTACAAAATTAAACACTATTATTTTTTATCTGCCTAACACAATCAGCTTTCCCTCCTGTGTACATACAAATTGGTCTCTGTTTCCTTCAGCATAGAAGACGTTGTTAATTTTCTTCCAAGGAACATGTGAAACAGGAAAAAATATGAATATTTACTATAAGAATCAGACAACTGAAGCAACAGCACATTCCTCTCTCACTTGTCACAATCAAGGACATATTCAGAGGAACAGATAAACGAGGGGTAGAATCACCTGTGCTCTATTCATTGTCATATTCCATCTCTCTCCCTCTTCATTATCATTATTATCAACAGCATGATTATTATCCTGTCATTATATGCCAGCATGCATAGTTTAATCGTATAAATCAAATTTGTGTATGATGCAAGACCATGGTGTTTAGAAATCAGATTCAGAAGCCCTCAGTTGTAATTGAAGTGGCATACTGTGAGATGAGCCTCCAGTCATTATTCAAAATGCAGTGAGTCAGCGCTTCCCATTTTAGATCACACAGCCCAACCCCACCTAAGATATGAATCCTAAGGTTTATAAATTCTACTGTGGTTTAGCTTTCCTGAGATTTTTGACTCAGCTTCCTGCCCTGCCCTCATCAAGTTCTAGTGACATTCCAATGACTGTTAGGGAAGATAAAGTATAGGATCTGAAAAGAGCAGCGTCCAAGGTAGTAATCTACAGGGGTGGATGACTCCCATCTTGGTGGTTGTGCCAGCCAGTTCCATATTTAACACACAATGCATGGGACTTGCAGGTTGGGTGTGTGTGTGTGTGTGTGTGTGTTTCCCTTAAATACACTGAGTCGTATTCACAATCTGAATATAAAGAACTAGCAAACATCTGAACTGAGCTTCTTCGGACCAAGCTAAGACTCAAAGCAATTTTCCTTTTAGTTATTTCAGAATAGATACTGATCAGGTTAACTTTTGCAGACTCTTCCCTACCTTAGGGTGGTAGTATTTCAGTGGGTAGCAGTTAGAGCTCGGGACATACTAGTAAACCAAGGTAGACGCCAGGCTCTGCTCAAAAGCCACCACTGAGAAGAGTTTTCCCCAAAACCACTTTTCTCAACACTGGGCTCTTCCTTCCCCACTCTCTTCACAGGATTCCTGTTTGCTATTTCAGAGATACTATGGTTCTTATAGACAGTGGCAGCAGGCTCCCAAATCTTCTCCTTGCTTTTATTCTCAGCATACTCCAATTTATCTCCCACACTGTAGCCAGAGGTAGCTTTTAAATTGTAAATTTGACAAAGTAATTTACTGCCTAAAACCTGTCAGTGTCTACCAGTTACCTTCAAGACAGCATTCAAAATCCTTAAGAAGCCTTTCAAATCACTTGGCAAGCCAGCCCAAACAACCGTCACGCTTTATCTCTTACCACACCTTCAGAGAGTGCTGCCAGATTAAATTAGAAACAGAGAGGAGGCCAAAAAAAAAAAAAAAAAAGGCAAGAACATATAAAAAACAATTTTCTTTGCTTTCTCTAACTACATGGAACTCACATATAATCTATGTTAAAGCCATTGCCTCTTCACCACAGTTCTGTTAAAGAAGAAAACCCTAAACATCTGACTTTTCACTGGATCATAAACATTTAAAGATGGAAAAGACACAAAGCAGATTTTCTACACCTTTCGTGAAGACCTACACCTCCTTAGCTTTTAGGAATCCAACTTTTTAAAAAATCTGATTTAAAGGTGACTGAGCAACCTGCCCTTGTTTCTATTTTTCAGCGTCCCTCAGAAAATCTGTGTTAGGTTCAGTAAGCATGTAATGAATGCTGAGGCTTTTGTGCCAACCTATTACTGGTGCTGAAATGGATTCTGAGTGAAATTCTGACCTGCTTTATCCAGTATCAGTGAGTGACGGTGTTACATGGTGCAACAGTATCTATGTCTCTCTGCAAAAGGCAGTCTTCAGCTTAAACTCAATTTGGCTAGTGCATGTTCGATTAAAAAAAAAAAGTGGTCCCTGAGCCTCACTACCTTCCTAAAGAGAATCAAGTCACAGAGAGAGAGAGAGAGAGAGAGAGAGAGAGAGAGAGAGAGAGACATACACAGAAGATTGGCAACTACAGTATATAAGGCATTTGGAAAAGACCATATTGGCAGACCGTCTGCAGATATGCAGCTGACAAAGCACACTGTTGCTGAACTATAACAACCAAATAAGCAGAAATGAGACACTGTCTGTAAATAATATCATTAAGCACCAGATAGATTATTATGCTCAAGTGAAATGCACAGTGCATAATTTTTGTTTAATACTGAAAGCATTTCCAATGACTTTCCATCAATGTTCTTATAAAATCTTAAATATTATAGTAGATATATGTAATCTGCTAAGTGATATGAAAGTAAAATATCTGATCCAGACTCCAGAAACTAGAGTGGCCAGGCCAGATACACAGAAGAACTTCTACTTTTGCCTATAGGATGAGATAATATTGCACATTTCATTCATTTAATTCATTCAAAAAATGTGTGTCAAATTTGTAATATATGGCAAAGTACATTCATCAGTGCTGAGGATATATTACTAAGTGAATCAGAAAATAATCAAATTGATATCATAATGGAGCTGACAGATAATTATGAGGCTAAGATTTAAAAGAACAAGATAATTTCTGTGATAAGTACTATAAAGAAAATGAAGTAGGGTATAACAAAGAAAGTGGTGACAGCTAATTTAGATAACAGGGGCAGGGAAGGACAATTGATAAAATAGCATATCAAAAGCCATGGAATGAAGATGCTGCTTAGAATATCAAGTCCAAGAGGGCCAGAGATGCCCATACCCCCAAAATTTCTTGCCAACCCAAAATGAAAAGGAGTAACCATGATTTCCCATTTCACAAAAAGGTATAGAAAAATAGCTAAAAGAATAGAGCCAGGAGACCTGAAATAAATATAATAATGGCAAGTAACTTAACATGTCTACCACACAGTAGACAGTTCCAAAAAAGCTCACAAGTATTTTCTTATTTCTCCTCGTACTGGGAATGTCAAGGAAGTTGCTACTATTATTCTTACTTTACTGATAAGAGAAATGAAGCTCTGAGCTTGATGTATCCTTGGGTTACACAACTAACCAATGGCAATGCAAAGTCTAAAACAAGAGGCAGAAAACTACTACCAGCAGGCTCAATCCAGTTGGCCACCTGCTTTTGAACATAAAGTTTAAAGGGAACACAGCTTCACTCATTCATTTGCCTCCTGTCTATGGCTGCTTTCACATTAGAACAGCAGAGATGAGGAGCTGCAACAGAGATGGTAGGTCTTGCCATGCCTAAACTATTTACTATCTGACTCTTTTTTTTTGCCAATCCTTGATCAAGGTCAAAAGTTTTCTGATTTTGAGTATAATTTACCTTTCTGTACATGACACTGTGTATGAACCTATTTTGTGTTTTTTTTTTTAATCTTGATCCCTAATTGGAAGATTGAGTCCTGGAGGAAAAGAGTATATTTTAAATGTTGCATCCTGGAAAAAAAATGTATATAATAAACATTTATTGTCATCACTTGATTCACAATAAAACAAAGACAACTGAGTCACAAATTTATGTATATATTAAAATTTTTTTTAGCAAATCTAGCTAATCTTTTATATTCTACTTATTTCCTAGTGCATCCAGATTACATTTTCAACACTCAAACAGAAAGACCAGTCCATATTAGCATGATGAAAATCACAGACAAAATTCTTAATCAGGTTTGTCAAAGATCAGATAGTTGTAGATATGTGGCGTTATTTCTGAGGGCTCTGTTCTGTTCCATTGATCTATATCTCTGTTTTGGTACCAGTACAGAAGACATTTATGCAGCCAAAAAACACATGAAAAAATGCTCATCATCACTGGCCATCAGAGAAATACAAATCAAAACCACTATGAGATACCATCTCACACCAGTTAGAATGGCAATCATTAAAAAGTCAGGAAACAACAGGTGCTGGAGAGGATGTGGAGAAATAGGAACACTTTTACACTGTTGGTGGGACTGTAAACTAGTTCAACCATTGTGGAAGTCAGTGTGGCGATTCCTCAGGGATCTAGAACTGGAAATACTATTTGACCCAGCCATCCCATTACTGGGTCAATAAATCATGCTGCTATAAAGACACATGCACACGTATGTTTATTGCGGCATTATTCACAATAGCAAAGACTTGGAACCAACCCAAATGTCCAACAATGATAGACTGGATTAAGAAAATGTGGCACATATACACCATGGAATACTACGCAGCCATAAAAAATGATGAGTTCATGTCCTTTGTAGGGACATGGATGAAATTGGAAATCATCATTCTCAGTAAACTATCACAAGAACAAAAAACCAAACACTGCATATTCTCACTCATAGGTGGGAACTGAACAATGAGATCACATGGACACAGGAAGGGGAATATCACACTCTGGGGACTGTTGTGGGGTGGGGGGAGGGTGGAGGGATAGCATTGGGAGATATACCTAATGCTAGATGACGAGTTAGTGGGTGCAGCGCACCAGCATGGCACATGTATGCATATGTAACTAACCTGCACAATGTGCACATGTACCCTAAAACTTAAAGTATAATAAAAAAAAATTCTTAATCAATGTGTCATTTGTGATAAATACGGTTTCTCAATGCTACAGTAGGAAATGGATGAGAATGGAAAATTAAAGAAAATAACTTAATTTCATGTCTTAGAAAAAAATTAGTTGACCTTTGAGTATTCAATTTCTTCACCAGGACATTAAGCATTCCATAAAATATGATTACTAGTAAAAAAAAAAAAAAAAACTTCCTGAGTTTATCATTAGTTATTTCATTCATTCGTGAGACATAATTAAATGCTACTCTAGCTATCTATTGCTGTATAATAAATTTCTTCGTAACTTAAGGCTTAAAATAATCACAATTATTTATTAGTATCTCTCAAAATTCTGGGGTTTGATTATGTTCAGTTTGGTGCTTCTTACTTTTGTGCATTTTTAGCTAGACAGTGAGTAGTACTGGAGTTATGCCAAAAGCCTCTATAACACATGCCTGCTTGTTGATATTGACTACAGGCAGGGATCAAAACTGGGAATGGAACACCTACCTACAGACTTACCATGTAACTGGTGCATCCTTAAAACAAGGTACCTAGGTTCCAATAGCCACTATCCCAAGAGCAGGAAGTCAAAGTGGCTAAGTTCTTGTAGCCTGGGCCTGAAAGGTGTCAGAGGGTCCCTTTTGCTGTAATCTATTAGAAGCACAGTTACAGAGCCCAGTTTCAAGGGAACATAGACCCCATTGCTCAATAGGAGAAATATCAAAGAATATCACAGTAAGTTTTTAAAACCACTAGAGTCTGGCCACCAACTTCAAATTATGAACGTTTCTCCAAAACGCAAAATATACTCATCCCCAAGATCTCTTAAGAATTTAATAGCATATTGGTGTCAGACTCATCCTCAAGGTTCAAATGTTTTTATTTAAATTAGTTTCCTAAAGTGCAGATCCTTGGCTTCTGGTTTCTCTCAATCTAAAAATGTATAAACTAGAGACAAGTTATCTGACCTCTCCCCCCAATCCCTTCTCCACACCACACTCAAAATCCAACTGTGGAACAGATACAGAATAACTGCTACTGACTCTGTCTTAGAAAAAGAGAGAAAACAGAAAGCACAGACAGTTACTGGTCCATAGCAATTCTGAAATCCAGCCAGACACATGTTCTGTAGGGCCCTTTCCTCCTTCATAACAGTGATTCTCCCAAACTTTGGCTCTGTGCTCAAAGTTCATGGTTCCTTCCCATAAGTCATTCATCATTTTGCATAAGAAAATTGACTCTGCAACGAATGAGACTTCTCAGCCTGCTTCCCAACACCGTTTTCATTTTATACAGCCTCTATTTCTTTTTTTCCAAGTAGGTGGTGCTTCCACCAGAAATTTATTTTAAAATCTTTGTGAATTTTTTTTTACTCTTATGTGGGTTCACTCCATTAGACTTAGCCAAATCACAAAGCTCTTTTAGGAAAGCTCTTCTCCACCTTGAGTTTCTTGTGAAGCTGCTGTTAGAAAATGAATTTTCGGAAGCCCTATTGTTTAATGGAAAGGACCTGTGAGCTGTCAACTTAAAATCCTCAAAGGCTCTTTTAAGTGTTCGAAAGTTTTCATGAGCCACTGCTTAAATTATTATCAGGTGACAGAACATCCTACCCTGTATTTGATCTTTGACCTAAGCCATGTGTAATTTTAGAATCATTTGCTGTCTGGAGAGACTGGGAATTGAAAATAGCTTTAATTTAAAATACAGCAAGTCCCAAACGCTTTTTATTTAGCATTTTACCAACACACTGGCTGGAAATCTTAACTAGATCCTTGAGATCTTTAGTTGAATTTCCTAATTATGACATTAACACAAGTGACAGTGTTGGTAGACTTTCTGCCACCACACAAGTATCCTCTTTCCTCCAGCTTCCAGAAACATTATCCCATTCTTACTTTCCTCTAAGCCCTCTATGACAGCCCTCTTGAAATATTTTAGGCTTTTACTAGCAGCCTCCTCAAGGTCTTTCTATCTCCTCCCCATTGCTCAATCTCAAAGCCAATGTCAATTTTTAAAAATATGGTAGTATACCATATTTAGTATTGTAATCTATTCCAAATATGTTTTTATAACAAATTATCCCGAAGTTAATGTTTCAATTTTAGCCAGACAGTTGCTAAGTACAAGACATTGCAAAGGCCTCTGCACTTTCATGTCCAGCAGGTGATCCACTGGGACTCCAGCTGGAGCTAATAGGTGGATCATTTATACACGGACTCACCATGTAGCTTGGGCTTTCTTCCAGCATGGCTGAGTTCTAAGAGCAAATATTCCAAGAAGCAGGAAGTGAAAAGTGCCTTTCCTTAGGCCTTGACCCCCAAAATGGGCACAGCGTTACTTCTGCCATATTCTATTGGTCAAGAAATAGCTGATCACAGATTCAAGTGGAGGATACATAGACGACACTGCATGTCACATAATTTGGAGGCTGATTTTTTTAAACTTTCACAAGTTGCAACCATCTTTCAGAAACAAATTTATGCACTTTTAGATGTTACAAAAAATAAGGCATGCAGCATCTCTTTGAGATTATAGTCTAAAATAGTTTTGTTTTTTGTTTTGTTTTGTTTTTTACCATGTCAACTTAATTAAGCTGTACCTTTCCAGAATCCCTTTCCTTATACAAATCCAGGTTAGGTTTGACACAAGGAAAGTTAATCATGATGTAGAATGTGGAAGTGAAAGAGCCATTATTACCCAGCAAATGTTGGTTTCTGGTGACAAAAACATTGCATGTTTCCATGTTATTGCTGAGGTTTAGATTTAATTGCTATCATGGGACAGTAGCTGGGCTTGGAGTAGCTCCACCACTTTTACTGGATTTCCTCTTTCATCTTCTCTAAGTCTTGAACCAGATTAGCATTTAGCCTTGTGGCAAAGGACATCATCTTCTTTTCATGGCCAACTGCATTGCTGATGTTGGAGGCAGTGCAGATGTGGGTTCCAGTTTCCCTCATAGGTTTTTTTTTCTTTACAGATTCCAGTTGTTCCTTTCCGTCCCCAATTTCACTTTTATATTTTTTCCCCGACTGATGGCTTTGCTGACCTTCAATGACTTTAGGTCTACTGCCAGATGCTGAAGGAACAACTTTCCTCAGACTTATTCACCTCCCACAATTATGTGTGGCTTACCCCCAAAATCAATCCTCTATTTCATATTACTTATAGTAGGGCTACTTCCCTGGTAGAAACCAAACTAACTCAGGCAGAGAATGATTAGTAAATTATTATATTTATAATACAGAGTAATATGCAAGATATGTAACGGAGTAACTAACTATGGGATGAGCAAAGCTTTCACAGAAGTGACATTTTACCTGGGTCCTTTTCATTTTTCCCAGTGCAGAAAAGACAGGGCATAGTACTCAAGGTAAAACAAACAACACTGATTCCGCTGACTTTCAAGTAATTGACTTTAAATAAATCACCTTTATTGACTGTAGCTGGTAGTTCTTTCAATCACATACTTTGGTTGTCACTAGACTTTTTCTGTTTACCCAGCACATGAACTTCCATTTGGTCAGGAAAGCCTTGGGATTTATAAGACCTTAGTCACAACACCTCCTTCCGATTTTGTTTTTCAGACATCCCTATTGAAAGCTGCTATTTATTCCCGACCATGACATGGCCAGGATAGAGAAATCTTAATAACTTCCTAGTTCTTCCTGAGCTGGCTCTCTGTGACTTTGCCTGATTACCCTATTTGTAGTGCATTCCCAGAACTTCAGGCACACCATGCACAAATGTGTGTGTCTTTATAAAGCACTTTCTCAAAGGGAGCATCAATCATTGCTCAAGCCAAATCTAGAGTGCTGCTGTTATGGAAGAGTTATTTATGAAATTGCCATCCCTGGGCTTCAGCCTCTGTTATGTCTCAACGAAACTGTTGGACTTTGAGCAACTCATATAATTTTCATATGCCTCAATTTCCACAACTGTAAAATGGATAATATTATCCTTAACAAATGCTGTTAGGGTTGCTGGTGGTGTTGGTTGAATTAAAAATGAATTTGAATAAATTAATTGTAAATTAAATATTAAATACAATCTATCCTTTTGTTAAGTATCAGCCTTTGTTTCTATCCATTAGTGTTGGGAAGTAAGAACACTTTGCAACCTAATAGTCTAGAATTTTACTCCTTAATCTCAGAGTTTTATTTCCTCCGGCGCTATTGAGGATTAGAAAGAATGCATGTAACACAGCTCAGACAGTGTCTAATGAATTCATTATAGGTGCTCCATGTAAGAGACCCAACTGGATCTAATGTAAGTTTGAGGTTATTTAAGATTATTTAATATGGTAGAAGGAGTTAGTCCAGGTAATCTAGGAACACTAATACCCTGTCTTTGTTACCTGCTTCTTTCTGCAAACCATTGCTCTAAATAATAAGGCAAATAAAAGGCAGAACAACACTTTACCAGTAGCTGGATCTTTGTCCCAAGCAAGAGATCATAGTGAGGTCTGATGCACTGTGTGGAGACAGAGTTTATTGAGGATTAAGACCAGGGTAGCTTCATTCTCTCTAAGCTTAAACTTGAAACTCACCATCCAAAGTATTTCACAGAGCAGTGATGGAAACAAAGGTGAATACAGAGAAGTAGAAATCATGGGAGAGTGTACTTGTGCCCATGTTAACTCTAGACTGGCCTATGCCTTCCCCTATACAAGCATAAATCTGAATCCAGCATTTACGTAGAAGAATAAAGAAAGTGTACAAAGAAAGAGATGCCTAATATGGCTGGAACACTGTACTATTACTTCTTTGGCACATGGAAAGAAAGGTTCAGAGAAAAACTGTACATAAATATTTCCCAACTTACATATATACTTTAAAGCTATCCCTTAGGAAAATAAGTCCCATTCAGAGGTCCCAGTATTAGGAAATCTTCCCTCACTGGTATCAGGAAAGAGGATAGTGAAATTGTGTATTTAACCATGACTTATTAATAACATTATCTCATGAGTAGTTATCTTCATTCAGTGTTCATTTTATTTATTTGTCTTTGCTGAAACAGACTAAGACCCTTTGGTGTTAATTCTAGTTCTCGTAGTAGGTAGCTGAGCGACCTTGAACAAGGTTTCTCTCTAGCACTCAATTTCTACATCCATAAATAGAAGGTGTGAACCAGATAATTTGTTGTTTCCCTCTCAGATCTAACATTCTGGTAGATAATCTAGTTACCTAGCTTCCTATAAAGTACTTTTAAAAATTAAAAGTGTGTGCTTTTATTCTCTAGGAAATAGTTTTGCATCCCACTCTTTACTTTAAAAATCTCTGCTGCATGATTTTTCTTTTAACAGACACAAAATCTTGGTGATTTTGCGAAAGTTAAAAATAGAGTCCCTTTGAAAATAGGAGAGTCACGCTGTTTATAAATAGCAGGCCTTCAACTCTGCAGCGTATTCGGTCAGAAAGAGCAGTTTAAACTGGAATGAAGAGTAAAAATAAAACTATTTAACTACTTTTGCAAGAGTCTACCAAAGAGATTTAGATCGCCTATGTTAGCTAAAGAAAGGTATGGAGATGAAAAATTAAGGATTACTGGATTTACTGCGAACAGGAAGGTGCATTTTTAATAATTGCCCGTTTTATAAAGAGGAGACTGAGGCTTAGAGGAATTATTTTTTAGGACTGTGCCCAGAAAAGGGGGAGTCTTGAATGAGAACCTGCTTGATTAGGTCTTTCCATTCCATTATCCCACTTCTGAGACAATCGTGGAGCTCTCTGCTTATCCAACCACTTTCTTTTCACTCAGTTGACCCTAAACTCAAATATGAGACTGAAGGCAGGAGGAACTGTTATCGCTGAAGCATGTCTGCAAAGAGGTACCCCATGGATTAATCAATTAGGAAAAATGTATTTACCAGATACTTTATGCATGGTGCTGTGAAATAAACTTTATGAAAAATGCAGTCTTTGGTGTCAGGATGCCTACACACTGTTAAGGCAAGATCTTATCAAATTAAATGTCAGAAATACATAGTGCCCAAAGAAATACATAATATTAATTTCTAAGCATTCACCCAACATAATGTTCCTTGTATCTGGGTGGTAGTATTCCATGAGAATTTTATTTTTATTTCCTTTTTGCTTTTCTGAATATGTGTGACTTTTACAATGTTATAAAATGCACAGTATAAATTCTCCAAGGAGCAGTTTTCTTAGATACAGATATAATCAGCTTCAGACTACAAAGGTATGGTTGCCTGACTATTTTGGTGAATTAGTTTGTAGTGCTTTCAACAGACATTAATGTTTAGAGAAATTTTAGATTTATGGAAAAATTGAGTAAAAATCCAAGGTGTTCTCTTATATACTTTCACACCCGTCCCCTCAGTATCCCCTGTTATTAATATATTGCATTAATAAGGTATATCTGCTGTAATTGATGGACTGATATTGATATATTAAGTTCATACTTCATGTTAGATAGAGTTCACTATTGGTGTTATACATTCCATGGTTTTTGAAAAATGTAAGATGACATGTATCCACCATTATAGTATCATCAGAATAGTTTCATTGCCCTAAACATATCCTGCACTCCACCTTCTCTTCATACCTCCCTCTCTCCCCTGACCCCTGGCAATCACTACTTTTACTGTATTCGTAATTTTGCTTTTTCCAGAATGTCATATAGTTAGAATCATACAATATCCTTTTCAGAATGTTTTCTTTAACTTGGCAATATGCATTTAATGTTTTTCGATGTCTTTTTGTGGCTTCATAGCTCATTACCCTTTATCTCTGAATAATATTCCATCGTATGGATGTACCACATACATTAATTCATGTATTGAAGAACATCTTGGTTACTTCCAAGTTTGGAAAATAAAAGTAAAATTTCCATAAACATATGTGTGCAAGTTTTTGTGTGGACATAAGTTTTCAACTCATTTGAGTGAAACTCAAGGAGCTAAATTGCTAGATTGCATGGTAAGAGTTTCTTTAGTTTCATAAGAAACTGACAAACTTTCTTCTGAAGTGGTTGTACCAATTCTGCATTTGCACCAACAATGAATGAGAATTCCTATTGTTCCACATCCTTAGCTAAAATTGGTAGTGTCAGCGTTTTGAATATAAGCCATTCTAGTAGGGATATCATGGTATCTTATTTTAATTTGCAATTCCCTGATGATATATGATGTTGGGCATCTTTTAAAGTGTTGTTTTTTTTTGTCATCTGCATATCAGTGAGCTGCCTGTTCCCCATTTTTAAGTGGGTTGTTTAATTTTGTATTGTTGAGTTTCAAAGAGTTCTTGGTATAATTTGATTACTAGTCCTTTTTATGTAATAGGCATTTTCAAATATTTTCCAGTTTTTAGTTCATCTTTCTATTCTCTTAACAATTATCTTGCAGAATATAAGTTTTAAACGATTTACTGAAGTCCAACTTATAATGATTTTTTTTCTTTCATGGATTATGCTTCTAATGTTGTATCTAAAAAGTCAGGACCACATTCAAGGTGATCTAGTTTTTCTCTATTGTTATCTTCTGGAATTTACAGTTTTGCATTTTATATTTAGGCCTATGATTGATTTTCAGTTAATTTTTATGAAAGGCAGAAGATCTGTATCTAGATTCTTCTTTTTTCCTATATGTGGATGCCCAGTTGTTCCAGCACCACTTTATTTTTATTATTATTATTATTTTGAGACAAGGCCTTGCTCTGTCACCCAGGCTGGATTGCAATGGCACAATCATAGCCCACAGTAGCTTTGAACTCCTGGGCTCAAGTGATCCTCTCATCTCAGCCTCCCAAGCAACTAGGAACTACAGGCATGTGCCCCCACACCCAGCTATTTGTTTGTTTGTTTTTGCAGAGATGGCATCTTGCTATGTTGGAAACCATCCCAGACCAGGTGTGTGTGTGTGTTGATGGTGTGGAAGGGTGTTCAAATGTATTCTGGAGAGCTGGGAGTACCAAGGGTTCATGGGACTGCTATACTACTTTGTATAATTCAAAGGAAGGAAAGTCTCCAACAATGAAAACACAAAGTACATGGGCAGTTAACGAAGCATCACATTGGTCTAGGGAATGACAAGAAAATGAATTTGCTGTTGCATATGAGAGCAATGGTTTGTAAGGTAAAAAGCATGAGAGAATATCCCACTGCTTTTGTAGACAGTAGCACTCTTCCTGACCTTTTTTTCACTGTTGCCCTTTCAAAAACCCCTCAAGAGGGACTGCCTCAGAGAACTCACCCATGTATTCATTCATCCAATAACTTTCTGTGGGCCACATTACACTCTGTTTACTATTCTAGACGCTGGGGGATATATGTGTGAAAAAGATAGTAGAAGTTCTTCTTCCAAAGCACCATATACTGCTCCACACTATAAACCTCTTTAAATGCTTTTGTCCTACCATTGCTTCAATAAGCAATTCAGATTTCCTTCTCCTATTTACTGACACAAACATTCCTTTAAACCACCTGCCATCCCTATGGACTTCTTAACCACTGGTATCTTAATTCAGTTTCCTCCTTTGATTCGAGAACATCTGAAACATTGTTTTCTATCCTCAGCATCATGAAACCCTAAACATACAGGTTTCTGTCTTGCTGCTGGGGTGGGAAATTTGGATCAGTATGTGACATATTGTACAAATGCAACTAATGTATTTACCTTTGGCTTTTCTGCTGGTTTTAAAGACTAAAACTATTTCATTTCCAGGAGAAAATTGGATGAGGTGTCATGAGAAAGGTACAGTCATTCTGTGAATTGATCCTCTGGGGGAAAGGTCTGTGATATGGTTTGGCTGTATCCCTACCCAAATCTCATCTTGAATTGTAACTCCCACAGTTCCCATGTGTCATGGCAGGAACCTGGTGGGAGGTAATTGAATCATGGGGACAGGTCTTTCCTGTGCTGTTCTTGTGATAGTGAATAAGTCTCATGAGATCCGATGGTTTAAAAACGGGAGTTTCCCTGCACAAACTCTCTTTGCCTGCTGCCATCCACGTAAGATGTGACTTGCTACTCCTTGCCTTCTGCCATGATTGTGAGGCCTCCCCAGCCATGTGGAACTGTGAGTCCAATTAAACCTCTTTCTATTTTAATTTGCCCAGTTTTGGGTATCTCTTTATCAGCAGTTTGAAAACAAACTAATCCAGGGTGCTTTGTGAACTGGAATTAGGGAAATTCTAGAGAAGCCTATGCAGGGCCTGGAGCAAGTGCTTCACACCCAGGACATCACACAAAGAGGGGAGGCTGGGAACATTGTCAAGGCAAGACACTACGGTGGACCAGGCATTTTAACTGCAGTTTTTCCTTAACTGAATTATCAAAATAGCGTGGAGATACAGCTGTTGCTGTCCATCACTAAGGCTCAAGAACACCAGTAATTTCCCCAGGGTTATGTCGTTCTTTGTTGGCAGAGCTGGGATTCAAACGGAGGTCCGTTCTCTATAGTTTCAAGCTTTTAGCCTTTCTGTTGCTACACACTGCCTCTTAAAGGTGGCAAGACATCCAGAACAGAGCTTCTATTTCAGTTTGTAAAATAACACACTGTAGCAGGTTCTGTTGCTGCTCTGCTCACCTCCCTTGTCACTAATCATCTTAGCACCTGCCAACAGTCTCTCACTGAAGGCAGGTAGGGCTCTCTACCTGAGGGATTTTTCTCAGCCTTCATTATAAGCTGGAATTACTGAGCCTGCAGCTCTGGGAGTACCCCTCTACTACTGACAGATGAAAATTCAAGGACAAGAAGCCCAACTTCCTCAATCCCCAGGTAGGATAACTGTGATATGCTCTACAGAGTTCCCTGGCATAGTTGAACTCAAGTTGTCCACACATCAACTCAAGTGCTAATCTCCTTCAAAACACACCTTTTATTTGCTTCTTACCCTGACTGATCTACCTTCCCCCTTCCCTTACTAGTGCCTCTTGAGATCATCTCCCAAATTCCTAGACACACTCTTTGACTCAAATCCTAGTCTCAGGAGCCAATTCTGTATAAACCCAAATAGAAATACACTTTTTACCTTAGACATAATGAAAGCAGGAGAAAAATTTGACTGATGGTAAAAGATCTTTAAAATTAAAGGTATCCCGGCCTATAGATGAGCTTCTCATTCTGTCTCATGCTTTTATTTTTCACTACTTTTCCTTATGATTAGCATACTTTTGATAACATGAAAGCATTCCTCTTTTGTATCAAAGGAAATACAATCAAAAAGTGTTTGAGGCAGCGCTAGGTTGGGATTTAAAGACTGAAAGGCTAAAACGTTCCCTGAGAGATTCCTGACTGTGTTCCTGAGTTACACTTTGCTGAAAGAATGGGTCTACCATGGGAACACTTAGCGGACAGTAACCATGGAGAGCCTGGATGCACCAACATGCTCCCACCATGCTCTGGTTCAAGGTCAGGCACATCTGGTAGAGATGCAAGAATGTGTTTCTCAATGTATCTTTACATAGAATACAGTATCACAAACTACCACTTCCTGGAAGTTTGTCCTGTGGACTTCATTGTCCATAGCTATACACTTTCAACAGTCATTCTATTGTGAGCCTTTTCATACCAATATTTTTTGGCGGGTAGGAGAGGGCCCATCAGTCATGCTAATTAGCTACCATCTTAACCTGCAGAAACAGTGATGCATGGAAATACGGGTTGGCAGTGAGTCTGAGGAATGTGTACAAAAAGAACAAGTGACTGTGTCAGGGCTGGGATTAAGGGTAGGGACTTAGTACCTGGCAAGTAAAAGGGCAGCCTCTTGACAACAAATTTTAAACCTAGTCATCCTAATAGAGGAGGCTGCTAATATTAGGACTTGCTCTCATGAGAGAGGGATAGGAGTAGCATAAGTACATTCCATTGGGGTTGTAATTAATTCAGTCAGTTGTGGGATGGAGAGAATCTGTCAAGAAGCAGCAGGGGAGTGAGTTAAGATGAGTTGGGTAAAACAGAGGAACCTGGTGTGAACAGTCTCTGATGACCCTACTCTCCTATTCTGGAAGGCAGTGAGGAGAAAGCCACTGAGCAGGGGTGCCAAATTTTCTGAGGAAGGGATGCTAATTCAAGCACTATACAACCGGAAGACATTTCTTAACCTCTCTGCACCTGAATTTTCCAGGCTGTCAAGTGGAAATCTTAGTATGCGACACAACTATTATAGGAATTAAAATGAGATACTGTTTATCTAATTCATGGAACATTGTAGACAATAAATAGCAGTTCCTTTATTATTACACACAATAACCATTCTTGTGGAATTGAATAAAACCCTTCTTAAATGAGTTGATTAAAAGATTCAATTTTTTGGCTGATATACAGAATATCCTTTGAAGATGCTTAAAAAAAACTGAAATGAGAAAGCAGTCATTGTTTTGCTCAGAATTTCTTAATGCATACAGTTAACTATGTCAGACAAAATGCTTTGCTCCCAACAGTGCTTATCATTGTAGACAAGATTATTCTGTCATAGAGGCAGAAGGCTCAGTTCAGGGAAATATGTCTCATTCAAAAAAAAAAAAATGGAATAATTTGATAAAGTACCTTTCAGTCGTGGAAAGGAACAGAGACCCCAGTTTGTCTGTTGTACCACAGATCTCATGGAAAGGAGGTTCCAAAAAGAATAAACCTGAAATTTACAGATAAAATCAATAGAGACACTTGCAAAGTGCAAGACGTACCCAGAGAACACCTTCGTTCTGGGAGGATGCATCTCATCTCTCTGCAGACTCAGCCCAGCCCATTGTGTTACATTCCTCAAGTGATGGCATCAACAACATTCATTTTTCTCTCCCTGCTTCTTTTGAGTCTTGTGTCAACACACAGTAGCTGGTGAATCTCCTCATTATGTTTCCTAATTTCAGTAAGAATGTATCCGGTCCAACTCCTGAGAGCATCTACATTCATTGCATTCTGTGGGGGAAGGAGAAGTCAATCTTTCTATATTGATTTCTATGAAAATGAAGCATGAAGCTAGAAGCACTTTTTTTGGCAGAAAATGATTTTACAAATACAACTCTCTGCCTGAATGTACTGAAAGAATAAGGATCTCTAATTAGTTTTCTAATGCAATTGTGTTCTTATAATAGAGGTTCCCCCTCTCAAAAGAGTAATTACAAAAATAATTGTATTGAGAAATGAAGTAGCTCTTTGCAGGTAAGGAGGTCCCTCTTTCACTGAATGTCAATCACTTGATTTGCTCTTTCTTTGGAAAGAGACCAAAAATAGAAGAGAGAAAAAGTAACAAAAAATAAATAAATAAAAACAAAACAAAAAGCTGTTCTGTGGTACTATGCATGGTTTGTTTAGGAAAAGGCCTCCAGGAAGGCTCTCAATTGAAGTTCATTGAAAGTTTAATTGAAGTTATTAGATTACTGCTTTTGGCAAAAAAAAAAAAAAAAAAAAAAAAAGGAGAGATTGAGCAGTAATCTTTGAGTAGTATATATTAGCAGATTTCTCTCTCTCTTTAAGTGATCAGATTTACCATGTTCACTCTCAGCCTCTTTATAAAAAAGTATAGACATGACACTTTGAAAATAGGGGTAGATGTTGTTCGTTTCAAGGAGGGGTTCACAGAGGATATTAACTGTCCAAAGATACTAAATTGCTATTAAAATTCATAAAACTACATTCAGACATATTTGTTTATGTTTACATGTACACGTCTTGCCATATATTTGTTTATACATATACACACATATATTATATATATAGGCTATGATAGAAATTTTACATTTTATGTTCTTCAAACTGAGGCAAAGACATCATCTTCACTGACATTGTTTACCAGAAAGCTAAACTCTTTCTTCTTGCACAAATCTTTTCTTTTTTCCTCAGGTAGGAAATATATTTGAACTTGAATTCTTGAACTGCCAGAGCATATTCCACTGTCAGACCATGCTGAACATTCACAGTTACATAATTCCTGAACATCTATTTGTGTGTGAATAATTCAATGTGCTTTTGAAAAAATGTTCATGAATGCTTAATGAACAAGAACATATTTGTGCAGGGTAAATCTGAGAGATGAGATGGAGGGGCTCATGCATTCACTCACAGTTTTGAAGCCAGTAATTAATCAGAGATGACTGGAATGAAAGTAGTGTAGCTACATGTGAGGTTGCCACCTCCCATTCATGCCCTTACGTTTGTGTGGTAAGAAAGAAAGCACATGATTAAAAAGGGGCACTTGCATATTGTCCTACTCAGTCTTTGGCCCTTTATCGTATCTCAGGACTGGAAATCCTGCTTTAAAGAAAAACAACTTTAGGAATTTACTGTGTGGATACATGGGGGAAAGCATTCTAGTCCAAGGACTGAAACTTAGATGTTTCATTTTATTTGAAAAATCATTATTTTATTTTTGTTTGTTTATTTTGGTAAAAGTCCCATTAATCCCAGATTCAGCTTCTATAGTGTGTACATTTCTGGGTGTCCTGGTGTCTGTCAGGTTGTATGTGCTCAAAAGATCTTTGTACAGTTGAAATCAGAGTCAAAGCATAGTGACTTTACCTTTCTAAATCTTTCTTCATTTTCCTCTTTCTCTTTCTTTCCAACTAGAAAGCAGCTAAGCTAATTATAAACTCAAGCCTCTAGTTTCCTGCTGAACCACACTGACTCTCAGGATTATGGATGTTCTTCTTCATCACCCTAAAATGCTTCCTCACGTACGCTACCTAATTTCATTTTTACAGTAACATTTTCAGTTGTGTATTAACTTAACAGCCATTTCTACAGATTAAATATGTGTAGGTCTGATAGGTTTGCTCAGCCAGTAATTGGAAGAGTTGAATTTGAAACCATGCCTTTGATTTTAAATCAATATAATTTCTCAGATGCTGTTTCATCATGAGTAAGTAGTCATAAAAGAGATAAAATTATTATATATAAGTTTCCTGGCATTTAGAAAATATGTAGTAGATGGTATTATTATTATTATTTTGCTGGTAGTAATGCAGTATGTGGCTATGGCTAATGAGGAGTTATATATACTAGAATTTCAAAATAATCAACAAAGTCTGTTAACTAAAAAATAAAGTTTGTTTAGAGGCTATGACTAACTTCATTATCAGAGAATTAGAGAAGGTATTAACCCCAACTCTAACGTAATGCCCACTTAAGTGAGTATAAATCAGTAGAACTGTAGAATCACAGCAAGATAGTCAGGAAGTCATTCTTGACCCCAGTTATAATACTCAGAAGGGGATAGGATGGGGGAGTGGAGACATTTGAGCAGATGCAGGGAACAAACAGTTTATGAATAATAAGGGAGAGACTTTCTCCATCAATGCTAAGTCCTGAAAGTCATCTTTTTCTAACCAAAGCCAGAGGCGTTGGTAACACTCCCACAGAGGACATTTTGAAGAAAGCAATCTCAGAATTTCTGCAGAAGACTTGTTCACATAGAAGGAGTGCCATACCTTCATTATTTCCAGAATGTGTGAACTAGCAAATAAAACAAAAATAGCAAATTTAATTGTGAGACATTGCAAAATTGGCCATAAAAATCTTTTCATGTCTGCAGCACACTCTGTTGTGCTATGTGGCAGTGCAAATCACCTCCATCAAGGTATCCCATAAAACTGAGTTGGCCATGTGACTTGCTTTGGTCAGCAGGGCTTCAGCAAAATGCCTGAAGCAGAGGCTTAGAGAGCACTGTTGCATTGAGGCTATCCTCTTGCTGTTCTTGGAACCCTAAGTTTGCCCTATGAAAGAGCTCAAGCTAGCCTATTGGAGCCAGGAAGCCAGACTGAGGAGAACCAAGGCATCCCAGCTGACAGCCAGACAGCTACCAGATGTATGAGAGAGACCATCTCAGGTGCAGCCATCAGCTTGTCTCACAGCTTACCATAGATGCATGGGAGACCAGATCAGAAGAAACATCCATGCAGCCTCCAGTATTGTGAGATGCAGAAAATGGCTGTTGCTTTACATCTCTAAGTTTTGCGTTAGTTGTAATCATCATAAGCTAATGGATTATAATGCAAAGTACTGAGGCTGCATGAAGACTGAGCCAGCAAGGTCTTTATAAAAAGATATCAGAGAAATTTCAGGCAGAATGATTGAGAAAATGTCATGTTTAACTAGGACACTGGGCAGCAACTGGATCCAGAAAGCCTCTTGCTTGTGTTGGGCAATGTTCTACAACTTGTTAGAGAGAGAGAACTGAATAAGTTCCTCATGCTCAAACTCTGCTCCTTAGGATGAACAGCCTCTCTGACCTCTCAACTTCAGTTTCTTCATCTATATAAGGGAATAGAAAGCCTTTCCCCCATCCCCACCCCCTTAAAATGTCAATTCCTTAGTACACCATCTGGGATCCCAGGAAGGCTTGACAAAATTATAGTATTTTAGCTTTGGTGATTATAATAACACTTTCTGAGGTAAGAATTCTACTCTCAAAACCAGAACTTCCTTTCAGGAGCTATGTGGGCTCTGGATTATGATTGGACATACCCTACACCATCAAGATTTATGTGTTCTGAGAGATTAAAGAGTTTGAAAAGAGCCATCATAGGGCAGAAGACTAGGAATTGGAAGCAACAAAACAAGGATTTGAGGCTGATGATCTAATGGGGTGGGGATTGATGTGAACACCAGTCACACATTGAAGCAATGTTTATTTGATTCCTTGTAACTTGGAAGTTCCACTATGTAGGTGCAGAGAGTTAGGAACAAAGCCACTGAAATTTGATTAGTCTAATATGTTTACTTATTTTCAAAGGACTTTCTTATTGTCCATAGAAATTTTCCCTTAAAGTTGTACATTTGGAGATTAATTTAATATAATGAAGTAATATTTACCTGTTAAAGAAATGAGCTATAGATGGATAGATCCTAGAAACTTATTTTAACAGCACTTTTATATACTTGAATAAGCAAGAAAATAAATAAGCTCTATTTTCTCTCAGACACATACTTAATGGTTAAAAATAGTCAAGAGACTTTTGCTTCTAACCAAATAATAATCTAGATATAGTTTAAAAATAAAAAAAGAAAAGAAAATTAAAGAAACAGTGTTCTAGGAAACATGAAAATTGTGTGAAAAAATTCTTTAAAAATATATTTATGTGAATAAACAAGATTGTACGAAAATACTAGAAATCCTCAGGGCTCAAAATGAAGTAGAATTCTCACTGGTGAGTAATAAATTGTCAGTGAAGCTTGTAGATGCCCCAGAAGTGTTGTATAATCCCTGCTCACCTTGAGCCTTCTTTACAATACAGCACATCAAAGGGACATAAGGCAAGACCCTATAGGCTTGTGGAAGGGGAGCAGTTGGCACAGACAGGCTCAGAATAGGACCCCGTAAACCCAGGATATTAT
This sequence comes from Homo sapiens, assembly GCF_000001405.40. Classification (NCBI taxonomy): domain Eukaryota; kingdom Metazoa; phylum Chordata; class Mammalia; order Primates; family Hominidae; genus Homo; species Homo sapiens. The sequence goes on along the minus strand of NC_000004.12, from coordinate 11,678,707 downwards.
GGAGCTCCATTCTCAGTGAACATCCAGACAACAAAAAATCTAACCTTGATGCCAATATGAGTTATCTTTGGGAATAAATGGAAGAGAAAGCAGAATAATTTTTCTACAGTCCTCATAAAGAAAAAATTTCAAACTCTTGGAAAAAAATTATGCCAATACAACCTCTTAAATAAGCACTAACAAGCATAAAACGGTAAGTAAAAGACGGATAAATTCAATTACATGGAATATTAAAATTTACTTCATCAAAATTAGCTATTAAAAATAGTGGAGAAAGAAAAAGAAAGCTTGGAACAGTTACCACACTTACAACCTCTATAAATGATTTTTGAAATCAGTAAAAAAAAAACAAATTACCTAATAGAAAAATGGCCAAATAACATGAACATATGTTTCAACAAAACATATTTTGCTAAAAAATGAAAATATGCTAGCCAATAAATGAATAAATAAATAGCTAATATGATCCATTTCAATAGTAATCTTGGAAAAACAAGTTACAAACCACAGTAAAATAATATTTTAGGCTGGGCATGGTGGCTAATGCCTGTAATCTCAATACTTTGGGAGGCTGAGAAAGGAGGATCCCTTGATCCCAGGTGTTTGAAACCAGCCTAGGCAACATAGGGAGACCTTGTCCTAACAAAAAATTTAAAAAAATCCCTGAGAAATTGCCACATTGTCCTCCACAATGGTTGAACCAATCTACATTTCCACCAAGAGTGCAAAAGCATTCCTGTTTCTCCACAGCCTCCACAGCGTCTATTGTTTCTTCACTGGTTAATAATCACCATTCTTACTGGTGTGAGATGATATCTCATTGTGGTTTTGATTTGCACTTCTCTAATGATCAGTGATGATGAGCTTTTTTTAATGTTTTTTGGCCACATAAATGTCTTCTTTTGAGAAGTGTCTGTTCAGATTCTCTGCCCAACTTTCAATGTAGTTGTTTTTTTCTTGTAAATTTGTTTAAGTTTTTTGTAGATTCTGGATATTAGACCTTGTCAGATGGATAGATTGCAAAAATTTTCTCTCATTCTGTAGGTTGCCTATTCACGCTGATGCTAGTTTCTTTTGCTGTGCAGAAGCCCTTTAGTTTAATTAGATCCCATTTGTCCATTTTGGCTTTTGTTACAATTGCTTTTGGTGTTTTAGTCACGAAGTCTTTGCCCATGCCTATGTCCTGAATGGTACTGCCTAGATTTTCTTCTAGGGTTTTTATGATTTTGAATTTTATGGAGTTAATTTTTGTATAAGGTGTAAGGAAGGGGTCTAATACCATTAGACCCAGCAATCCCATTACTGTATATATACCCATAGGTATATGAATCATTCTTCTGTAAGACACATGCACATGTATGTTTACTGCAGCACTATTTACAATAGCAAAGACATGGAACCAACCTAAATGCCCATCAATGAGACTGGATGAAGAAAACGTGGTACCTATGCACCATCAGATACTATGTAGCCATAAAAAGGAATGAGATCATGTCCCATGCAGGGAAATGGATGAAGCTGGAAGCCATCATCCTCAGAAAACTAATACAGGAACAAGAAACCAAACACTGCATATTCTCACTCATAAGTGGGAGTTGAACAATGAGAACACATGGACACAGGGAGAGGAACAACACATACCAGGGCCTGTTGTGGGGGTTGGGAGAAAGGGAAGGGAGCACATTAGGACAAATACCTAATGCATGTGGGGCTTAAAACCTAGATGACAAGTTGATAGTTACAGCAAACCACCATGGCACATGTATACCTATGTAACAAACCTGCACTTTCTGCACATGTATCCCGAAACTTAAAGTAAAATTTTAAAAAATAATCAGGTATGGTGGCATGCCAAGTATTCCCAGCTACTTGGGAAGATGAAGTGGGAGGATTGCTTGAGCCAGGAGGTTGAGGCTGCAGTAAGCAAGTTTGCACCGTTGCATTCCAGCCTAGGTGACAGAGAGTCATCTTGTCTCAAAAACAAACAAAAAAAGAAATAACATTTTATACCTTATAAATTGGCAATAAAATTAAAAGTCTGACAATTCCAAAGTTTAGCAAAGATGTGGGAAAATGGGAGCCCCTAAACACTAGTGGTATCAGTATAATTGGTACAATTACTTTGGAAAGTGATTCAACATTACCTATAGATGTTTAAGCAAATATATGATGATTAGCAAGTTTATTCCTGGATAAACTTTGCTTTCTGTGTCACAAGAAATAGGTACAAGAATGTTCTTGTTCATATCATTGGTAATAATAAACCTGAAGATTATTTAGTATGAAAATGGAGCCAAAGTCTGGAAATAGACACAAAAGGGAATACCATTTAACAATAAAAGTGATTAATTAGATCTGCATGTATTAGCATGAGCTAATCAAAATATTGAGTGAAACAAAGTAAACTACAGAATAAATTTAGAATGATAGTTAAACGAAGTTCATGACCACATAAACCTAACTGACATGTCATAACCATGGATAGAGAATGAGGGATCACATTGAACTTAGAGTTTATGCCTTCATGGAAAGCGTGGTAGTGAGATGAGGATGGAGAGCTTAGGACCTTCAATTCTATTGGTGATATTTGATCTCTTGAGTGGTGATGACACTCATATGTTTATGACATTGTCCTTCATAAAGATTTCCTGCTAATGAAATATTGTATCATCAATCTTTTATAAAATGACTTGAAAGGCACACACCAATTATACCAAAATCATACTGTCATTACCTCCAGGGAGGGGAAAAAGAACGAGATTTGCAGGTAGCAGGAAAGGAAAAGTAACTCTGTGTCATTTAAATATAAAAGTTTGGTCCTTATCTCAGTCTCTCCTCATCTAAACATACTTCTTAGGTGACTTCATCTACTTCGGTCCTTTAAATACAATTTATATTACAGTAAATTAAAAATCTACATTTCCTGCCTGGTATCTCCCTGGAATTCTAGCCACAGATGTCTAGCTGCTTATTTACCATATCCTCTTGGATTTGTAATAGGTATCTCAATTTTAACATGTCCAGAGAACATGCGGCAATGTTTCTCTGCAAAGGGCTGGGTAATCAGTCTCCCTGTTTCATGACGGACGTCACCAACTGGTCAACTGCTGTGCCAATAATGAGGAGTTACATGTTTTATGGTCTGTTTCTCTCACTGTGCTCTTACCTCACTCAATCCATGAGTAATATTGTTAAATTCTAGTTCCAAAACCCACAAATTCATTCATTTCTCCTGGTCTCTACTCTTACCACTGTAAACAAAGTTACCATCATCTTTTGCCTGGACCACTGCAAGAGTCTCCTAACTATTCTATCTGCCTCCAAAATTGCCCTCCTATAGGCCATTCTTCCAGAATATTCTGAGGAAATATTTTAAAGATAGATCATATCATGTCACTTCTTGATGAAAATCCCACAATGGAATCCTATGCACTTAGAATAATACCCAAATGCTGGTTTGCCAAGCTCTATGTCTGGCTTCTGACCATACCTCCTGCTCCTTCTCATACCATTCTTCCTCACTCACTACATTCTAGCCCCACTGGCCTTCCTCCTGCTATTGACAATTAAGCAAGCATACTTTGCCCTTAATATGTCAGTGTTAGGTTTTCTTCCTATCTGGGGTTCATGCTGTCCCTTGCTGTCATTCATGTTGGAGTTTGAGGGCCACCTCTCAATAGGCCTGCCCTGAGCACCCATATAAGGTTGTCACCTAAAAATTATCTGGAATTGCCTCACCTTAATTTTCTCCATAGTTCTCATGACTGTTACATAGATTTGTTTAAATATTCATTCTTCTCTCTCTCCAAAAAGTAAAATCACACACATACCTAACCCTGATTATGTGCCTGGCTCTTTTCTGAAAACGACGTGTATTTACACAGTTGGTACTCAGCACAATCCTTCAAGGTAGGTGATATTATTATCCCCATTACACAAATGAAGAAACTGAAGTATGGAAAGATTAATTTACAGCTACCAAGCACCACAGCCAAGACTTGAACTCAGAAGGCAGGCTCCAGAAACCAGACAATACACCCCTATACTCTACCGCTTCCTCTGTGCACACAAATCCTCTTGTCTTGTGTTTTTTTTATTTTTTTCTCTCTCCATTGTCACCGCTTAGAACAGGGTATGGTACATGGTGGCTACTCAAAAAACAATTGTTGAATAAATGACAAATAAATATATTTTAAAGAAAATGCATGCTGATATTGCTTGCTGCACACACACACGCACACAACAAAATGATGTGGGACCTTGAGCAACTCAAATTTAACTTATCTCTGTTTCAGGTTTCTTCGTCTGTAAAATGGAGATAATGATTTAACCTATAATACAGAATGGTAGGGATTAAATACTTTAATATGCATAAAATATTTACTATAGGGCTTGTGTGTGTATATATGCATATTATATATATACTCAATAAATGTTAATAATGAAGATGAAGAAGAAAATAATGATGTCTAAACATGGATGGTTGGAAAATATTTTTTTGCTTTCTACTTTTCTTGAATTATCAAATTTCCAAATGTATAACTGTTATCTAAATATAAATATCTGCATATCTATATTATTTTCTAAGTTCTTTAGCTATTTGGAAGAGAAACACCTAAACTGGCTGGATCCCTCCCATGTGATCACTTTCCTAGCTCCAGAGCTGCCTAGAGCAGATTTGCATCTCCTCAACAGAATCGTGTCTTATTTGAAAACTGTTCATCTGGGGCTGCAACATGTCAGGATACCTCTAAAAGCAGGGGAACAGAGGCGAGAGCATAGGCCAGAAGCATAAGAATGTAAGACGCTCACATTCTACTGAAGAAATGATGGTATATAGTTTGGCTGTGTGTCCCCACCCAAATCTCATCTGGAATTGTAATCCCCACATGTCCACGGAGGGACCTAGTGGGAGGTGATTGGATCCTGAGGGTGGTTCCCCCATGCTATTCTCATGATAGTGAGTGAGCTCTCAAGAGATCTGATGGCTTAAAAGTGTTTAGCAGTTCCGTTTCACGCTCTCTCTCTCCTTCTGCCTCATGAAGAAGGTGCCTGCTTCCCCTTCACTTTTCACCTTTATTGTAAGTTTCTTGAGGCCTCCCCAGACATGCAGAACTGTGTCAATTAAACCTCTTTTCTTTATAAATTACTCAGTCTCAGGTAGTTCTTTGGAGCAGTGTGAAAATGGACTGATATGGAAAATTGGTACCAGGAGTGTGAAAACGGACTAACGCAGATGGCAAGCAAACCAGGACACGGTGTATGCTGAGTTCTATGATAGGGGAGCACCAGAGGGCCCAAGAGTAGAGTCACCTTAACCTGGGTGCCCATGTGTTCCCTGGTGCCAGGATGGTCAGGTTTAGAATTGGAACATTAGTTTTACAGGACCACTTTGAAAGTTTGTCAAGATCTACTCTTTTATTCTCAATCACTTGCAGAATTCTAATATGTCAACCAAGGACACTAAAAGTATGTCTTTTCCCTATGATGCTGGTCTATTTCCATTTCCTCGCAACAGCCCTAAGAAATAAAAGTATTACATCCATTTTAAAAATGAAAAACTAAGGCAAAAAGGTGAAGGATTGCAAAGCTGATAAGAAGAGCAGTTCCAAAATCCATGTCCAAATATCACGGACACTTTGAAGTCAGAAGTCGCTGTGCCAATCATTAACAAATGTCTTTGGGCAAGTTATTCACTTCTTAGTTTGTCCATTAAAAAATGCCCTAATAAACATTCTATGCACTGCACTATTTCTATAAGGACTACATGACATGATTCACATAATAGTGCTTTATAAACTATACAGTGGTTTAAAATTAAATGGATAATCATAGAAAGCAACTATTAGTTACTCTAATAATATAATGGTTACAGAATCATTATTATCAATAGCCATCTTAATGTTTTTCAGGTTATCTTAAATAAGGGCAATAGCTAGGCTAAGGGATGAGAGCAGAGAGGAAATAAGGACTATATGAGACTCCAGTTTTAGTACTTGATCAGTATCAGAAGTCGATCCTACAGGTAGGCTTGTGATTCAGGACAGTGGTGAGGAAGGGCTGGAGGAGCATTCTTGTTCTCCTATTTTAGTATCACATGCAATATAAAAAGGACCTACTCAAGAGTGGGGATTGGACTCAACCAGTGGAAGCTCAGATTGAGGCAGGTTTCATCCCAGTCCCAGAAGCTCTTTGTTACCTTAGATATGTGATGTATATATTCTTTGTTTTCATTTTTGTGTGACTATAAAAGGTAGACATTACTATTGTTTATTTTCCATAAAAAAGCTCTGTTAAGAGTTTGGTGAATATCCTTACTTACCTTCAAAAATATATAGATCATAATTGCTCTTCTAGAGCATGTATTTTTTAATTTAGCAAAAAAGTTCACACTTTCTCACATCACTTATTATTACTTTAATATGTTATTTTATTACATAAATATATCACAGTGGGCTTAATCATTTACTTTTTATCAATTTGAAATTGTTCTTAATTTCTCATAATTATAATTTATAAATACATTCTTATTAATGTTTTTACAAGTATATATTTCAATGTCCTTAGAATAAATTCCTAGATGCATATATGCTGGGACAAAAAGCATGTTCACCTTCATAGCCTTGGCTATTTACTGGCAAAATGCTTTACTGAAAGGTTAAACTATTTAAAATTTTACCAGACACTTACGAGTGCCCATTTTCTTTGGCTTTTTTTTTAAATTTGAGAATTATAGTTTTAATACTTTCTCATTTTAATAGTGCTGCTGTTTAATTTTAAAAATAATAGTTAGGTTAAACCTTTTTAATAATGTGCTTATTGCCTTTGAGATTCTTATTTGTAAACAGTGTTTTCAGGAATCCAGAATGGCATTTACTACTGCCTGTGGGGCTTTCCTCTTGGTTGTACCATTGATCCCAGAAATAATTATTTATCCTTCCTGGCCCATCTGTATTATTTCTCCTGATTTTCTCTCCTGGTTAATGGTACACATTATTAGTCTAGTTAACTAAGGCCCTATCGGAGCTCTTATTATATGTTTATTTCACTCTAAGTAGGCACCACATTTTGATAATTCTACCATTTAAACATCTCTCATACCTGTTTCTGCTGGTCTATCCCCGGTAAGACTGTCCTAGGAGAGTTGCTGATCTTTACTTAAAGAGGCACTTCCAGTAGCTTCTCAGGAGGAATTGTAGCCTCAGATTCCCTCCCACAACATGTCTGTCCCTGATTGTGCCAGAATGATTTTTTCAAAGTGCAAATATGCTCATGATGATTCTCCTTCCTTTCTCTTTGTGTTCCTGTGGAACTTTATATGAATGCCTTCGATATTAATCTTCCAGTGAGTTTTGGATACCTATCACTGGTAGTAGGTAATGGGGTTTTTGGTGTCACATGAATGGACACCTTTATTTCACTAATTTGGTGTATTTGTTTTAATGCAGTTGAAATATTACAATGTATCTAATGAATGATAATGTATATTCGTTACAAATGTTTTATGATTAATAAATAATAAAAAGATTGATTGGTAAAAATGTCCAAATGATTCTCCAAGATGAAATTTCGGTTAGTAAAATTTGTGAAGCTCTGTTTCATGCTGTGGGCTCATTGTATTACAGCTGTACTTGGGGCTTAATTTCCTAACGAGCAACGAGCCCCAAGGTACAGGAACTCTCTTTTTGACTTCTTTATCCTAGGCATACATTCTTAAAACCCAATACATTTTACCTAAATAAAAAATGAATAAATGAGAATATTAACCTTACTTTTTTCTCTTTTTACCTGAACATTTATTCTTTGATCAATATTGACTAAGATTTTGTGAATATGAAAGGAGTAGAGAAGATAAATTTGTGAGCATGTCTCACCTTTCTCTAAAATTTTATAAGTACCAGAGGTCCATCTTTTCCCTTTGAGTCTGTGAATTCCTTACCTTTCCACATCTTTTTACTTGTACCTATGTGAATCATATTTGAGATTTTTCAGGGCACCACTTTCAAATATTCAAATATGCTATTAACAATTAAACTTGGTTTACAATGGCAGGTATACATTGTTTAACAATGAGTATATTAATATTTTCAGAGAAACACATCATTAAGTGATTTCATCATTGTTTGAACATCATAAAAAGTACTTACACAGACTTAGATGGTAGCACCTGCTACACATCACACCCAAGTTATATGGTATAGCTTATGGCTTCTATGCTACAAGCCTGTATAGCATGTTACTATACTGAATACTGCAGGCAATTGCAGCACAATGGTAAATGTTTGTTTATCTAAACTTATCTAAACATAGAAAAGGTACCAAAACAAGCTTTTGGCCTGAATAATTTACTGCAGAATTCTACCTTTTTTTTTTTTTCTGTAAACACAGTACTGGGCCAGGCACAATGGCTCATGCCTGTAATCCCAGTACTTTGTGAGGCTGCAGCAGGCAGATTACTTGAGGTCAGGAGTTCGAGACCAGCTTGGCCACCATGGTGAAACCCCATCTTTACTAAGAATTTAAAAATTAGCTAGGCATGGTGGCATGCACCTGTAGTCCCAGCTACTCTGGAGGCTGAGGCAGGAAAATCACCTGAAGCTAGGAGGCAGAGGGAGCAGTGAGCTGAGATTGGGCCACTGCACTCTGGCCTGGGCGACAAAGTGGGACTTCTTCACCTCAAAAGAAAACACACACACACACACACACACACACACACACACACACAATACCAATTCTTCTTAAGCTATTACAAAATATTTAAGTGGAGGAAATTCTTCCAAGCTCATTCTTAGAGGCCAACATTACCTTGATGTCAAAATTAGACAAAGAAACCAAAAAAAAAAAAAAAAGAAAAAAAAAAGAAAAAGATAAAAGAAAAGAAAACTACAAGCCAATACCCCTGATGACCGTACATGCAAAATCCTATTGACAGCAGCCTGGCCAATACAGTGAAACCCCGTCTCTACTAAAAATACAAAAAAAAATAGCCAGGTATGGTGGCTTGCGCTTGTATTCCCAACTACTCAGGGGGCCGAGGCAGGAGAATCGTTTGAACCTGGGAGGTGAAGGTTGTAGTGAGCCGAGATCATGCCACTGCACTCTAGTCTGGGTGACAGGGTGAGACTCCATCTCAAGAAAAAAAAAAGGGGTATCCTGTCATTGGTGACATGCACGGATAAACCTAGAGCAAATTATGTGAAGTCAAATAAGCCAAGCACAGGAGGACAAATACTGCATGATCACACTTACACAAGGAATCTGAAAATGTTGACCTCATAGAAGCAGAGAGTAGAATAGTGGTTACCAGAGCTGGAAAGAATGAGGAAATGGAGGATGAGGAGATATTAGTCAACCAGTAAAAAGTTCCAGATAGAGAGGAAAAATAAGTTCTGACATCCTGACGCAGAGTAGGGCAACTGTAGTCAACAACAATGTATTGTCAGCTTCAAAATAGCTTGAAAAGAGGAATTTGAATGTCCTAACCACAAAGAAATGGCAATTGTTTGAGATGATGGGTATACTAATTACCTTGATTTGTTCATCACACATTGTGTATATGTATCAAAATATCATCCTGTGCTCCATAAATATGTGCAATTATGTTTCCATTAAAAACAAAACAGTAAAAATATGGCATAAATGAGAAAAAGAGTACACCTGTATAAGGGTCTTCCTGTGAATGGAGCTTGCATGGCAGGAAGTTTCTCTGGGTGGGTCAGTGAATGAGTGGTGAGCGAATGTGAAGGCCTAGGACATGACTGCACACTACTGTTGACCTTATCAACACTGGACACTTAGGCTACATTAGTTTTATTTTAAAAAAATTTCTCCAATAATAAATTAATCTTTGCTTACTATATATATTTTTAATTTCATACACTTTTAACTTTTTACCTTTTTGATTATTTTGTAATAAAACTTAGCTTAAAACCCAAACACCTTATATAGCTGTACAAAAATATTTTTCTTTATATCCTTATTCTATATGCTTTCTAATTTAATTTAATTGTTTTTACTTTTTAAACTTTTTTTATTAAAACTAAGACACAAACACACACATTAGCTAAGTCCTACATAGCATCAAGATGATCAGGATGTCGCCAGGTGATAGAAGTTTTCAATTTCATTTTAGTCTTAGGAGGCCAGGAATAAAGTAATAAAACAGTGTGATCTTTCTGTTAAGCCAACGGCAAAAGGGGCAAGTTGGCAGAGCTGGCTTCTTGTACTGGTCATCCACTATTTAGTAGGTGAATTTGGAACTTAAGCCTTTAGTTTCTCTGTCCCATCCCCTCATTATAAAAATAAGGATGTTTTGGTGCTGACAACAGAGAGATCAATGAATCCACAAAATTAATGTCAAAGTAAGACCAAGAAAAGGGTTTTTTTTTTTTTTTTTTTAAACAGTCTCGCACTGTTGCGCAGGCTGGAGTGCAGTGGCATGATCTTGGCTCACTGCAAGCTCCACCTCCTGGGTTCATGCCATTCTCCTGCCTCAGCCTCCCAAGTAGCTGGGACTACAGGCACCCGCCACCACGCACGGCTAATTTTTTGTATTTTTAGTAGAGACGGGGTTTCACCATGTTAACCAGGATGGTCTTGATCTCCTGATGATCCGCCTGCCTAGGCCTCCCAAAGTACTGGGATTACAGGTGTGAGCCACCGTGCCTGGCCTTGCATTTTATTAGAATAATTGATTTCTGTGATTTTTAAAAATCTCTAATCCCAAGATGATATATGATCAAATCAACCAAGGAACATACTCTAAGTCCAAAAGCTACACACAAAAAATTGATTTGTATAAATTATAACAAGACTAACAATAAGGATTGAAAGAAAGGAAAATCAATAATACCAATTCTTAGAATACTGCATGATTTTTATACTTACATGAGTAATTCCATAGTTTATAAGTTTCCTAGACAAAGTGCTTGTATTCAGGCTGATGCTAAGTGCATTCGCACCAAGAGGGTCTCATTGACTGTTGTCAGTATCTGTTCTGGTTAGTCACAAAGTGGGCTAAGCCTGGGAGGAGGAGGCTGCAGTGAGCCAAGTTCACGCCACTGCACTCCAGCCTGGCAACCAAGTGAAACTCTGTCTCAAAGAAAAAAAAAAAGGAAAACTTGGAAGGGGACCGCCAAAGTGGATTAAGAATAGCCACAATGGCACATGAACTTACTAATCCTTCTATATAAAAGACTGTGCCTTAGCATATGCAATATAAAATATGGCCCTAACCAAATTCAAATTTTTGAAAATTGTTCAAGCAAACATTTTAAATCTCAATAAATAGCTGCTTGGAATCAATGTGCCTTTTTACCATGCTCCCTGCAGGAAGTAGCAGTACTGTACCCGCTTCCCATGTGCTTTTTGTTTTCCTTTCATTTTTCACTTTTCAGAACATTTGTGAACAAAGATGTAATCATATCACAAAAATCCTATTGCCTACCGAGTTGATAAGCTCTCACCAAAATGGGGCAGATTTTTCTTCACTCAGTCTTAGCATTTGTAGAAACTGTAAATCAGAACTTAGAAATTGTATTTACTATTTTCCTGCTTCCAAACTGAACACCACTATGACCTGCTGATCTTCTTTTTTTTTTTTTTTCCTTGAGACAGAGTCTAGCTCTGTTGCCCAGGCTGGAGTGCAGTGCGTGATCTTGGCTCACTGTGACCTCCGCCTCCTGGGCTTAAGCAATTCCCCTGCCTCAGCCTCCCAAGTAGCTGGGATTACAGGTGCCCACCACCACACCCAGCTAACTTTTGTATTTTAGTAGAGATGGGGTTTCACTGTGTTGGCCAGGCTGGTTCAAACTCCTGACCTCGTTATCCACCCACCTCGGCCTCCGAAAGTGCTGGGATTACCAGTGGGAGCCACCGCGCCCAACCTTCTCTTATTATTATTTAATTAATTTACATATTGCCTTGGTTATAAGAAGAGATACAGTGGATAAGGCTACATGTAGTGCACCTGAATTCATCCACTCTGGTGACAAACCCTTGGAACTACTCACAATTGGCCTTTGGGAGGATCCTTGAGTAAAAGTAATGTGTAGAGTTTTAGAGAACTATTCTGTCAACCACATATGGACTGCTAAACCTTCAGCCTCCCAAACAGCACTCTGTGAACTGTTGTATTACACATGATGGTTGTGATTTAGTGGAAAGAACATTAAATGTGGAGTCCAACCAAACTGTGTTCGAGTTTGACTTTATCTACAAGTTAAATGAGCAACCTTGACAGAAGCTACCTAAGTTCTCAGTATTCCAGTTTATCTACTGCAAATGTGCTATTACCTGCCCAACTGACTCTCTGTCTTGTCTAACAGAGCATGATCACTGCAAACTGTCCATGGACAGAAACAAATCAAGAAACGAGAAATTAGTTCCTTGCCTCTTTCCAACAATGCGCTTCTTTTCATCTCATTATTACACTTCATGCAGCCTCAAGTGTGTCACCTCACAGCCACACCTTCACTGTTCACAGAGCAACACCAGTGAAATAATGCATCCAAGCTATCATCACCTCTCACCTGGACAAGGGCAAAAGCCTCATACCTGGCCTCCCTTTGCCCACAGTTGCTCCCAAAGTGCTTCCTCCATCGAGTCGCCACAGTAACCTTTTAAAAATGCATGAGATCATGCCATTCTCCTGCTTAAAATACCCCCAAAGACTTCCCCTCAGACACCTAGCATGAAACCCAAAATCTTTGTTGAGTTCACAAGGCTCCGCAAAGCCTCACCACCACCTGCCTTTCTGACCCCGCCTCTTACCATTCTCCTCTTCACCTCCATCTTTCAACCTTGCTGGTCTTCTTTCTGTTTCTCAAGTACACCAAGCTCTTTTTCAACCCACCCTGTGGCATTGCACAGCACACTCTGTTCTCTTCTATTCATGTTCTTCTCTCTGTTCTCTCCTGGATGGCTTCTTGTCACCTTCAGATTTCAGATCACTTCTTCCGAGGGGCCGTCTCCAGGTACTCTTTCTGAAGTACTCTTTCTCCAGCATCTGTAACTTTCTTGGCAATGCCCTATTTATTTCCTTCATAGTACTAATCACAATCTCAAGTTATCTCCTAAATTTAGGCTTACACTTCATTGTCTATCTCTTCCTATTACAGCATATGCTCCAAGAGACAGGTCATCTGACGTGTTCATTGCTTGACCCTTGGTTTCTTGAAGAGTGCTTACACATAGTAGGCTCTGGAAAAACACTTGGGAATATAAGCCCCTTTGTAATTAATCTCAGGATACCTCTTCTGTATCACCAACCACCTTCCCCTCTATGTTCCAGCATCACCAACAAAGTTGATCACTTGGCTTGGAACATCTGTTTTTTCCTTCAGGAAAATGCCTCTGCATCGCCTAATCTTGCATACGCATCTTTGGAGATACACTCCATCAGCAACTTCCCCCAAAAGCCTTGGCAACCTCTCTAAATTGTGTTATGTGGCCTTTCTCCATGATTGTACTACCTAAGGCATATCTTTCGTATTCGCTTACCAAGTACATTAGAATGCTCGTGCAGAGTTCTGTCTCGCCTCCACCATTTTATACTCTGCCAAAGGCCAGAGACAAACTTAAAAAAAAAAAAATCAGTGCATTCACAATATCTAGCAACATGCCTGATACATAGCAGGTGCTAAAAGAAAATGTAAAAAACACATGAGAATGAGGGAATGGGGTCTCATAAATCAGCTAAAACAAGTAAAAGAATTAAACACATTAAAGTAGCAGGAAAAAGGCAAATAAGTCATCTCTTTGGCATTTCCCTGAGTGTCCACCTCTCATAATCATTATTATGTGAGAATCTGTCCTATTCTAGATATGAGGACCTATGAAAAATATAAGCACATTTGCAATGCTCTATGCACTCGACATGATTTTTTTCACTTGTAGATCCCCAGTAGGTAGAGTAATAGATGAGCTACAGATGAAATAAGCAAGTCAAAGTCTATTGTCCAAAATCAAACAACCATGGAAATGGCAAAAACTGAAATTTATCACTCAAGATTTTTTATATAAGCCATACATGTGTATAGCTACATTTGGTTCACTCTCCCACCCTGGAAGAAAATCATGGTGCATTTAGTACACATGCTCTAAGTCGAGGCCTAAGTGTGTTGAGCCTTTTACCTTTGTTGGATTGGTAGCCTAAGTTAAATTTATTTGTTTAATTGTTTTTCATCAACTTTTAAGTTCCAGGGTACATGAGCAGGGTGTGCAGGTTTGTTACATAGGTAAATGTGTACCATGGTGTTTTGCTGCACCGATCAACCCATCACCTAGGTATTAAGCCCAACATCCATTAGCTGTTCTTCCTGATGCTCTCCCTCCTCCCAGCCCCCGACAGGCCCCAACATGTGTTGTTTTCCCCCATGTGTCCATGTGTTCTCATCTTGTTTAAATTTTTGACAGAGAAATTAATATTATGGGTTTCTGTCTCCCTGATGAAATTAGAGACTACATAACACAATTTTCAAATGATAAAAATAGAAATGCCTAATAAAAATTAGAACTTTATTTTAGGCTAAATTAAATTAACCAAATCACAATTAATGCTGGAGGAGCCTTCACAAATTTTCCATTTCAGCAAGTCTTTAAATTGTTTTTCAGGTACCCAAACATCTGAGACATAAGATTTTTTTTTCAGAACACTATCAAACATGAACATTAAAATAACAAAGTGCCACTTACATGTAGACATATAGTAGCATATGCCAATTGCTTAAGACATCATTAGTGTGTGTGTGTGTTTCCAATCCCCTGCCCCAGAGAAAATGCAGCTCCTTTATTTTACCTACAAATGATTGGTTTTTCACTAGAGCCTTCCCCCTCCTCTGATCTAGGAGGAAGGTGACTAAATTAAGGATAATCTAGCAACCTTTCACTGAGGCAGTCATACCAGGAACCTTATAGGTAATGGTTGTTCTAAAAGTTCTTATCCAAGAAGCCATAGGGGTATTGGAAGGAGCTCACTGTGTCCTCACAGAAGCTGTGGGTTGGGGGAGGTCCTCGGGTGCACACAGTGCATCCTCTGGACCCTTGGTGGTCCATGCCTGCAATGGCTACACCAGTTGATTCAATAGATTAGTGGATCATTATAAAATGATTATTTTATTCACTAATTCATTGACGAAACTGGTATAGACAGTGGATTAGTGGTGCACTGCCTCTGAACACCTTTTGGAAAGTACTGTGTGAGCACCTCCAAGAGTCCATGGTTCCGACACTGAGTCCAGAAGACTTCGTCTATAGGGACTCCTTATTCTTCACTCCTTGCTTTCAAAAACTTCATGGGGTCATCTGGGTCTCCTGAATGATACATCCAGGCCCTGGGAAGACAGGGATGCTGCGATTTGTTCACTGTTCAGCTGCTTCCCACAGATGCAGCCAACAAGGACTTGTGTCATCACCTTGCATCAGCCAGCATGAGACTGTGATGGCTACAAGCAGGGTTCTCCTAGAAACTTGCAGTCCTCCATATTTATGTCAGAGAAAGCATGGCACCGCCACATTTGTTGCCAGGCTTTCCCATACCTATTTGGATTTTTAAAGTCTTTATCATCTGCTTAGGTTCCTTATCCATGGAGGGTAGGGGGAGAAAATTAAAGACCCTGGATCCTGATCTACTTCTTTTTCTAAGTCCTTTTTTTCTCCTATTTATAGGAAATTTTAAAAAAATCAAAATTTAAAATCATGTACATTAACATTTCTGTTCTAATTGAAAACTTCATCATTATTCCCCCACCACCCCCACCCCCCGCCTTTATGTTTTTTTTAGACGGAGTCTCACTCGGTTGCCAGGCTGGAGTGCAGTTGCACAATCTCGGCTCACTACAACCTCTGTCTCCCAGGTTCAAGCAATTCTCCTGCCTCAGTCTCCCAAGTTGCTGGGATTACAGGCATCCGCCACTATGTCCAGTTATTTTTTGTATTTTTAGTAGAGATGGGGTTTCACCATGTTGGCCAAGATGGTCTCGATCTCTTGACCTCATGATCTGCCTGCCTCAGCGCCCCAAAGTGCTGGGATTACAGGCATGAGCCACCGTGCCTGGCTCATTATTCCATTTTTCTAATTGAAGTTTATCGTTATTCCATTTTTTCTAATGGAAAGTTTATCATTTTTTTCACTAAAAAAATGTATTTCACCAATAAAGTATCAAATTTCTACATTATTACAATTTAAAAAATACTAATCTTTCCAGCAACATCATTTTAGAGATAAGACCCAAAGAAACCTTGCAAATTTCCTAAAATCTCAATTCTGCTCCTTACAAAAATTCTAAGGGGCACTAATATTTCATCCCTTAAATTAAGAGTAGATGGTCATTTGAATAATGAGAATTAGGGATTGGGTAAGCTATAGAAAAATGCAAATTTTAAGAGCACATTGGGTCCCTGAAAATCTCTACCTTATGACTTTGGGTATCTGAGTTTGTCTAATTTAAGATTATAACAAGCCCAGGAGCGAAAACGCATTCCCTTATTCACTCATCAGTTCATTCAAGCAGCCACTCACTCACTTTTTTTTTTTTTTTTTTTTTGAGACGGAGTCTCGCTCTGTCGCCCAGGCTGGAGTGCAGTGGCGGGATCTCGGCTCACTGCAAGCTCCGCCTCCCGGGTTCACGCCATTCTCCTGCCTCAGCCTCCCAAGTAGCTGGGACTACAGGCGCCCGCCACTACGCCCAGCTAATTTTTTGTATTTTCAGTAGAGACGGGGTTTCACCGTTTTAGCCGGGATGGTCTCGATCTCCTGACCTCGTGATCCGCCCGCCTCGGCCTCCCAAAGTGCTGGGATTACAGGCATGAGCCACCGCGCCCGGCCACTCTTTCTTAATTCATTCAACAAGAATATGTTCATTATCCACCTATTATGTTTTGACCACAGGGCCAATAAAGGTTTAGAGTTATTGAAGTATACATTTAATAAACTATGGTCTTTTCCAGCAAACAAAACTAAGGAAGATAGAACAACACATGTTTGTAAGTAATATAACTGAGATATTTAGAGCGTGCTGGGATCACAGAAAAGAGAGAGATTACCTGGGACACCAGTAGAGCGACTATATAGGAGATAGCATTTGAAAGGAACCTGCAAGGAAATTTTTACTGAATGCTGAAAGCCACAGAACTCAAAGCAAGAGCTAAGGTGTAGGGACACAAAAAAATGAAGCACTTTGTACTGAGTGTCCTGATTTTTTAACTTGGAGTTTCTGATAATTGCCAATGTCAGTAACCTTCTTTATATAGCAACTTAACTGTTTAAAGCAAATAAATGACATAGCATGCTGGAAATAAGAAGCTTAAAAAGCAGATAGATGACAGGAGTTCTGGATGTATGTGCTTGTTATGCCAGACTAGTTATGTAAATTTGGGTCAGTTAGCCTCTCTGAGAATAATTTTTTTTCCCAGAACAAAAAGTTTTTAAATTATAAGGGATAGAGCAATAATAACAATTACAATGATAGCACCTTAAATTATTCAAGAGCTACTGTAAAAGTGTTTGAAGTTATTACCACGTATTTTTAAACCAATTAATTCTCACAATAGCCCTATTATGTAGAGGCTCTTATTTTCTCTATATTCAAAATAATAATCAATATCAGTGGATCTCAGTTTTTTGAGACATAAGAAATACTCGGTGATGGCGGGGTGCAGTGGCTCATGCCTGTAATTCCAGCACTTTGGGTGGACGAAGCAGGCAGATCACGATGTCAGGAGATCGAGACCATCCTGACTAACATGTTGAAACCCCGTCTCTACTAAAAATTTAAAAAAAAAAAAATTAGCCAGGCATGGTGGTGGGCCCCTGTAGTCCCAGCTACTCAGGAGGCTGAGGTGGGAGAATAGCGTGAACCCAGGAGGTGGGCTTGCAGTGAGCCAAGATAGTGCCACTGCACTCCAGTCTGGGTGACAGAGCGAGACTCTGTCTCAAAAAAAAAAAAAAAAAAAAAAAACTTGGTGATGGGGCCAGGTGTTGCTAAAAGCGCTGTTTCATGAACTAGCCCCACTTCTAAGAAATTTTATTTACCAGATCTGTGGTTATCTGCCTTGCCTTCTCCTCAGAACCACCTGGAAGGATTTTCAAATGTCTGAGGCATGGCCTCCACCCAGATAAATTCAAGCAGAATATCTGGGAGTTGTGTGGTTTCAGTTTATATATCTCCCCAAAGGATTCTCACATGCAGCCGAGGTGGAGAACCTTGCTTTAAATCTGCTCATCCAGACTCCAGATTGGTTCTGCTGTGCTATGGAAATCCCTGAGTGTGAGGAGCTATAGATGAAGGAGGAAAAGAGAGGATGAGTTAGGGAGGTAAAGGTAATGAAGACTGAGGAATGAATGGGGAGACCCATTCTCAAGACAGGAAATTAGGAAAAGGCTGTGTGATTTGCAGATGAAGGGAATTGAGGAGGTGAGGTTTTAGATCGTTTATGTGAGCAAGTTGGCCAGTATTGCAAATTGAAGACAGATTTGTTTTTCCACATACCATGAATTAAATTCAAGATATTGGAACCAAGGCTTAACTGTAGAGTTAAACAAAATCTTCGATAAAAACTAGAAATCCCATCACTTTTAGACAGAGGCAGTGGTGCCTGGAGCGGAAGGGAAGAAGGACGCTCAGAGTTCTGAGTAATAAAGCAACAGGAGGTAAGCTTGCATTTGGATCTTAATTAACATTTTTATTAAAAATCACGAAAAAAAGATTAAATAGACAGGAAAACAGAGAAAGAGAAACCTGCTGTTGATACTTAATCTTAAAGTGCTAAATACACAGATAAGTAGAACAAAAACAATGCAAATTTAACTAAAAAACTTAAAATGTCAAAAAAAAAGTCATGATTATTCATTCCACCAAATAACAAAGAATAAAAGGGTCCTGTTTCTGTAGAATGAATAACAGCAAAAATAAAGAAAAGTCAATCATTCCCTTGGGGGATAAAAAAGAATATTATCGATTTAGTCCACTTCTAAATTGTCATTTTTTCTTACCTTGAGCTACTTTGACTCTGAAAATGGAAAGAGCAGAAACACATGTGGGTTTGAAAGGAATATGTAGTCTACATATTTATGTAGATTATGTGTAATGTCCCAAGCAATCTTATAAGATAGGTACTATTAGATCCTTTTTATAGATGAGAAAACTGAAGCTCTTTTTATAGATGAGAGATGAAGCTCTAAAATGATACCTGTTCAAGATCATGTGGAATATGGGAAGATGGAATTCCAGTGTAGGTCAGTTCCAAAGCCTGAACTAGCTCCACTTTAGTCATCCAGTAAGTTTGGACCTCATGCTGGAAACTGCAGTTAGAATTTCAACCCTTCGCCCAACCAATATGTAGCAATAGACTTGCCACGTTTAACTACCACACTCACCACTTATTTGAGATTTAATTTTCTCAGGAAAGAAATAAGGCAGATAATAACTGGCTTCCATGATTGCAGAGGTAATTGTGTCAGGCCTCTGAGCCCAAGCTAAGCCATCATATCCCCTGTGACCTGCATGTACACATCCAGATGGCCTGTTCCTGCCTTAACTGATGACATTCCACCACAAAAGAAATGAAAATGGCCTGTTCCTGCCTTAACTGATGACATTATCTTGTGAAATTCTTTCTCCTGGCTCATCCTGGCTCAAAAGCTCCCCTGAGCACCTTGTGACCCCCACTCCTGCCTGCCAGAGAACCCCCCTTTTTCCTTTACCTACACAAATCCTATAAAACGGCCCCACACCTATCTCCCTTAGCTGACTCTCTTTTCAGGCTCAGCCCGCCTGCACCCAGGTAAAATAAACAGCCTTGTTGCTCACACAAAGCCTGTTTGGTGGTCTCTTCACACGGACGCACATGAAATTTGGTGCCGTGACTCGGATTGGGGGACCTCCCTTGGGAGATCAATCCCCCGTCTTTGCTCCCTGAGAAAGATCCACCTACAACCTCAGGTCCTCAGACCCACCAGCCCAAGGAACATCACACCAATTTTAATTCAGGTAAGCAGCCTCTTTTTACTCTCTTCTCCAACCTCCCTCACTATCCCTCAACCTCCTTCTCCTTTCAATCTTGGTGCCACACTTCAATCTCTCCCTTCTCTTAATTTCAATTCCTTTCATTTTCTGGTAGAGACAAAGGAGACACGTTTTATCAGTGGACCCAAAACTCCGGTGCCGGTCATGGACTAGGGAAGGCAGCCTTCCCTTGGTGTTTAATCCTTGCAGGGACACCTCTCTGATTATTCACCCAGGTTTCAGACCACGCAGGGATGCCTGCCTTGGTCCTTCACCCTTAGCGGCAAGTCCCGCTTTTCTGGGGGAGGGGCAGGGACCGCGACCTCTTATCTCTGCACCCGGATCCCTTATTTCCATGCTCCAACCTCTTATCTCTGTGCCCCAACCCCTTATTTCCATGCCCTTCTCTGCTTTTCTGGAGGGCAAGAACCCCCCACCCCTTCTCCGTGTCTCTACTCTCTTTTCTCTGGGCTTGCCTCCTTCACTATAGGCAACCTTCCACCTTCCGTTCCTCCTTCTTCTCCCTTAGCCTGTGTTCTTAAGAACTTAAAACCTCAACTCTCACCTGACCTAAAATCTATGCGTCTTATTTTCTTCTGCAATGCTGCTTGACCCCAATACGAACTCGACAGTAGTTCTAAATAGCCAGAAAATGGCACTTTCAATTTTTCCATCCTACAAGATCTAAATAATTCTTGTCATAAAATAGGCAAATGGTCTGAGGTGCCTGACATCCAGGCATTCTTTTACACATCAGTCCTTCCCTAGTCTCTGTTCCGAATGCAACTTTTCCGAAATCTTCCTTCTTTCCCTCCTGCCTGTCCACTCAGTTCCAACCCCAACCGTCACTGAGTCTTTCTAATCTTCCTTTTCTACAGACCCATCTGACCTCTCCCCTCCTCGCTAGGCTGAGCTAGGTCCCAATTATTCCTCAGCCTCCGCTCCTCCACCCTATAATCCTTTTATCACCTCCCCTCCTCACACCCAGTCCGGCTTACAGTTTCATTCCTCGACTAGCCCTCCCCCACCTGCCCAGCGATTTACTCTTAAAAAGGTGGCTGGAGCTAAAGGCATAGTCAAAGTTAATGCTCCTTTTTCTTCATCCCAGATCAGATAGCGTTTAGGCTCTTTTTCATCAAATATAAAAACCCAGCCCAGTTCATGGCTTGTTTGGCAGCAACCCTGAGATGCTTTACAGCCCTAGACCCTAAAAGGTCAAAAGGCCGTCTATTCTCAATATACATTTTATTACCCAATCCACTCCTGACATTAAATAAAACTCCAAAAATTAAATTCCAGCCCTCAAACCCCACAACAGGACTTAATTAACCTCACCTTCAAGGTGTACAATAATAGAGTACAGGCAGCCAAGTAGCAATGTATTTCTGAGTTGCAATTCCTTGCCTCCACTGTGAGACAAACCCCAGCCACATCTCCAGCACACAAGAACTCCAAATGCCCGAACCGCAGCTGCCAGGGGTTCCTCCAGAACCTCCTCCCCCAGGAGCTTGCTACATGTGCCGGAAATCTGGCCACTGGTCCAAGGAATGCCCACAGCCTGGGATTCCTCCTAAGCCACGTCCCGTCGGTGCGGGACCCCACTGAAAATCGGACTGTTCAACTCACCTGGCAGCCACTCTCAGAGCCCCTGGAACTCTGGCCCGAGGCTCTCTGACTGACTCCTTCCCAGATCTTCTCAGCTTAGTGGCTGAAGACTGACGCTGCCTGATTGCCTCAGAAGCCCCCTAGACCATCATGGACGCCGAGCTTCGGGTAACTCTCATAGTGGAGGGTAAGTCCATCCACTCCTTAATCAATACGGAGGCTACCCACTCCACATTACCTTCTTTTCAAGGGCCTGTTTCCCTTGCCTCCATAACTGTTGTAGGTATTGACGGCCAGGCTTCTAAACCTCTTAAAACTCCCCAACTCTGGTGCCAACTTAGTCAATACTCTTTTAAGCACTCCTTTTTAATTATCCCCACCTGCCCAGTTCCCTTATTAGGCTGAGACACTTTAACTAAATCATCTGCTTCCCTGACTATTCCTGGGCTACAGCCACACCTTATTGCTGCCTTTTCCCCCAGTTCAAAGCCTCCTTCACATCCTCCCCTTGTATCTCCCCACCTAAGACACCTCTACTCCCTCCTTAGCGACCGATCATGCACCCCTTACCATCTCATTAAAACCTAATCACCCTTACCCCTCTCAATGCCAATATCCCATCCCACAGCACGCTTTAAAAGGATTAAAGCCTGTTATCACTCGCCTGCTACAGCATGGCCTTTTAAGGCCTATAAACTCTCCTTACAATTCCCCCTTTTTACTTGTCCTAGAACCAGACAAGCCTTACAGGTTAGTTCAGGATCTGCGCCCTATCAACCAAATTGTTTTGCCTATCCACCCTGTGGTGCCAAATCCATATACTCTCCTATCCTCAATACCTCCCTCCATAACCCATTATTCTGTTCTGGATCTCAAACGTGCTTTCTTTACTATTCCTTTGCACCCTTCATCCCAGCCTCTCTGCTTTCACTTGGACTGACCCTGACACCCATCAGGCTCAGCAAATAACCTGGGCTGTACTGCACCAAGTCTTCACAGACAGCCCCCATTACTTCAGTCAAGCCCAAATTTCTTCCTCATCTGTTACCTATCTCAGCATAATTCTTCATAAAAACACATGTGCTCTCCCTGCCGATAGTGTCCGACTGATCTCTCAAACCCCAACCCCTTCTACAAAACAACAACTCCTTTCCTTCCTAGGCATGCTTGGATACTTTCGCCTTTGGATACCTGGTTTTGCCATCCTAACAAAACCATTATATAAACTCACAAAAGGAAACCTAGCTGACCCCATAGATCCTAAATCCTTTCCCCACTCCTCTTTCCATTCCTTGAAGACAGCTTTAGAGACTGCCCCCACCCCAGCTCTCCCTGACTCATCCCAACCCTTTTCATTACACACAGCTGAAGTGCAGGGCTGTGCAGTCGGAATTCTCACACAAGGACCAGGATCATGTCCTGTAGCCTTTTTGTCCAAACAACTTGACCTTACTGTTTTAGGCTGGCCATCATGCCTCCGTGCAGTGGCTGCTGCTGCCCTAATACTTTTAGAGGCCCTTAAAATCACAAACTATGCTCAACTCACTCTCTACAGCTCTCATAATTTCCAAAATCTATTTTCTTCCTCACACCTGACGCATATACTTTCTGCTCCCTGCTCCTTCAGCTGTACTTACTATTTGTTGAGTCTCCCACAATTACCATTGTTCCTGGCCTGGACTTCAATCCGGCCTCCCACATTATTCCAGGTACCACACCTGACCCTCATGACTGCATCTCTCTGATCAAACTGACATTCACCCCATGTCCCCATATTTCCTTTTTTCCTGTTCCTCACCCTGATCACACTTAGTTTATTGATGGAAGTTCCATCAGGCCTAATCACCACACACCATCAAAGGCAGGCTATGCTATAGTACAAGCCACTAGCCTGCCTCTTAAAACCTCTCATTTCCTTTCCATCATGGAAATCTATCCTCAAGGAAATAACTTCTCAGTGTTCCATCTGCTATTCTACTGCTTCTCAGGGATTATTCGGTCCCCCTCCCTTCCCTACACATCAAACTCGAGGATTTGCCCCCACCCAGGACTGGCAAATTAGCTTTACTCAACATGCCCCGAGTCAGATAACTAAAATACCTCTTAGTCTAAGTAGACACTTTCACTGGATAGGTAGAGGCCTTTCCTACAGGGTCTGAGGAGGCTACCGCAGTCATTTCTTCCCTTCTGTCAGACATAATTCCTCAGTTTAGCCTTTCCACATCTATACCGTCTGATAACAGACCAGCCTTTATTAGTCTAATCAGCCAAGCAGTTTTTCAGTCTCTTAGTATTCAGTGAAACCTTTATATCCCTTACGGTCCTCAGTCTGCAGGAAAGGTAGAACAGATTAATGGTCTTTTAAAAACACACCTCACCAAGCTCAGCCACCAACTTAAAAAGGACTGGACAATACTTTTACCACTTTCGCTTCTCAGAATTCAGGCCTGTCCTCAGAATGCTACAGGGTACAGCCCATATGAGCTCCTGTATAGACACTCCTTTTTATTAGGCCCCAGTCTTATTCCAGACACCAGACCAACTTGGACTGTGTCCCAAAAAACTTGTCATCCCTACTATCTTCTGTCTAGTGATACTCCTATTCACCGTTCTCAACTACTCATACATGCCCTGCTCTTGTTTACACTGCCAGTTTACAGTTTCTCCAAGCCATCACAGCTGATATCTCCTGGTGCTATCCCCAAACTGCCGCTCTTAACTCTTGAAGTAAATAAATAATCTTTGCTGGCAGGACTACGCTGAACCTCCTTAGGCACTCTCTAATAAGATGTCCTGGGTCCTCCCAATTCTTAGACATTTAATTCCTGTTTTTCTCCTTCTCTTATTCCGTTTAGTTTTTCAATTCATACAAAACCATATCCAGGCCATCACCAATAATTCTACACAACAAATGTTTCTTCTAACAACCCCACAATATCACCCCTTACCACAAAATCTTCCTTCAGCTTAATCTCTCCCACTCTAGGTTCCCATGCCGCCCCTAATCCCGCTGGAAGCAGCCCTGAGAAACATCGCCCATTATCTCTCCATACCATCCCCCAAAATTTTCTCTGTCCCAACACTTTACCACTATTTCATTTTATTTTTCTTATTAATATAAGAAGACAGGAATGTCAGGCCTCTGAGGCCGAGTTAAGCCATCATATCCCCTGTGACCTGCATGTACACATCCTGATGGCCTGTTCCTGCCTTAACTGATGACATTCCACCGCAAAAGAAATGAAAATGGCCGTTCCTGCCTTAACTGATGACATTATCTTGTGAAATTCCTTCTCCTGGCTCATCCTGGCTCAAAAGCTCCCCTACTGAGCACCTTATGACCCCCACTCCTGCCTGCCAGAGAACAACCCCGCTTTTTCCTTTACCTACCCAAATCCTATAAAACGGCCCCACCCCTGTCTCCCTTAGCTGACTCTTTTCAGACTCAGCCCGCCTGCACCCAGGTGAAATTAATAGCCTTGTTGCTCACACAAAGCCTGTTTGGTGGTCTCTTCACAGGGACGTGCATGAAAAATTGTATGGGGTCAGGTCCATTAAATCATCTTTGTTCATCATTCTGTTACTAAGTTTTCAAACATAAAGCAAAGCTGAAAGAACTGTACCAAAAACATCCATATATCCATAAATGGAAAAATCTATCATTTGCATGTTACTATACTTGCTTTATGACATGTCTGTCCATCTGTTCATCACTCCATTCATCAATCCACATTTTTTTAATGTACTTTCTAGTAACTTGCAGACATTGGCACACTTTCCCCTACATATCTGAAGTTGGTTTTAAATTCAAAATGAACTTTAAAACTGCAAGGATCATCATTATTAAAACTATACTTCTTCTTATAATAACTTCCTCTGTAACATTGAGCAGTCCCCTGTCATAACTGCCTGTTTCTGGTTGTGATAGTATTTGTCTACTCTGCTGTATTGCTGGGCTACACTTCCTAAGAGTTGAGGAAAGATAAAAGCTGAAGTTCATATGGCTCACTTTTTTTATTTGCCCAGGTGCTATTTCTCTTTGGAAGACATATCTGCTCTGTGGTCTCAGCACCACCTAATTCAGTCTAGTTCATCCTTACTCCAGTTACTTTTTGTGTATCTGATCATTTTCCAAAATATAGCAATGATAATGTGTGCTCCATGTAGGGAATTTACTAGAACATTCCTACAAAGGGCAGAGTAGGAAGGAAAAAGAACTAAGCATTTGCCATGTATAGTGTCAGTTGCTTTACATTTCATTCTACAATATGCAGGTAAATAATACATTTCTATATTCTTATATATAATCAAACATGTGCAATATATTTCACCTATAATCAAATTGGTTATAGATTTTTCATCGCTTCAAACACAATATGCTTTCTTGCCTTTTTAAAGTGGTTTTTAGTTTCTCCTCAATTGACAAGTGTCCACATGACCTCTCACCTCTTCCCTTTGCAACTACTTCACCCTCCTCTAGGACAACCAGTGTCTTATACATGTTCCACCAATACCTGCTCCAGACCAGTGACAGTGTAATTCTATATGGAGAATTACACGTACCTATGCCAGGCCAGTGACAAACAATACTTATTGATTGTTTGTTTATGTGTTGTAATACATATGTAACTATATACATTTATATATTGTATAAGTACACCATATACATGTATATACAGTATATATGTGTATATATAGTATAATACTATTTATATATTGTATACAAATATACAATATATAAAGTACTTTATATAGTACTTATTACTTATACAATATATAAATAGTATTGTACTATATAGAACAATTTATTTATATAAAAATAAATTTATATATAATTTTTTATAATTGTGTGAGTATATACAATATATTCATAGTATTATACTTATTGTATAAATACAATAGTATTTAGTATTGTACCATAGTATTATACTATTGTATAAGTACAATATACAATATATACATAGTATTTTACTTATTGTATAAGTACAATAGTATTATACAATGTTATACTATTGTATAAGTACAATATACAATATATACATAATATTGTACTTATTGTATAAGTACAATATACAATATATACATAATATTGTACTTATTGTATAAGTACAATATACAATATATACATAATATTGTACTTATTGTATAAGTACAATATACAATATATACATAATATTGTACTTATTGTATAAGTACAATAGTATACAATAATACCATTGTATTGTACTTATATATTATACTATATATAAATTTATATATTGTATAATATAATGTATATATTGTATTTGTATCATATGTATTTATAGATTTTATTTGTATCATAAAACATTAATATAGAATGTGTACATATGTCTATATTTCAATATGTATGAATATATATCTATATTTCATATGTATGAAGATACATGTATAACTATGATATATAGATAAATACATCTATTTACCTTTCATTCATATATAAATATAATTGTATTTCATCAGTGAATCCAGAGGTTAGTTTTATTTCAGTGAAACGTTTCAAAAAAAGAAAAAAGAGAGACTCGCCAAATCTTAAAGACATCTGACTAGAATAGACCAATGCCTCTAGGTTCATTGAGAAAATTGAAGCTACTTCCATCAGAGGGGTGAGGAAGCCAGTGGATCTTAAGGAGGCAATGTTGTGACGTGAGCTCTTACTGTAGTTACTGAGAAAAGGTAATCATTGCCACCGTCATCCACACACCACATAATCTTATCATCTGACTAAGGAAAAGAAAGTAAATATCACCTCCAAACAGGCATATTTTAGCCTCCGTGGAGGTGCTAAAGAATCAAGTGAACAGTCACGAATTCGAGAGAAGTGCTCTGATTCACACATTGACATCTGGCTTGGCTCCATGCAGTCTTCACAAAATGTGCAGCAAACTCCCCAGAAGCTTTCTGAGTGTTGGCAGTGGCACCGGGAAGGAAGCACGAAGCAAAATATTAACATTTCGCACAGCAAGCAGGTCACACCATGTGAGTTTCAGGAACAAAGTGCCTCTATTTCCCCAGAGCTTACTCAGATGACATGGCCTCCTGCTCAGCTCATTACCAATGCTCTGATGACCTCTCTCGGAAGAATGTATTGACGGTGTTGGCACTGAAAAGATGCTCAAAAGATCAAAACAATAAAATCATGTGAAAGCAGCCTCGGCAGACATGAAACACTTCTGTTCAGTGATGCCTGAACCGGGGGCGGCTCAAAGAGGTGTTTCCCACGGAGAGTTCTAAGTGAATGTCGCCTTTTGCTGTGAGTGCCACGGCATCGGAGACAGATAAGAAGTTGGCGAAACATATGCCAGATCTCAGGGATGGTTATATCTTCCAAAGGAAGATTGGAGCTGCGGAAAAACTCAGAGGCTTCCTCTCCGGGATCTTAGCACAGTCTCAGTGAGCGTCACATTTTTCTGCTATCCAAGTCATAGGTACCTTTTCTAATGAGAAAATTTACAAACGATATAAAATTACTTGGCCTCCTTTGAAATCACTGACCCCCATGACAAATTTGTTTTCTTTCCCTACGGTGGTTAACCAATCAGAAATTAAGCACCAGAAGGGGCACTTGTTGGACAAATGCAGACCCCTAGACTTTTTTTTTTTAATACCTGACGTATGTCTCTTGGTTTGCATGCAGTATCTCTCAATGCTATTCTAGACCCAGGCAAGTTAAATGTAATTGTTATATGTAACAAACCTGCACATTGTGCACATGTACCCTAAAACTTAAAGTATAATAATAATAAAATTAAAAATATATATATTCTGTTGTCCCCCTTTTATAGGCTATAAGGCTGAAGCTTAACAAGGTAAATCATCTTGTTTCAGTCACAACATATTAAGGGACTTCATGGCAGCTGTAGCATTAAAAACCGGAGCTGTCAAATGCTAAAGCTTGGACTTTTTTCTATGTTGCATGCATTTGGTTGCAAAAAAAGTATTAATCATGATTTTTTATGTTCTAAAAACATGAGTTACATAGGAGACATGTTTTACAGCAGTTTTCTCAAACTTTAACATGAGGAATCTTATTAAATGCAGACTCTGATTCACGAAGTCTGGGGTGGGGCCTGGAATTCTGCATTTCTAGCAAGTGCCCTAGTAACACTAGATATTGCTGATGTGGCGACCAGATTGGAGCAAGAAAGTTTGGAGCATGTAATCTCAACAAATAAGACTCTAAGCCCTTGTAGATACAGTGCTTGAGAGTATTTGCACTAAATAACAAAAGTGGCGAGTTCTGCTGAGTATCAGTATGCTTTTTTTTTTTTTTTTTTTTTTGGTCATCACTAATGACCGTGTCTAAATTCATTTTCACAGAAGGCACATTAATTCCACTTTATTCAACCCATCAACAGAAATTCAGTGGCTATCTATGAAAATGTTCATACCTAACATTTGTCAGGTGCTTTACACTTTAAGTGTCTTTTTATGGGTGATCTTACTCAATTTTCACCAAAAGGAAAGGAAACTAAGTAAGCATTGTCAGTGATTTGATTTTAATGTGATAATTTTAAGATTTGGAGAAATTAAGTAACATATAGCTGACATGTGACACAGATTGTATTAGAATATACATTTTTCTTACTCCCAATATTATACCAAAGCATGATTTATGAGACATTGAGGGAAGGTGTATTCATTTGCTGGGGCTGTCACAAAGTACCGCACACCTGGTGGCTTTGATAAAATGTATTGTCTCACAATTCTGAAGGCTAGACATCCAAGATGGAGATGTTGGTAGGGTTGGCTTCTTCTGAGGCTGTGAAGGAGAAATTGTTCCATCCCTCTCTCTTAGCGGCTGCTTGCTGGTGGTTTCCTGGCAATCTTTGTTTTTTGGCTTGCAGACGCATCGCCCCAATCTCTGCCTTCATGTTCACATGGCACCCGTGGGTGTCAGATATGGTTTGGCTGTGTCCTCACCCAAATCTCATCTCGAATTCTAGCTTCCATAATTCCCACATGTTGTGGGAAGGACCCAGTGGGAGATAATTGAATCATGGGGGTGGTTCCCCCACACTCTTCCCATGGTAGTAAGTCTCACAAGATCTTACAATTTTATAAGTGGTTTCCCCTTTCGCTTGGCTCTCAAGTAAGATGTCCCTTTGCTCTTCTTTCCTCTTCTGCCATGATTATGAGGCCTCCCCAGCCATGTGGAACTGTGAGTCAATTAAACTGCTTTCCTTTATAAATTATCCCGCCTCAGGCATGTCTTTATTAGCAGCATGAGAACAGACTAATACAGTGTCTGTGTCCACGTTTTCCTTTTTTATATAAGAACTCCAGTCATGTTGGATTGGGCTCGCCCTACTGCAGCACAACCTCATCTTAACTCATTACATCTGCAACAAACTTATTTCCAAACAAAATAAGATCATATAAGGTGCTGAGGGCTAGGACTCCAAATAAGAATTTTGGGGGTAATACAATTCATACCATAATTTATAACACAATTCATAACATAATAGGTGTTGCCTGGCCCCTGTCTAGGAATTGCTTATGATCTACTTGAGCCAACAATGGGGCATCAAGGCAAATCATGACCCATAAAGGGCAGTAAGGACACTTTCCCAGTGAGTCTTGAAGAGTCCTGAGAAGGAGAGAGCTAGTATTCCCCTGAGAAGTGCAGGGCAGCTTTGATGAACAAGTTGGCAAGCCAAGTTACCCTTGGAGTAGGAGTAAAATTTAGAAGGAGTACTGAAGAGCATCCAAGCTGACAAGAAAAGCGTTTTGCCAAAGAGAAGAAGAAAAGCGACCCTCAACCCTGTTATAGACATTTTTTTTCAAACCCCAAAACAGGAAATTAAGATTAGAATCAAATAACACTGATTTTATATTTATTTCTGGAGACAAAAATAAAACAACTTTGAAATCTAGCCTCGGTTTGTAAAATTAAAATACTAACTCCAATACCGTAGGGTTGTCTTTCACCCTTTTTTTACAAAACAACACAGAAGCAATAGATGTCCAAGCGTGTATCTAACTTCTAAATATATGTCTGGGGTATGCTGATAAAAATTAAAAAAAAAAAAAAACTAGATGTGAAGCAAGAATGAAGAGTTACTATTATTGCATTCTAGAATCTAGGCGACTTGATTTTTATACTTGGAAGTTATAGCTAGTTTTTTGTTAGATTAAAATAAACCCACTTTTTGTTTACAGGCTTGTGGATTTCAGAGGTCAAGTCATCATATTAATTGACAGAAGATTTTGAGGCTCTGGCAAGGGATTGTATTTGAATTCCTCTAGACAGTCTCAGAATTTGCAGTTGTGTGTGTGAAAATAACTCTCAGTGAGGAGAATGACATCTTTGGGGAGTTGTCTCTGAAAGGATGTAGTCACCAAAATTCACAAAGAAAGAACTATTCACACCCTGACCAGGGACTGTCTCACAAGATAAATAGCCATGTCCTGATTCAGGCAGAAATGCATTTTGACAAGGTCAAAGACTCTCTCCTTATTCCTGAGGCCCCTGTTCCCTGGGACCCCTGAGGTTCCTTGTCTGAGTGGAAGAGCTTAGGGACTGGTGGAGAGAGAGAACTCATTAATTCTGTCAGTAGCAAGTCTTCCCCTCTTAGCTTTTATAGACTGTCTTAAGTAAAAGATGAGCTGTTCTCTATGTTCTTATTCTACTCACAGAGTGATTTAAAAGCAGGCTTTTCTATTTTCAGCTCATACCATCCTTTTCATCTGATATTCACAGGCCCCATAAATCTACCTTTTCCTTACTTCTTCCAATGTCTAATCAATGTCTCCCCTGCAAAGAGCCACACCTATAATCAAATTGGTTATATATTTCTCATCACGTCAAACACAACACGTCAAACACAAAAGGCTTTCTTGGCTTTTCAAGGTTGTTTTTAATTTCCCCTTCCTTGACAGCTGTCCATGTGACCTCTCACCCCTTCCTTTTGCATCTACCTCACCTTACTCTAGAACAGCCAGTGTCTTGCAAACGTTCCACCAGTACCCATACCAGGCCAGTGACAGGCATTATGAAAGAGTCACAGCACAACATCCTATCCTGCTAAGCTTGGATGGGTATTGACAGAAGTCTCCTTTCCTTCTTCCTTCTTCTTTCTTCCTTCTTCCTTCTTTCTTCTTCCTTCCTTCCTTCCTTTCTCCTCTTCCTCTTCCTCCTCTTCTTCTTCTTCTAACCTTCTCCTTCTTCTTCCTCTTCTTCTTTAACACAATTCTCCAGGCAAAGATTTTCATGGGCAGAAAGATACAAGTGAAAGAATGGCAAGGATGGAAGTGAGGATAATGAACATGAATATGACTTGTAGAACATTGAGGGAGACATCATGGGTAAAGGAAGCACACATTTCAGGTTCATGAGAGACCTGATGTGAGTCTAACTGAATGACAGGAATTTGACACTCAAATCAAAGGCAGTATTCAGGAGCATTTTAAACTATTTTTGGTATACAAGATGGTGTACCAAGAGTTTCCTTTGTGCTTTCTCAGTGATGCTACTCAGTAACTTGATAGACTATTGTTGCTCCCATTTTGCAGAGGACGAGCCTGCATCGCATATAGCGTATTCACCTTGCTCAATTCGCAAGAGCTGAAACAAATGCAGTGTTCTTCCTACAATGTCATTGCAGGAAAGTGGAGACTGTAAACAGTTAAGTTCTCCTGGTTTCTTATAAGAAACTTGTTAGCTTTCTTGCTAACATTTTTAGACCTTTATTTTGCTTACTTTCTCCTAAATTGTTTTAAAAACATCTTTAGCTCTTTATAAAATGAATTATGTACTTGAAAGCAGAGAGAAAAATGTGATAGTTTATGATGAAATTATATTAATGTAAACCTGAAATTTTCCAAACTAAAGAAATTATTCTACTGCTGGTCAAGTCTGTGAGTGAAAAATACACCATTTGTATAGAATAGAATCTTTTTGCTTGTTTATAGGCAAATCTACCCAAATCATGCCTGAGTTATCATCCACTACTTAATTAAAATTCTTTCCAATAGGCTTTGATAATTGCAGGCATTCATTATTTTCCTCAATATAGCCAAGAAGTTTGACAGAAAATTTTATCACATGCATTTTAGTTATCTTCTCAAGCATCAATTTCTATGAGGAGACTCAAAACGTCAAGGAAGATACAGAAGCCACCATCGAGCTCAGTGAGAAAGACATGGCCCCAGAACTCTACATATGTCATTCATTCACTAAACACATATTTATTGTTTGCCTGTGTGTGTCAGGCATTATTCTATAATCCTGGAATACAAGAGTGAACCTTGGTCTTATAGCATTATATTCCAGGAAGGTAAGACATAATAAGACATTAATATTATAAATACATAAAAGTACACAATAAAATATTTGGAAGAAAAAATAGATGAAGAAAAAGGGGATAAGGAATGCTGGGGTGAAGAGATCTTTGCAATTTTAAATAGGGAATTCTGGGTAGGCCTCATTGAGAAGATGTTATTTAAGCAATGTCTTGAAGCTCATTTGACTTAACTATGTTTGGAGAAAGCATTATCAAAGTTCCTCTTAAAGGCCAGGTTGGATGGGGTTGAATCAAAGAGGAATACATCTGGGTTTAGGGTTGGTTTACAAGGAGAACGCAGTTAATGTGTAGTAAACAGACTGGGCTGGCTGGGCAGAGAGAGTTAGTATTATATAGAAGTATAAATAAGCACAAATAAGTGGTGAACAATGAATTGCAGTCAAGAAGAAAGTCAGAGATACTTGGTGCTTCTTGAAAAGCAGTACCAAGTATCAGACGTAAAGGGCAATCTAATTTTTAGGCTGTTAGGATTACCCTAGCAAAGTACCACAGACTATGTGGCTTAAAAAATAGAATTCATTTTATCGCAGTTATGGAGGCTAGAAGTCTAAGATCAAAGTGTTGGGAAGTTGAGTTTCTTCTGAGGCCTCTCTCTCCTGCTTGCTGATGGCTACTTCTCACTGTGTGATCACTTAGTCTTTCCTCTGTATGCATACACCTCTAGTATCTCTCTGTGTATCTAAATTTCTTCTTCCATTAAGAACATTAGTCCTGTTGAATTAGGGTTTCCTAGTGTCTCCAATGGTCCTATTTTAACTTAATAACCTCTGTAAAGGCTCTATTTCCAAATGTAGCCACATTCTGAGTTACTGGGTATTAGGGATTCAGCATATGAATTTTGAGGAAATACAATTCAATCTATACCACTGGTTTCAATGCAAACAAGCGAGCTGAGATCAGAAGCCAAAATTATTAGAAGGAGGTCATGAATCAGAATTCCTAATGAGAGTTCAAGGAGGCAGTTGTAAGCCTAAAATTTCTAGGCGGAAAAAAAGTGAATTGATGAGGATAGTTGGTGGCAAATTAACCCACAATGCCCTAGAGAGCTGCTTTTTATTTGTCTACTGTAACAATGTGGAAAGAACTACAAGTTGATGGATGAATGGTGACATCTCCAAGGGGAACCAAGGCAATGAATGAATATATCCAATAAAGCAATATGCTGAGCAAATGACAAAGTTAGGTATGAGGCTAAAAGTATGACTAGGTTCTCCCAGGAGGCATTTTTTATTACCCATTTTTCTTTTTTAAAGGCATTTGGTGCTCTGAAATGGAGGTGGATTCCAAAGAAAGAACAAAAAAGAGGGAAAGGGGAAGATAAAGAAAGAGAGAAAGAAGGAGGTGGAAAAGAAGAAAACAAGAAAGAGGAAGAGGAGGATGAAAAAGAAGAAGAAAGAAGGAGAAAAAGGAGAGGGGATAAGAAAGGAGGAAGAAAAAGCAGAGAAGGAGAAGCTTCAATAAGAGGACCACACAAAGAGTTGAATTACACACAGAGTTGAGGTATGCAGTTTGCTGAAGGATGGCTGAGAGATAGAAACTTACAGAAATAAATCAGAGAGGACACAAACGAATGAAAAAACATTCCATGCTCATGAATGGGGAGAATCAATATCATGAAAATGGCTATACTGCCAAAAGTAATTTTTAGATTCAGTGCTATTCCCATCAAGCTATCATTGACTTTCATCACAGAATTAGAAAAAAAATTACTTTAAGTTCATATGGAACCAAAAAAGAGCTCATATAGCCAAGACAATCCTAAGCAAAAAGAACAAAGCTGAAGGCATCACGCTACCTGACTTCAAACTACACTACAAAGCTACAGTAACCCGTACAGCATGGTACTGGTACCAAAACAGATATATAGACCAATGGAACAGAACAGAGGCCTCAGAAAAAAACTTACACGTCTACAACCATCTGATCTTTGACAAACCTGACAAAAACAAACAATGGAGAAAGAAATCCCTATTTAATACATGGTCTTGGGAAAACTGGCTAGCCATATGCAGAAAACTGAAACTGGACACCTTCCTTACACCTTATACAAAAATTAACTCAAGATAGATTAAAGATTTAAACGTAAGACCTAAAACCATAAAAATCCTAGAAGAAAACCTAGGCAATACCATTCAGGACATAGGCATGGGCAAAGACTT
This sequence comes from Homo sapiens, assembly GCF_000001405.40. Classification (NCBI taxonomy): domain Eukaryota; kingdom Metazoa; phylum Chordata; class Mammalia; order Primates; family Hominidae; genus Homo; species Homo sapiens. The sequence goes on along the minus strand of NC_000004.12, from coordinate 11,643,616 downwards.
CATGACTAAAACACCAAAAGCAATTGCAACAAAAGCCAAAATGGACAAATAGGATCTAATTAAACTAAAGAGCTTCTGCACAGCAAAAGAAACTACCATCAGAGTGAACAGGCAACCTACAGAATGGGAGAAAATTTCTGCCATCTAGCCATCTGACAAGGGGCTAATATCCAGAATCTACAAGGAACTTAAACAAATTTACAAGAAAAAACAAATAACCCCATCAAAAAGTAGGCAAAGGATACAAACAGACACTTTTCAAAAGAAAACATTTATGCAGCCAACAAACATGAAAAAAAAAAAGCTCATCATGACTCATCATTAGAGAAATGCAAATCAAAACCACAATGAAATACCATCTCACGCCAGTTAGAATGGCAATCATTAAAAAGTCAGGAACGACAGATGCTGGAGAGGATGTGGAGAAATAGGAACATTTTTACACTGTTGGTGGAAGTATAAATTAGTTCAACCATTGTGGAAGACAGTGTGGTGATTCCTCAGGGATCTAGAACCAGGAATACCATTTGACCCAGCAATCCCATTACTGGGTATATACCCAAAGGATTATAAATTATTCTACTATAAAGACACATGCACATGTGTGCTTATTGCAGCACTATTCACAATAGCAAAGACACAGAACCAATTCAAATGCCCATCAATGATAGACTGGATAAAGAAAATGTGGCACATATATACTATAGAATACTATGCAGCCATAAAAAAGAATGAGTTCATGTCCTTTGCAGGGACATGGATGAAACTGGAAACCATCATTCTCAGCAAACTAACACATGAATAGCAAACCAAACACCACATGTTCTCACTTATAAGTAGGATTTGAGCAATTAGAACATATGGGCACATGGAGGGGAATATCACACACTGGGGCCTGTCAGAGGGTGGGGGGCAAGGGAGGGATAGCAATAGTTTCAATACCTAATGTAGATGACAGGTTGATGGGTGCAGTAAACCACCATGGCATATGTATACCTATGTAACAAACCTGCACGTTCTGCACATGGATCCCAAAACTTAAAGTATAATTTAAAAAACACACATAATTGGTAAATAAATAAACATTATTTATGTGAAATAGATATTACTAGTAAAATACAAGTTCTCGTTTTATTTATTGGGTTTCCACTTGCTTCTCATTAAAAAGAAGGAAGTTCTACTACTGTGCTTAAATGTCACTAGCACAACCTCCTACTTTTAGTACTTAAAAAGTAAAACTGTAAGAGATGAAAGGACTTCCAAGATGTCACACACAATATATTTTAATTTTGTTCCCAGAGAAAGTTGTTTTTGTTTCTTCTTGTTTTTCTGTAGTTTGTTTTGGAAAAAAAAAAAAAAGTATTTGCTTATTTATACTTCATGGGAAAAGCATCATTAGCATTTTGTATTTTTTGGTAGGCTTTTCTTCTTCCCTGGGAATTATTTTACATCTGAAAGGGCATTATTCCTCAATGAATAAAGAGAAATATTTCAGAAAACCTTTTCTCTGCAGCTCTCCCCTTACCCCTATTTTCTTTTCCCAACCCGCATATGCATAGAGTCTGTGATTAGAGGCCAAGGAACAACTACAGACATTGAGGGCATTTGATTTCTAGTCTGAAAGTCACATGCTTTCTAGTAATGATAGCCCTTCCTGCAGGGAGTGGCTGCAAAAGATGGTCGCTGTCATAGATTCCAAAAATTAACATGGGAACTTATATTAAAGACCACTGTTCAAATGGATGTAATTGAACATGTAAATTGGATTTACACACTCAGGTTTTGGGAACAGTGACTAGAAACACAACGTAAGACTTGCATTCACAAAATTATAGAGGATTATACATACAAATCAGCTCTCATTGAATCTTTGAAAATGAAATTGCATTTCTTCAGGATTTACCACACACTCCATGCTGGATAACTTCAGCAAATCGTTGTCACCCAGCACAGCTGAAAAATATGAAATGCCCACATGGCTACTTATTTTCCCTGGAGGGGAGGGGTTTACAGGTGAAGTACTTACCGAGTGTTTAAAATGTAATGCAAAGGAGATCCTATTTTTTTTCTTTTTCCCATTGGTGTTTTAGTCTGGATAAATCACACCCTTTGGCATTTGCATTGATACAACAAGAGCATACTATGCAGCACAAATAGCCTCATTTCCATAAAACGGCCTTTTAAAATTAGAAAATGTATAATTCATTTGGGGTGGTTATTACCACTTTTGGGAGGGATTTAGACTTGTATTTAAATGCAAATAGGTGTATTTTTTGTTCTTCCATTTACACATAGGAAGCCACAAAATTTAGGAACTCTATGATGCAACCTTATTCTTAACTATGACTTCTGGATTACAATATCAATAACAAAAGAGATTTGCTTGGTCCATTAAAGTTTGCAGCTGTCTTAAATTTGGTCTTCCTCACTTCCATAAGAGAGAATACCCATTGTGCACATGAGGAAAATGAGGCCCAGATAAGTTAGGTGATGTCTCCGAATTGCACACTGAGGATGTGGCAGAGCTGTAACTTCTATTCTGATGAGAGAGCAAATGGACAAACATAAACAGCTAGAGAGGGTCAAGAATGGGAACAAGGTAGCCAGAAAATGGATGAAAAGGGGAGAGAACAGAGAAGCAAGAAAAATTTTAGAAGGCAGAAAATATCTAGACAAGGAGGGCCAAGAAAACTATTGAACAAGAGTGCAGCACTTTGCCTCCCACCTCTGACCCTCTGAGCTGTGCTCCAGCTCCCTGGTATTTAGAGACGAAAAGACAGGAGAACCTTTATGATGATTCACTGACCCTAAAACCTGGTACCTCCTATTCGACTGTGCTGCTTATATGTCCTTTATTTGAGCAGGCTGTTTATCCTGTGGTCACCTAGGCAGGGGGAAATATCTTTATGCCCTCTTCTGAAACATGTGGCTCATGTTTTAGTCATTAATACTGTAGCTCCACAAAAAAGCCTTGTTTCTGATTTCTGGATTTTTGCATATCCTAAGAAGTTCTCACTCCATCCTTGTCCCTACTCCTCAATAGTCTCATTATTCCTTCATCTGGCCAAGTCCTACTCATTTTCCAAGACTACACTAATGCTGGAGTCCTCTAAGAAAACTCCTGAAATTTACTTCCATCATCAACCAGCCTAGACCACCTCTGCTTTCTCAGCCCTTATAGGTCAGTAGGAGCCCAAAGACTCTACAGTTGAAATGTCCCCATTTCAGCAGCCTTCCCCACTGGGCTGGAGACCTCAAAAGCAAGGGTCCATTCTTGTGTATCTGCATATCCCCAACCACTGCTACAGAAAGTGAGATAGAGAAAGAATTCCATACATATTTATGGAATCCTAATTCTGCTGATACTATCTGTGTGACTTTGGACAATTACTTAACTTCTCTGAACCTCAATATACTCATCTGAAAAATGGACCTACAGTAGGGATACAGCGAGTCCTACCTCCACTTGTAAAGGTAACCTGCATGGGACGTGAGCAGGTATCAAGAAATGACAGCTATTATGATTACTATTGCTAACTTGAAGTTGATAAATAGATGTTTTAATACTAGAGACCCTCCCTCAGACTTTGTCATTCAGGCCTTTAGATATCAGTCCAGACATCAACTAAATTCCTTTCCATACAAAATATCCCCTAACTCCAGGCCCAACCATGCTACTATTGTCAAGCCTGTTTTACAGAACAGAATCATCTGGTCACCCAGGGCCTTTTATTTCCCCAGCCTCAAGAAGTCTATTCAAATGTTAACGTTTATTCTACGATAAACCAGCTTCACTGGGGTATCTGTGAAACCACCTTTGCAAAAATTATAACAGTGAGAAAACTATGACAGTGAAAGGGACCTTACTTAACCAACTTCATCTTGTCTTTAACCCCCAAACTGCCCTTGGTTATTCCTGGGCATGGGTCAAGCTAACTTTCAGAGAAATTTAGTTTATAGGTTAAATGATAATAGCCCTTCCTAAAACTAAATTGCCTTTGTAAAACTGAAGAAAAGCCACCAGATTAGTAGGATGAGAGGGGCCTGAATTCTGCTACAATCTAGGCTTAGTTAAACAATAATCAACCATTGTTCCAGAGATCACAAAACTTACAAATTCCCCACATACTCCTGTAAATAGCATCACTATTGTAGAACCTAAGATTGGCCTTTTGAAATGTCTTTTCAAGCATTTGCATTTCTGATGACCAGATAGCCCCACCCAAGGCAGCAACTCCTCTATGGCCCCCACCCAGAAGCTGATTCAGGGCAGGAGGACCATTTTCTACACCTCTATGATTGCACTCCAACCAGTCAGCAGCACCCATTCCCTACCCACCTACCCACCAAACTATCCTTGAAAAACTCTAGCCTCTGAATTTTGGGGAAGGCTGATTTGAGTAATAATAAAACTCCAGTCTCCTGTGTAGCTGGCTCTATACATATTAAACTCTTTCTCTATTGCAATTCCCTGTCTTGATAAATTGGCTCTATCTGGGCATTGGGCAAAGTAAATCCATTAAGTGGTTACATCTGTTTGTCAGCAATGGCTTGAATTATCACTATTCCCCCAGAGACTGAATTAAATCTGCTAAGTTATCCTTTTCTCTGTTCCTCATTTTCTTTTTGGCCATATGAGGAGGTTGGACAAAACAGATTCCAATTTTCCTTTCAATTCTAACTTCTGATTCTCAAGAAAAAAAAAAGGGTTTCATCAGGGACTTAATTTAAAAAATACTTCATGTAGCAGTGGAATCCGAAAAGCCTCCTGGTGCAAGAATCAGGACTGAGAGGGAGCACCTGTTTGAAATTGAATGTGACACTATTCTTTTCTGAATCTTCTATCCTCATCTGAGAAATAAGTGGCAGGTAGCCGCATGGCCCTAATGTGGGTCTACAACTGTTCTCTGAGGGCACATAGAAGAAGTGTGGGGAAGCATGTTTATTGTCATACTCACACAGTAAGTGAGGCTGGGATGCTAAGATACTCACAATGAGGAAAACATTCCTGCATACTGAAGAACTGTCCTATTGAAATAGTCGGAATTGTCACCATTGAGGTCACCTTTGCATTGTTTCAAGGATGCCTATAGGATATTCCAACTTTAGCATTTTGTAAAAGGCTAATTGAAATAATAGGTGCTCAATACATTTGTGTTTAGAAGAGTTTTCAGTTTTGCAATGCTGTGACTTTTATAATATTGCATAACTCTAATTATCCTTGAAATTCTGTTCTTGACCTATATTAAAAAGACCAACATTTTTCTTCTTTTAAGCACTTGGTTTCCAGAAAATGCTATGCACACTCATTTCCTATAACCTTTCCTTCATGAACCTACATTATAGCCTCAGCACTTCTCAAAGTTCCAGCTATCAGAATTGGGGGAAATGCAGCAGCTAGGGACCCATTTGTGAATTTTAGTCCATCATTAAGCTGTTTACATCTTCAATTCTAGGAAGAAAAACTGAAGATGGACCACCTCGGGCTCTGGCATTGCTAATTCTCCTATTTATAAAATTATCTTTTAAAAACATATATATTTTCCAAGTTCCTTCTTTGTGTCAAACACTGATGTAGAAGCCTTGCAAACATTATTATTAAGACAACACTTCACTTGCAGATTATTTCCCCATTTTCAAAATGAGGAAAGTATGTTCTAGTGAGATTTGTACATTTGCCTAAGATACACAGATACTAGTGATGGATGTAAGTTTAAACATACATCTGTTCAAATCTGTTTCAGAGAAAATTATATTATTACATTCTGTATCCAGTTATATTTACAATAAGTTTGGTGAGCAATTTATTATCTCAATCAAGAGAAAGCTGTGACATTTTTTCGTATTTATTCTATAGGGATATTAAAAGTACGTAGTTTTTTAAAATGATGATGTCTATTTGATACTGCTACATACTTTTCCAAGACAATTTTAAACTAAAATATTTTAAAATGTATTTCCCCACAAAATTCTCACTAAGTTCCAAGGGGTCTGTGTGTATGACTCACAATTCCCAAGCCCCAGTTCATAGAACTGAGAACTGAAAGAGGGTCAGAGAAAATGGTGAAGCCTGGAGGAATTTTCAGAAGAGAAGATCATGCTTGCTGGGGAGCTCAGAAGAGCCCCCACAGCATCCAGAATGAATGAGTTGAGATTTCTTGGGTGCATTTTCTGCCTCACTGAAGTGCTGATTGATTTGGTTTGGTTCTGTGTCCCCACCCAAATCTCATGTCAAATTGTAATCTCAGTGTTGAAGGTGGGGAAGGTGCTGGTGGAAGGTGCTTGGATCATGGGGGTGGTTTTTAATGGTTTAGCGCCATCCCCCTAGTGCTGTCTTGTGAGTGAGTTCTTGTGAGACCTGGTTGTTTGAAAGTGGGTAGCACGTTGCCCTTCACTCACTTCCTCCTGTTCTAGCCATGTAAGATGTGCCTCCTTCCTCTTCATTTTTCACCATGATTGTAAGTTTCCTGAGGCCTCCCCAGAAGAAGAAGCCCTGCATAGACCTCAGAACAGTGAGCCAATTAAATATCTTTTCTTTATAAATTACCCAGTCTTCAGGTAGTTCTTTATAGCAGTGCAAGAAAGAGCCATTACACTGATAAATGTTTAAGAAGGGGTGGGAGGGAAGCCCTGAACAGTAGCACCTGCTAATTCCTCTGGTGTGAAGATTTCCTCCATGTCTACCTATAAGCCCCTGGCCCACCTAGTCACATAGTTGGGCAGAGATGTCCTTGATGCTGACTCCAGCACATCACTCCCTGCATCCCCTGTACTTAAAGTGGCAGCGGGCTCACAACTCTCCTCCGTTACTCAGAAAAGAATGTGATCAACTTTGACACCATGGGATGAGCCTGGCTACATTCCTGCATTTGCATATTCATGGACTCACTCATTCCACTGAAATTATGGTGCCAAACTCTATACCAGGTACAATGTCAAGAGCAGGAGGTAGAAAGGTTCAGAAAGGTGACCAGGAGCCAGTTCCACCAGTTAGTGGTGGAAGACCGGCACAGAAGCAGACAGTTATAATACTGAGTTCTTGACTATTTCTTCGTTATTTACAGTTCACTGTTTCCTCACTTTCCACTGCCCTGCATACCCTCACACCCATCTTCCCCAGCTTAGATTCCATGAATACACTCTACTCCTCTGCCTTCTCTTCCTTTTCTCGCTTCGTAGCTGCAAAATGCAGCTGACACGTTTAACTATTTCCAGGGAATTGCCAAAGAACACGTGACAAGCAGCAGATATCATGCTAAGCAAGCAAGCTGTATGTATGGCCTCATTTAACCCTCACCAACAATCTTACAAAATGAGCCCTATTATAACTTTCATTTTACAGAGGAGAAACTAAGGTAGGAAGAGGTTAAATTACTCATCCAAGGTCGCACAGTTAATACATGACAGGCCCAGAATTCCAAATTAGTATACTGAACTACTTTTAACCTCACACAGTGTCTGAAAGGGCAGTGATCTGGTGGAGGGATTACAGTATTGGAGAAAGTGGGAATACAAAAGAGAGTGCTTGAAACTAGGCATTAAGATATCAGGATTTTAATCCCAGTTCTGCTAATGAGCCATCAAGGGACCTTACAATGTCACTTCCCTTCCTGGGACCTCGGTCCTTCATCTGAAAAATAATTGGGTTGTAACTGTGATATCTAAGTTTACCATCCAGAATCCTATGAGATGGTTTGTGCCTGCACCGCAGAAGGCATCTGCTCCCTTACAAACCCTTCATGAAGAGCATAAACCCTAGTGGAGGGTCAGTATGATGGGATGAAAAGAAAGCGCCCTATTCCAACTCTGTAAAATAATAATAACTTTATGTATTACAGTAACAAGGACAATGCTGTTATTATTAACAATCCCAACCATAACTCTCACTTGCTGAGCATTTAGAATGTATCCAGCATTACGGAAAATGTTTCCCTAGGCATTATGTAATTCAATCTTCACAACAGGTTGGTTAAGCAAGTATTAGCATTAGCTCATTTTACAGATGGCAAAGCAATGACTCACAAAGCTTAGGTAACTGGTTCTGTTTCTTGTTGGTTGCAAAGCTAGGGTAGAAACTCATTTTTCTCTAAGTTCAGAGCTTGCTGTCCCTACCACACTCAGTGCTCCCAGGAGGCCAGGGTGAAATACTTCTCATGACAAAGCGGCCACCTGTGAGCTCACTGTGTGTGCAGGGTTCATGTGTCCCTGTTTCCTGAATTTCATTCTTCCTATGGTTTCTTCAGCTAGCAAGTTTCCCAGCCATGTCTCATGCATAGCCCCCCCATGCAAGGCAGGCAAAGCTGGAATAACTTTAAGCCTAGGCCGATGCTGTCTTGTCCTCTCTGCTCCAGTAAAAGGCTTCAGCTTGGAGTGTTTGCACAACAACCAGTGAATCCTGTTCCTCCCCCAAATTCATATTTTAAAGCCTTAACTTCAGTTAAGATTTTTAGAGGAAATTGAGGTTAAAAAACTATTAGGATGGGCACTGATAATGGCTGATGTCCCTTAAAGAAGAGGAGATTGGAACAAAGAGGGGTGACCATGTGAAGTCACAGGGAGAAGCCAACCCTGCTGACACCTTAATCTTGGACATCTAGCCTGTAGAATTGTGAGACAATAAATTCCTGCTATTGAAGCCACCCCACCTGTGGCACTGTGTTATGACAGCCCTAGCATATGTGTTACCCATATTCATATAAAATTGCACCAATGAAAGAGTCATGTGTTTCAGGTATAAAATGTTAGGAACATGTTACAGTTAGCTCAACTAAAACACATGAAACCCTCTCTGGCAAGTGCTGGGGCAGCTTCAAAGGAATACATAAAATTTCAGTAAAGCCTCCTGGCCTGGGGCTGAACAAAAGTGTCTGAAGGACACAGGGTCAAGATGAGACACAAAGGATCACATTTTGTGCAAGTCTCATCTCCTTTCTTTGTGCCAGTTGCAATCCTAAGCACTAGGCACATGTTTTTATCAATCCTTGATTTTAAAGACACAGAAACTGAGGCAGAGCAAGAGAAAATGACTTACGTAGTTAGTGTAGGAAGTGACGTATGTCTGATAATACCTTTGATCCATTCAGAAACCTGGTTGTTGTCATTAGTCCAGGCTTCCCTGAAACTAAGGGGTGGAGCTGTGTACCAGTGATTGCAGTGCAGTTGAGGGTGAGGCAGGAGGATACAGAGTGTGTTTGTGGGACAGGTGGGGCCAGGCTTGGTTCAGCTTTGTAGGACCTTGGAAGGACTTGAGATAAATATGGCTTGGGTGCTGGTCCTTAAAGTGAAAGTTCACTTTGATTGATATAGAAAGGAGTAGGGCATTTCTGTAAGCCAAAACATGGCAGATGCAATAATTTTCCAGGGAATGTTCAGGATCCGGTGGGGATGGCTTAGACAGTGGGGTAGGGGTGATCTGGCTAAAAATTGGTAGATTCTGGATTCATAAAACCTGTGACCCATCTAGCTGTTGATAAGCTTCAAATTTCAAGAAGTGGACTTACATCCTGAGGCTGTGAGTCTTTCTCTAGCCAGTGATACACTGCAAAAAGTTCAGGCTTTGGAATCGAGCAGCCCAAGTAGGAAACATCATTTATAACATCAGTGACTTTGAGTAAGTTACTTGACTTTCCAAGCCTGAGTTTACCCATATATTAATGGGACAAATTCATTTCAGGTCTGTTTAGTGTGAAGATCAAATAGAACAGAAGCTTTGAAGTGCCTAGGGCATTACCCAGCAAAATGTTGGGACTCAGTAAATATTAATCTGTCCTCACCACCTCCTCTGCCTGAGCACTTATCTTTATCACTTGTCCTATGATCAAGCCAGACAGGATTTAGACCTAGGTAACCCTGTCCCTGCTAAGCAACTTTGCTTGTAGCTTTTGCACCCCAATTTTTTTTTCTGGGGACCTGTGCCCTGTGACTTGTTCTTGGGCTTGTCCTCTGAGCACCTGAAATTCTTTTGAGGTATCCATCCACGCCCAAATGCTCTGACTCACAGGTCTATATTGACATGTGTCCACCTCAGAGCTGAACACTGTCCTACCGTCATTTTGATTAGGCCATTTTGATAAAAGGAATGATTTAGTATGATATTTATTTATTTATTTATTTATATTTATTTATTTATTTTTCTGAGACAGAATCTTGCTCTGTTACCCGGGCTGGAGGGCAATGGCAGGATCTCGGCTCACTGCAACCTCTGCCTCCGTGGTTCAAGCGATTCTCCTGCCTCAGCCTCCCAAGTAGCTGGGACTATACCAAGATGCCTGGCTAATTTTTTTTTTTTTTTTTTTGTATTTTTAGTGGAGATGGGGTTTCACCATGCTGGCCAGGCTGGTTTCGAACTCCTGATCTCATGATCTGCCCGCCTTGGCCTCCCAAAGTCCAAAGTGCTGGGAAAACAGGCGTGAGCCACCATGCCTGGCCTGGTATGATATTTATAATGTTGCCCTAAACCTCACTCCACTCCTAGCTACACGTACATGGGGAATAAAAGATGAGGGAAGTGAGGAGAGCTGCTAGTGAAGGGTTGGGGATCGAAGATGGGCTGGGGATGCAATGGTTACCATGTGTCTGTTGGGCACAGTAATTATTACTTTAAAATTTTAAATGCTTCATGCTTGTTTTTAGGCAAAATCACAAGGTTTCTCCATTATGATAGCTCTATTAAAATCCTATGCAGACCCTATTGCTTCTATTTAGGTATCTTGTGATCATTTCTGTGGACCACACTGTATTTTTTCCCACATACTCAGCTTACAATATTATCAAGTACACCTACCAATTTAAAAACCTGCATCCTGAAAGTGACATTTTAAAGTCTGGCTTTCACCAGGTCTCTTAGGCCGAAACTAGTCCCATGAGCAGTGACTTGCAGCTCTTGATTTCCGGTTCTCACACACACCCTTGGACAGGAAGGTGCCTCATTGGCACCAGGGCGTTGTCTTTCGGCTTTCGGGGAGAGCAGTGACTAACTATCCAGCACTGCCCTCCAAGGAGGCTACTTCCTGGTTCAGCCCAGCTCTTACTATCCTGCAGAAAATGGTGCATCCATCCACCAATGGGAGGTGATGGGCTCCTGGCCTTGAGGGTTACTGAAATAACTGCAATCGTGGAAAGTGGAATTAGCTTTGTCCCCATATGTTTCATAACATTTTGTATCTCTTCTTGCCTCATCCATATCTGTATTGCAATCATTTGATTTCAAAGCATCCTGGGGCAATGCAAAAGCTAGGTTTCAGGACAGACATGCTGTGTTAACAGGTTGCAGTTGACTGTGAGCTGTAGGGTTTGGGCACATCCATAAGCTTGCTGAGTCTGTTTTTTACTTTGTAACGTAATACTAACTACACATACTCCACAGGATGTTCAAGAGTCTTAGGTGATCTCATGCATGTAGTTACCTTAGGGTAATGTTGGCCCAACATATTACGGTTACTCCAAGATGAGTAATATGAGCTTTCAGCCTAAAACGTTACCAAGAGAACTAATGAAATGCCAGGCAACATTAACAGAAATGTGGTGACCAGGAAAAAGACAACGAGAGTTAACAGTTAAAGTAAGCTGGTAAGATCAAACCTGAATCCTGGGGTCTCTTCCAAGAATTACACATCAAAAGTGATTTTGGCAAGCAGACACACAGTCAGAGGACAATGGTTGACATTGAGGAGAGGATAGAAATAAAAATAAATAATGTTAGAAAAAACTGAGATGGTTTACCTGAAGTAGGCAAAAGTTGAGAGCACAGGAAAGTTGTCATAGGACACAGAGGGTGCCACTATGATGTGCCAGGCTTAGTAGGTAACAGATAGAGAAGAACTGGGCTTAGTAGATAACAGATAAAGAAGAAGAGATTCCAGCTCAAAATATAAAAGAAGTTTCCTAATTTGATGACCTCCTTCAACCGTAAACAAATCCTCCTAGCCCAAGAGTTTCTCTTATGCTATTGAGTCATACATCTGCATATTTTACTTGTATCCTCTTAGGCAAATGAAGGCATATATATAGTTTTACTCAGCAAAAAATATTCATGAATAGCTGTGCATACATCAAAAGTATATATGAATCATCTTTTATCATTGACCTACATTAATCTCCTGTGAGCGCTCTAAATAATTCAACTTTGATTTTCCTGGGACCAGGTTCAATCAGCCAGGTGCTCTACCATCCAATATTAATGTCTTATTTTGTCTACTCAAGAAGGAAACCAACAGTTGTCCCTTTTTCTTTTTCTACATCATCAATTTCCCCTTTCTTTGGGATAAGTCTGATTAAAATTATATATTACTTTTTCCATTAAAGAAAACCCTGACTTGATTTTATATCGTAACCTCCAGTTATTACCCCAGTTTTTGCCCCTATTTACAGTTAAAGTATTCAAATAATGGTCTACATTTACTCTCTCCAAATCCTTTCCTCCTGTTCTCTCTTGAGCTCTCTCTATGTATCTCATATACATATATATGTATACAAATGTATTTATATACAATCATATACATATATTTGCCTACTAATCCACAAATGTTACTTCTGTTTTATTCACCAAGGCCTTCCATATTGCTTATTTAAGGCCTAATTCTCAGTCCATCTGGCTTGATCTATTAGCACTTTATATGCTAGATCTGTCCCTCTTTCTGGCCACACTTTCTTTACTTGACTTTCGGTCAACCCATTCTCCAAGTTTCCTTCAGGGTGGGCTTTTTTTTAGTGACTATGTTGTTCCTTTTTACCCTTAAGACCTTTAAATGAGCCTCAGTTCTTGGATTTCCTTACTTTGACCTGCTTTCTAGGGAACATTTAGATGCCCAGCTTTACATGCTATTCCTGTTCTGGAAACTCTCAGATGTGCATTTCTAGCAAGGATGTCTCTCTTGAACCCTGACTTGTAGGTTCAGCTGTCTACTTGACATCTCCCTTGGAGGGGGAAGAGACATTTCTAGCCAGGCATATCTAAAATTCACTTCCTGTTATTTCCCATGCCCTGCCCCACCTCTGCATCTCAACTAATGACAACTTTATTTTCTTAGTTAGCCAGGTAAAAAACTTCAATGCATTTTTTAACTCTTTTCCCTTACCCTTCAGATGCAATTCATCAGGAAATCCTATTGGTTCTCCCTTCTTCATATATCCAGACCTGACCATTTTTAGCACATCTATTCCTTGACTCAAGCCATCATAATATCTCTCCAGAGTATTGCAATAACTTCTAAGTGATCCTCCTTCATTTTACACATGAGCCAAGAATGCTTTGTAGTCAGAAGCAAGAGTAATTCTTTAAAACGACAAATTGGGCCAGGCACGGTGGCTCATACCTGTAAGCCCAACACTTTGGGAGGCCGAGGCAGGTGGATCACCTGAGGTCAGGAGTTTGAGACCAGCCTGACCGACGTGGCAAAACCTCGTCTCAACTAAAAATACAAAAAAAATTAGCCAGGCATGGTGGCTTGTGCCTGTAATCCCAGCTACTCAGGAGGCTGAGGCAGGAGAATCGCTTGAAACTAGGAGGCATACGTTGCAGTGAGCCGAGATCATGCCACTACACTCCAGCCTGGGCAAAAGAGAGAGAGATTCAGTCTAAAACAAAAACAAAAAAACAAATAAACGTAAAAATAAATAAATAAAAGATAAATCAGATCACACCATTCCTCAGTCCAAGGGTGTCCCAGCTCATTCAGAATAAAAACCAAATTCTTTAAAATGATCTGCAAGTCCCTACATGAACTGTCCCTATGACCTCTCCGCCCTTCTCTGTGTTCTCCCTCACTCTTCTCCAGCCACACTGGCCCCTTGCTGTTTTATGCACTCATTAAGCATGCGGTTGCCTTTTGGTTTTACACATGCTCTTCCTTTCTCTAGAACTGTTGTTCTGTCTCATATCTCCATGGCTGCTCCTTCACCTCCTTCAAGTCTTTACTCAAATATCACCCATGCCTTCCCTGAGCACCTTTTTCAGAGGCACACCTTTCCCTGTCCCAGCACTTACTAGCATCCTTCCCTGCTTTGTTTTTATTCATAGACTTGGTCATCATTAAGCACATTTTATTTTTGTTTATTTTCTGTCTCTTTCCTCCTGGCTACTCAACCCTATAAAGAAGGAATGTTTTCTTCTTCTTTTGTTCTCTACTCCATCTTTAGCACCTAGAATAAGCCGTGAATTGAATTGTTGTCTCAAGCCACACCGAGGCAAGAGGAGAAAGCAGTTATGGGAACCCAGCGAGAGTTGAAACTGTAGGAAAGTGCTGCCCACAGGAGCTGCTGCAATCCAAGAGGAGCACCTTGGCTGTGGCCAAACTCCCATGAGGCAGACAGGGAACCCTAAGAACCAGTAGCTCCCAGCTCTTCTTCCTTTGATCTCCCATTTCTTGCTGCTATATCCCATTGACCAATTCCAATAGGAAGCCAGAGCGTAAGAGCCCATTTGAGGCAGTCTCTCAGGATACCTTTCAGAGTGAACAAAGGTAGAGAGTGAACCTGGAGAGGCAGACAGAATGTACCTTGAAAAGTCAGAAAATAAGCAGCCAATTAGAAAGAGATACAATGCCTTCATTTTAATTATAGAACTCACTGGATTTTCTTCAACTGAATGAATTTGCGGTACCTCTGTGATGAATGAAGGGAACTTGGGGAGGAGACATTGAACCAGAAGTATGTTTTGTTCTGCTTTTATTTACCTACCGTAAGTTACTTTCTCTAACAAGAATGACATTGGAGAGTATGCATTTGACTTAGAATATCTGTCCCAAAAGGGATTTTGGATGGCTTGCTTAAATGCACACAATGCAATAAGTAGAAACATAAATTGCATTGAAGAAGCACATTGTACTTGAATACAGAAATGCTGGGAAGGGCAAAATTCTTTGCTAATGTTTTGCTGGACTATTCTAATGAGCAAAGATTGTGTTAATCTTGGATTTTGGCTTTACCCTCTTTCCAAACATCAGCCCCCTGAACAAGAATTTCACAACTCCTGAGCATTTTTATTGTGCTCACAATTGCCTGGGACATAAAAGCCCTGGGGCCCTGGTCTGCAACTGCCTGAGGCTGTCTGTGGCTTTGGGTCATAGCTGAGCCTCTCATGACCCTGTCTTACTTTCAGCTCAGATATGCTGTGTTCCATTTGATGATAGTTTGATATCAAACATAAACCAAGTCCTAAACCTAAATTAAATGTGTAGATTAAACTAAGACTCAACATTCCTGCAGTGTCACATTTCCCTTACTAAACAATCTAATAATCATTTACTCAAGTTTATAGATTTCAAGCTAAAGGTTGTAGAAATATCTAAACATCATTCTATAGTTAAGTAAGCAGCAAGTCCTATTGCATTAGTCACTAGATCAAAAGTGAAAAGGGCTCCAGGAGAGGAGAATGTTTGAAATGTTTTGAGACTCAGCCCCACCACTTTCCAACTGGTGAATCTGGCCAAATTATAAGCTTTTCTGGGCTTGATCTCTCATCTGCAGAATGGGAATAGTAACACTAGCACTTACTATACTGTGCTGTTACATGAGGATTAAATGAGTGAACATTTGAAATGCTTAGAATAGTGGCTGGCACAGAGTAAGCACCCTATAAGTGTTGACTAAAATAAATTACTATATTTTCAACTTTCACTTTACAACATTTTCTCACTGATCCTGCTATAAAAAAATTAAGAGGTTACTAGTAGCTTTTGAGAAAAGTATAGTCTGTTATACAAGGATATTTATGTGATATATAAGGTTGCATTGCTTTCACAAAATTGATTTTTAAATCTAACTGGTAAAATAAATAAATTAGGAGAAATAGTAGGCAGAATAATGCTTTCCCACAATCCACAAAAGATGTTCATTCCCTAATGCTTGGGACCTGTGTATATGTTTGTTGTTTGTTCATACAGAAACAGGGTGATATGGTTTGGCTCTGTCCCCACCAAAATCCCATCTTGAATTTTAGCTTCCATAATTCCCACGTGTGATGGGAGAGACCCGGTGGGATGTAATTGAACCACTGAGGCAGGTCTTTCCCATACTGTTATCATGATAGTCAATAAGTCTCACGAGATATGATGGTTTTATAAAGGGCAGTTCCCCTGCACACGCTTTCTTGCCTGCCATCATGTAAGACATGCCTTTGCTCCTCCTTTGCCTTCTGCCATGATTGTGAGGCCTCCCCAGCCACGTGGAACTGTGAGTCCATTAAACCTCTTTCCTTTATAAATTACCCAGTCTTGGGTATGTCCTTATAGCAGCGTGATAACAGACTGATACACAGGGGCTTTGAAGATGTGAATGTTAGGATCTCCAGATGAGAAGATGATCCTGGATTATCCAGGTAGGCCAAATCTAACCCTTAAAAGAGAACAACCTTTCCCAGCTATGGCCAGAGGGAGGCTGACTGTAGAACAACAGTGGGAGAGATGCAACATCGCCAGCTTTGAGGACACAGAAAGGGGCCATGAGCCAATGAATGCTGGTGGAGTCTAGAAGCCGAAAAAGTCAAGTCAACAAATTCTTCCCTGGGCCCTCCAGATAGCTTAAGTTTAGGTCAATGAAACCTGATCTTGATCCATAACTGACCCATACCTGTAAGATCATAAATGCATGTTGCCTTAAGCCACTAAGTTTGTGGTAATTTATGATAGCAGCAAAGAGAAAACTAATACACGAGATAAAAATTGGCTCATGAAAGTACTTCACTTTAAATAATGTTTTCACTTGCATTTGTATATCTATATTAATTTGCTTTTATTGGGAGGTGTCTGTGAGCAATGTTTTGGTAATGAGTTTGCCCTGTTCAAATTTCACCTATCCTTCAAAACTAAGAAATTGATACACCAGGAAATAGTGAAAAGGCGATGTGATTTAGAGTTAAAGATACGTGGGCTTAGAGTTCCCAGATTAACTGAATAATATTTTAAAAGTATGAATATATTCCATGCAATAACTGCAACATACATATAGTTAAACAACAACAGAAAGAGCATGCATTATTTATCTGAAATTCAAATTTAACCGAATGTCTTGTATTTCACCTGCCAGTGCTACCTGGATGAAAATCATGTGTGTCATAAATATAAATGGACCCTTAGGCCGGTGAGTCCCAGACTGGGCTGGATATTGGAATGTCCTGTAGAGCTCTTATAAATCCCAATTCCTAGCTGGTGATTTAATTAAGTAAATCATTATCTCTGAGGGTAGGACAGAAGAATGAGAACGTTTCAAGTTTCTCAGGTAATTCCCAATGTGCAGGTAATAACTCACACAATGGTTCTGTAACTATGTTGTTTATAGGAATTACCCAGGGAGCTTATGAAGATGTAGTTCCTGGTTTTATCTTAAGAGATTCTGATTCAGTAGGACGGGAGGAAGGGGGATTCAAGAGCTTCCGTTAACCAGCATCCAGGTGATTTTGATGAACTATCAGTGACTCACACTTTAAGAAACCTAAAATATCTTGGAACATGTGGCAACAATTTCAACTACAAGGAAACTCACTGCACAGGTATTATGAGGATTATTTCACTTAGGTGTACACACTGTAGAAATTTACTTTACACGAATTGCTAAAAATATAATCATTGGATTCCTTTTCTTCTTCCTTAAGTTCTTCCATTGCCTAGAAGCCTTTCTTGGTTTCTTTAGCTCTGTTGAACCCCACCCCTCTCCCCTATCTTCCTGTAGGATCAGGAGTTTATGCCACATAGCTGAATTCAAGTTAAACTCATCTTAAGTTATTCTCTCTGATT
This sequence comes from Homo sapiens, assembly GCF_000001405.40. Lineage (NCBI taxonomy): Eukaryota > Metazoa > Chordata > Mammalia > Primates > Hominidae > Homo > Homo sapiens. The sequence continues at coordinate 11,625,887 of NC_000004.12, read as the reverse complement.
TCAGGGTGGTTGATCTTGCCTTCCCCATGTGCCCACACTTTTCTATTCACTGGTCGAGGAAACAAGGATCACCTACTTGGTTTTCCTGTTTAATCCATCAAATGATCCCGAAAGGTTGATGCTTTTGTCTCTATTGCCTGACATGATGCTGTGTCTTCATATGATTTTCATCTGGAATTTGAAACTCAGAGAAAATTGTCACAGCAAAGGCAGACACACACAACTCTGTGTCTTTCTGTCTTCAGGACCAATATGCTTTCCATAAAGTACCCCACCCCTCCTGAAACTAAGCCAGGGGCTGATCTCATTTTTTCAAACCTTTTCTGTTACCACCCTCCACCAAGCCCAGTTCCACTCTCCGATGAGGTTCAGTGCACAGCGGTCATTTGGCAGCACATTCCCATGGACTGAATGACCCATGCATTATGGGAAACACACTAAGCTCGGAAGAAAGGCTTTTTCCTCCTTTTCCTTAATTCTTGGCGCCTGCACTTTCACAATTCCTGCTTGGAAGGACATGAGTCCAAGAAGGTCGGCATCTGTCCTTCTATGCCGGGGCCACCTGGGGCTTGCCTGAATGGCCCAGGCCCACTGGGTTTGAGAGGCAGGAAATTACTGCCTACGGGGTCAACTTGGACCTTCACAGAAAAAATAGCTGACATTGTTCTGACCATGGGGAATAATATCTACAAATAGCCTAATGTTGTTTGAAGGAACAATAGCAGCACAAATTACTGCTTCCCCCTGACTCCCACCCCACCAAACAGATAGGGCTTCACTTGCTACGAGCAACAAGCTCGAGTGTTTCAGTTGGTGTAAGGAACATTTAACAAGTGAAACACCCTGGATTCTATATGTGCCTTCCATGTCCCCACGTTCTCAGACCGATATGTTTTATATATGGGCAAGAGCAGAGATTTTGGTGTTGGAAAGAACTGTGTTCAAATACCAGCTCTATCACTGAATAGATGCAAGCCTTGAAAATGTATTGTAAACATTCTCGAGTTTCTATAATCAGGAGGCACTCTAGTGGAGGCATTGCCTGGTCTTTACTCTGTACCCAGAAGCTGTGTGATTCTAAGAAAAGCATTTCTATCACTCACTGTGAGGGAGTTCCAGGGTTCTTCTCAGTACTGTGCCAGAGAGAGCCTTCAGCTGACCAAATGCCTACAGTTATCAGAGATAGAAGGACACCTATGGTGCAAGCTGAGGTTTGTTGGCACAGGCACAGGCCTCCTGACACACCTAAGAAGCATGCTTCACTTTCATGAGCCCCTGGCAAAGTCACCTCGAGAGAACAGGAACATGAGTTAGTCAATCTTCCTCTCCATCTGATGTAGCCTGCGTGTCACCAGGACACATCCCTGAAAGGAGAAGGCTATGCAATACACTGACTTGTAGTGAATAGGAAGTGGGAGGCTGCCTAGGGGTCTGGACTCAGAGGATAAAGATCTTAGGACACAGAAGCTCAAGGAGGTCAGCTTGGCCAATTATAATTTAAAGTCAAAGGTGAGGTGTGGTCTATCCTTTAGCCAAGAGATTATCTTCTCTGTGTCCCTCAATTTTATTATTTTGAATAAATAGTATTTACCTCTGCAGATGGTGCTTATGAAGTATGTGATATAATCATTAACGTTTCTTCCAAATCTTTCTGCTATAGAAATTTCACGGGCTGATTGTAAAAAGAGGCAGAATATCCTGCCAAGGTGTAGCCTGTGTTGGTAATATGTCAGGCTAGCCTCAGTTTTCTCATCTGTAGAATGGTAATGAAATTATAATATTCATGGCAAGTATTAAATGAGACTGGTTGTAGAAAAGTGCTTTGTAAATTATAAAGAACATAGAATATTAGTTGTTTCTTTTTTCTTTTTGTTGTTTTATTTTGTCTCATTTTCTTTTTCCCCAGTCTTTCTGTCCTAATTCCCACAGGACAGACACACTGCGTCAAAGATGGTAGTGGCTGCAGCTTTCAGAAACACACTCTCTGTGAAAGTCCACTTGGGCAGGCAGGGGGAGCTACTTGCAAATAGCATTAGGAAGCAAGTTCCAAACAGTAGGTCTAATGTTACTCTTCAGGTAACTCTCAGCAAGCAGGAGATTTGGAGTTGGTTTGGCAACTGGATCAAGATAGACTTGGCAACCTAGTTTATATTACTTCAGCAAACACAGGTTGTATAATGTTTTAAAAGGCCACTTGGTACGTTGTCAGAATTCGTTTAATAATATACTTTACGATATTTATTTTTTCCAGTGTGTGTCAGGCAGCATGCTAAGCATTTGGAGTATAGGGGTAGGCAAGACTGAAACCATCCTTTCCCTAACACAACTAGCATAGAATTACAAAATACAAAAAAACTACAAAAAGGTAAGATAAAAGTTTATTGTGGGTGTATATTATTGTCCAGGGATATTTTCTTGCAACCCTACCATTCCATGAATTTTGAATGTGTATGATCTCCCTCCTATCTCCAGCATTTCAGATGTACAGCAGGAACCAGAATATGTTAGGTTTACATAGGTGTATATTGTTTTCTCCTGAATCAATTGAAATTCCTTTGTGATGATGAGCTAGGGAGACAAGAAACACCTAGGACTTCCAGTTTCTCTCTTTCCTTGTTCAATCAGGAGCCCGGACAATAATGGATCTCAATACACAAAGGGAAGCAGAAAGATAAAGAAAGCTTACATTATGGCTGGGCACAGTGGCTCACGCATGTTAATCCCAGCACTTTGGGAGGCCAAGGCGAGCGGGTCACGAGGTCAAGAGATTGAGACCATCTTGGCCAACATGGTGAAACTCCATCTCTACTAAAAATTCAAAAATTAGCTGGGTGTGGTGACAAGTGTCTATAATCCCAGCTACTCGGGAGGCTGAGGCATGAGAATCTCTTGAACCCAGGAGGTGGAGGTTGCAGTGAACCGAGATCGCACCACTGCACTCCAGCCTGGCAACAGAGCGAGACTCTGCCTCAGAAAAAAAAGGAAAGCTTACATTATCATTTGAGCCAGATCCAGCAATACCTGAAGCCAGGAGAACCCTAGGACCTGCCTCCTAAAGTAGTTATCATTGGGTGTTTTGTCTTTTGCCACAAAAAAAGAAAAAAAAAAGAGTCTTAACTGACCATGCTATACTGGTGGAAATGCAAGTTTCTGTGAGAACATAGAGAGATTCTGGGGGTCAGAAAGATGTCAACAAGAGTAACCTTTAAGGAGAAGTCCAGTTTTTCCAGACAGGAAGTCAGAGAACAGGAAGACCCAGAAATGAGGCAGGACATGGTGCGTTTAAGGACTTGAAAATTTGTCAGTATGGCTAGAACAAAGTTTGCAAGCAGTATGTGCACATGTGTGCATGTGTATGTGTATGCATGATGGAGCTGGAGGAATGAGGAAGGCCAGGAACAATACACGAGGTACTGACTTCTGTCCCTATCACTTCATGGCCTTGAGCATGTCACAATTTCTTTCGTCTGTGAATTAGAAATACTCGTATCTAATTAATAGGGATGATGTGAAGTTTCAATAAGATGAGTAAAGCAATGCAGGTAAGAACATCCATCCACCTGGGGCGTGGGTCTGCAGAAGAGCCTGAAGACCCTGCTATGCTTCCAACTGCAATGACTGCCACAATATTTTTGGAAATAGGGTACGCCTGCCCCAGAAACTGGGCCTCCAGCTCTCCCAGATGGCTAACCGGGAGAGACCCTGGAAGGAGCCTTCAGTGTCCTGCCAGCGCAGAAATAAAACATCTGAGCTCCTCACCTGGCTCAGGCCAGGTAACAGGCAGCCTGGGCTAGAGAACCAATGGCCAGCCTCAGCAGAGCTGGTGAATCAATCCTCAGCTTCTTGATGTACACAGATACCCTTTATGTGAAGCTGGTCATGGAGGGCTCCAAAGGGCTTTCCCGTGTCAGCACCTAACTGTCCCAAAGCAGCTACCCCTCAACTTACCCATCCTTAACAGATGTACCTGGCAGAGGAAGTACCATGCCATACTATTCCCATTGTCTTTACCCTGGGCGAGCATCACTGCTTCCTGCAGTTAAACAGCCTACCACCCATATCATGTAATGCTGGTTAAAGCTCTTATTTAGCACAATGCCTGTCATACCACAAGCAAGTAATGAAGGTTAACTGTTCCTATTATATGACCATTATGTGAAACAACTTAAAAAGTCTAAAAGCAGTATGTGAAAGTAAATACTGAGTGCAAAGAAAGAAATTAATTCAACTAATGTTTACTAAGAGCCTGTGCATGCCAGGCCCAGTTCTAGGCACTGGTGAAACAGTTGTAGACACAATTATATAAGGTTTCATGTAAAGGGAAATTACATATAAGCCCCCAAGACAGCATTCTCATACTTACAGATTTTATGTCCTGCTGGGGAAAAAAAGACAAGAGAAAATCAGTAAATAAATATACCATATAATTTCAGATGGAAGGAAGTGCTATGAAGAAATATAAACCAGAGTAAAATGATGGAGTATTAGGAGGTCATGTTGGGGAAATGTGTTTTAGGAGTGGCTGTCAAAGTAGGTCTCTAAAGGTGTGGAATCTCAGAATGAGGCCAGGGAGTGAACTCTATAGAGGTTGGGATCATGAGAATTCACAGAACCAAGAGAGAGTGCAAAGATTCTGATATTGGAATAACCTTGAAGTATTAGAGGGACAACAGGAGGCCAGCATGGCTGAGGAACATAGAGAGAAAATAAAAGTCCAACAAGTGAGATTGGAAGCAAGCAAGGGCCTGAGCACATGGGTCTGCTGAAAGCAGTAAAGTCTTTGAATGTTTTTTCTAAAGGAAACGAAAAACCATTAGACAGTTTACACAAAGGAGTGATATGATATGATTTACATTTGCTAAAGATCATTATTTGGTTTGCTTGGGCTGCCATAATAAAATGTCACAAACAGAGTGGCTTAAGCAACAGAAGTTTGCTTTCTCACAGTTAGGGAGGCTGGAAGCCTGAGATCACGGTGTCACTAGGGTTGGCTTCTTCTAAGGCCTCTCCTTGGCTTGCAGATGGTTCCCTTCTCCCTGTGTCTTCATGTCGTCTTTCCTCTGTCCACGCAGCACATGTCTGCATCCAAATTTTCTCTTCTTATAAGGACAGCAACTATGTTGTATGAGGGCTCATATTAAAGACTTATTTGAACTTATTGTCTGTTCAATAGTTGTATCTCCAAATACAGTTGCATTGTGAGGTACTAGGAATTACAACTTCAGCATATGAATTTTTAGGGTCACAATTCAGCCCATAACAATTTCTCTGGCCACTCTGGGGAGGATAACTGTCTGAGGGAGACAGTGGCGAGGAGCAAAAACAAGGTCAGCTGAGAGGCTATTTCAACAGTCTAGGTGAGAGATAGTAAAAGCTTGGACTCCAGTGGTTACTAAAGAGTTGGTGAAAAGTGATCAGATTAGGGGTATATCTGAAGTTTCAACTGACACAACTTGAAAGTAGGTTGATATTATAATGCCAAGAAAAAAAGTGAGTGAGTCTTGTTGGTATTTATCAAAATGTGGAAGATTAGAGGAGGAGAAAGTTGGAAACACAAGGGTCAAGAATTTTGGACATCGTAATGTTGACATGCCTATTAGAGGTCAAGAAAGTTATTGAACATGGAGCACTACTAAAAGGTCAGAGTCCTAGTCACTGACACGTAATTGGTCTGTGAAGCCATGGGCTTGGATAGGATCTCTAAGGTAGACAGTCTAGATCAAGCGTGTCCAACCCACAGTCCATGGGTCACATGCAGCCCAGGATGCCTTTGAATGCAGTCCGAAACAAATTTGTAAACTTTCTTAAAACATTATGACATTTATTTGTGATTTTTTTTTAGCTCATCAGCTATCTTTAGTGTTAGTGTATTTTATGTGTGATACAAGACAATTTTTCTTCTTCCACTGTGGACCAGGGAAGTCAAACAATTGGACATCCCTGGTCTAGATAGGAAAAGGGCTGGCCACAGAGCCCCATAGATATTAGTGTTTCAAGGAAGAAAAGAGGAATAGAACCAATCAAAAAAGACTGAGACATAGCTGCTGAAGGAGGAGAAGCAAGAGAGCATAGGATTCATGCAGCCAAGTGAAGAATATTTTGAAGAAAGACTGATCATGCTATATGCTGCTGAGAGGCTACAGAGACACTGACTCTAAAGGAGCTGAAGAATTGGCCCTTGCATTTTGAAGATTGTTAATGACCTTTACAAAAGACAGCAGTGTTGGTCAGATAAAGAGAGACCAAAAAGTGAGAAAATGAATTCAGCAGATAAATGTGTTGAAGACCTTTGCTATAACACAAAGCAAAGAAATAGAACAGTGTTGAGAGGAAGTTGTGTCAAAGAGAGTTTGGGAGTATTTTGCTTCTTAAGGTGGGAGATATTAGAATAGGTTACATTTAGCAAAAAGAAAAAAAAGAATAAATCAGATGAAATAAGGCAGGAGACGATTTCAGGTAAAAAATAATTATGAAAGAAAAAAAAGCCTTAAATAGCAAAAGCAAATGGAACCCAGTATACAAGTGACAGGTTTGGCCTTGATAAGATCAGGAGCATTTTATAGTAGGAAAATGTAGATGACTTCATGTGAGCCGAATCTTACTCTAGTATCTGAATCTATGTGGACCCCTGTATATGTCCTTTTCATCTCATTATCCAAGTTTAAGTAGAACGTCCTGAATTTCCTAACTCTGTCCACAGAACTCCCAACAAATAACTAGAATTCGAAACTTTCTTTTTTTTTGAGATAGAGTCTCACTGTGTTCCCCAGGCTGCAGTGCAGTGGCAGCTATCTCAGCTCACTACAACCTCAAACTTTCATGAAACCCAAGAATGAGTACTTAGGAAGTCATTGACCTTGCTTTGCTCTACAAAGTTTTTCCATCAGTTCTCTTTTCCTTGCCTGGTATACTTTATTTTAGCTAGTAGACTTCCTGGTATGCTTTGGACTCACTGAAAAAATGTAGTGGAAGTTAATCAGTGCCTGCCTCCTAGTTAAGAACTGGACTGTGCTATCAAAGGTCAGATGAGAAGCAAAGCAAAATGACTGCCTGGAACTAAGTATAGAAAATCCCCTGAATGAAAAGAGGAACAAGGAGAAGAACATGAGAAACAGGTTTTAATGAGTGCTCTTCCTTGAAACCCAGTTCTTGGGAAGTTAGCTTCACAATTACTAAGTATAATATTTTCTTCTGAAAAGAGCCCCTGGCTTAAGAGAGAAAGGCCAGGTTATGAATAGCAACTCCACCCCATGATCTGCGTGTCAACTATTTAACTCATTTAAGATTCCTTCTTTCCATGGGTAAAATGCTACTAACAAGCGCCCCTCAAGAGGAGGATTTTGGGGATTAAAAACATCTATAAGTAGAAGTCTTGGCAGGTGATCAATTAGGGTCTATTTCCTTTAAATGTATCTTTCCATGTTTAAGTTAATTAAGTGTATTGACCCATTACCAACAGGCCTAATAAACTAAATTTTCGCAGGCACTTAATGAATTTCAGGTAGTTTCAAGATATTATGTGTGATACATTAATCACAAAATTTCCCCTGTTCTCCAGGAGTTCATTATATTCCAGGTGATAGGGTGACAAGTAGAGAATTACTGCATGTTAGTTTACAATCATGCAGCCAGTACCATCATCCATAGCATTTACTTAGATGGCAGAAGGTTGAGATTTTGAGAGCGATCTGTGGCAATAGACTAGAAGAATCTGTATTATTTCTGTAATCAATGCATTTCCATGCAGGTTTTTTTTTTGTGGGAAACTCCCTATTTAGGCGCTATGGTAACATATATGAGATGAAGTCCCTCCCCCCTTATAGGAATAATGTAATTCAGAATCTCAATCAAATATACAGTCATTAAGTCATTCAGCCCTCTTCTGAGTGTCTGAGTACAGCAGCATGTGGTAGTATCTACTGCTGCACTCAAACACCCAGTACTTTAAATAAAAGTATTTAAGGCCTTTTGCAGATGGATCTTATGTGCGAATGGGAAAGATAAATTATATAAATAACTAAATATATACAATTCATATATATATTTGAATATATACTAGAAAACATAGCAAGAACATGGAGATGGACTTCAGACAGGTTGTGTGTGATGCCAAAATCCATAGGCTTTCCACTATACTAGGGGTTGGCAAACTATTGTCTGTAGGCCATATCCATCCTAGGTCTTGTTTCTATGCATAAAACTTATTGGAACACAGTCCTGCCCATCTGTTTGGAGGTTATCTATGGTTGCTTTCCAACTGCAACAGCAAACTTGAGTAGATGTGAGAGAGGTTATGATACCCACAAAGCCAAAAGTACTGACTATGTGGCCTTTTACAGAAGAAGTCTCCTGGCTCTTATGTTATACTATGCTGGGTACAATATAAACAGAGCTGCACAACCAACCACATCAGTTAGGTCAGTTATGGCCGTAAGCAACCAACAGCCCAACTAAAAAGTGGGGGAGATTATATATGTCTCAAAAGACAAGAAGTTGGCAGTAGAAGAGTCTCACGGTAAATATAAAAGTCAACTGCCATCACCAGTAGCATAGATTACTCTCTTCCATTCTTACATCTTCAGTCTCCATTTTCTCAGGATAGCTGTCCCAATGCCAGGTGTCACAGGAAATGCCAATGTCCAGAGGTGAAGAAAACAAGCAACCATACCTTGTGTCTCATTTTAAGAATGAAACACACCATCCCAGACCCTCCAGGTAGAGATCACTCTTTGTTGTTTCTTTGACCAAAATTGTGTCACATGCCTTTTTTTTTTTTTTTTGACAGTCTTGGCCTGTCGCCCAGGCTGGAGTACAGTGGTGCAATCTCAGCTCACTGCAACCTCTGCTTCACTGGTTCAAGAGATTATTAGGCCTCAGCCTCCATGAGTAGCTGGGAGTACAGGTGTGTGCCACCACGCCCAGCTAATTTTTTTATTTTTAGCAGAGATGGGGTTCCGTCATGTTGGTCAGGCTGGTCTCAAACTCCTGACCTCATGTGATTTGCCCGCCTTGGTCTCCCAAAGTGCTGGCATTACAGGTGTGAGCCACCACGCCCAGCCCACATGACCATTTTCAAAACAATCCCTTGCCAGAATAATAAGATCAATATGACTGGCTAAGTCCAATCACGACTCACTCCCGGAGGTTGAGAAAGGATCCACTTTTCCCTGAAATAGAAGACTACCCCCTACCTGATGAAAATTGGGTATCTGTTAGAAATGAAGAAGGGGACAGAGAAGGACATTAATAGTATCTGCTATATCAGCTGAAATAAATCATAGACATTTTTATTAAATATTACAAATTAAGCACTAAAATGTAAACTCTGTGAAGGCAGGAATTCTTATCTTTCTGGTTCACTGCAGTAGCACCAGGGTTAAAATAGTGCTTAACATAGAGTAGGTGCTCAATAAATAAATAAATATTGATGAAAAATATGAGTGCATTTTGGAGAGTTGGGGAAGGAACCAAAATACATCTAAGTGAAAAGCTGTTATACAGTGACAAGATAACAGTGCAACTCCATATTGCTATAAACTTTGGTTTGAGTGATCCCAGCCATCCACGTAAGATAACTGGCAAGTGAACACAGGCGAAGAGAAATTCTAGATGAGAGTGAAAATCCAGCTGGAAAATCATGGAATTCAAGGCCCGTTAGTCCATTTAAATCAGAGAACCTGTCCTTACCTTTGTCACTGGGTCCAGAGTAACAATCTGGAAGGAGGGAAGATTTTTGTGATTGCTTACCTCTCTTATTGCCTCATATGCTGACAGCAGCCTAAAAGAAACACAAGAGACTCTCACGTAGAGAAATGGGCCACTTTCAACAAGTATTTACCTTTGCTATCTTAATGCTTGGTTGTGTAGGTTGCACAAAATTAAATAATTCAACAACCTGAGAACTTTTATTACACATATTCATCATCTAGGAGACATTGGACTAGGTTTAGGGATAAAGGGGTGAGCAAACAGACAAGTAAAAAACACGTAAATCAGCATAAAGGAAAAACGCATCAGGGAGGGGTTTCTGGAAAACGTTACTGCTCAGTTGAGGCCTGCAGAACGACTGGGAAGTTAGCCAAGTTAAGAAGGGTGGAGGAGGCAGTCGTGCAGATGGAAACAGGCACCCAGGCTCAGAAATGAGTGTGTGGCATGCCCACGAGACACCGAGGATCTGGATTAGGGGGCAGGAGAGCCAGGGATGAGGCTTAGCTCTGAGTTAGATCCAGTTACTTCATTCATTTATTCACTTATAAATAGAGTCTCTCTGAGGTTGAAAGACATCCAACCCTCCTTAATTTTTGGATAATTTTGATGTATGAAAAATAGACAGATGCTCAAAAATATTTTCATTTAATAATGACTCATTTTACCAAGGAAGATAATACTATAATAATTATTTCAAGATGAGGTTTATAAAACAATTTGCTAGGTCACTACAGCAGGAGTTGTCAGAAAATGGGTCATAACTACAAACTTCTATGAGAAAGTTTCCCCCACCCTCAATTCTGTAACTTTATGTATTAGTGCATATATAATTTCATTTGGAGACATTAACAAGAGTCTAAATTTGAGGACATCGTTTACTGTAAAACTCAGGCCTAACAGTCTTCACTCAAGTACCCAAGTCAATGATTGATTTAAAAAATATCTATTATGGGGAGAACCTTGTAAAGCCTGGACGTGGAGATGATAGTGGAAAAAAACAAGTATGGCACTGTCCTCGCGGACAGTAATATTTATCTTTCCAGGAGAAAGATGCATATTAAAGAAACATAAATGATTCAATTACCTCATATAAGTGTTTTGAAGAAAAAGACAACCTATCTTTAGGTCTCAGTGTCTATATTTATAAAAAGAGGGGGTGATAAAAGACTCTCTTAATGGACCCTGAGGTTACAAGTTAAGACTGATTAATTAGTCTATGGAGAGGAACTGCTCAGAGCAGGTTAGGTGAAAGGCATTTGGAGATGGTTGCTGCAGCAAAGGGACAGGAAGATTGCTCAGGAAACACACAAGGTAGAGTTCAAAGCATCTATTCAAGTCCTAGAAGTCTTGGAAAATAATAGAGAAGTAGAGAAGTAAAAAAGTAATGGTAGAAACCTCCTTTATGGGCATTGTATCCAGAGAAGTTTAGAAGCCAGGGGACTTTGAGAGGCAGCCATCTGCATTTTGTAATGTCACAGATGAGAAAACTATGTTCAGACTCACCGGAGGTGAACAGACTGGCCCAGTGCAGGGAGTGAGTCAGCAGGAATGGCATTTTACGGAATCTAGTAGACTCACTGATTTTTCCAGAAATACAGGTTAGCTGAGTCGGAAGAGTTGTTTCTCCAGCCAAGCAATGCCCCGTTGCATGTAAATGTTTCTCATCCAAAAGGATGAACAGAGCAGGTGCTTGACCTCCAGAGTTCATGAGTCTAGACCTCAGAGACATGGATGTGTTTATCCGATGAATAATGATAGCAGTAAACAAAAAAGAAGAAGGAAAGAGGTTGTGGATAATGCATGAGAAAAATGACTCCTATTTCCTAGAATGAATTATAAAGTATGAGATCTAAAGGATGCCACACTCCCTTGGTCCCTATGAAGCTTTCCTGAACTGAGCAGAGCAGTTTTTTCTTGAAGTTTAACTTCTATCTAGAGGGGCATCAGAGCATCTTGTGGTTTTTTTTCCACCATGGCCTCTCTGAACCAAATTTTAGGTCTTTAGCTTCCCAGAGCAAAATCCCTGGGAAAAGCTGAGATAGCCAAATAATTGTGAAGCAGGACTCCAAGCAAGTATTCTTGATGTCCAAGATAAATGACAATCATTTAGCACTTTCAGGAAAATGAAGAGAAACTGACTCCTTTTTATTCCTCCACCATTGTAAAAGGAAGCTTTGATATTTCTTTGTGATACCACAGCAGAAACTTCGTTAATTATAATATTATGCTTTTTGACAATGAAATGAACCTCCAGAAGTAGGCTTATTCATTAGGATTCTAAGTGCCCTCTAATCTCTGCCATCAATTTTCACTTTCCTTTTCACCCTTCCCAAACATTCCTATGTAGATATGCCTCCAAAATACACACAGTTTGACCACATACTTTCTATCTTGTGTCTAATATTTCCACCATCCCAACTTACAACAACAGCAAAATCTTAATAGACTCTGCATTAGCTAACATTTTCTAAATTCCTTTTTTGAAGAAAAGGTGTATTCCTGTATTTACAATTTTCTACGAGTGCTCATTATCATGGTCGGTAGTTCACCCTGGAATCTATCTGTGCTCTTTTAAAATAATTGTATGATGCACTTATTAAAACACAAACTTTTTTTAGGACTTCAGAGTTTTCAGGTTACATTAAAATCCACTATTTCAACTTGTTTACTCAGTACCTTTGGAATCCAGTATGTGGAGCACAATTTACTTAGGCAGAAATGGAGGCCCAACATTTCTAAATGACTTAAGAAACTGAGGCCCAAAATGTATAAATTATTTGCTCAAGGCCATACATCTCCTAACTGATAAAAATAAGCATGCTATCAATCAGGATTTAGAAGAGCAAAACCCATGCTCTATCCATAGTGTTCCTTATTAAGAAGAAATAAGTAAATCAGCAAATTAATTAGTAAACAAAAATAAATTTTAAAACTAGCATATGAATACCCTCCCCAATTAAAAGAATATCACATATCTCATTTAAACCTGACAAAATTTTAATGAGCTGATAGCATTAGAATCCAAAATTATTGTGAGCTGAACATTTAATACTGTAGTTCATATTATTTCTCTATTGTTTCTCATTTACATCATGAGTTACTTCACCCTGAGGTTAAGGATTGTTTTATTAATGTCTGTGCCCCAAAATCAATATGTTGAATACATTAGATGATTAACTCAGAATGAGGAAAAAAAAACTTCAATATTTTGAAGCAATAAAGATTGATTAAGATCTCATTCCTTTCTAATATCTAGGACAATGTGCCATGAATCGTTATGGAACTCATTCTGGCTCCACGTCAGAGAAAAAGAAACGGAATATTTGGAGTCCAGACAGGCTTCAAATTAAATCCTAACTAAACCACTTACTAAATGTTTGTATAAGTTTCTTAACATCAATTAATTAGGAATTAGGCCACTCACCCAGCTTCAGTTTTTTTGTTTTTTTGTTTGTTTGTTTCATTTTTCGAATGAGGATAATAATACCTCCCTGGTGGAAATGCTGTAAAGATTAGATACATGTGTAATATATTTAAAGCACCTAGCTAAATGACAGGTAGCTCTTATTTATACACTCCATCCTTAATAAGAAAACTCATTTCAATAATATTGCCAAATTATTTTCTAAATTGTCTAAGATACATTCTGCAAAAAGCATTGGCCTGATTTCCTACTCAATCACTATTACAAGGGCTTAGACAATTCACCAAGGTCTTCTGGGCCTCAGATTCTACTTCTGTATAAGAAGAAGGAAATAAAACAAGTAGAAAAAAGGAATTGGATTTCATGACCTCAACCACCACTTTCAGCTCCTGACATTCATTATTATATAACTTTTGTACATAACTCTATTTTTACAAGTAATATTTATTGGGTGGAGAAAGTTTTCCTGGTTATATTGTGCTTTGTAAGAATCTCAACTCCAGTCCACATCAGCAAATATGATTTCTGACAGGAAGTGGACTATTTAGTTGATCTCTGGAGGTTGAGAGAGATGGTGTTGATAGTTGCTCAGAATAAGATATGAGGATGTTAAGGAATAAAATAGGTGAAGACAGACAGGAGACAGGAGCATAACTGGATGAAAGCTAACACTTTAGCTAAGAGAGTACATATGGGAAATGGGTGAAGCAATCTGTGTAAATATGCTGAAGGGCATTAAAGAAGAGAATAAGTAAATAAAATTTGGTATTAAAAATCATGAGGAAGCAAGTAAATCATTATCCCATTTGCACTACCAGGAAGTGGTCTTTTTTCAGAAACTCTTTCCCTCTAGTACTTAATTATCTCATCCTTTGGTAGGGCCTTTTTCAACAGAAACCTTTGATACTAAAGAATGAAGGTGGGCTGGGCACGGTGGCTCACGCCTATAATCCCAGCACTTTGGGAGGCCGAGGTGGGCGGATCACGAGGTCAGGAGATCGAGACCATCCTGACCAACATGGTGAAACCCCGTCTCTACTAAAAATACAAAAAATTAGCCGGGCGTGGTGGTGGGTGCCTGTAGTCCCAGCTACTCAGGAGGCTGAGGCAGGAGAATGGTGTGAACCTGGGAGGCGGAGCTGGCAGTGACCCGAGATTGTATCATTACACTCCAGCCTGGGCAACAGAGCGAGACTCCGTCTCAAAAAAACAAAAACAAAACAAAACAAAAACAATGAAGGTGATACATGGAATTCTAATTCTGTTACTCCACATGCTCTTCCCAATTTTAAGTCATCAAATGAAATTCTCATTGAGTGTTCACTTCAGGCAGGGCATAGTATTTGATAGCCTTTGCAGTGGGATGTTAGTGAAGGCAGCCGACTAAACATTGGAACACATACATTCAAAAGGTAATGACTCTGCAGACTCAGATTAGGTAAGGGCAGTTTCTAGGTGAAGGATAGGTTTCAGGGTGGGGGAGTTGGAGTTTAAGTTTGCTCAGTGGTTCAGGGACAAAAGATGATGGCAGATTTGCCACCTCCAACAGGATGCTTGCCTGAGTGGAAAAATAAAATGTAGGGGAACGAATGGAAGATTTTCCTGGACCAAGCCTGGAGGAAGCTCACATCACTTCTCCCACACTCCATCACAGTGAGGTTTGTTCTGTAGCCATACTGTAATGCAAAGAATGCAGAAAGATTTGGCCAAGCTCTGTGACCGGAGGAAGAGCACACTGAGTGTTCAGTGAGCAGGCTGCCCCAGGGTAAGAAGAAGCACAGCTATGGGCACAGGCATGTGAAGAAATGTCTTTCATACATGGTGCAGTGTATCCCACACAATCAGGGAGACCTATATGTGAAGGAGACTGAGAACGTGAAAGGTGGGGGTAGATAATTAATTTGCAACCAAGAGGAGTAAGCAGGAATGAGGCAGACCTAAAGGGATGTATTCAATACAGGAAATTTTCATAGTATAGTCCACAGGTGACTTTAGTAAAATACATCTGAAATGAATCTAAAATACCTCTTGCCCAGTTGCAAACAGAATCTTCTGTTAGGTTTTCAAGATATCCAGAGGTGAGAGTAAATTACCCACTAATCAGAGAAAACTTCATTGTGCTCCTTCTCCAAGGAGCATCCCTGTCACTCGGATCCCTAGCCTGCTTTCAGTGCACTGACACCAGATTTCCATTGTCCTTCTGTGCTCCATAAGTACAGTGTGGCGGGAATGTTTTCCCTCCTGTTTACCACTCTATCTCTAGCACCTAGAATGGTGCCTGGCACAGGCTTCAATTAGTATCTGTTGAATGCATGGATTCAACAGATATTGATTGAATGAGTGAGATCATTCTTTGGGGATCTAAACAACAATGGACTAACAGAAAGTCAAAGCCAGAAAGGGTATTAAGAAAAACTGAGTTCAAACTCTTTCTTTTCTTTCTGAGACAGAGTCTTGCTCAGTTACCCAGGATGGAGTGCAGTGGCTTGATGTCGGCTTACTTTAGCATCTGCATCCCAGGTTCAAGCGAGTTTCTCAGAGCTATTACAGGTACACGATACAATGCCTGTGTATTTATTTTATTTTATTTTATTTTTAGAGATGGAGTTTTGTCATGTTGGGCAGGCTGGGCTCGAACTCCTGGCCTCAAGTGGTCTGCCCACCTCAGCCTCCCAAACTGCTGAGATTACAGGCATGAACCACCACACCTAGACTTCCATTTTTTTAAATATAGAAAGTCTGAACTCAGGTTTTCTTCTCCAGTTTTTCAACCTCCAGGCTGAGGTGAGCTGCAGTGAGCTGAGATTGCGCCACCACACTCCTGCCTGGGTAACAGAGCAAGACTGTCTCAAAATGAAAAAAAAAAAAGCAAACAAAAAGAAAAAAAGGGGAAAAAAAGAACTAAAGGAAAAAGAAAGATAATCCCAGCACCTTGGGAGGCCAAGGTTGGCAGACCACTTGAGGTCAGGAGTTCAAGACCAATCTGGCCAACATGGTAAAAACCCATCTCTACTAAAAGTACAAAAATTAGCCAGGTGTGGTGGTACACACCTGTAATCCCAGCTACTCGGGTTGCTGAGGTAGGATAATTGCTTGAACCTGGGAGGCAGAAGTTGCAGTGAGCTGAGATCACACCGCTGCACTCCAGCCTTGGCAGCAAAATGAGACTCCATTTCCATCTTAAAAAAAAAAAAAAAAAGAAGAATAAAAAAGAAAAAAGAAAGACAGAAGGGGAGTCTCAGGGGAGGTAACAGATTTCTCCAAGATGACATACATGTTTTTAAATGCAATGTAGTGCCTTTCCACTATGCGATATATGCTAACAAGAATATCATGATATCAAGAATATTATAAATGGTATCAAGAATATCATAAATAATATCATGCAACCATAAGCAGATTCTTGGAGACTTTGGATGTTTTTGCACTAACTTGAGAAAATGTAATATTGATACATACTGTTATTTGCAGAATTTATGTGGTGTTAATTGCCATGCAGTAGAATATTTCCTTTTCTAATGCTGCATGCCTAGCATGAGAAGCAAATGTGAAAGCTATGTGACAGGAAGTGATTGAGGTACTTGTAACATAAAGAGTTATCAAAATCAAATAGATAAGCACCTCCCTTAGACAACTGGGAAAAACATAAGCACAAAGAAAGAAATGCAATGATACTAGAGGGAGTTTTATTTCCTTGTAAATTGTAATAATACAAAACAAAAGTAAATTTTTTTAAAAGTTGAAAACTATAATAATTTTAAAAGAGAATGATACAATTCAGCACTCACAAAGGTACAAGATAAGAGACATCTCAATATTGTGTGGAAATATCTATCAATGACCTATTTTGTTTTTGTTTTTCTTTTTTGACTTAACATTTCCATTTCTAGAAATTTATCTTAAGAACATAAACATGGCTGAATAATATGGAAAAATAAAACTGTTGACTGTGTGTGTATATATGTGTGTGTATGTGTGTACCTATATATTTGTGCATGTGTGTATATATACATATAAGTGTATATGATAAAAATACTAAAATTATACCATATATAGACATATGCAAGGACAGTTGGGATATACTTTTACTGGTCTATGAGAAGAATATTAAAAAGATGCTTTCCAAAAGATAAAACTCAAATAATAGAGACAGCAGGGATGGAAGGCTATATGCTTTATTCAAAACAAGTGCCTTGGTTTTAATCCTATTTCAGTCATAATTACACTTCAAAATCCTTAAAAACTCAGTTAATTCTAGGATCTATAAAAACAAAGATGCTCTTTTGCCCACTTTGTACCCTCATGTGACTAATAAGGTGAGAAAGATAAAGCTTTTAAATAAACATTTACAATTCAACATGCTAGGAAGAAGATATTGTGGAATTACAGAGAAACAAGTTCTATTAGATGAACGAATCAGCTGAGCTCTTTAGGCCTCAGTTTGCTTATTTAAAACATAAATATGGCTGCCATTTTCCAATGATATTAAATATAAGAAAACTTGTAAAACTATACCTTATCCACAGAACACAAAGAGCATTTCATGCAAAGCAATGCATACTTTTGATTTAAAGTATCTTTTAACAATACTTACAAAGGAACACATTAGCTTAGTATTAAAGTTTAATATGCAATCAGCATTGAATAACATTACAAATGTTAAGTGAAGTTATAAAACAAGGTGCATAATTTAGACCAGAGACTTTTGGAAGATTTCACATGCTGTAGCTGGTGACAGGTTCAACGTTGATACTATGTGCTCATGCATCAGAATATGCTTTGTTACCTTTTGAATATTTTTGGAATGGTCCAACTTTTGTTTAAGACAGATTGTCACATATAATAGAAGTGATTCTCTTAATATATTTGATAAATTTTTGTACATTTGTACATTTGTATTGAATTGTTTACATCTCTGAGAAAAAATACTACTACTGGTGACTATTTTTTTGCCCCTAAAACCTATTGATACCTCTTCCATGACAGGTTTGAATTGCTAGTCTTCGAAATCCCTAATTCCTTTTTTGTTCCAAGATAGGAGGAGGTAGAGCCTAGAAAATCCTTTGTAGATCTAGAGCTCATAAATGGAAAACTCCATTTGCCAGCAGGTGGGATTTATCTATTAAAGCATGTATACTTCAACCCCTCCAACTATTCTTACATTAAATCCATCAGAAAACAGATATTTACTGAATCCGTACAAAGTCCAAGTCCTATTTTATATGCTGGGATATACAGTATAACAGCAAAATCTTTGTTCTCAGGGTGCACACATTCTAGTAGAAAATGTGAACACTTTCTGTGAAATCTGTGAATACTTCTAGTGGAATCTTTTAGCTGAATAATTACACAAATATATAATTACATATTGGGATAAGAACCATAATGGGAGGACACAAGAAAATACTACTGTAATGTATAACCAGAAAATGTGGAGTCAGGAGGAGAGTTTAGGGAAGTGTTGTTTGCTTGAGCTGAATTTGGAAGATTGGAAGAATGACAAGGCGTTCATTCCATTCAGCCATTCTTGCCTGTTCCCTGTTCCTTACACACAAGAGAAATGCTCCTGCCTCCGGAAATTTTGGACTCATTTTTCTCTCTGCTTGGAAAGCTCTTACAGAAAAATCTGCAAGCCTAACTCCCTCACCTCCTTCAAGTGTTCCTCAAAAGGTATCTTATCAATTAAGCCCATCAGGATATCTGTTTTTAAAAAGGCATTCTATAGCGCTCTAACCCTTGATACTCCAAATTCCCCCTATACTGCTCTATTTTTTTTCCATGACACCTTCAAAGTTACTATAATTTTACTTTGTTGGAAGTCAATTCTGTAAATTAACATGCTAGCCATAATTTCTGTGAAGAAAAATGTTTTCTCAGCTTTGTTCACTGATGCATTTGAAGTATTTAAAACAGTGCTTGGGCATTGTTGGATGTTTTTAAAAAGTTAGTTAGTTAATTGTTTAATAAATAAATTGTACTGAGTCATGGTGAATATAAAACATAACAAATTGTTTAAGAGGCAGCTAACATAGTGTCTAGAAGATAAGCTATATATTTAAATGAACATATTAGGCAGAAAAGAGTTAAAATCAATTCTCTTACTTTCCATATGCCAAAGTTAAAAGAGAAGAGTAAAGTAAACCTAAACTATGTAGAACAAAGGAAAGGACTAAGATATAAGAAGAAATAAATGAAACTGAAAGCAGAAAAGAATTGAGAAAATCAGCAGAAACAAAAGTTGCTTATTTTAAAAGATCAATAATATTGATGAACCCATAGCAATACTTAACAAGAAAAAAAACAAGTAACAAAATCCACAACTACCAATTATCAGAAATGAAATAATGAAAATCAATATTTTATAGATATTCTGAGTTCAGTGAGCCTCTCTAGCAAATTAATCAAACCCAAGGAAAGGGTGTGGGAACCCTTGTTTATAGCCAGTTGGTCAGAAGCACAAGTCACAACCTGTGCTTGCAATTGGCATCTGAAGTGGTGAGCAGTCTTGTGGGACTGAACCTTCAACCTGTGGGATCTGACACTATCTCCAGGTTGATAGCATCAGGGTTGAGTTAAATTAAAAGACACCCAGCTGATGTCTGCTGCAGAACTGGTCGCTGGTGGAGAGACATCCCTATATGCATTTTGGAGAGCAGAAGTGAAGTGTTCTGTGTTGTATTGGCATGGGAGTAGGAAATAACACTTTGTTTTTCCCTATTTCTCTCGGAGCAGCCATAGAAAATAAATACAGCCATATCTATATTATAGAAGGAGTCATTCCTGGGGATTCAATCTGGAATCCAATAATTCTATGACCACGTAGTACTGCTCATTAAGCCCCTTTTGCACAGATTTTTTTCTATTTCCTGCAATGAAGACAGATTGATTCAGAAATGCACTGATCAGGAAGTCAGAGAAGCTGGCTTTCTAGGCTCAGCTGTTTTGCTCCTTGGCTTTGTGCTTTGAGTAAGCCATGTGACTTCTATGAGTCAACATTTTCAGTCTATAAAGCAAGCATTTTGTATTAGATCAATGATTTTTTAAATGGCAATACCAAAGATTGATTTAAGTGGATGTGAGTTATTTTTATTTTTATATTCACATATAAATTTTTATTTTCCATGTGTGATGAGTGATACTGGTTTTCCAGGTCTGTCAGTGTCTTAAAATTTCCTTAAAAATAGATAGTCTAGAATTGTTTTAAAAGAATAATTTAAACAAAATATTGTATAGATACAGGGAGTCTTTTGGTATGGTTAAAATAGTGAAGGTGATGTGAGAAAAACTGAATTTAGAAAACAGTGAGAGAGAAAATGCCTGGCTTCTTCTCTGCACTTATCCAATCAGTAACCAATTTACTTATTCATTTATTCATCCATTAAATATATAAATATTCATGAGCATCTTTCAAGCACAAGGCCCCAAATGAGAGCACACTAGGAACACAATAATGAATGTGATACCGTCCCTGACCTGAAATACCTGAGTGGGGTAGGGGAGACAAACTCGTTCCAAATGGTAATGTGGTAAGCTTGGAACATCAACAAGGACATAAATATGGTCCTACCGGTTTCTACTTTTGGAACCTCCAGGCTTTCCTGAAATTTATCCTCTTCAAAAGCTACCAGAATGATCAATTTAAAACAAACTCTAAGCGTGACACCCCTTTTCTTTAAACCAGCACTTGACAAACTGCGATCCCAGAACAAACACATTTTACTGTCTCTTTCTGTAAATAAAGTTTTATTGAAAGTTGTACTGGAACACAGCCATGCCCATTCATTTCATATTGTTTATGGCTACTTTCACACTGCAAAGGCAGAGTAAAGTAGTTGTGACAGAAGCTTCAAGAATTCCTAAAATATTTACTATCTGGTCCTTTATATATATATGTAATCTCTATTTTTAAATCCTTCTTCTCCTTTCAAAATACCTCTCTTACAGACCTACGCAATGAGACTTGGCTTTGATTAGAATATTTCCCATCTTTCCTTCGGTCTCCCAACATTTCCATATCTCATTCATCTGATCAAAAGGCTACTGGGTGTGCCTTTCAGGGCTATGACCCTTATTTTGAAAGAAAACAGTACCCTCTCTCCAAGGTCTGAGGAGGCTAGTGTCAAGTAGCGCTGCCAAGTGTTTCCATATTTGACACATATTCTTCATAATTTTAATTTTGGTGCGGTGGTTATTTCCTTTTATTGAAGTTTTCTTTTCCTTTTTTTTTTTTTTTGTTGCTGTTGATAGTAAAATTTGAAGAGGTCAAAAAGTAAATATTCCTTCAGACTGCCATCTGAAACCAGATACAGCTTGATCAGGTTTTTCAAGTCTGTATCTGAAAAAAGGAACATGTTTCTTGAGCTTAAAACATGTGAAGTCTGGCATTTGAGTACTCAATACAGTTAGGTTGAATGAATGAATGCACAAATCCCCATCATTTCACAAATGCAGAAGCTGAGTGAAACGTGTAGATTTGGAGTCTGTTCCAGAAAATACCAATCACCCATTTGACCTGTTATATTTCAGGAGGCTCTTGAAATAAAACTGGCTCCTGCATACTTTCCTACGAAAACGCCCTCACCAGCAGCCACCAGCCATGGCACATTTGCTTCCTTCCTGTGTGTCTCTACATTGAACACCCACCAGTCAAGACAAACCCGAGAGGGAAATTATAACTCCAAGGGAAAGAGGAGGGCTCTAGAGACACCAAGAGTAGGGCTGCAATTTCAAACTGGGTCATGAGGCTTCAGGGACCTGTAGGTGGTGAAGCTCAGCTCTGCTGACAGACATTCCAGCCCTGCAGGGGTGTGGGCAAACTGGGTTCTGTTTCTGCTTTAAAACCTTGTTATATTCGAACTATCTCTCAAAAGCAATAGTACGCTGAGCTTAAGTATGATTTGAAACCTTTAAAATAAGCAAGCATGTTAAAGTTATAGGATGGTACTTGGCACCTAATGAGTCATCTTTTGCATGTTATGCAAAATTTCAAGACAACACCAGATGTTGGGGGAGGATCATTCTCCAGAGAGGGGAAAATTACTGTTTTCTGATTTAAAAAAATGATAAAAACTATCGCTTACAGACAAAAAATATTAAATTTGGGGGTAATTATTGCTTTCTCTCTCTCTTTCTCTCTCTGTGTGTGTGTATGTGTGTGTGTGTGTGTATATATGTTTTTCTTTCTGCGTGTGCATGCGTGTCTCATATATATCTTGTTAATTACTGTAGAATCAGCACTTAATCTATTTTGTGACATATATGAGATATTAAAATATTTGGAGAAATAATAAATGAATGAATGTGCCACTACAGACACAGAAACAGTACTAACCCAGGGAGAGGAACTGGGAGAAACAAATGGAGAGCTTCATTCAGTCACCTGGTAATAGGATGTTTATACTAGAATATTCTAGAAACATGTCCATAAGGACTATTAGGACCCACTATTTCTGAAGCCTATAAACCCAAAACGAGTGTCATGTGGGAAGACTTTGACTAGTGTCATATAAATGCCTGACAGAAATTTCGAATAGACGTCACAAACTGTCGATTCAGCCATTGTCATGATTTTTAAATAAATATTCGTAACCTCCTACGGTTAGAGATAGAAGAGGATATACATCCTCTCCCTAACAATTTGGCAATGAGTCAGCGTGTTACAATAGAAGCAAGCTTTAGTCCAAATTCCTCTAAATGTTTCAAAATTTATTAGCATGGCAAAAAAGTTGCAACTATTCTTATGAAGTAGTCCTCACTTGCTACATTCAGGTACTCAGATAAGCACTAAAAAGAAAACAATTACTTTGAGGTTTTAAAGTTGGTGCATTAATATGACAGAGGATGAAGCCACCTTTCTGGCAAGCAACAGAGTCCTTCAATATATGGGACAATTGAAGTTAGCTCTAAACATAAACTTTCTGAAGATGATTCACCATGAAGCTGCTGGATTTTTATCCCACATTCATGCAAGGGCATTGTAAACATCTCACTAGGTATTTACATCATCAATACCTTACTAAGGGTCTTACCTTACTAAAGGCATCATAAATACCTTATTAGTCATCCTCCTATTTTGAACATTACTAATTTCACCAATGAACAATTATTTCTAATATGTCATATTTGCCAATTAATCCAAATTAATGGTTTCTTTTGGATAGCCTTTGATAATGATATCTGAAGCACTTATAGACAACCACTATGGGCTGTTGGTTTCTGATTCAGCACTTCCTATGCAATTTAACTGCCACCAAATTGTAGATTAAAGTTAATTTGTAAACATATGTGTTCGTGTATATATATATGTATACAAACACACACGTATATATGTATATACCTAACATTATTTATACCACAGCATTTTAAATTACCATACAAATGATGTACAAAAATTCAGGGTAACTAGATAAAGTTGAAAGTGGAGCAAAACCCTAAAATTAGATTTAATGGTGATGTCATAATTTGATTAATTCATTTGTTCAGTAAACATGAATTATGTGCCAGTACAACTCAGTTCATTGTAGATACCCTTTGGCTCACTGAATGCAATGCATTAAGTGTAGTGTCCTTTAAATTCATGCTTCAGTGTTTTGGTAAACACATTTCTATAGAAATATTAAAAAGAAAAATAATCATATTGATTTTTAACTAAAATAACTGCATCTCAAGGGCCCTAGCAAAACTTTTTTTCTGATCACTAAGCAAAATCAAGTTACTACCACCTATTGGTTGCTATATACTGGTTTTGAACTTGTCTCTGGATTATTAGAATTCTAAAATTGAACATTTATAATGATAAAAAGTCATGGTGGAGAAGATTTAACCTGTTGGGTGACAAGTGTCCATGAACCTCTTATATTTCTGCACACTCTTCTGAGCAAAGGAATAAACTTTTTTTTTCCAGACTCTCATTACTAGTACTTTCATATTTAAAAAAAAAAAAAAAAAAAAAAAAACTGCCTTGGGAGAGAAAGAGATTTTCTCCTTCTAGAGCAGGTTTGTTTACTTTCCTGGGTAATAAAAATAATGTCTTTTTCTATGGCAAAGATTAGGCAGATTTTCTACAGTCTCCTTATATAAAACTGAGGCTTTCTAATCTCTGGGATTTCTTTTCTGGAACATACTCTACTGTATAAGACAGTATTTTCTCCTAATTTTCTTGATCTTTGGAAATGGAGGCTTAGGGAACCAGTGCAAAAATAATATTCTAGCCACTGATATAGCTGTGAGTATTACACTGTCTTTTATCTCTGACCCAGGACTCTTGTGTCTCCTGCCAGTTTCCATGAAACTGTGGCAGGCTAACTTGTTAGTTTGCAAGTAGGGCAAAACCTAAGACTCTCCATAATGCTTGTCTTAACATCCCCCCACCCATTATTCCAAATATAGAAAAGAGTAAAAACTGTTCACACTTTGATTTCCTAGTGTCCAAAGACAATATAAAACTGGCTCCAAATAAAACACATAAGACAATTTGACAATTGAAAATTAAAACCTCCCTTTCACTGCACCCTGAGGCACCATGGAACAGTGCAAAGAGCATCATAGGACTGAGAATACAAAACCATGAGCCATGAGTTCTAATCCTGATTTGGAGACTCACTAGTCAGGGGACTTGGGATAAATCTTACACTGCTTAAGGGCCTAAGTTAGTCCTCCATAAAGTAGATAAATGTTGCATCTACCCCATAAAGCTTTGGTTAAAGAAAATCATAATATACATGCAGATGTGCAGCATAAAGCCTAATACATACTCAGCAATTGCTAATATCCTTTATTTGTAGTGACTTAAATGTTTTGGCACTTGGCTTCTAATTTTGTCATTATAAGATGAATTATACTTTCATACGTATATACATAGTCATATATTATCGTAAACTCTGGTTATCTATTCAGCATTCCTTCTCCAGTCTAATAGAACTCTAACAGAACCCTGTTTTATTCAGAGAGTCAAGCCATCCTCAGTTCCAGAGATGAATCCCTATTAGTCTAAACCAATATGTTCATCATATTTCTGGGTAAATGTTACTGGTTCAAAAGTGAACATATGACCTTAGATAACCCTATCAAACTGAAAGAAAAAATGTAGATTCTATAGTTGCACAAAGTGTCATGAGTTGAATCTTCCCCCACCTCAAAAAAAAAAAAAAAAAAAAAAGAGATTTGAAGTTCTAACATCACATATCTCAGAATGTGACCCTATTTGGAAATAGAGTCCTTAAAAAACACAATTAGTAAAGATGAAGTCATACTGGAGTAGGGTTGGCACCTAATCCAATATGACTAGTGTCTCTTTAGAAGCACATGACCACGAGAAAAAACAGAGAACCAAAAGGAAAACAGCATGTGACAACAAAGGTAGAGACTGGAGGTCTGCTGCTGCAAGCCAAGAGCATCAAAGACTTCTGACAAAACACTGGATGAAAGAAAGATGCAAGAAGCATTCCTCTATTGCGTTCAGAGGTAGCATGACCCTCTCAACACCTTGGTTTCAGAACTCCAGCCTCCAGAACTGGGAGACACACATTTCCAAATTCTTGTTTGTTTGTTTGTTTGTTTGTTGTTTTTGCATGTGTGTTAAGCTACCCAGTTTGTGGTACTTCGTTGTAGCAGATTTAAGAAACAAATAAAGGAATATTTCTTCTTTTCCTAAAGTAGGAGAACAGAAATAGCAGCTATGTTGTAACCATGAGAAGAGCAAACCTGAGGATGAAGCAGACGCAAGAACAAGATGGCTGAGAGTTATGATGGAGTCTTGACCTTCCGAGGATGAAATCTCAACCTTTAGGTTTTTTCCATAAAATGATATCCTTTTTTACTGAACAAGCCAGTCTGAGTGACATTTTTCTGATACTTTCATAAGTATGGGAAACACACACACACTCTCTCGTGTGTGTGTGTGTGTATATATATATATATACATATATATATACGTGTGTATATATATATGTATATATATATACACACACATACACAGACATATGGTGTAGTATGTATGTTTACATATATATACATATATATTTCATATATCTGTTACAGAGACATAAGTGTGCTGGCACTTCATTTAATCACCATTTATGATTGTACATTCACTATCTGTGCTGTTCTCTGTTCTATACAAAAAATTTAAAATAGTTTTCTTTCCTCTAACTTTAAGGCCCTTAAGGATCAGTGTTAAGCGTTGTGTTATGTAATATCCCGAGCCGTCCTTATGGTTTGTACTTTATACGCCCTGATTCTGTTTTAGCGCCTACCACTCCACTTGGTAATTATTCATTAAATTCTGGTGTCCCTCTGTCTGCTTGTGAAGCCAGAGCATGTATCCTAATGCTGTATTTATAGCACCAAGCTCAAAGTATTGAAGCAAGCAATGTTGGTGGAATGAATAAAGAATAGTTGCCATTCTTTTCTGAAATCTTGAAATATTATTAACCAGCTCTCCTCTCATTTTTTTTTAAATTGTGAGTCTTCCTTCTGTCTGTCACTCACAATGACTCAGACAACAATGACATGCTCCATTTATTTCTAGCATTCATGCCTCAAAGTTGCCAGGTAGACTCAGCATTGGAATAATGATGGGGAATTCTCTCTCTCTATGTTAGTGTTAATAATATTCATGGCAAAAAAATTAGAATTTTCCCATGAGGAGAAACCTCTTTCCTTTTTCTGTGAGTATAATGAACGCTCAGTTATGGATATACTAGTGGCTCCGTAGCGATACATTGCAAAATTCTTTTTCTGCCTTTCATGATATAATTTAAACTCTTTACTGTAGCATACTATGTCCCTTCCGATCTAGACAACTTAGATGTTCTGACTTCCCTCATTTCTCCTCATTCTACCAATTGTCTGTCATCTTCGTTGACCCTGGACTTCCCTGGTTTTAGCACTAAAAGTTCCCTGTCCCAGGAAAAGTGTCAGACCCAGGCAAACAAAGACTGTTAGTCACTGTTTTTGGCTTCTCAACTTCCCTCTATTTGACTGTGAGATGCCTCAAAGAATTCAGTGTAACCTCTATTTGTTTTTGACACATGGTTGGTACAAAGCGTTAATAAATAGACAAATCGATGACTGAATAAAAGGAGTATGTCATAGAAGAGTTTTGGAATCAAAAAGATGTGGACTAAAATCTCACATCAGTCATGTTGGACTATACAACTGACTTTATGTTTACTAAGCCTCAGTTCCATCATAAGCAAAAGCGTGGAGGGGAGAAGAATAATAAGAGCCACTTCATGGACATGTCATAGGAATAAGATGAGACTATGAGCTCCTAGTAGGCTTGTAAATCACTTGCATGCATAGGCTGTGCTGTGTTAATTATAGCAATCTCACATAGGTACCCAATAACTGTCTGTGTAATTAGAGTAATACTTTATGCAAAATGCTTAGAGCACAGTAGATGTTTGCTAAATGAATGCTATTGTTAGTGTTGTTATTAACATTAAAATGAATGAAAAATATCTTGATTACCCAAAATATACAAGCTGCTGTGCTTAGTCTTGGGAGAGATGAACCTGGGGGAAAATAAGGAATACTCTGGTTATAGGGCTGGAGCTGTGCTCGCTTAGCTACAATGCAAAGCATGATTTGATAACTCCCAATCAGAACATGGAGCTTCATGCACGGAGTATGTATTCAATGGGACAAAAGTATAAGTTAATGAAAAAGTAACTGAGTAAAAATATGAAAGCTTGAACTAGTACAAAACATGAATACTTTGAAAAGTGAGAAGTCCTGAGATCTCATCCCTATCCTGCTTGTACTTAGAGTGTGCTTTCAGGAGTTTAATTACTCTCTCTGGTATAAATTCCTTATTTTCAAAACTGGGCCACTTGGTCTCACTTTGTTATTTGTTACTATTGTTAATAGTCAAATACATTTTTCAGACATTAAATTTCCCAGCTACAGAAGTTCTTTCCTTGTGTTGTTAATGCCTGCCAGTATGGCTAAGCTTGTGCTCATTGAGAATGTAGCGTGGGCCAGTCAGAACCCACGGCTTCTAATAGTCACGTAGCAAGATAAACCAAAGGAAACCTTAAACCACAGCTAGGCTAACTAAGCCGATTTAGTCTTTTTAATACCTGCTGGGAAAAAACAAAATGAACCAATACTTCCTTGTTGTTGAACAAACTTCCTGTTGCTATGGACAGATCATTTTTCATTTACCTAAATAGTCACAGAGGATATTATTGAATTAATAGGACTCTAAGTTCCCTGAATTTACTCTCAAGAGCCCACCTGTGTTAACACAGGCACACTATAGAAATAATTGCCAAAGCACAAGTTAGAAGTAAACGACTGGGCTATCTGATTGTGAGATGAAAGCCGTTGATGAGTGAAATTCCTGGGAAACTCGGCTTCTCCTAACTATTGAGATTAGTCCTTGTTCCTACTATATTGTGAGTTAAACCTTCTCATGGATAAAAAGCAAAACCAGAAATCTATTGCCATGAAAATAGGTGTAAAAGAAAGCCTGGGTAACGCTTCCTATAATCAAGTTCTCCAACAAGCACTGACTCCTTTTCTTTTTGTCTGCCACTTTCTCATGCATTAGCCATTTACTCTAAGATATTTATAGATCATCAGTCATAGACAGGGCTGGACGCTGGAGATAAAGTTGACAGTAAAATCAAGCAGGAGTTTTACCTTCAGAGAATTTGTGTGGGGAAGCAGATCTTCATCCACTAGGCATTCAGACAAGTCTGAAAGAGGAAGGGAGGGGGGCACATGCTATATAGAAAAGCACACTGCTCCTCAAAAGCTTCTACAAGTGGGTTCTGGCCCACTCCTAGAATTCAGAAAAGATGTCTAGACAAAGACAAACCTGGACAAATATGACCAGGAATGAGGTCAAGGAGGAGGGGATGGAGGAGCTTTCCAGGACATAGGAATAGCATTTATTACATTGGTGCAAAAGTATTTGCAGTTTTTGCCATTGCTTTTAATAGAAAGAACTTAGGAGTGGTGAAGAGTATGGAGAATGCAGAGAGCTGACAGAAGGCCAGTGTGGCTAGAGCCAGAAATAAGGTACAAAATGAGACTGGTGAGCGGGTAGACGTCAGAGTAAGAAGAACATTATTGACCATTTCAAGGAGCTTTGGCACTTTCCTACAAAGTTCAGAAGACAACAGACACCCTCTTTTAAAAAGAGGGTGTTAGACAATTAGATTTACAGTTTAGACTTTTACTCAGGCTGTATTGAACCGATTAGCAAAAGGCCAAAGTAGATGACAGTAGACTGGTTAAAAGACTATGCTCATGGTTGGTTGGACTAATGAAAGAGTGGTACAAATGTAGAAAAGTGAATGAAATTGGGATACCTAAAAAGACATGTTATTTGAGTGAAATGTAACAAATGCATACCTTACAAAACTGTGCAAGGTTGAAGGCCCTGCTAATAGCCACCTCCCTCCCCCATGCAAAAGAAGTATCACAGGTCAAATCGCATGACATTATTATATTTGTAGGTCAAATAAATGGCTGGATATTGGCAATTTCATAGGGTTCCCTCTCTTTGACAGGCATTCCTTACTTGATATCCATGGTGATTCAACCCAGTCAGTGAAACATAAAATGTGGACTTAGGGGCACACACATCCTTTTTCTATTTAACATGTATACCAGGATTTCTCTTGCTATAGGCATTTGTAGGTTCAGGCTTCTGGAGTAACAATGGGTCATCAGAAAGCTTGGTTCAACACCTTTCTTTGATGGGCCAGAAAATTGCTTGAGAAAGGTTAAGAGACCTTAAAACTAAATAAAATAGAATAATATAATGTAACATAATAAAATATAAAATAAAATGTCATAGAGTCCTTTGAGCTGTAGCTAAAAGTAAATCCTGAAATAAGGGAGAATATTTGTGTAAAGTGATTCAAGTAGAATACTCCGACCTTGAGGAAGGTGGTCTGGAAGACTTAGGATTGCAAGGATAGAGTTAGATGCCCTTCCCAATCACGAGAAACGGACACCTAGAAGAATCAGAATGACTACAGAATTTGGGTGGATAAGGATACACCTGGTGGATGCTCTGAGGCCTTGTCAATCTGTTGTTAATTTTGTGACAGAGTATCACTGCATAGTACCTTTTCCTTAGAGTACCATTCCCACACATCCATTCAAATAAATTAACACTCTCATCTCCACTGACCCATTTGTCAGACATGCCAAAATGTGGGCTGACCCACATGACCTTTTTGCTGAAAAATATAAATAATGAGTGTCATTGGGCCTCACTCTGACAAACCTGGAGTAATGGTTATCATTTATTTTTCCTTTTCTTCTTTATCATAATCATATCAACTGAACCACACCTGCCATTCTGAAACACAGACTTTGTTCTGGAGAACAGGGAGGACATGCAGAGCTGTTGTTTCAGATTCTTCAAACAGTCATTCAGACAAGATCCTGACAAAAGAGGAGAAACAAAACTCTATGGCATACCTGTTTTGCGCTAAATTTGGAATAGAATTAGTTTCATGCAACACCTGTAACCTCCCTTAAGCCATTGAACTTGAAAGCAACCTGCCCAGTCTCACACAGCTAAAATGTTACAGTCAAGACTCCTCCAAACTTGTTAATTAAGATATACTGTATTATGGAAAAACGCAAAGACAGTGGATGTTAAGTGTTCTCACCACGAAAATGATAACCATGTGAGGTAATGCATTTGTTAAGCAGCAAGATCTAACCATTTCACAATGTGTATGTACTTCAAAGCATTATGTTGCCGGGCGCAGTGGCTCACGCCTGTAATCCCAACACTTTGGGAGGCCAAGGTGGGTGGATCACCTGAGGTCAGGAGTTCGAGACCAGCCTAGCCAACATGGCCAACATGGCAAAACCCCGTCTCTACTAAAATACAAAAATTAGCCAGGTGTGGTTGCCACTGCCTGTAATCCCAGTTACTCAGGAGGCTGAGGCAGGATAATTGCTTGAACCCAAGAGACAGAGGTTGCAGTGAGCCAAGATTGCTCCATTGCACTCTAGCCTGGGCAACAAGAGCGAAACTCCATCTCAGAAAATAATAATAATTTAAAAATAAAAAGAAAAAGAAAGTATTATATTGTACGTGATAGATATACAATTTTTTCAATTAAAAAAAAAAAGACTTCAACCCAAGTCTATGAATCTCAGGAATTAGGGACTAGTCACTTCCCATTCTATAATGTTGCCAGAAGGAATCTGGCTAGCATCCTTCTCTGGAGATCAGCTAGTTATCTCCAGGAATTCACTCTCTTTATCTTCCTTTAGACTTAGTCGCTATGTTTCTCCCTCTGTGGATACTTTCATTAGGTTTCTTGGAGGGCACTAAAAATAAATAAATAAATAAATAAATAAATAAATAATAGATAAATAGATAAATAAATAAATCATTCAGTTAAATAATTGATGAGAAGCTAAAACATGCCATTTTGTTTTCAGGCCAACGCTATCCCAAATGAGCTGGTTGCAATGAACTTGTAAACACAACAAAGAAAACAGAATTCACATAAGTTCTCTGCTGAATTCTCCCATATTGACACTGGAACATCAGGGCTATGAAACAAGCAGGAGATGTAAGGGTGAATCAAAGTGCACTCCCTAATTTGTACCACACCAACTCAACAGTAAAATGTGATTTAATTTACTATATAATTTGCTTGTTCAACAAAGCTGAAAGATAACTCACTTAGTGCCACTTTGCTTATAAGTAAGCCGGTAACTGGCGGTGTTCTTCCAGTGAATGGTTTTGTTGTTGATGCCAGAGAAAGCTGTTTGAGTGGAAAATACACAAAATTAAGGGCCTGCTGCTGTAGTATTTGCAATGCACTTCCTTTGTCCTCATCAAGTTTATTTCTGCAAAGAGGCAATATCAGCCCTTTGTTTTTCTAACTCGATGAAGTCACTACGTCTTGCTCAGTGGCACACGGCTAGGGAAAAATGCATTCAGCCAAATTTAGAACCATTTGGAACTCACGAGTTGTGAATTTTGAACCAAACTTGAATCTTTTAAAAGCTCATCTGTTCCACAAAGCATGCCAGCTCGGCTAACAGCCTTGCAGCCTGGGCTGTCCTCTGAGGGCTGAGCTGGGGTCCCCAAGTCCCTCATGTTTCTCCCAATTGACAGATGGGAGTATTACATGGAGCAAAAGCTTAGATGCAATGAGATAGGTGTACTACAAAGCTCCAAAACCTATAACACAGAAGCAGAGATATCCCAAAAAGATGAAATAGAGGTCTCTTTTGTGTTTTGCCAATTTCTTAATATTTTCCATATGTCTTTAGAATATATTTGTCCTTTTTGTCCATTAACACCATTCTAGCATGGACACATATTAGCCCATATCCCCCTAAGCCTCAAAACGAGTCTCACTCCCACAGGTCTCTCCCACCTGCGGTTCATCATGCGTATTCTAATCAGATCAATTTCCTGGATCTCTGCTTGCATGTCTCACTCCTCTGCTCAAAGTCCTTTTATTTATTTATGTCCTCACTTGTTCTTTCATTCATGAGTCTCTCCTGAGCAGCTTCTGTGCACCAGCAACTCCAGCAGGGAAGCTAGAGTGTCTGGTGCACACGGACTCTGGGATGGGAAGCCCTGAGTAGAGGCAGAAAAAACAGCCAGCCTTGTCTTTACGCAGGTCAGGTTTTTTGTTTGTTTGTTTGTTTGTTTGTTTGTTTGTTGTAAATCTCAGTGTGATATGTGTCCTGAGAAGGGAATTGCACTGCAATGTTAGGGGTATAGGAAGGTCTGATGAAGGATACCCAAGGCCTGAATCCCGGAGGCGTGGTTGTTCTCAGGGAGATACCAGAGTGCAAGGGAAGAAGAGTGGGAAAGGAAGATTTGTCTTAACAGAAGAGGCAATGTGTGCCAAGGAAAACAAGAGCATGACAGCAGTTCAAGCTACCTCATTTGGGTCACAAACTCCTTCACAAAGCCTGTGGGTGTGTGCATGTCTGAGTGTTAGCAAGCAGGAAAGCGGTGTTGATGATGAAGTGCCGCAGGAACAGTGGAAGAAAGTGAAGCTGGAGAGGAAAGTGGGTGCCAGTTAATGGAGGCCCCATGACAGCCTGCTAACGAGCTTGGACCATGTCCTGAAGATGTGGAGCCATTTTACCTGATAATTCATCCTCGTCTACAGATCACGGTCCAAACGCCTTTGCCCAGTATTCAGGGCTTTGTATATGTTTCCAGCCTATCTAGAAAAACTAGTCTGTCATTATTTCCAGGAGCAGACATCTTCACTTAACCGATGGAACATGAGAGTCAGTGGATGTGTGCCAATCTCCTGAAACTCCAGGTGCCTGGTTCCAGGTTCTCAGCATGCTGCCAGCAAGATGAGCCCCATTTGTCCAGGGCAGTGACCTGATTTATATGGCTTTCCTCCATCCCTTCTCTGACTTTTTCCATTTTCTCACTTTTGATTCCAGGAACCACTTTCCAAATGAATTACTGGGACCCAAATCCTGGTCTAGGGGTCTGGTTTTGAGAAATACAGCCTTCGGTACTGTCACATGACCAAACATAGGCCTCCTAGAATTAAGTTCCTGTCACTTTACCAACTTTCAGGACAACCTTCACAGTTTTTAAGGGAGGTGAGACCAGACATTAGTGCTGCATTGTAAAACTGACCTTTCAGTAGGGTGTGTGTGTGTGTGTGTGTGTGTGTGCATGTTTGTAGAGCTATGACGCAAAGTAATTTTGTTACCAATGTCATGGTCGATAGAGTTTATCATACATCTGCCATAGAGGGTAGCTATAGAGGATGATTGCTTACATGGAGACCAATTGGAGACAGTGACAATTGCCCAGAGAAAAGATATCCAAGGCCTTAACAATAGTAGTGACAGTGATGATGGAGAGGAGGAAACAGATTGCAGACACATTTGGGAGGACTTAGTTACTTCTTATCATAATGGGTTCTGGGTCCCCCTCCAGAAAGACATGATTGACATGATGAGAATAATAATAATGTAGTGAGAGTCGTGCCAATGGCCTAATGAACCTGAACATGATGTGCCCAGAAAATCAATTTCCTTGGAATAACTCAAGCAAAGCAAAACATACAAGGAGTACAAAGAGTGCTAGGCACTAAACGTGCAATTATAGTTTTCTGAGTTTAAAATTATGTTTGGGTATGTGGTGCACAATCTCTAAAATATAATTACCGAGGAACATAGTTTAATTTGTATCAGTCACAATTTACGGCTTGTCTATGTTTATAGAAATGATTATGGTTTGAAGCTTCTTGTGCCTTCCTTGATGCATAAAAAATGATTATCAAGCCTTCAGCAGCAGCCGCCTTCCCTGAGAATTGGCAGAAATGGGCCCTTTAATCAGGAACAAGATCCTACAGAGCCAACGTATGCAAATATGCAATCTCAGAACAACAGCTCACTTTTTATAATGAGAGAGTTGGAAAGAACCATAGTGAACCACAGCAGCAAGTGCCCACCTAAGAGAATGCCAATAATTCACAGTTACTGAGCACGGAAGTCTATACTCCCTTCTGCATCATCTTGCCACATCCAAACACAAGCCAGTTTCTGCCATCAACCTAACATGTTAATACTGTCATTGTTTCAAATAAACTATCAAATTGATCAGCTGACAGCCATTTTTCAAAAGACTTTATGAGAAGAGACTCTAGAAGGTTTTCAACTGTTGATGATTACTCATCAATGCTGCCATTAACTCATAATATGACCTTAGGTATGCCATTTAATTGCTTTGAGTTTCCAATTTTCTTATTTTTGTAATAAGGGCGTGAAACAAAAGGCTTCAAAAGGCCCCTCTAGCTCCCAAAGATGATGTCTCCATATGAATAGAAGTATGATAATTCTTTGAAAAGCTATTCAATGTGAGTATACACATTCACACATCATAGATGCATGCATACCCATACCATATTTTAGCTGTGAAATCTCAAATGACATAGGATTTGATTTATACATAAGAAAGAGAAAAAGAAATATAAGCAATAAGTTTGCATGGCCTTACGTTTAATATGTCACTTAGATGTAGCTTTGTTGTCCAAATTTGTCAAAAACTTTAGCAGGATAGATTCTGGTAGAAAAGATGTGAAACTTAGAGGCATGCCTCTCTTATTATAGGGCAGCTCCCACTCACTTCCTAAAAGCAATCCATCTGTTAGGTCAACCAGAGGCTGCACCCTGTTCTTTGGAGGGCAGTTATTTTTTTTTTCCATAAGAGTAAAAGGTATTGAAGAGAGCGAGAAGAGAAGTGCAAATGCTCTTAAGAGAATACTCAGATCTGAACATCATTATTAGGAGGCATTCAGACAGTTATTCATAGGCACAAAGCGCTCCCCAATCATCACATCAATTTTGTATGAGCTAAATGCTATGGAATTTGTTATACTATGGCCCAAAGTGGGTTTGAAAACTATAAACACTTTCTTACAGGATGATTGTGTAAGAAGTCACTTTCCGTGAGCTCCTGAATAATAGTATCTCCCAGGGGACTTATTTTTCAGCCAACCACAGGAGTCCCAAGAGCAGAAAGGGTTGGTTGGGGTCATAGACTAGAAATGCAGTGTTCAGTAGGAGGATCAGGTGGGTCATTGAGATGGTGACATTTGAGCAAAGATGTGGAGAGGAGGAAGAATGTGGCCATGAGGATACCTGAGGCAGGAGCAATTCTAGCAGTGGGAAGATCTAAAGCAAAAGCCCTGAAATGGAAGCCTGTCTGATGCCTTTGAGGAATATCAAGGCCAGTGAGGCTGGAACAGAGTCAGTGAGAAAAGAGTAGGAAGATAATTTAGAAAGGTAACAGGAAAGTAAGTTCACAGAGAATCTTAGACATTATAAGGGCTTTGGCCTTTATGTTGTGTTAGGTGAGAAGCTGCTGGAAGGTTTTAAGCAGTGAGTCATGTAGTTTGTTTAAAAGCATCACCCTGGCAGTGCAGTGTTGGAGTCTGTACAGGGGCAAGAAAACAATGAGGAAGATCAGTTAGGAGGCAAATGTTGTAGTCTAGGAAAGAGGAAATGGAAATGGTGGCTCAGAATAAATAGATCAGTAGAGGAGGGGAAGATGAGATTCTGGATATACGTTTTGAAGGGAGAATTAAGAGGACCTCAATTCTGAAGGTTTGAATGTGGGATATGAGAGAATAAATCTGAATGATTCCAAGATTACTGACCTGCACACCAGAAGGGTGGAATTGCCATCAACGGAAATGGAGAAAACTAAGTCATGGAAGATAAGTCAATGATCTGGAAAGAAAATGCTAAGTTTAAATGGACTATTGGAAACCCATAAATACATTTCAGGTAGACAGTTGGATATACAAGTCTACAATTCTGGGCTGGGCTTAAATATTTTATTACCAAAAGCATCCAGGTAGAATTTAAAAACAAACAAACAAAAAACAATAAAACTATAATAGGGCCCAGAATATCCCCCTTCTTGTTATATCCCCAAAAGAAATAAAATCAGCACCTTGTAGAGATATTGGCACTCCTGTCTTCATTGCAGCATTCTTTACAAAGCCAAGATATGAAAGCAATCTAGAGTCCATTGGCAGATGAATGGATAAATTCTGGCATGTGTGCACATACATGCACACATACACACACACAGAGGAATATAATTCAGCATTACAAAAGGAGATTCTGCCATTTGCAGAAACGTGGACAAACCTGGAGGACATCATAGTAAGTGAAAGAAATCAGACACAAAGAAAAATACGACGTGATTTCATTTATGAGGAACCTAAAAAATGTTAAATACATAGAAAGAAAGTAGAATAGTGGTTACCAGGGTCAGGGACTGGGGGGATGGGGAGATCTATATCAAAAGATACAAAGTTGCAGTAATGTAGGATGAGTAAGTCTAGAGATCTAATGTATAGCATGAGGATGGTAGTTAATGATATTGCATTGTTTATTGGAAATTTGCTATGAGTACATTTTAGGTGTTCTTATCACACATACAAAAGATTAGTATGTGAGGTGATGGACATGTTAATTTGATGGACTGTAGTAATCATATATATGTATGTCATGTGTATTACAGGTATATTTTGTATATATGTATATCAAAACATTATGTTGTCCACCTTAAATATAGACAATAAAAAATACAGAAAATAATGAAGCCATTAGACTGGATGAGAGCAACACAGAGAAGTGAGGATGGAAAGAAAAGAACAAAGTAGCAGCCTGGATTCCTGAGGCCTTGCAGACTGGAAGGAGACATGAGAAAAGTACATCATGAAAGAGCCAAATAGCAGCCACTGGAGGTAGAAGTGAAACCAGGAGAGGACCGTGCTGGAAGCCAGGTGAAGAGAGGACCCTGCTGGAAGCCAGGTGAGGAGAGAACCATGCTTGAAGCCAGGTGAGAATGGTATTTCAAGGAAGAAGAGGGAGTGATGGTGTCAGACGTCGCTGAGAAGCAAAGTAGATGCACACTGACAACTGATGACTGAATCAGACTGAGAACTGAGGGCTTCAGGAGGAGTCGGGAGATGGAGCCAAAGATTTTGCTGCAAAGGGAAGAGGGGTGGTACCTGTTTGGGAGAATGTGGCCAGGAGGAATTTTTTTTTTCTGTGTTTTAAAGATAAAATAAATAGCAGCATGTTTGAATGCTGAAATGATGAGGATAGAGGAAATCTTTATCAGCAGAGAAAGGAGACACGCTGAAGCAATGTGATGGGACATTGTGTGCTGCAGAAGGACTGGCTGTTACTATGGTTAACACCCAGGAAGTCAGGGTATCTGATGTGAAGGCCACCAGGTGTGTAGATAGTGAGGTGGCACTGGGTGACATTATTTACCCAATCAGCCCGTCATACTTTACTATGTTTCACACTCTCTGCCTATTGTTCTCCCGCTGATTCTTCTAGGTGCAACCCACAAGCTACTTTGTTCAAACTTGAGCTGTCCAGTTACCATCTGGGGCGGTTAGGAAAAACCCTAAAATCTGGCTGGGTTTTTTTCTTTCGACATAAAACTAATCATGTCCTTAAACACAAGCAAAATAGTCATGAGACAAGAGAGAAATTCAAGGTCAATAAGCTTTCTTTAGAATTACACAGCTAGGAAATTTAGTTCAAAAAGCTGTTTCAATTTTGGAAATTCAAAATAATAACATTTTAGTTTGAATTGCACATAAGAAGAGAATCGCCATTATGTTTTTAGTGCAGATTAAGTCGCAGGATCTTAATTTTCCCCTGCCCCAAAGCCACATGTTCTGGTCCCATGAGAGCAGCCTAAAGACAGCACAGGAAAGTCACATTTCTGTAGCTGCTGGTAGAAGTGACTAGAGCTGCAAATTCGAGTCTTGTCAGTGGAGAGAAGCTGCAAACAAGATCAGAGGAACCACAGCTTCTGTCAACTTGCATGTAAAAATATGGAGTTGGAGATCCACCAGCATTACCAGCAGGTGAGAAAAAGTCAGGAAAATGTTGACCCTCTTAATCCCCCGTTGCAACCCTTCATTCCAATCTACATATCTGGGATACAATTTTTTTCTTTTTTTTTTTTTTTCTGAGACGGAGTCTCTCTCTGCTGCCCAGGCTGGAGTGCAGTGGCACCATCTCGGCTCACGGCAACTTCTGCCTCCCGGGCTCAAGCAATTCTCCTGAGTAGCTGGAATTATAGGTGCACACCACCACACCTGGCTAATTTTTGTAATTTTAGTAGATACAGGGTTTCACCATGTTGGTCAGGCCAGTCTCGAACTCCTGACCTTGTGATCCACCCACCTCTGCCTCCCAAAGTGCTGGAATTACAGGCGTGAGCCACTATGCCTGGCCTGGGATACAATTCTAATGCTTCCCCTGATATTTGAGACCCATTGCTTGCTCACTTCTTGGCCTGCTTCCTTCTCTGTATCCTTGAACCCTCATCCCACCATGGGTTATATTTGCTCACCCCCAGATCTCTGCACGTGCTGCACTCCCCTTACCTGACATGCCCATCACTCTTGCCTATGTCAAGCTAACTTTTTTACTTTCAGGTCTCAGAAGAGTGGTGACTTCCCACCTGAAGCCTTCCTTGACACTGCAGCAATCTTGGAACAGCCAACACTTACACAGCTGTTACTATTCGTGAGTTACTATCCTATGAAATTCGTAGAAATTGACACACTCAAACCTCACAAACAATATTATGGTTATTATTATTTTCATTTTACAGGCGAGAAATATTATGCTTAGACAGGTCAAGTAATTTTTAAGGTCATACACCTTATGAATGTAAGAGCCAGCATTTTCAGTCATGCCCAGCCAGCCCATGACTAGAGACCCACTTTGAAGCTTTACTCTAGGCTGTCCTTCATAAAAGGGTATAGAAGTTGCAGATTTCAGAAGTTTTATTGTATTTGTTTTTTCACTTGTAAACACCTTTCCCACTGGACCTGAGTGTGGTTATAAACATTTAAACTCTACCTCCTGAAAGTGGGTGTGTGTGGCCTGGTTGCTAGAATCAACTTCAAATGGCCTCCTATGCTATCTTAAGTCAGGTAAGAAAATGAAAATATATTTAGTTGGAAGATTTACTGATAGAAATGTACAGTAGCTGCTTTACCCTCCTAGTATTTAAAATAACTCCCCACACAACATGTCCCGGTCATTACCACTTGCGCTGAGTAAATGGAAAATTATTTCACACAGAGGCTTGTTCGTGTACAATTTGGTTAGGTTTATTTTGCTTTAAGATATATGATTTGATTCATTAATTCATTCATTAATGAAGAGTCTAGCTTTAAACAAATGTGAAGGTCACAGCTAGGAAGAGGTAGATCCTGGATTTTAGCTTAAGAAATGTATCTCAGATTCAGGACCCTCAAGACAGACTACTGCACTGCAACGTAGAAGAGAATGTTCTGAGAGCATTAAGAAAACAAGGCTAACTCTGTTAGGTGTTCAGTGAAGGCTTCAGAGAAGAGCCATCATTTGAACAGCAATGTGATAGAATTACAATTCTGTGAGTCAGAAAGGCTGTGCACACATTCAACACCCAGAACCAATAAAAATCTTCAGCACTGCTCTCACCAGGCAGGTGCACTCCCACTCTGTGTGTGCTTCCCTTTCTCTGCATATCCTGATCACATCCACCTTCTCTACACAGACGTTCCTGAGACTCTCTAAGAGGAAACTCTTGATACATCTTGCCTGAGTTATTCTTTTGGCAATAACCAAATTCAGCCTCCTGGCATCTTGCCCAACATTTTGTACCTCTTATGTAACTTAGTTGGTAATCTGTCATCCAGTCCTTTTTGCACAGGCACTATTTATGGCATGATAAAAAGAACATTTGCTGTAAAGATAAACGCCATGATTTTGAATCCAAACCAGGCATGTCCCCCATCATTATATTCAATCTCTCAGATCCTTCATTTTCTCTCCTATAGAATTGAAATAATAATACTCCTCTAATAAATGTGGCAAAGTACTTAACTTTCTCCTCAACATTTGTCTTCTGTACAGTGTCTTGCATAGTATTCAGAAAGGTGCTGCAGATGTCTCATGAATAATGAAAAGATTTGCTTCAGACATTATTGGAATTATGCATATGGGCTGAGTGTTAAGAGAACATAATAGCAAAACAAACTTCCTGATAAGGGAAAAGACAGAAGGAGATATAAAATACTGCAGACATCTTTCCAGACCCTCATTGTGGAGCATCATTGGGACACCCACGCTCCCAACTGCAGACTTCCCCTACCTGTGCTAATATGTTCAAGGCACACCCTGAAGTGTTTACTACTAAGAAATGAGAGAATCTTGAGTCTCAAAAATATAAAAATTTGAGTTAATTCAATGTGGATAAATAAGCATTGCTGACACTCCTAAAAATTAGTGTGACCAAAGAAAGTGATAGCAGTCAATCTGATTCTCTGTTGGCATGAGTGTTACCGTCTGCACTGATTCTTTTGTTTAAAAAATTATTATTATTAGTTATGTGTTTCATAGAATTTTTTTTTCCTTTTTTTTTTTTTTTTTTTGGACAGAGTCTTACTCTGTTGCCCAGGCTGGAGTGCAATGGAGCGATCTCATTTTACCACAACCTCCGCCTCCAGGGTTCAAACGATTCTCCTGCCTCAGCCTCCTGAGTAGCTGAGATTACAGGTGCCTGCCACCATGCCTGGCTAATTCTTTATTTTTTTAGTAGAGATGGGTTTTCACCATGTTGGCCAGGCTGGTCTCGAACTCCTGACCTCGTGATTCACCCACCTCGGCCTCCCAAACTGCTGGAATTACAGGTGTGAGCCACCAAGCCCGGCCCCATAGAAAAAGTTTTAAAAGGATTTTGGAGACAAATCAGTTTTAGTCTTACTAGCTATTTGACTTTGGGTAAATTAACTGCCTAGTCTCAGTTTTCTCATCTATAAAAATAAGAAAAATGCAGCAGCTGCCATCAATGCACCAGCACTCCAACTGCCTTTAGATTTCACCTTTAATAAAGACTTATACAAATTGTCATTGCAACCCCTTCCTGGGTCTTTTCCTGGGCAAGGGGTTCTGAGA
This sequence comes from Homo sapiens, assembly GCF_000001405.40. NCBI lineage: Eukaryota > Metazoa > Chordata > Mammalia > Primates > Hominidae > Homo > Homo sapiens. The sequence goes on along the minus strand of NC_000004.12, from coordinate 11,584,276 downwards.
TCAAGGACAGAGAAAGTCCTGAGTGTAGCAGATGTTAGAGCCCCTGGAAGCCCCTTACCCAAGATGACTGGAGAGTTGGTTGATAAACATCCATTCACTCCCACCCCTTCTCTTCTTTGAAATTTCTCTGAAGCAATTTACATTGTATCTCAGATTTCTCCAACAGCATTATCTTGTTACACACAGGGATAATTTGCTTGAGAGTACATCATTTATTTGCTGCTTTTCTTTCCTTGTCTTACTTCCTCACCCACCTACCTGAAAATGCTGGGATCCTTCAGTTTCTGAAGGGACGCAGAACACAGCAGAGGATAATATTATGTACATCTGAGTGATTTCATGGCATAAGCTTGGCACATTTCTTGGCCCATTTTATCTATTTGGATTCAATCAGAAATCAGAAGCAGTTGGAGATATATCTGAAGCAATTTATTGCAAGGAATCAGCTTACGTGATTGTGGGGCTAGCTATGCAGGTCTGAAATTTCCATGGCAGGTTTCTGTGAAGGTTGGTTGGAACTCTTGGGCAAGAGCTGGTGCTGCAGTTCACAGGCAGAATTTCTGCCTCCAAAGGAAGCCTCAACTCTGCTTTTAAGAACTTGCAACTGTTTGAATCTGACCCATCAAGATTATCTAAGGAAATCCTCCCTTACTTAGAGTCAATGAATTATGGACTTTAATCAGATCTACAAAATACTTTTATAACAAGTATTGCTAAGTATTTGATTGAAAAGTGGGGATTGGGTGGAGCCAAGATGGCCAAATAGGAACAGCACCCGTCTACAGCTCCCAGTGTGAACGACAGAGAAGATGGGTGATTTCTGCATTTCCATCTGAGGTACCCGGTTCATCTCACTAGGGAGTGCCAGACAGTGGGTGCAGGACAATGGGTACAGCGCACCATGCGCAAGCTGAAGCAGGGCGAGGCATTGGCTCACTCAGGAAGCGCAAGGGGTCAGGGAGCTCCCTTTCCTAGTCAAAGAAAGGGGTGACAGACGGCACCTGGAAAATCGGATCACTCCCACCCTAATACTGTGCTTTTCCAACGGGCTTAAAACACGGCACACCAGGAGATTATATCGCGCACCTGGCTCGGAGGGTCTTACACCCACGGAGTCTCAAGGATTCCTAGCACAGCAGTCTGAGATCAAACTGCAAGGCAGCAGCGAGGCTGGGGGAGGGGCGCCTGCCATTGTCCAGGCTTCATTGGGTAAACAAAGCAGCTGGGAAGCTCAAACTGGGTGGAGCCCACCACAGCTCAAGGAGGCCTTCCTTCCTCTGTAGGCTCCACCTCTGGGGGCAGGACACAAACAAACAAAAAGACAGCAGTAACCTCTGCAGACTTAAATGTCCCTGTCTGACAGCCTTGAAGAGAGTAGTGGTTCTCCCAGCACACAGCTGGAGATCTGAGAAAGGGCAGACTGCCTCCTCAAGTGTGTCCCTGAGCCCCGAGCAGCCTAACTGGGAGGAACCCCCCAGTAGGGGCAGACTGACACCTCACATGCCCGGGTACTCCTCTGAGACAAAACTTCCAGAGTAACGATCAGGCAGCAGCATTTATGGTTCACCAATATCTGCTGTTTTACAGCCACCGCTGTTCTGTAGCCACCGCTGCTGATACCCAGGCAAACAGTGTCTGGAGTGGACCTCTAGCAAACTCCAATAGACTTGCAGCTGAGGGTCCTGTCTGTTAGAAGGAAAACTAACAAACAGAAAGGACATCCACACCAAAAACCCATCTGTACATCAGCATCATCAAAGACCAAAAGTAGATAAAATCACTGGAAACTCTAAAAAGAACAGAAAAACTGGAAACTCTAAAAAGCAGAGCGCCTCTCCTCCTCCAAAGGAACACAGCTAATCACCAGCAATGGAACAAAGATGGACGGAGAATGACTTTGACGAGTTGAGAGAAGGCTTCAGACGATCAAACTACTCCGAGCTACAGGAGGAAATTCAAACCAGTGGCAAAGAAGTTAAAAACTTTGAAAAAAAAATTAGACGAATGGATACCTAGAATAACTAATGCAGAGAAGTCCTTAAAGGAGCTGATGGACCTGAAAGCCAAGGCTCAAGAACTACGTGAAGAATGCAGAAGCCTCAGGAGCCAATGCGATCAACTGGAAGAAAGGGTATCAATGATGGAAGACAAAATGAATGAAATGAAGTGAGAAGGGAAGTTTAGAGAAAAAAGAATAAAAAGAAATGAACAAAGCCTCCAAGAAATATGGGACTGTGTGAAAAGACCAAATCTACGTCCCATTGGTGTACCTGAAAGTGACGGGGAAAATGGAACCAAGCTGGAAAACACTCTGCAGGATATTATCCAGGAGAACTTCCCCAATCTAGCAAGACAGGAAAACATTCAGACTCAGGAAATACAGAGAATGCCACAAAGATACTCCTCGAGAAGAGCAACTCCAAGACACATAATTGTCAGATTCACCAAAGTTGAAATCAAGGAAAAAATGTTAAGGGCAGCCAGAGAGAAAGCTCGGGTTACCCACAAAGGGAAGCCCATCAGACTAACAGCAGATCTCTCAGCAGAAACTCTACAAGCCAGAAGAGAGTGGGGACCAATATTCAACATTCCTAAAGAAAAGAGTTTTCAAACCAGAATTTCATATCCAGCCAAACTAAGCTTCATAAGTGGAGAAATAAAATTCTTTACAGACAAACAAATGCTGAGAGATTTTGTTACCACCAGGCTTGCCCTAAAAGAGCTCCTGAAGGAAGCACTAAATATGGAAAGGAACAACCGGTACCAGCCACTGAAAAAAGATGCCAAAATGTAAAGACCGTCAAGGCTAGGAAGAAACTGCATCAACTGACAAGCAAAATAACCAGCTAACATCGTAATGACAGGACCAAGTACACACAGAACAATATTAACTTTAAATGTAAATGGACTAAATTGTCCAATTAAAAGACACAGACTGGCAAATCAGATAACGAGTCAAGACCCATAAGTGTGCTGTATTCAGGAAACCCATCTCACATGCAGAGACACACATAGGCTCAAAATAAAGGGATGAGGAAGATCTACCAAGCAAAGGGAAAACAAAAAAAGGCAGGGGTTGTAATCCTAGTCTCTGATAAAACAGACTTTAAACCAACAAAGATCAAAAGAGACAAAGAAGGCCATTACATAATGGTAAAAGGATCAATTCAACAAGAAGAGCTAACTATCCTAAATATATATGTATCCAATACAGGAGCACCCAGATTCATAAAGCAAGTCCTGAGTGACCTACAAAGAGACTTAGACTCCCACACATTAATAATGGGAGACTTTAACAACCCACTGTCAACATTAGACAGATCAATGAGACAGAAAGTTAACAAGGATACTCAGGAATTGAACTCACCTCTGCACCAAGCAGACCTAATAGACATCTACAGAACTCTCCACCCCAAATCAACAGAATATACATTTTTTTCAGCACCACACCACACCTATTCCAAAATTGACCACATAGTTGGAAGTAAAGCACTCCTCAGCAAATGTAAAAGAACAGAAATTATAACAAACTGTCTCTCAGACCACAGTGCAATCAAACTAGAACTCAGGACTAAGAAACTCACTCAAAACCACTTAACTACATGGAAACTGAACAACCTGCTCCTGAATGACTACTGGGTACATAACAAAATGAAGGCAGAAATAAAGATGTTCTTTGAAACCAACGAGAACAAAGACACAACATACCAGAATCTCTGGGACACATTCAAAGCAGTGTGTAGAGGGAAATTTATAGCACTAAATGCCCACAAGAGAAAGCAGGAAAGATCCAAAATTGACACCCTAACATCACAATTAAAAGAACTAGAAAAGCAAGAGCAAACACATTCAAAACCTAGCAGAAGGCAAGAAATAACTAAAATCAGAGGAGAACTGAAGGAAGTAGAGACACAAAAAACCCTTCAAAAAATTAGTGAATCCAGGAGCTGGTTTTTTGAAAAGATCAACAAAATCGATAGACCGCTAGCAAGACTAATGAAGAAGAAAAGAGAGAAGAATCAAATAGACACAATAAAAAATGATAAAGGGGATATCACCACCGATCCCACAGAAATACAAACTACCATCAGAGAATACTACAAACACCTCTAGGCGAATAAACTAGAAAATCTAGAAGAAATGGATAAATTCCTTGAAACGTACACCCTCCCAAGACTAAACCAGGAAGAAGTTGAATTTCTGAATAGACCAATAACAGGATCTGAAATTGTGGCAATCATCAATAGCTCACCAACCAAAAAAAAGTCCAGGACCAGATGGATTCACAGCTGAATTCTAACAGAGGTGCAAGGAGGAGCTGGTATCATTCCTTCTGAAACTATTCCAATCAATAGAAAAAGAAGAAATCCTCCCTAACTCATTTTATGAGGCCAGCATCATCTTGATACCAAAGCCGGGCAGAGACACAACCAAAAAAGAGAATTTTAGACCAATATCCTTGATGAACATTGATGCAAAAATCCTCAATAAAATACTGGCAAACCAAATCCAGCAGCACATCAAAAAGCTTATCCACCATGATCAAGTGGGCTTCATCCCTGGGATGGAAGGCTGGTTCAACATAGGCAAATCAATAAATGTAATCCAGCATATAAACAGAACCAAAGACAAAAACCACATGATTATCTCAGTAGATGCAGAAAAGGCCTTTGACAAAATTCAACAACCCTTCATGCTAAAAACTCTCAATAAATTAGGTATTGATGGGACATATCTCAAAATAATAAGAGCTATCTATGACAAACCCACAGCCAATATCATACTGAATGGGCAAAAACTGGAAGCATTCCCCTTGAAAACTGGCACAAGACAGTGATGCCCTATCTCACCACTCCTATTCAACATAGTGTTGGAAGTGCTGGCCAGGGCAATTAGGCAGGAGAAGGAAATAAAGGGTATTCAATTAGGAAAAGAGGAAGTCAAATTGTCCCTGTTTGCAGATGACATGATTGTATATCTAGAAAACCCCAATTGTCTCAGCCCAAAATCTCCTTGAGCTGATAAGCAACTTCAGCAAAGTCTCAGGTTACAAAATCAATGTGCAAAAATCACAAGCATTCTTATACACCAATAGCAGACAAACAGAGAGCCAAATCATGAGTGAACTCCCATTCACAATTGCTTCAAAGAGAATAAAATACCTAGGAATCCAACTTACAAGGGATGTGAAGGACCTCTTCAAGGAGAACTACAAACCACTGCTCAATGAAATAAAAGAGGATACAAAGAAATGGAAGTACATTCCATGCTCATGGGTAGGAAGAATCAGTATCGTGAAAATGACCATACTGCTCAAGGTAATTTATAGATTCAATGCCATCCCCATCAAGCTACCAATGACTTTCTTCACAGAATTGGAAAAAACTACTTTAAAGTTCATATGAAATCAAAAAAGAGCCTGCATCGCCAAGTCAATCCTAAGCCAAAAGAACAAAGCTGGAGGTATCACGCTACCTGACTTCAAACTATACTACAAGGCTACAGTAACCAAAACAGCATGGTAGTGGTACCAAAACAGAGATATAGATCAATGGAACAGAACAGAGCCCTCAGAAATTATGCTGCATATCTACAACCATCTGTTCTTTGAAAACCTGAGAAAAACAAGGAATGGGGAAAGGATTCCCTATTTAATAAATGGTGCTGGGAAAACTGGCTAGCCATATATAGAAAGCTGAATCTGGATCCCTTCCTTACACCTCATACAAAAATAAATTCAAGATGGATTAAAGACTTACATGTTAGACCTAAAACCATAAAAACCCTAGAAGAAAACCAAGGCATTACCATTCAGGACATAGGCATGTGCAAGGATTTCATGTCGAGAACACCAAAAGCAATGGCAACAAAAGCCAAAGTTGACAAATGGGATCTAATTAAACTAAAGAGCTTCTGCACATTTGACCCAGCCATCCCACTACTGGGTATATACCCAAAGGATTATAAATCATGCTGCTAGAAAGACACATGCACACATATGTTTACTGTGGCACTATTCACAATAGCAAAGACTTGGAACCAACCCAAATGTCCAACAACGATAGACTGGATTAAGAAAGTGTGGCACATATACACCATGGAATACTATGCAGCCATAAAAAATGATGAGTTCATGTCTTTTGTAGGGACATGGATGAAACTGGAAACCATCATTCTCAGCAAACTATCACAAGGACAAAAAACCAAACGCCACATGTTCTCACTCATAGGTGGGAATTGAACAATGAGAACACATCGACACAGGAAGGGGAACATCACACTCCGGGGACTGTTGTGGGGTGGGGGGAGGGGGGAAGGATAGCATTTGGAGATATACCTAGTGTAAATGATGAGTTAATGGGTGCAGCACAAGACCAACATGGCACATGTATACATATGTAACAAACCTGCACATTGTTCACATGTACCCTAAAACTTAAAGTATAATAATAATAAAATAAAATAAAAGTGGGGATTGAAGTCTAGACAAGTGAACATATTAGACCATCATACGCAAAATAAGTGGTCAAAAATTGTCAAATTATTCTTTATCTTATGTTATTAAAAAATAACTATATTTTATTTGATTATACTTAATTATAATTTATTATATAATATTTGTAGGAAAAATGTATAAAAAACAAAATAATACTCATTTACAAGTCCTCCATGAAAAGATTATACCACTGGCAATGCATTTTACCTGCACAACAATGCCTCAGTTTTTGCCCTCTTACACTGCATACCCTTCACTTGACAGTCTATAATGAGCATATTCTTATCTAACAGATTTTTTAGGACTTCAGCTATTTTAATAACTACAAAGTATTTTATCATCTATATACATCATTTTATTAATTTCATACTCTTTGGGTTCTTCCTACTTTTTACTTCTTTGCTGAATCACCTTGTATATAAATATTTACCTGCATATTAGGATAAGTTTCTGTTTATTAACTAGTCTCGTTGATTCTTGCAACTTGTTCTGCAAGAGGAATGTGTTCTGACACCCTAAAGCATCCACTGTATGTAGTGAATTAATTTCTCTCCTACATACCTACAATGGTACTACTAGTTTTGGGGTATCCTTGCGAGACGTTGGAAAAGAGTCACTGAAATCATTTTCTGAGTACCATGATTCAGATGAAGACACCCAGTTAAGAAAAGCTGGTAGAAGATTTGAAAAGGTGATCTAATTCTTTTAAAAGTTTGTTGAGATTAAAGTTGCCAACCTATTCCCTTCCTTTCCAGATTTTTAACAGAAATTTTATAAGTAATTTTTGAAATCTAGAAAATAAGAAGACAGATCAATGGTTGTTCGATATTACTGGAGGAAAAGAGTGTGGTTATCAAGGAGTAACACAAGGAGGTTTTTCAGGTGATAGAATTTTTCTGAATTCTGATTTAGGTGGTGGTTAAATAACTCTGTATGTGTGTTAAACTACAACTGCACAGAAAAGAAGTCAATTTTACTGCATGATAATTTAATAAGAAGGAAAAAGGGGAAAATAGGATAAGTAGAATGAAAAACAAAAAAAATGGGGTATGAAAGGATTTTGTGCAGAAGGATTAAAGTGCAGAGTTTTCTGAAAGTTTAGTGCCATAATTTAGAGCACTAAACATTTCAGTTTTCCTCTGAATCCTTAGATTTAAGGACTTCAGTGTTTAGTATCATCATTTACAACCAAATAAAAAATTATGATTTCACTTTATACAAGATTTCTCTAAATGAAACAAACTTTCTCAGTAAAAAGATCAATCTTTTCTACCTTGATTATTTTCAAGTGAGAATTTAGTTACATTTTTAATATTCATTTTCTAAACATTTTCCACATTCACACTTAGATTAAAATGTTCGGCTAAATATTCAGTCATTCAAATGCATAGTCATCAAGAATTGCATAAGGAATTTCAGCATCATATTAAAATATGGAAACTCAGTAGAAATTTTAAAGTTACCTTAATGCAAAACTTAATCGCTACATTTTATTTTATAAGTTTGGTGCACAGAGACTGGAAGTTATAGCTGCCTTGATTTTAGACCCAGAAGATCTAATCTGTTCATTGGCTTTGACCAGCCTCTTGGGAAGATTTAAGGTGAGGTTTCTGCAAATAACTGAATGAACAGCAGTGAGTTATGATAAGCTTCTGAAAGCTGAATTCACATGCTGTAAAATGGTCTTCTCCTGTTATCACTGGTTCTGTATACCTGTTCTCAAGTGTACAGATTCCTTGGGCCAACCCTGCTTTTCCCTCTTTCTTGCTTATGGTTTGCAAGAATTGCTGTAGAATGTGCTGGAAATGCAACATCCTGAGATAGACAGGGACTGACTGGACCTGCCTCAGTTCTGTTACAGTTCCCCCCCAAACACGATGCCCTTCACTGCTTTAACCCAGAGTGTCATGTTTCCCACAGGGTATAAAACCCAGAGTGGGCTTCTTTCTGAAATCCCTTAGATATGGTGCAAGTGAGGAATGGGCTGATGAGAATCCATCTGCCCTGGCATCTTTCCTGAGCCTTGAGGCCTGACTCGAAATGAATTCTAGCCTTCTGTTATCCCTAGCTGCCTATCTGAAAGTAATAAATCTGCTTCATGTAGCTTGTGTGTGTGGGTGTTTTGTCTCACTGTACTCAGACAAATTGCTAACCAGTGCACAGTGAACCTGCTTAACCACATGCACTCTCCTCTTCATCATGGACAAGGGTCTTTGAAGTTGTTTCCAACCCATGAGGGCTGTTAATCCGTGGGTTAAAGAAGCTATTACTTATGGCCCTTGAGATTTACAGTAAGTAGATGGTAGGGTCTCATTTCAGCCACTCTATTTTAAGGTGCACTGCTTTGCCCTCTGCTCTTCCTCCTCACCTGGCACTAACTTCAGAAAATTTTACTTTAAACCTTTTAGCAACACTGTTTGTTCAGCTATTTGTTTTGGTGGGAGAAGACAGATGAGCACAAGAGCAAGATTTCAAGGTATCCTAATGTGATTTTAAGAGCTAGAAAGGCCTTTATATGTCACTTCTCCCTCTCTCTACACCTTCATCTTAGTCCAAGCTTTCTTCATCTTGCAGAAATTTCTTATGGGTGTCTCCCAACCCTCCTGTCACATTAATATGATTTCTCCATAGATGTTCATCCCTTTTGTGGGTGATGCAGGCAAAGACAAGTCCAAGAGAAAATAACTGGCCTTCAAAGGGCAGTCTCCAGCAGGTCTAACTTAAGAGATGGGAAGTCCATGGACTCTGAAGTATTTTCTAGCCAGCGGGAGTTAGGAACAGCCTTGCCAAACACAAGGCCAGCAAGGCGATAGCTTAAGACCGCAAGCAGAAGATAAGTAAGTGTTCGTTATAAACCCACTTATCTGATGTATTAGTCCTCTAAGTGTTCCTCTTTCACATTTTCTGGTGCTATGACAAGATGCAGTGAAGATTAGGAGTCCATGGGTAATATCCTTCTTTCCCTCATGAGTTTGAAAATAAGCATAAAAATGGCACGAGAATCAGAGGAATGAAGATCCAAAGAATCAGCTTTCTAGCTAACTAAACCAGTGTGAGAGAACATGGACACACATCCGCAGCCATGTGAGTCTGCAAACACTTTCCCTTGAGTTAGCAGACTCACCTGTACAGGTCCTGGCGTGGATGGACCACTCCAGGCTTCGCCTGCGAGGGCACAGCAGGGAGCCAGACCAGAATGCATGTGTCCAGTGCAGAGGGAGTGGGCTGCCCCAAGGATGCCTGACTCCATCTCTGAAACTCACTAGTCAGAAAGGCAGCCCTCCTCCCATGGGAAAGAATGAGTGAGGGAAGGAAGAAAAACCTGGAGTGGTACTTGAGCTGAAGTTCCCCACTAAGGCTACCAGCATCCCAGGGAAATTAACATGCATCCTCTCCCTGCTTCCAACCTGCTGACCCTGGGCCTTTTTTAGGAGACAGGCACATGTAAGATAATGCTTAAGCTAAAGTTGATGTTAACTCTAGAAGGCAGCTTGGCTGTGCCAGGGGAGATGTCAAGGCTAGCAAGGAGAATGTGAGGATATTGAGCACTTCATTGCGAGTCCTGGAAATTCAGAGTTTTAGGTTGTAATGTCATGGTGGAAAGGTTAGTAACTTAACGGCAGAAAGGTAGAAATAAATTCTCATACCACTATACTCCCAGAAAAAAAAATTCTGCTATTTTAAAGCCACATGCAGTATGAGGTGGCCTATAAAATAACCCAGGACCCCCCATGGGGTAATTGCCTCCAGTGGGTTCTATTTTATTAATATTAAGGATGGTGGAAGCTCCCTTTAAGAGCAATGCAAACTTTTCCACCAAAGTCTAGGTGTGGACTAGCTGGTGGGTGAAAAATGAAGGTGTCAGAGACGGAGAACTTAGCCTTAAAAAGTCTGCAACATGATGGCATTCCTTTGAAGTCTCTTATTTACTCTATCTTAAAAATTCACGAGATTTTTGACAGTCTCTCAAACAATACTTTCATTTTTGCTTTGATAAAAAATAGGACTTAAATTACCTACCATTAAGAAAATGGATGCTTTCTGGGAGGATGTGGTATGCTTTGCCCTTGGTCCTGCACATCCAAGGCAGGTCTCTGAGTAACTCCCCAGAACTCATTCTGTCTTATAGTCTCAGGCTTGAGAAACACTGTTTATATGCAGTATCCATTCATCTGTCCATCCAACAAATATTTACTAAGCAATAATTATTCATAAGGCATTCTATGTGTAAGATATAGTCAAAATCTCAAGGAGTTATGACTTCCAATAGATGAGTTTAAAATTTTCATTTACAGTAAGAAAACAAATGCAACCTGCCTCTTCCAGTAATTGGTAGATAGTAGGCATTTTTAAAGGTATTTTATATCATTGCATATTTTCATTATTATCCTAAGAATGCATTAAGAACAAAGGCAAATAATACTGGATTTTCACTTGGAAAGAAAGGGGAATCCTAAAAGTCTTGGCCAAAACAGTAAAAAAAAAAAAAAACAAACCAACAGCTGATGGGAATGTAAATTAGTTCAACCATTGTGGAAGACAATGTGGTGATTTCTCAAAGACCTAGAATCAGAAATACCATTTGACCCAGCAATCCCATTACTGGGTATATACCCAAATGAATACAAATCATTCTATTATAAAGATACATGAACGTGTATGTTCATTGCAACACTATTCACAATAGCAAAGACATGGAATCAACCCAAATTACTATCAATAATAGACTGGATAAAAAAATGTCATACATATACATCACAGAATACTATGCAGCCATTAAAAGAATGAGATCATGTCTTTTGCTGGGACATGGATGGAGCTGGAAGCCACTATCCTCAGCAAACTAACACAAGAACAGAAAACCAAACATTGCTTATTCTCACTTATAAGTGGGAGCGGAACAATGAGAATATATGGACCCAGAGAGGGGAATAACACACACTGGGGCCTGTCAGTGGGGTGGGGCATGGGATGGGAGAAAGAGCATGAGGAAAAATAGCTACTGCATGCTGGGCTTAATCCCTAGGTGATGGGTTGATAGGTGCAGCAAACCAACATGGCACACATTTACCTATGTAACAAAACTACACATCCTGCACATGTGCCCCAGAACTTAAATAAAATAAAATAAAAACAAAGAGAAGAAAAACACAATAGCAACAAACATTCTCTAATGCCCTGTTATTGTGACCTTCATTAGGCTGAGGATCTTTTAGTTAATAAAATAAAAATCTGTTGCCTAATCTCAAACAATACTGCAGGTATGAATGATGTAGCTTAGCATGTGGTTATGTACAGGCATACTCATTACCTTTTTGATCCATTAAATAATGTTACACCAACAAGAACATACACTCCTTAAATCAGAAATCATTCTGTAGCACCTTTGCTCAATAGAAATACAGTGCAAGACACATACACAGTTTTAAATTTTCTTTTCTTTTCTTTTCTGTTTTTGAGACTGGAGTCTATCTCTGTCACCCAGGCTGCAGTGCAGTGGCACAATCCCAGCTCACTGTAACCTCCACCTCCCGGGTTCAAGTGATTCTCATACCTCAGCCTCCTGAGTAGCTGGGACTACAGGCACATGCCACCACACCTGTCTAATTTTTGTTGTTGTTGCTGTTGTTGTATTTTTAGTAGAGACGGGGTTTCACTGTGTTAGCTAGGATGGTCTCGATCTCTTGACCTCATGATCCACCCACCTCAGCCTCCCAAAGTGCTGGGATTACAGGCGTGAGCCACCACGCCCAGCCAGTTTTAAATTTTCTAGTAGCACATATAAAAAGTAAAAAGTAACAGGTGAATTTAAAAATAAAATACATCCTAAATATGGCCATTTCAACATGCAATCAATACAAAATTATAAATGAAATCTTTTATATTGTTTTCTATTGTCTTCAAAATCCAATGCATATTTTATGCTCACCCACATCTCTATCCCAACTAAATACACCTCTTGTGCTCAATAGCTGCAGTGACTCGTGTCTGCCATATTGAACAGTGCAGGTACAGACTACAAGGCTTTAGTTAAAAGTCCAAAAAATCTCCTATGAGGAGCTTATCATTAAAAAAAAGAAGTATATGTGTTTAAATTTTATTTTAATCATGGACATTGATAATAACAATCCTCAGTGGAATTCATTCTAAATTTATTGACCTCTTCTTAAGTCGCATAAATTAAACAATATTAGTTTTGGATAAAAGTAGTAGTTATGAACGTTACAAAGGGCAGATCTGAAGTAAATCAATTATTTGTTCTTATCCTGAATGGTTCTGTATTACTAGGGTTTTTGGTTATCTCTGTTGCTAAGAGTTTTTATTTTCTGTCTTTTCCATCATTATCAGGCACTTGTATACTCTTAACCTATTGCCATGGTGTTTGACTCCTTACTCTAATACACACGCACATACACACACACACACAAACTTACACTCTGTAGAAAATGCTACTACATGTGTTAAAATGTACATAAAAATGATGTATTTTGGGCATGAGAGACTGAAATATTCTCCCATAAATAAAAAATGCTTTATCAACTTCCTTTTGCCTCAGCTAACCTCAGCATAGCGGTAGTTAGAAGATACATGAAGTTGTTTCCAGTAAAGAATTACAGTGCTTCTTTATTCAATTGTTTACTTATTTTGATGTGTCATATTTAAATATACTAAGACAGTTTTCTGAAATCCCATAGAAACTATCAATGCTTTTTTAGAAAATGCCATTTGACTATAAATAAGTTTAATTATTTCTCATAGTATTAATTATTTTTGAATACAGAAAAGATCTGAGGATATTTAGAATGCTTGTTTTTAGAAATATAATACCCATGGAGGTATTTAGCTCCTCTCTGAGAGTTTAAACATCTCATCTGTGTAATCACATTACTAACACTGTCACTATAAAGAAAATTTCAAGAAATAGAATAGCTATTCGTTGTGTACCACTCAACATAAAAGTTTAATAAATTCATACAACATAAAGAATGGGAATACACCTGAGGTAACAATAACAATATGATAGTAGCATATGATAATATAATATTTATTCTATTAATATGATAGGAATAATAACATAATAGCATAATATATAATGTAATAATATTAACACATGCCACTATTATAATAATGTAACATTAACTACTTAGTATATCCCAGGTAGTATACTAAATATTTTATATTCATTTTGTCATCTAATCTTCACACTGACCTTGGAGGGTATACGCACTTATTCCACACAAAGGAAACAGGCAATTTGAGAGCCAAGTAGCTGTGTAGTGATGGAGCTAGGGTGAAAGAAAACACACTTCTCTCTGACTCTAGATCCAAACTCTCAACCATTGTGTCACACTGCCACATTTTGTCAAATTACATTTATTGGAGGAGCAAACTGACCAGAGAAGGAGAATGACTATAAAAGGTGTCCTTCTAATCTAATCAGTGTCATTGCCACCTCCAGAAACCAAGTCTTTTTACTCAGGGCCATGTTTATTCAACAGTGATGGTCTGAGTTTATTAACGTAATCACAGATTGTTTTTATAAATATCAATTGTTCTACAGCAAAGAAGAAATTATTCTTGTTGTAGCATTATTCACAATAGTTCAGATAAACTAGCCATTGATGGATAAAGAAAATGTGATGTATGTGCATATATATGCATACATATATGTGTATATATACATTATTTATATGTTCTATCTATATCTCTATATAATTCCACCTTAAGAAAGAAGGAGAGACCCTGTCATTTGCAACAGCATGGATGAACCTGTAGGACATTATGTTAAATGAAATAAAACGGGTGCAGAAACACAAATACTACATGATCTCACTTACGTATGTAATCAAAAAAAGTTGAAATCAAGGAAGCTGAGAGTAGAATGGTGATTGTGAGGGACTGGGAAGAGGCCAAAAATGGGTTGATGTTAGTCAAAGAATGCACAGTTTTAGTTAAGCAGTTGAATAAATTCTGGTGACTACATAAGCATGGTGACTACAGTTATTAATCCTATATTGTATACTTGACATTTACTGAGAGAATAGATCTTTAATGTTCTAACTACAGGTAGAAAAATGGTAATATTGAGCTGATGGATGAGTTATCTTGAGAGTGATAAAAGTTCACAATACATACGTAATAAAAGCACCATGTTTTAAGTCTTCAATATGTCCATTTTTTATTTTTCAATTATTGTGATCTTCATTCACATGCAATTCCAATCAGGTGGTTACCTGGGCGGAGTCTATGGTCTCTAAGACGTCTTCCTTGTCTTTAATGAATATAAAAGCAGATGTCCTGGGCTCTAATTCCCCTTCTTTCACTTCCTTTTGCACACTGGGGTTTGTAGGTAACCCCTGAGAATATCTGTCTCATCACCCGTATGTAGAGACAAGCAGCATGGGGACTGGATCACCAGTACTTGTCATGATATGTCACAGTGTGGCACTAGGTTTGTCACACTAATGAATAAATAATAAATGTTTACTCCTTTGTAAACTGTTCATCACTTCTTCTTAGGTGTCATTATATGCCTGTGTTTATTCCCAGTTTTGTGCCTTAACCTTGAGTAACTTCTTCTTCCTTCACCAATAAAAACTCAATGGATCCCTCCAGGCTAGTGTAATTTTGTTCACTTTCCCAGGCAATACTGAAATCAGCCTTCTTCATATACACATTTTGCATTGTGAAGTGGTCACCTGCATATATATTTGTTCTTTTCTGAATAGCATGAGACAACAACACTTGGTTGTAATGCCAGTTCATGCACTGAGCCTTACACAAAGGCTGGCCTCCTGATAACAGATAGGTTGCTAACGAGGTATGTGACCTTGAGCTGACACCCTAGCCTCTGAGGCCAAAATCTCTCAAAATAAAATAGGGATAATACCTAGGATTTAAGGCTTAAAGGCCCAGCTAAATAAAAGACAAAATAAAAAATTGTTAGCACCCTCTCCCTTCCCTGAGCTCTACATATTCTCAGTTATTCATTCCCTTGACTGCTTTTCCTTACCTCCCACATCCTTTGGATTAAAAAGTCCTCTGTGGTTACTTCCAACAAATATTGTGATTTGAACTATTTCTCAACAATTTTACCACTAACCTACCAGGTCAAGCCACTATATTCTTTCATCAAATTCTTCAGTAGCCTCCATTCTTGCTCCCTTACTGTTTATTTTCACTTTAATATATAAATCAGATCATGTTACTTTAAGATATGGTTAGGTTTTTTGTCCCCACCCAAATCTCATCTTGAATTACAATCCCTCTAATCCTCATAATCCCCATATCAGGTGGAGGTAATTGGATCATGGGGGTGGTTTCCCCCATGCTGTTCTCCTGATAGTCAATGAGTTCTCATGAGATCTGATGGTTATAAAAGGGACTCTTCTCCCTTCACTCCTCATTCTTCCCCTTCCTGCCACTTTGTGAAGACAACCTTGCTTCCTCTTCACCTTCTGCCATGATTGTAAGTTTCCTGAGGCCTCCCCAGCCATGCCGACTGTGAGCCAATTAAACCTCTTTCCTTTATAAATTACCCAGTCTCAAGCAGTTTTTACAGCAGAGTGAGAATGGACTAATACACTCACCTACTCAAAACTCTAATAAAAAGAGTAGAATGCATTATAATATGGTCTGGGTCTGTGTCCCTGCCCAAATCTCATGTTGAAATGTAATCCCCAATGTCGGAGTGGGGACATGGTGGGAGGTGACTGGATAATCGGGGCAGATTTCCCCTTTGGTGCTGTTCTCATGAGAGTGAGTGTGTTCTCACTAGATCTGGCTGTTTAAAAGTGTTCTGCACCTCCTCCCTCTCTCTTCCTCCTGCTCAGGCCATATAAGATATACTTGCTTCCCTTTCACCTTCTGCCATGATCGTGAGTTTCCTGAGGCCTCCCCAGCTATGCTTCCTGTACAGCCTGTGGAACTGTGAGCCAATTAAACCCCTTTTCTTTATAAATTGCCCAGTGTTAGGTATGTCTTTATAGTGGTTTGAGAACAAACTAATATATATTATAAACAAAATTTAAACTCTATTGCTATGGACAGAGTCCTACATGGTCTGGACTCTGCTGATACCTCTAACTTCATTTCACACCACATAGCTCCATCAGTCTATGTTGATTACGGGACTTATTGCTATTCCTGTAATTCACAAATACATTCCTGCCCTGGGGTCTTTTTAGTCCCAGTTCCATCTGCCTCCCTTTTCATTATTTACAAGGTTTTCATTCTCAGTCCTGTGAGGCATTTTTATATATTTCCACTTAGGAGAGACCTTCTTTCCCTATGATAAGCGAACTAGTCTCCAATTCCATTAGTCTCTATCCTTTACTCTCCTTTATTTTCCTTCATAATATTTATTTCCAAGTATAATTATATTATTTATCCATTTGTTTGTTTATTGCCACCTTACTGTCCTAAAATAAACAAACTATAGAGAATAGAGACTATATCTTTTGGACAATGTTAAAAATACCAACTAGACTGCTTATACTGTGCGCTCAATAAATAAAATTTTTAAATAATACATAATAACTCAACATGTGCCAATAATAACCACTATACTGATTGATAGCACTTATAGCATTTTACTGGGCATGTCCATTCTAATGTCTGTGTTCCTCATTTCCCTAGGAGGATGAGAACTGTGGCTTACTGATTCCTAGTGTTTCTGCCATCTGTGGCATGCATTACATAATTAGAAAATATTTAATGCTTTAAATACCATTTGCTAATTATCATGCTTTATATCATTTGAGTCTCAGCAATTCAGTGAGAGAATCAGGGTTGCTATTATTTCCATTTTGCAATGGAAAAAAATATGCTGAGAAAGGAGAAATGTTAAGTCCATGGCTGTATCTAAAATGAAAGACAGAAAGGGAAATGCCAGATAAGGCTGGAGACATAGGTTGCAGCCAGATGGGGAAGCACTTTGTATACCGTGCTTAGAAATTTGGACTTTATCCTGTAGTATATTGCAAAACAGGGGCTCAAATTACCAGTATAATAATCACATTCAGTTTCTTATGCCATATAACAGTCCTGAATCTACACTTTCCATTTATGACATCTAAACATTCCATTCAACTGAAGAATGGGCAAATCTCCTCTCTAGTCTGTACTGTGTGGCTGGCCAAGTACTTCCCCTATTTAATTCAGTGAAACTCTTGGTGGTTTCCATCTGTGCAAGGTCTAAAAAATTAAATCAGTTCAGAATGTCCTCTTTTATACATATCTACTAATCATTTACTTATTCATACGTCTACATATCCATTTAGATGGTTATTCATATTTACTGAACACCTATTGTAGTCCAGAAACTTGGGCTAAAAGTCAAGTATTAAGTTTTAAAATGGCTATATATATAACAGTATGTACAAAACACATATATATTTGAATATTTCAGATAGGTAGAAATCGTTATTCAGAAGTCACAACCATCACTCACGTGGCACTTACAATACCAACAAAAATTAAAAATATAAAATCGTAAAGTTTAAAATGTGATATAATTGACTCATTCCTAATGTAAACGAATTTACTTTGTATATTCATGGAATGCTTACTATGTGCTAAGCATTAGGTATACACAGATAAGTAGAAAGCCCCTGCCTTCTAGGAGCAGGTCTATCTGTTTTAGCATTGGTGAGAGTGTAGGCTGAGCAAAGGGAAAATATGAGCAGGCAGCCCTCACAATAGACTCATGTGAGAAACACCTTTATCATCACCCACTACACTTTACAGGTGAGGAAACTGAAAGTCCCTAGTTAGCCAAAAACCAAAGACAAAGCTGTAAGTGGCAACACCAGAATATGAATATCATTTACCAGCTCTAAAAGCTAGCCCTTTCCTGCCCTTCCCTATTTACTATATATATATATACTATATATAGTATATATATATATATGTATATAGTATATATATATAGTATATATATATAGTATATATATAGTATATATATAGTATATATATAGTATATATACTATATATACTATATATAGTATATACTATATATATACTATATATATAGTATATACTATATATAGTGTGTGTATATATATATATATCCCTCCATAATCAGAGACCCACCCAGGTCAAGGAACAGAACATGGATCCCACCTTTCAATGAGAGGAGAGTCAATAACATGTTGTAAGAACAGCATGGGGAGTGAAAGATCTTTACAGAGTCATCTGGGGGAAATACAAGAGTTTCCTCAGATGCAATGAGAAGAACACAGCATCCCTTTTCAGATATTTCTGCTTAAAATGTATAATGTGAAACTAATCATGGGGAAATACCTGACAAATCAAAACTGAGAAACATTGTACAATTAACTGACCTGTAATCTTGATACATGTCAAGAGTATGAACTTCAAGGAAAGACTGATGAGCTGTTCCAGCCTGAAATAGTTTAAAAACATGAGGTAACTCACAGCAACATAGGATTCTGAATTAGATCCTTTCACCAGAGAGGACATTATTGGGACATTTATAAAACTTTGCTGGAGTTTGAAGATTACATGATAGTAACGTATCAAAGGTTCCCTTCCTGATTTTGATATTATTATGTCTATGCAGAAGAACATTCTTGGTTAGAATCAATAAATACTACATTGTTAAGGGGAGATGTGGCATCAAATTAAAAACCCTCAAAGTTCTTTGTTCTACATTTGCAACTTTTCAGCAAGTTTGAGATTTTGTAATAAAAAAATTCATTCTTTTTTTTTTTTTTTTTAGAATAAGCAAAGTAATACCTGTATACCCCAGGCCTTACCAACCAAATCTAGCTGGAAATGTGTGCCAAATCTCTACTTCCTTTGGAATATACAAAGACCAAGGAAAAGAGGAAAATTAAATCACAACCTTAGTAAACATGTGTTCTATCAGATTTATTTATTATTTATTTTTTATTTGGAGAGAAACTAGTACCTGCCTTACACTCCAATAAGAAAGAAAAAAACCTGTTTCCTAAATAATTCACACTTTGATTGACTAAGATCACAGCAGGTAGTTTAGAATAATCTATTCAAAATATGTCATAATACCGATTTTCAGAAGGATCACACAGAGTCAGAAACTTTCAGCAATCTATTTATTTGTGTTTTTCTCTGCTTAGAAGTTCTGCTGTTCAAGTCAAGATTATGCTTAGCTGTTTTCAACTCATGAATATCACCTGCTACCATAAATAAATTTTGCTCTTAATTGTTCATTAAATTACTTATGCTTATAAAGCCACAAGATCTGCTAGTTAATCTTTAAAAAAGAAAGCATGATAAAGAATAAAAGATATTTTGAAAATAGTATTATTAAATAATAATAATAATGTTTAAAGTCTCAACTCTAACACACTTATTTTGTGTATATTTTCTTTAGTTTTCATGTGCATGAAATGTCTTCTTAGAAGCTGTGGAGTGTCTACACCACTTTTTATTTTTATTTTTTCACCTAATAAAGCATTGCAAGCAGTTATCCATATTGTATATGGTTGTCATAACTGTCATTTTTAGTGGCTAATAAATCATCTCCTCACTGCAAACTTGTTTGCTCAGGCTTCTCTCCCAACATAAGCTTTACTTCTAATTCAAACTTTCCCTTTCCAAATGATCCTCAGCTCCCCGACAGTGATCTTTCCTGCCTTTGAACATCAGCCACATTTAATGCATTTCCTCCACTTGAAGCTTGTCATACGTCACCAGTGCTGGAAGGTCTTTTCTATCCACAGAGACCTTTTCTGTCCAAACTGGCAACCCCTAGCCACATGTGGCCATATAAATTTAAAATTAAACTAATTAAAATTAAATAAATTTAAAATTCAGTTTTGGAATCACGTTGGCCACATTTCTACTGCTCTATCACCACATGTGACTAACCCCTATTATTTTAGAGACAGGACAGATTAGAAAAACTTCCATCACTGCAAAAATTTCTTTTTTTTCTTTTTATTTCACAAATAATAATCGTATATATTTATGGTGTGCAATGTGACATTTCGATATCTTTTTACATAGTGGAATGATTTAATCAAACTGAACTATCCTATCCATCACATCACATACTAATTATTTTTTGAACATTTAAATATACTCAAGATGTTTAACAGATAGTGTCTCCCTGGATTGTGAGTATCTCACAAAGCATTATGTTTTTTGTTTTTTTGTTTTTTTTCGAAAAATGACTTGTTTTTTTCCTTTTTTTTATTATTATTATACTTTAAGTTTTAGGGTACATGTGCACATTGTGCAGGTTAGTTACATATGTATACATGTGCCATGCTGGTGTGCTGCACCCATCAACTCATCATTTAGCATTAGGTATATCTCCTAATGCCATCCCTCCCCCCTCCCCCCACCCCACAACAGTCCCCAGAGTGTGATGTTCCCCTTCCTGTGTCCATGTGTTCCCATTGTTCAATTCCCACCTATGAGTGAGAACATGCGGTGTTTGGTTTTTTGTCCTTGCGATAGTTTACTGAGAATGATGATTTCCAATTTCATCCATGTCCCTACAAAGGACATGAACTCATCATTTTTTATGGCTGCATAGTATTCCATGGTGTATATGTGCCACATATTCTTAATCCAGTCTATCGTTGTTGGACATTTGGATTGGTTCCAAGTCTTTGCTATTGTGAATAGTGCCGCTATAAACATACATGTGCATGTGTCTTTATAGCAGCATGATTTATAGTCCTTTGGGTATATACCCAGTAATGGGATGGCTGGGTCAAATGGTATTTCTAGTTCTAGATCCCTGAGGAATCACCACACTGACTTCCACAATGGTTGAACTAGTTTACAGTCCCACCAACAGTGGAAAAATGTTCCTATTTCTCCACATCCTCTCCAGCACCTGTTGTTTCCTGACTTTTTAATGATCACCATTCTAACTGGTGTGAGACGGTATCTCACTGTGGTTTTGATTTGCATTTCTCTGACGGCCAGTGAGGGGACCATTTTTTCATGTGTTTTTTGGCTGCATAAATGTCTTCTTTTGAGAAGTGTCTGTTCATGTCCTTTGCCCACTTTTTGATGGGGTTGTTTGTTTTTTTCTTGTAAATTTGTTTGAGTTCATTGTAGATTCTGGATATTAGCCCTTTGTCAGATGAGTAGGTTGCGAAAATTTTCTCCCATTTTGTAGGTTGCCTGTTCACTCTGATGGTAGTTTCTTTTGCTGTGCAGATGCTCTTTAGTTTAATTAGATCCCATTTGTCAATTTTGGCTTATGTTGCCATTGCTTTTGGTGTTTTAGACATGAAGTCCTTGCCCATGCCTATGTCCTGAATGGTAATGCCTAGATTTTCTTCTAGGGTTTTTATGGTTTTAGGTCTAACGTTTAAGTCTTTAATCCATCTTGAATTAATTTTTGTATAAGGTATAAGGAAGGGATCCAGTTTCAGCTTTCTACATATGGCTAGCCTGTTTTCCCAGCACCACTTATTAAATAGGGAACCCTTTCCCCATTGCTTGTTTTTCTCAGGTTTGTCAAAGATCAGATAGTTGTAGATATGCGGCGTTATTTCTGAAGGCTCTGTTCTGTTCCATTGATCTATATGTCTGTTTTGGTACCACTACCATGCTGTTTTGGTTACTGTAGCCTTCTAGTACAGTTTGAAGTCAGGTAGCGTGATGCTTCCAGCTTTGTTCTTTTGGCTTAGGATCGACTTGGTGATGCAGGCTCTTTTTTGGTTTCATATGAACTTTAAAGTAGTTTTTTCCAATTCTGTGAAGAAAGTCATTGGTAGCTTGATGGGGATGGGATTGAATCTATAAATTACCTTGGGCAGTATGGCCATTTTCATGATATTGATTCTTCCCACCCATGAGCATAGAATGTTCTTCCACTTCTTTTTATCCTCTTTTATTTCATTGAGCAATGGTTTGTAGTTCTCCTTGAAGAGGTCCTTCATGTCCCTTGTAAGTTGGATTCCTAGGTATTTTATTCTCTTTGAAGCAATTGTGAATGGGAGTTCACTCATGATTTGGCTCTCTGTCTGTTATTAGTGTATAAAAATGCTTGTGATTTTTGCACATTCATTTTGTATCCTGAGACTTTGCTGAAGGTGCTTATCAGCTTAAGGAGATTTTGGGCTGAGACAATGGGGTTTTCTAATCACGTCATCTGCAAACAGGGACAATTTGACTTCCTCTTTTCCTAATTGAATACCCTTTATTTTCTTCTCCTGCCTAATTGCCCTGGCCAGCACTTCCAACATTATGTTGAATAGGAGTGGTGAGAGAGGGCATCCCTGTCTTATGCCAGTTTTCAAAGGGAATGCTTCCAGTTTTTGCCCATTCAGTATGATATTGGCTGTGGGTTTGTCATAGATAGCTCTTATTATTTTGAGATACGTCCCATCAATATCTAATTTATTGAGAGTTTAAGAAGGGTTGTTGAATTTTGTCAAAGGCCTTTTCTTCATCTATTGAGATAATCATGTGGTTTTTGTCTTTGGTTCTGTTTATATGCTGGATTACATTTATTGATTTCTGTATATTGAACCCATCTTGCATCCCAGGGATGAAGCCCACTTGATCATGGTGGATAAGCTTTTTGATGTGCTGCTGGATTCGGTTTGCAAGTATTTTATTGAGGATTTTTGCATCAATGGTCATCAAGGATATTGGTCTAAAATTCTCTTTTATTGTTGTGTCTCTGTCCGGCTTTGGTATCAGAATGATGCTGGCCTCATAAAATGAGTTAGGGAGGATTCCCTCTTTTTCTATTGATTGGAATAGTTTCAGAAGGAATGGTACCAGTTCCTCCTTGTACCTCTGGTAGAATTCGGCTGTGAATCCATCTGGTCCTGGACCCTTTTTGGTTGGTAAGCTATTGATTATTGCCACAATTTCAGAGCCTGTTATTGGTCTATTCAGAGATTCAACTTCTTCCTGGTTTAGTCTTGGGAGGGTGTATGTGTCAAGGAATTTATCCATTTCTTCTAGATTTTCTAGTTTATTTGCATAGAGGTGTTTGTAGTATTCTCTGATGGTAGTTTGTATTTCTGTGGGATTGGTGGTGATATCCCCTTTATCATTTTTTATTGCATCTATTTGATTCTTCTCTCTTTTTTTCTTTATTAGTCTTGCTAGCGGTCTATCAGTTTTGTTGATCCTTTCAAAAAACCAGCTCCTGGATTCATTAATTTTTTGAAGGGTTTTTTGTGTCTCTATTTCCTTCAGTTCTGCTCTGATTTTAGTTATTTCTTGCCTTCTGCTAGCTTTTGAATGTGTTTGCTCTTGCTTTTCTAGTTCTTTTAATTGTGATGTTAGGGTGTCAATTTTGGATCTTTCCTGCTTTCTCTTGTGGGCATTTAGTGCTATAAATTTCCCTCTACACACTGCTTTGAATGTGTCCCAGAGATTCTGGTATGTTGTGTTTTTATTCTCGTTGGTTTCAAAGAACATCTTTATTTCTGCCTTCATTTTGTTATGTACCCAGTAGTCATTTAGGAGCAGGTTGTTCAGTTTCCATGTAGTTGAGAGGTTTTGAATGAGTTTCTTAACGCTGAGTTCTAGTTTGATTGCATTGTGGTCTGAGAGACAGTTTGTTATAATTTCCGTTCTTTTACATTTGCTGAGGAGAGCTTACCTTCCAAGTATGTGGTCAATTTTGGAATAGGTGTGGTGTGGTGCTGAAAAAAATGTATATTGTGTTGATTTGGGGTGGAGAGTTCTGTAGATATCTATTAGGTCCGCTTGGTGCAGAGCTGAGTTCAATTACTGGATATCCTTGTTAACTTTCTGTCTTATTGATCTGTCTAATGTTGACAGTGAGGTGTTAAAGTCTCCCATTATTAATGTGTGGGAGTCTAAGTCTCTTTGTAGGTCACTCAGGACTTGCTTTATGAATCTGGGTGCTCCTGTATTGGGTGCATATATATTTATGATAGTTAGCTTTTCTTGTTGAATTGATCCCTTTACCATTATGTAATGGCCTTCTTTGTCTCTTTTGATCTTTGTTGGTTTAAAGTCTGTTTTATCAGAGACTAGGATTGCAACCCCTGCCTTTTTTTGTTTTCCATTTGCTTGGTAGATCTTCCTCCATCCTTTCATTTTGAGCCTACATGTGTCTCTGCACGTGAGATGGTTTCCTGAATACAGCACATTGATGGGTCTTGACTCTTTATCCAATTTGCCAGTCTGTGTCATTTAATTGGAGCATTTAGTCCATTTACATTTACAGTTAATATTGTTATGTGTGAATTTGATCCTGTCATTATGATGTTAGCTGGTGATTTTGCTTGTCAGTTGATGCAGTTTCTTCCTAGTTTCGATGGTCTTTACATTTTGGCATGTTTTTGCAGCGGCTGGTACCGGTTGTTCCTTTCCATGTTTAGCGCTTCCTTCAGGAGCTCTTTTAGGGCAGGCCTGGTGGTGACAAAATCTCTCAGCATTTGCTTCTCTGTAAAGTATTTTATTTCTCCTTCACTTATGAAGCTTAGTGTGGCTGGATATGAAATTCTGGGTTGAAAATTCTTTTCTTTAAGAATGTTGAATATTGGCCCCCACTCTCTTCTGGCTTGTAGAGTTTCTGCCGAGAGATCCGCTGTTAATCTGATGGGCTTCCCTTTGTGGGTAACCCGACCTTTCTCTCTGGCTGCCCTTAACATTTTTTCCTTCAATTCAACTTTGGTGAATCTGACAATTATGTGTCTTGGAGTTGCTCTTCTCGAGGAGTATCTTTGTGGTGTTCTCTGTGTTTCCTGAATCTGAATGTTTGCCTGTCTTGCTAGATTGGGGAAGTTCTCCTGGATAATATCCTGCAGAGTGTTTTCCAACTTGGTTCCATTCTCCCCGTCACTTTCAGGTATACCAATTAGACATTGATTTGGTCTTTTCACATAATCCCATATTTCCTGGAGGCTTTGTTCATTTCTTTTTATTCTTTTTTCTCTAAACTTCCCTTCTTGCTTCATTTCATTCATTTCATCTTCCATCGCTGATACCCTTTCTTCCAGTTGATGGCATCGGCTCCTGAGGCTTCTACATTCTTCACGTAGTTCTTGAGCCTTGGATTTCAGCTCCATCAGCTCCTTTAAGCACTGCTCTGTATTGGTTATTCTAGTTATACATTCATCTAAATTTTTTTCAAAGTTTTCAATTCCTTTGCCTTTGGTTTGAATTTCCTCCTGTAGCTCAGAGTAGTTTGATCGTCTGAAGCCTTCTTCTCTCAACTCATCAAAGTCATTCTCCGTCCAGCTTTGTTCTGTTGCTGGTGAGGAACTGCCTTCCCTTGGAGGAGGAGAGGCGCTCTGCTTTTTCGAGTTTCCAGTTTTTCTGCTCTGTTTTTTCCCCATCTTTGTGGTTTTATCTACTTTTGGTCTTTGATGATGGTGATGTACAGATGGGTTTTTGGTGTGGTTGTCCTTTCTGTTTGTTAGTTTTCCTTCTAACAGACAGGACCCTCAGCTGCATGTCTGTTGGAGTTTACCAGAGGTCCACTCTCGACCCTGTTTGCCTGGGTATCAGCAGCAGTGTCTGCAGAACAGCGGATTTTCATGAACCACGAATGCTGCTGTCTGATCGTTCCTCTGGAAGTTTTGTCTCAGAGGTGTACCCGGCTGTGTGAGGTGTCAGTCTGCCCCTACTTAGGGGTGCCTCCCAGTTAGGCTGCTCGGGGGTCAGGGGTCAGAGACCCACTTGAGGAGGCAGTCTGCCAGTTCTCAGATCTCCAGCTGTGTGCTGGGAGAACCACTGCTCTCTTCAAAGCTGTCAGACAGGGACATTTAAGTCTGCAGAGGTTACTGCTGTCTTTTTGTTTGTCTGTGCCCTGTCCCCAGAGGTGGAGCCTAGAGAGGCAGGCAGGCCTCCTTGAGCTGTGGTGGGCTCCACCCAGTTCGAGCTTCCCAGCTGCTTTGTTTACCTAAGCAAGCCTCGGCAATGGCGGGCGCCCCTCCCCCAGCCTTTCTGCTGCCTTGCAGTTTGATCTCAGACTGCTGTGCTAGCAATCAGTGAGATTCCATGGGCGGAGGACCCTCTGAACCAGGTGCGGGATATAATCTCCTGGTGCACCATTTTTTAAGCCCGTCGGAAAAGTGCAGTATTCGGGTGGGAGTGACCCAATTTTCCAGGTGCCGTCTGTCACCCCTTTCTTTGACTAGGAAAGGGAACTCCCTGACCCCTTGTGCTTCCCAAGTGAGGCAATGCCTTGCCCTGCTTCAGCTCACACACAGTGCACTGCACCCATTGTCCTGCGCCCACTGTCTGGCACTCCCTAGTGAGATGAACCCGGTACCTCAGATGGAAATGCAGAAGTCACCCGTCTTCTGCATCACTCACACTAGGAGCTGTAGACCAGAGCTGTTCTTATTCGGCCATCTTGGCTCCTCTGATTTTTTTAAAAATTCTTATTCAAAAAGTTATTTTTTTCATTTGAAGATTATCTTGTCCTGAGAATTTTGATCTTAAGATGTCAACGAAGAAAACTGGTTTTGATGGCATCAGATATTTATGAAAGCAAGCCTTATGAGGGGCCGGGCACGGTGGCTCACGCCTGTTATCCCAGCACTTTGGGAGGCCTAGGCGGGCAGATCACGAGGTCAGGAGATCCAGACCATCCTGGCTAACAAGGTGAAACCCCGTCTCTACTAAAAACACAAAAAATTAAAAGCATTATGTTTTAAGAAGTGAGTCCTGAAATTCCAGGTGCAGGTAAAGGTGTGTGGAAAGGGACATTCTCATTCAGAGTGCAAATTGATACAACCACTTTTGAGAATGATCTGGTGATATTTAGTAAGTAAACTTGAAAATGTACAATCTTTACTCTGATGGTTAATTTTATGTATGAACTTGATTAGGCTTTGGGATGCCCATACAGCTAGTTCAACATTATTTCTGGGTGTGTCTGTAAGGGTGTTCTGGAAGAGATTAGCAAATGAACCAGTGGACACAGCCACGAAACTCTGCCCTCACCCATGTGGATGGACCTCATTGTATCTATTGAGGTCAGACTAAAAACTCAGAGAAAGAACAAAAGCTCAGAGAAAGGGCAAATTTCTCCCTCTTTTTGAGCTGGGTCATCCATCCTCTCCTGCCCTTGGACATCAGTGCTCCTGATCCTTGGCCTTGAACTCGAGCCAGGACTCACATCAGTGGTACCTAGTTTGGGGACCTTCAAACTTGGATTGGGACTACACCATTGGCTCCCTTGGTTCTCAAGTCTTCAGGTTCGGACTGGAACTATACCACCAGCTTTAGTGGGTCTCTAGTTTACAGAGGACAGAACATGGAATTTCTCAGCCTTCAAAATTGAGTGAGCCAATGCCCCATAATAAATCTTTTTCTAAGCATCGATATATGTCCTATTGGTTCTGTTTCTGTAGATAACCTTGATTAATACATTTATCAATTTCACTTTTCCACTTCCACATACATACTCAAGAAAGAAACTCATGCTCACATGCATAACATGACTTACAAAAAGTTTCATTGCAGCATTTTTATAAAAGCAATGAATTATAAACAAAATCTAAATGTCCATCAATAGGGGTATGATTAAATAAATGAGGGATATTCATATGAGAGAATAATATATATATTTACAGTAAACAAAATAATTAAACTTGTATCAGGATGGAAAGATATAAAATATACAATACTGAGTGAAAAAACAAAACGTTGAATAAAATGTGATGCCATATTATAAATATTAAGGTTATATATTGTGTGTGTACACATACTATGTTGTAATAACAAAAACCATGGACAGGGTGGACACATAACAGATCAATGATACTGCTGCCTATCATGGTAAATAAAAGTGATAGGAAGAGCAATGAGACTAGGAAAATATATGAGATGGAAGCAGCATTTGTTAAAGAGATCAACAGTATTATTACAGCTAACATTTTAAAACTATGAAAAGACCATGATAAAATGTTAACACTTGTTAATAATGAGTGGTGAACAATTAGGTATCTTTTAGGCTATTCTCTAAATTGTCTGTCTGAGTTTTACCTCCCTACTTCCAGACAGCATTCTACCCTTTCACATCTCAGAATGGTAGAATGTTCTTACCAACTGGGCAACACATTTTCTTTTTCTTTTTCAAAAAATAATTTTAAAAACTTTTATTTAAAGAGAACAGATACTCCAAGGTGGTGGAAGGTAGTAAGTGAGGAACATTGAAGATCCAGACTAATGCTTCTTGAAGTGTGGTCCATGGACTAACAGTATCAGCATTTCCTGGGAATTTGATGGAAATGCAAATATTTAGTCACAAGTAAAGCCTACTCAACCAGAATCTCTGGAAGTGCAGCTCGGCATTCTCAGTTTTAACGTTTTTGGGTCATTCTGACACATGCTTTTGTTTGAGAACCACTGTTCTAGAGAAACGGTAGATAATTTTGACTTAATAATACTGGTAGTAAATATTTTAGGCTTTATTGACCAAAAGCCAAAGGGATCAGAACATACCCATTGAAAAGAGAGAGCAATCAGGAATTGTTAAGGTACAGCAACCCTGCCCACTGGTAAAAGGGGCTCAGTCACATCTGGAAGAAAATTAGGTTAGGAGTTATTATTTCTGGGATGCAGAGCTCAGAGGGTTTGGGTGGGTGGCTTTCCTGCCTCCCACTGAACTCTTTCTTTAAAAAAACTAAGTGTAGATGTGCGATGCAGTCAAGAGACTCAGATAGGGACAGAGATGATGCCACTGAACATCTTAGCTGTTCTGTGGTGGCTATGTTTAATTTTCCTGAGACCCGTGCTCCTGGAAAACAGCAAAGCTTAAGATACCTCCCCACCCTCTTGTGTCTTAGGAAAGGATTTACTGCAAAGAACTACACTTCTCCAAACAACTTAGGCAAGACTCAGAGATCACTCCCCAACTCTTCCTTACTGATGACAAGCCAGATATAGACTCTCCAAATCCCCATTTAGCCTCATAAATGATTAGCTGAAATCTGGTACAAATCTGTTACACACAAATTTGCAATCTACAACAATCTGCAAACCCACACTCTTCCCTTTCTGTAAACTTTTTATTAAAATAGAATTTTAGAGGTCTAAAAGGATTCTTAACCTTGTGTTCCTAGAATTCAGAAAGACTAAAGATTTCACCTGAGTTTGGATAAAATTTCTTTTTGTGATTATACTTTCTCTGGGGAAAATATTCAGACGTTTCCTCAGATTCTCAGAAATTTTTCAGAACACTTGTAGCGATTGAGAGACTTTCAGAAATGGTAAATTAAGAAATTTGGCAGATGCTCTCCCCAGCAAAGCAAAAACTTAAATAGTAAAAAATATTTTAAAATATCACTTAAAATCTCTGACCTTGTCCAAAGGGCGCATAGCAAATGGCAAAATATTCAATCAAGACAATCTAATAAATCATGGTAAGAAAACCAGGAGTTTATGGCATTGGGAAAATGAATAAAATCAGCAGTGAAAGGGGGCCATTATTACTGAGCTAGTATAGAGATTTCTCAAGTAACTAAAAATGGAACTACCATTTGTTTAAGCAATCCCACAACTAGGTATCTACCCAAAGGGAAAGAAATCACTGTGTAAAGAAGACACCTGTACTCATATGTTTATTGCAGCACTACTCACAATAGCCAAGTCATGAAATCGACCTAAATATCCATCAGTGGATGACTGGATAAAGAAAATATGGTATACATATACCACGGAACACTTCGCAGCCATAAAAATAGAATGAAATCATGCCCTTTGCAGCAACATAGATAGATCTGGAGGTGATTATCCTAAGTGAAATAACTCAGAAAATCAAATACCACGTTTTCTAACTTATAAGTGGGAGCTAAGCAATTGGTACACATGGACACAAAAACGGAAATAATAGACACTGGGGGCTCCAAAAGGGGGACAGCAGGAAGGGAGTGTGGGTTGAAAAATTAGCTATAGGGTACAATATTCATTGTTAGGGTGATGAGTACAATAGAAGCCCAAACCACACCATTATGCAATATATCCATGTAACAAACCTGCATATGTACCCTCGAATCTATAGTTTTTTTAAAAATAAAAATAATTATTAGAGTCCTATATAAAAATTGAATCAACAAATTAGGGAACTTAGATGAAATGGACAATTCCTAGAAAGACACAAATTGCTAAACTTATTCAAGAATAAATACAAGATTATAATACACCATATGAGTGGACAAATTGAATTAGTAATTCTATAAACTTTCCATTACAAGGAAACCCTAGGCCCAGAGTGTGTCACTTCACTTCCACCAAAAAAAGATGTAAAACTAATTCTTCAGAAACTCTTCCATGAAATAGAAGAGGAAGAAGTACTTCTCAACTCATTCTATGAGGCCAATATTATCCTAAAAAACACAACAGAAAATAGTATCACAAGAAAACCGCCTGCCAACATTCCTTACGGGCATAGGTACAAATATCCTCAAAAAAATACTCAGCAACCGAATTCAATACCATCAAAAGTAAATAAATAAATAAAGAGGTTAAGTCATGACCAAGTAGAACTTATTCTAGGAATGCAAGTTTGATTTAACATCTGCAAATTAATGAATATAATTTACAATATTAATAGAATAAAGTACAAAAAAAGGGTCATTTCAACAGGTATAGAAAAAAATTGAAAAATGTGATGCCCTTTCATGATAAAAACACTCAACAAACTAGAAATAGAAGGGAATTCCCTTAACCTTCTAAAAGGTATCTACAAAAAATTCTGATAATATCATACTTAATGGTGAAAGAATGAATGCTTTCCCCTTAAGATTAGGTCCAAGACCAAGCAAATATGTCTGCTTCTATCACTTTGAGTCATCATAATACTGGGGTTTATAACCAGGGCCATTAGTCAATAAAATGAAATGTAAGTTACCCACATTGAAGAGAAAGAAGTAAAATTATCTTTTTTAAAAATGGCATAATTTTGTATATAGAAAGTTCTCAGAAATCCACTGGAAAAAAAATAGAACCAATAAACTCATTCAGCAAAGTTTCAGGATATAAGATCAAAATGCAAATATTAATTGAATTTTACACATGAAAAATGAGCATTTTGATATAAAACTAATAAAATAATTCAATTTACAGTGGCATTACAAAATAAAATATTCAGGCACAAATTTAATTAATAATAATAGTTTTTTTTTTTTTTTTTAAACAGGGTGTCGCTCTATCACCCAGGCTGGAGTGTGGTGGCACAATCATGGCTTACTGCAGTTGTGACTGCCTGGGCTCAAGTGATTCTCCCACCTCCATGCCCTGAGTATGTCAGACTACCAGTACGTGCCACCATGTTCAGCTAATTAATTAATTTTTTCTTTTTCTTTTCTTTTTTTTTTTTTTTTTTTTGGAGAGACAGAGTCTCACTATGTTGCCTAGGCTGGTCTCAAACTGACCCTGCTCAAGTGATCCTCCTACCTCAGCCTCTCCAAGTTCTGGGATTACAGGCATGAGCCACTACACCTGGCAAAATTACCAATAGATGTAAAATTTTTGTATAAAAACAACAAAATATCATTGGGAGAAAATAAAGACCTACATAAATAGAATCACATCACATTGTCATGGAATAAAAGACTTAATATTGTTAAGATGGCAACACTCCCAAATTGGTCTACACATGCAACACAATTCTTGCTGCCTTTATTCTTTACAAATTGACAAATTTTTCCTAAAATTTTTAAGAAATTCCAAAGTACCACAAATAGCCAAAACAAAGAACAAAGTTAAAGAAAAAAGTTGGAAAACTCGCTTCCAACTTTCTGATTGATAAACAATACAAAAGTACAGTAATCTAGACAGTGTAGTGCTGGCATTAGTATAAACACACAGATCAATGGAATGGAATTGAGAATACAGAAATAGTTACTTACATTTATGCTCGACTGATTTTCAATGAAGGTGCCAAAAAATTTAATGGAGAAATAAGAGACTTTTCAATAGATGGTGCTAGGACAAACACAAAAGAATGAAGTCAGACCCCGACCTCACACCATTCACAAAAATTAACTTAAAATTGATGTATTTATTTAGAGACAGGGTCTCGCTTTGTCACCCAGGCTGGAGTGCAGCAGTGTGATCACAGCTGGCTGCAGCCTCAACCTCCCAGGCTCAAGTGATCCTCCCACTTCAGCCTCCCTAGTAGCTGGAACCAGAGGCACATGCCACCAAAACCAGCTAATTTTTGTATTTTTCGTAGAGACAGGGTTTTGCCATGTTGCTCAAGCTGGTCTCACATTCCTGGGCTCAAGTGATCTGTCCACTTCGACCTTCCAAATTGCTGGGATTACAGGCATAAGCCACTGTGTCCAGCCTAACATAAAATTTATCACAGACCGGCCGGGCTCAGCGGCTCATGCCTGTAATCCCGGCAATTTGGGAGGCCGAGGCGGGCAGACAACGAGGTCAGTAAATCAAGACCATCCTGGCTAACACGGTGAAACCTCGTCTCTACTAAAAATACAAAAAAATTAGCGAGGCGTGGTGGCGGGCGCCGGTAGTCCCAGCTGCTCAGGAGGCTGAGGCAGGAGAATGGTGTGAACCCGGGAGGCAGAGCTTGTAGTGAGCCAAGATCATGCCACTGCACTCCAGCCTGGGTGACAGAGTGAGACTCCATCTCAAATAAAAAAAAAAAGAAAAGAAAAAAAATTTTTTTTATCACAGACCTAAATGGAAAAACAAAAAATAAAAACTATAAAATTATTAGGATAAAACAGGCATAAATCTTCATGACTCTTCTCTGCGAACAATACTATTAAGAAATGATAAGCAACTAGCAGAATGGGAGAAAATATTAACAAACCATAAATCTCATTAGGACTTTTAAGTAGAAAAACGTAAAAAAAATATATACAACTCAATCAAAAAAAGACAATTCAATTATAGGAGAGAAAAATTTAATTTCTTCAAAGAATGCATACAAATAGCCAACGAGCAAATGAAAACCTTCTTAACATCATACGCTGCTAAAGATTCAAGTAAAAACAACAGAGATATCACTTTATACCGATTGACTGCTTCTAATAAAAAAGAAACACATGATTACAAGTGTTTTGTAAGGTTGTGGAGGAACTGTAACCCTCATATATTTTTGGTGGAAATGTAAAATGATGCAGCCACTTTGAAGAATATTTTGGCAGTGCCTCAAACTATTTAACATAGAGTTATCATATGACCCAGCAATTTTCTCCTATGTATATATTCAAGAGAATGGAAAACAGATATCCACAAAAACTTGTACACACTGTTCATAGGAGAATTATTCATAATAATCAAAGAGTGTGAACAATGCAAATGTTCATCAGTTGATGAATGAACTTATAAAATGTGGCGTATCTATTTAGTGGGATATTATTTGGCCATAAGAAGAAATTATTTGGTAAAACATGTTGGGAAATGAATGAACCTTGGAAAGATTATGCTAAGTAAAAGCAGTCACAAAAGACTCGAATATTATATTATTCCATTTCTGTGGAATTGAATTCCACAGAATGGCAAATTCTGTGGCATCTATTATTCCAGAATTGGCAAATCAATAGAGACAGAAAATAGATTAGTGGTTACCTAAGGATGAGTGGGAGGAGAAAGTGGGAGATGATTGTTAATGGATATGAGATTTATTTTACAGGGGAAAAGTGTCTTATAATTTATACAGATGTTCCTCGACTTATGATCGAGTTACATTGCAATAAATCCATCATAAGTCAAAAGCACATTTAATACCCTGACAAACCCATCATAAAGTTGAAAAATGATCAGTGGAACAATCCTAAGTTGAGGACTGTCTGTATTGTGGTAATTGTTGTGTAGCCCTGTACATATTCTAAAATATGTTGAATAATACACTTTAAATAAGTTAATTGTATCCTATGCAAATTATATTTCAGTAAAACTGTTAATAAGAAGTTGTAGTTAGTGACTACCATGGATCATAGATCATAATGAAAAATGGCAGATAAGCAGTCCACTCTCACAACAACAGTAGATTAGGACAGTTTAGTCATTTGTATACTTTATAATAAACCAAATACAAGTTCAGCAGACTTCTAACATCTTGCACACTCTTTCATCCCCAAGCTGGATTTACTACAAATGTCACTCTCCTCATGGGGTATTTAGAGTCTTGTCATTGCAGAGGTATTTGTTTCTTCCCATTTTGCCTCAGAACTATCCTTTACAAACACAAAGCATGACACCATATGTAGAGCTGTTCACATTCCCTACTAGGTGGGAATCAATCATGCCATATGTAGTTTTGTTTCACTTGTATCCACCAATAACAGCAGCTTCTCAGCAAATGCTTGTGAAAAGAACAGGTAAATAAAGTCCTCCATCAGTGGTTGAAAATTTGTGTCCAATCAGCTACCATTAGACAGAAAACATACTTTGTTTCATGTACACAGATGTTGACTAAAGTAAACTGGTTGCCAACATTTAAATATTGGGCATTTCCACATAAAAACCCACATTTCTAGGCTCTTGAAAATTTGAAGAAAATTTGACTTCTGGTCCCACATGAGAGCAGTCAACTGAATAATTACTGTATCCTAATTTGCCACGAACTCCACCATTCTTGTCTATACATTCATGCATTTTCATTTACTTATAACATTTACATTTGCTTCCTGGTCTATGCACACATTTGATATTATGTGATTTCTGTGTTAACCTGTAACACATTATATAGCTTTCAATGAAAAAATAATTTTATTTTTGTTCTCTTGAAATTGCCTTAGAACTAAGACTGCCATTAGAATGGCCCCAGAGCTTCCAGAGGACATGTAAGTGAAACAAGTGGATGAGTCATCAGAACCTCTGTGCCTGTCATTCACTCCAGTATCGGTGTTTCAAGGTGCACCTTCCAGCAAGAACCTTCTGAGTCACTGCTTAGAAAGTCTGTGGTTACCAAATTATTTAGTAAATAATTTATGTTATTTTTCTCACATTAGTAAAATTACCATAATTTTGTTTTCCCTTTCTGTTTATTAATATCTCTGGGTTCTGCTTGGAAGTCCAGAAAACTTTTTCAGGAAGCAGGCTGCCTCTGAGGCCATTCTCCTTCCTGTCATGTTCAGAAATTCCTGTTCTTCAAGTGGACTCATTTCCTTTCTGCCATTGCAGCTGTTACTCAACCACCTTGGATGCAGAAAGATAAGAAGGGTGACCCCACCTTCTTGTCACCACTTAAGGGTTCAAGTACTATGTGTACACCAATGGCTTCAAACTGTGCATTTTTATCTCAACCTCTCCCCCCAGCATCCAAGGCACACATCCAGTGTCTACGTTTAATCTTAATTTTGATATCCCATGGGCATCTCAAATTTGAGGTTTTGACACCATTACCCACTCCACACGCATAGTCCTCCTACTGTAGCCTTTCCAAACTCAGACTGGCAACTCCATTCCAGCCTAAGCAACTTCCAGCTGCCTTAGAGGCACAAAACTCTGCAGTCTCCTATGACTCCTCTCTTGCTCTCACTCCTGACATCTTGCTCACAAGCAAATTCTATTGGCTCCTTCAAAATGTATCTGAATCTCCCACCTCCACTCCCAACTCCTGGTCCATGCCAGCCTCTTCTCTTAACACTGCAAGAGGCTCCACACTGTCTTTCTGCTTCTGGTCTGCTCCCACATCCCTTTCAGTGTATTCTCAAAACACCCATCTGAGTAATTCTCATGAAATATGTCCCATCTCACTCCTCATGTGCTAGCTTCTCCATTTACCCCAGACTGCAAGCCAACAACCTTGCAGCGGCCTCAAGGCCAGAGATGATCCAGACATACATCCTCTCTCCAGACTTTTCCCTGTTCTATTCCCCGCCTTCCACTCTGCTGAGTGGAGTTCCTGATAACTATGCAATGTTCTTTTCTCAGATGTCTGCATGACTAGTTCTATGTCTCTTTATTCAAATTTTACTTTCTCTATTAGGGTTCCATAGCCACCTCTTCAAAATTATTCCCCCAGTACTTCTGATTCTCCTTACCTAATTTATTTATCAGCTTGGCATTTATCACCATCTTTATATTTTGTACTATATATTATATACATACTATATATACACACATACATATTTGTATACTTATATAATTTTACATAAATTTATAAAACTATATAGAAACATTTACATTTTTACTTATAAACAAATTACATATAAAAGCATATATTTTATGTATTTTACTTGTTCATATATTTTATCAGATTCACTATATTTTGCTTATTCAATGAGTGTAAATTCATTGTCTATCTCACTCGCCAGAATATGTAAGCTCTCTGAGGACAGGTATTTGTATTGGTTGTGTTTCCAGCTGAATTTCCAAGGCTGAGGACAGATCTGGCACTAAGAAGGCTCTCAAGAAATTGAATGAGCCACTTCAGCCACATCCCATTGGCTAGAACCCTGTTGCAGGGACCGTAATCTAACTGCGGGGTACCCTGGGAAGTGCAGAGGGACAGAGACAGGTGCTGAGCTCCAGCCATCTCTGTCATATCCAGGACATGAGAATAATCAGTGCTGGTCCAGCCCCTTCTCCCAACTTACCACCCATACTGCATGACCAGTGCTATGCTGCCACATCCCACTTGCATTCTAGATCATTCCTTTCAGTAACTTGTACTTTTCCGCCTTTCATTTTCACCTATCTGGGAGGCTCTCTAAGGCTGGGCTTGCATTTGTCATTTTTGTTCCTAACTCAAGCCACCTTCCAGTCAGGGGAGATGTGGTGCTGGTAACAAAATCCTGAGGAGACAGCCTTTCTCCTCCCTCTATTGTGAGGGAAAGTACCACTTCCTTCTTTAAATAAAGGCAAATTCATTTATTATTAGAAATTTGGCAGCTTTCCAGCCAGCCACTCACACACACACACTCTCACACACACACACACACACACACAAACAAAACAAAACAAAAAACCTTTGCAATGCTCCATGTGCTTTATCCCACCTCAAGACTTCCTCAAGCTTGAAACTACCTTGATCCACATCCTGCCTTTAAAATAATAGATTTCCATGAGACACACTGAACTAGAAATTCACCAGTGGGGCAGAGTACAGGCAATAAGAGGCCAGACACTCCAAAAATTAGAAAGAATTTCCATACAAAGAGATGAAAGGAGAAAAAATATACATTTTCTGGACACATTTATTACATCCCAGTAATTCCAAGTTCCAATAGAGTAAAAACCTCACCCTTATGTCATCTACAGAGCCTAACACAGTGCCTGACTCACAGGAGAAGCATCGTATTTACTTGCTGAATGATTGAGATGAATGCTGGTCTCTGTGCTTGGTTCCCTATCTATACATTTAGAATCTGATTCATCTGTGAAGTTTATTATCATTCTATTCTTCCAATAAGAAAACAAGAATTCCCAGAGGCAGAAAAACTGGCCCAGTATTGAACAGGGAGTAAGGAATAGAGCTGTGAATGGGATCAGATCTTTCTGGAGCCAATTTTCTTACTTTTTTCGACGACGTTCCACTGTCTAGTAAGTTAGAGTGAGCTCATGGCCAATGCCTACAAAAAGCTTTGCCTGGAGACAGCCAGCACAGAGCGATCAGCGGCATTTGGAATGCATTGCTCTGAACTGATACAATGAGTTAATTAGAGTCAGTAGGGCCCGCTGATGCTTTCA
The DNA here is from genome assembly GCF_000001405.40 of Homo sapiens. Lineage (NCBI taxonomy): Eukaryota > Metazoa > Chordata > Mammalia > Primates > Hominidae > Homo > Homo sapiens. Next base: position 11,546,196 of record NC_000004.12, on the reverse strand, counting down.
CACAAAGTATGTAAGGAGAGGCCTGGAGATCCTCTGCCTGTTCTCTTAGAAAAAGAGAAGTAGAGACCTACATGGATGTCTCTTATACAGCCACAGCCACAGATCTATATGTGCTTATCTATAGGGAGATTGATAATTATTATGCTGATCATTGTAGTCAGCTCTGATCTCCCACTTAGTGCCGGCCGGCCATTATGAATTCAGTCTTTTGTCTCACTTAGTCCTCATAGAGTAGTTAAATGACTTGCTCATGGACACACATATCAAGTGCTCAAGTAGGAATATCAATCATTCCAGATATATCTGATGACAGGCACCGACATTTTCACCTTGATGCTGGAAACTATGCATGGACATCAAGGTATGCAAACAGATAAACACACAGACTCACATGCAGACATCCTGCAAGCATGGAATCTTTGAAGGCTGTCTCAGCAGATCACAGGGTTCTGCATACTAGGAAAGAAGACTCACTGGTTCTAATACCCCATTTCAGTCCCAAGACAGGGCTCAGAATAGAGACCCAGAGGTGTGGCAGGGGAAGAAAGAGCACGGGCAAAGTAGAAACTCGTACCTTGTGATTTGGCTATAAGTCACCCTTCAACTAATTCCTAATGTTCACAGCTTCCTATGAAACAATTTCCTTATTAATGTCCCTATTTCCTCCCTCTTTTATTTATTCTACTGGTTTTCCAGTGGTAGAGAAGGTGAAAATGTATTAACATTTAGTGAACATCTATTGTTATCTGAAGATTTACGTATTACCTCATTTAAGAGCCTTTGGGAAATATGTATGATTGTCCCCTTTTTATAGATTAAGGGACTGAGATTCCAAGCAGCAACTCTATGGAAATCACATATCTAGTAAATGGCAGAGAAGAAAGAGAAGCCAGGTATCTGTGACTCCAGAGCCTATGCACTTTCTCTTACACTTTGTAAAAATTCTCAACTAAAATTGATTGACTTCTGACTGTATTTCAGCACTCTTCAAAGTTCTTCACCTCAAGTTATTGCATCTCGTCCTCACAAAACCATCCAAGGTGATTTATGTTATTTAAAAAAAAAAAAAGTGGTGACAATGAAGATTAGGTTGCTAAAGTAATTTAACAAACATCATGCAGCTGGAAACTGTAGAGCCAGAATTCAGGCGGGCTGATTCCAGCACCCGGCCTCTCATACATTATGATATGGTCCCTCCAGAATTTTGTGTGTGTGCTATAAGTAGCACAGTTAGCAGATGACCAAAGAGACTAATTCAAAGCAACATTTATTTCCACTCTCTCAGTATATCAAAGGAGCCATTTCTCTGGAGAAAAAAACAACAACTATGTCTTAAAATATGTGTTTGTGTCCGTATATGTTTTTTGCATTTAAGACAGCCAAATTAAACATAACTCTGAATAAATGCCATGTTAGAACAAGCATGTTTTGGGGAGGGAAATAAATTATTAGTTGCTGCTAAGCCTGCCTTTGGCTCAATCATTTTCTGTATCTGTGTGGATTCAAGTCAAGAGTTATTCTAGACATTCTTTGTCATTTAGATAACCTGTTGGCTATATATTTGTTATATGTTCAACTCTATGCATGATGCCTAAATGCTTTACATCCTTGTTCATATTAAATTGAACTATGGAGGTTCTACTTTAACCATGACAACAATTTCCTTCTATGACTATTAAGAAGAGATTATCTGGGAACAAGCTAGGGAATATTTGAGCAAGAGATTCCTCCAAGAACAGAATTCTAAGAGAAGTCAGCTTTGGGGCTTGTCCAATGGAGAGAGTGTTACCAGTAGATCTTATTCAAGTATAACTCATCCAGAAAAGCTAAGCCAAAATCAGGATGGAGGGAGACAGAAGCAAATGTAATGGATAAGAACAACATTTGAGTACAAAACTTTGTAAGGCTAGAGAGATGTGGGACTGGGGTTATTTAGATGACAAATATATTCTAGGAGATAATCAGAAAAAAAGGTAAATGGAACAGGAAGAAGCAGGAGAGCATAAAACAGAGGTTGTTGAGCACTGGCATACCTTTGGAAAACACAGATTGACAGAAGTCAGCCTGTACAGCTGCTGTGTTGAAAAAGCACCAAGAGGATGTGAAGGGCCTGTACAAGTTGTCTTGGGTGAGGGATTGCCTGGCACTGGGAAACATTCAGCTTGTGCCATTTGCAACAGAAGCCTTCTTAGCAACTTCTCTCTGAAGCAACACAGCTTGGAGTGATCCTGAAGACAGGGATTGGAAGAAAGTAAGGCAGGGAAAACAACCAGGGGAAGGAAGTAGACGAAGAGGGACTTGATCAGCCATGTGCAGCCAAACAGTCTTCCCCTTTTGACCCTACAAAGGACAGGAACTTAGTTCGTCATGAGCAAGAATGACTCATAATCATTGCTAGATAAGGGCTGTTCATTTTTATTAATCATATCTTTAGCCTGAACAAGCCTCTCTTTAAGTTATTGTTCATGTTAGTAATTACAATGCCCTCTCCAACTCAATGATGGAATCAATGGCTATGCTGATAAGAAACATCATTGCTTTATGTCTTTTTAATTCTGCCTACTTTATGAAAATAGAGAAGCTTAGTGATTACAAGCACTGACCCTAGAGTGAAATGACCAGGATATAAATCCTTTTTCACATTCTGTGTGATCTTAGAAAAGTAGCTCTTTCTTTCTGAGCCCATGTTTTCATCTCAGTAAAACAAGGAAATAAATATCGGAATCGAGTGCTGTAGCAAAGATTAAAATATGTAAGTTATATAGGTAGAGCACATTGCATTGCATTTGACATGTTAAGCATTGAATACATGATAAGAAGCCTTCATATTATAAGATGGGCTGTGAAAATATCACCAAAGATACTTTGCATTGTTGTTTTATTGTTGATGATGATGATGATGATGACTGGTTTCTTTGTTTCCTTCAGTCCACTAGTGGAAGAAAACTATATCCTATAGAAGGTAAAAAAAAATGTTGGCAAAATCACACATAGTGTTTACTATGAGTCAAGAATGATTCTATATTTCAGGTATTTAATTTTTACAAAGCACCAACGGGGAGGGGGCATGGTCAAAGCAGTGTCAATATCCACAGGACTGACTAAAGACCCAAACTCACAAAAATATCGGTGTCTTTCTCAACAGTTGGAAGTCATTTAAATAAGACCATGTCTGAAGGTAAATATTTGTCTTACAGAGCTATAAGATTTTATTTACATATCATTCAATACAGTATGATGTTTCAAAAAGTACATAATATTAACTTACTTTATTAGTCCCTTTTATTTTTAAAAGTGTCCAGTTTGCACAATAATTATATGGTCACATACATTATGACTTTTTTTAAAGAAATAAATCCAGTTGGTTTGCAAATAAAAGTGACACATTGTAAAAGCTCTAAATGAGGCAGAAGTAGACCGTTAGCATCAAGGGAAAGGGGTGCAATTCTGATTCAATGATCTAGTCACAAATTTGGTTTTGAGCTTTCTAACAGCCATAGCAAATATATTATATGGCCTGTGGTGTGCTACTCATTCACAAAAACAAAAGAAGTATAGATATTAAGTTTTGTCTAAAAGCAATTTTATACTTGAGAACTCCTGCAGGAGACAGAGAACAATGTATGATGAAGAGTGGTAGGTTGAGCTGTGATTAGTATATTTGAGCATGCTGTTCCCCTCTGCTGCTGATTTTTGGCATGTGTGAAAATGTGTGATAAATGGAAGGAATGGGATGTGAAAATCCATTTCTAACATGTTTGCTGGTGAGATATATAGAGATAGATCTATGTAAATATATAGGTATGTTTAAAACATACATTGAAGTATCAAGGAAGTTGTTGCATGGCCTAATCAAAGTTAATTTACAACACTACAGTAAAGTGAAGTTTCATCCTAAGAAAAAAAGTATATAGAACAGTAAACTAGATTTAGAAGGGCGAACCACAACAATAACAAAAACCAGCCTTAATCGCAAGAGAACCATGGGTATCTCAGTATCACACAGTGACTGTCCTCTACACCTGATCTGTACAAATTTCTATCAAGTATGTTATGCCAAGTCCTTGAATGACTCAGGCAAAATTTGAAAACCCAACTTAAGCATCCATCATTGAAATTCAATTCAGCAATTAAGATGAATTCATTAGACCTATATTCATCAAGACAGACCTTTAAAAAACATCACATGAGTGAAATCAAAGTTAATTACAGAAAGACAAAAATCATATGATAATATTTGTATAAAATATTGAAAACATCAATATATTGTTAATGGATTAAAACTTTACCATTTGACTGGTAAGTTACAAATCAAGGTCATCCTAATAATTGTCTTCTGGAAAGAAGGGTGTGATCTGAGATGGACTGGGCAGCAAGCATCAACTGTACAATAATATTATTTTATTAATAACAATGTGGGAAAGAAATATTACAAGATGCTAATACCTGTTAATTATCAATGGCAAGCACACAGATGGTTGTTAAATTATTCTCTTTTTCTTCTGTATTGTTCAGTATTTGCTTTTAAAAATAAATCAAAACATATCTATTTAATAAATTCACCTTGAGAGCCAAGCACACCTGCTCTGGGATTCCTGAGCAGTTTGTGGGAACACAAACTTAAGGTCTGAGAGGTGTTCCTCCATCTGTCGCAGACTACACTGCTTTGGCCACCCTAAGGCCCAGAGCAGTCCCTAGGAGGGACCCTGAGTGACTGGCATAATGAGATGCACACTGTGGAAGTGGAAGTCTGAGCCTGTGTCTGACCTTCCGTTTAGATGCCCAGAAATATTTCTAGGCACTCTTAACATAGCCTGGGTTCCTCTTTTGACTGCACTGTAGATTCGGACACTTTCTGGAAACTTCCTATAGTGATCTATAGAATAATAGATAAAGATTGTTCCGGCCGGGCGCGGTGGCTCACGCCTGTAATCCCAGCACTTTGGGAGGCCGAGGCGGGTGGATCATGAGGTCAGGAGATCAAGACCATCCTGGCTAACAAGGTGAAACCCCGTCTCTACTAAAAATACAAAAAATTAGCCGGGCGCGGTGGCGGGCGCCTGTAGTCCCAGCTACTCGGGAGGCTGAGGCAGGAGAATGGCGTGAACCCGGGAAGCGGAGCTTGCAGTGAGCCGAGATTGCGCCACTGCAGTCCGCAGTCCGGCCTGGGCGACAGAGCGAGACTCCGTCTCAAAAAAAAAAAAAAAAAAAGATTGTTCCAACATATGTGTTGGACACTTGGTAAGCCCTCAGTAAATTCTTCTAAGCAGCAATTGTTAACAGTACCTAGATTTCCCTTATTCTGAACTCAAACCATCTTATCAACGAGAATATACATCAAGCTTGTCCAACCTGCAGCCCACAGGCTGCATGCAGCCCAGTACAGCTTTGAATGCAGCCCAACACAGATTCATAAACCTTCTTAAAACATTATGAGTTTTTTGCCCTTTTTTTTTTTAGTTCATCAGTTATTGTTAGTATTAGCATATCTTATGTGTGGCCCAAGATAATTCTTCTTCTTCCAGTGTGGCCTAGGGAAGCCAAAAAATTGGACACTCCTGATACACATGTTGAGAAACTCAAGTCCTAAGGTCATCATTACTTTTCTGAAGAAAAATGTTTTGTGGGATGAAGATTCTCACTCTGAACAGGTAAGGTGTACATCTACCAATAATATGGATACACGTGAGCCTCCTATCTTCTCCTTGAAGAGTCTCCATTGTTAAATTGTCTCCATTGTTAAATTTGTTAACCTGGCTAACTTTTTTTGTCCAATTAAATTATCCAGTTGTCTCCATTGTTAAATTTGTTAAGCTAGCTAACTTTTGCTCATTCTTCAAAGCTTACGTTATCAGTTCCAGGAAACTCCACTTACTCTACCAGCGTCCCAGGTTTGGTTACAGCCCCCATAACACCCTGGGCACATCTCTTTAAATATTCATCAGGTGGCTTTTGTTTTCTTTCGGTAGTGAATATGTAAGAGAAAACTTTTTATTTTTTGAGTAGCAATGTATTTTCCCAATGCTGACATTTTACCATGTATATGTTGATTGTATTGCATTATCTTTCAACTTTATGCAGAGGTAAAGAAAACCCACATCTCATATGCTGAGTAGATTTAACTACAGAAAGTCTGGACTGCTAACGCTTTTTTTTTGTTTGTTTGTTTTTGTTTTTGTTTTTGGAGATGTAGATTCGCTCTGTCTCCCAGGCTGGAGGGCAGTGGCACAATCTCGGCTCTCTGCAAACTCCGCCTCCCAGATTCAAGCAATTCTCCTTCCTCAGCCTCCTGAATAACTGGGACTAGGGGTGCGTGCCACCACACCCGGCTGACTGTTTTTTTTTTTTTTTTGTATTTTTAGTAGAGGCAGAATTTCACTATGTTGGCCAGGCTGGTCTCAAACTTCTCACCGCAAGTGATCTGCCCACCTTAGCCTCCCAAAGTGCTGGGATTACCGGCGTGAGCCACCGCACCCAGCCCGCTTATACTTCTATCTAAGGAAACAACCCCAGCCTCTGTTGCCCAGTGGCTATGGCTGACAGGCTCAGGAGTTGTCAGCTAACAAAAAGACAACCCGCTTTTAGGTTGACCTCTGGCCCAGGGCCAGAACTGACACTTACTGTAGTTAGCATTTTTTTATGGCTCAACAAGTACCATGTACTAGGCTGAGCACTTCCCATGCATTATCTGGTTTATTCCTCACAACAATCCAATGGGAGTAAAAACTATAATTCTCCCTATACAGCTATGAGAAAACTAAGATTCTGAGAGTTTAGCAACTTGCCTAAGGTCAGAGATTTAAGAAGTGCTGGAACTATATTTTTATCTGAAGTCTGTGGGACTCCAAAGTTAAATTCTTATGGCCTGTTGTGTAAAAGATAAGTCTTATCAAATTCCTCTCTCACAAATGTAGAATTGATCAACATGGAGAGATCATAGTCATTATAATTGGGTCAGAAGCTAAGAGGATGCCTTACGTTAGAGCCCCATTCAGTAAGGTTATGGGAAGTCAGAAGACAGTAGTTAAATCCATGCAAACAAAGAAAGTTTGATGCTAGAGAGAGGAGAATGGAGAAGGTGTGTAGAAAGAGAAGTCATCAAGCCAGTAGCAGGTGAGCATTAAGAGGTCCATGAGTTCCTCCAGCTGGGGGTCCTGGGTCCTGGGCCATTTTGGGACCTTAAGATTACTCTGTGTGTGTGTGTGTGTGTGTGTGTGTGTGTTTGTGTGTGTGTGTTTGTGTGTATGGTCCCCCAACCAAAAAATTCACCTTAAAATAGCCCAGAAGAGCATAGAGGAAATATATATTACATCATTGCACCTCATGTTTGCACGTTGGTGAGGTAGTTTTCACTGTCCAGTATTTTAGAAACAAGGAAATTGTGGCTCAGAAATATCAAGCCACTTGCCTAAGGTCGTGATATGAACCTAGGCATGACTGCCTTTGAAATCTATCTTCACGGGTTCCAAAATGCTTTCTAAGAATGATCTAAAGACTAGGATAGCATGGCATCACTGGCTGAGATGAATGCTGTGAGATGGGATAGTTTGACATTTTTGCCTCTTACTTATGAATCAGGCTTGAAATGAATCCTTGAGAGACTCTGGTCACTATGGTTGACAAGAACTGGGCTCATTCAAGGGTGAGTGGGGCAAGTGTATGCAGGTGGTTTGTGCATATAAAAGCATGAAACTCTGTGGGTCTCTGGAAGTATCAATAAATGGACAAGCCTGGATATTTCTGTGCATGAATATATGCATGAACATATTTGTGCCAAACTATGGGAATGTGTGTGTGTTTTAATGTATAAAAGAAACCTTGTGATTAACAAAATCTATTGACAAAATAAAAATTCCCCATCAGTTAGGCATTTGGCCTAAACCAGTCTCCCCAAGGTTTTGTTTTAATAAAATACATCAACTCTGTGTTTGCCAAGATCTGAGCCTAGACTAGATGCAAGAATTGCTTATTTCATTGACCTTGAGCTTTCTAGGGCTTTTTATCTTTTTGCTGAAATGTTTAATTATAAAGAATTGAAAAAATTTCTAGGGATCCCCCATGAACATCTAAATCACAAAATATAGTGGCACCACTAACATATACACCGTGCGCTGTGGCTCACGAAGTACTTTCACTTCTCTAATTTTATTTGACCCACATAACAAATCTGTGAAGGTGGCATTTTAACGTTGCAGAAACTGAGACTCAGGAACATTAAGCTATGCAGCCAATGGGACTCATTCAATGAGGGGTGAAAAGAGAATTCTAAGTCAGGTCTTCTTTATCCCAGCCTACCCTCTTAAAAATGGGCCTCCAAAATGTTTTCTTATTTTACTTATTCCCTTCCCAGTAAACCCTCCTCTCCTCATTATTTTTAGTTGGTTTCTGCCCAAGAGTTTTATGTGCCTTTTGGTAATGCACAGCTTCCTAGCCTTCATGTTGAGGAAGTCTCTCTCATCTCTTTATTTTGTCATTGTGGCATAAAGACATGTCTTCAGCCTGCATATAAACTCCTTTCAAGGCTCCCCCAGAGCTTTGCCTGGTTTCTGGTTTCTATAAGACACAGCAATGTTCTCAAATGTGAGTAATATACAGATGCCTTCTGCAAAAAAATTCCTTCTTATGGATGCCACTCCCCTACCAAGCGTTGGCTGGATAATTTTATTATAATTTAACAAATATGCATAAACACAAACTCATTATAATCATCATAGGCTTATGAGTCTTATACTGGTACAAACCTAAAAATATTTACGAAAGTAATCACAAACAAAATTATAAGAGAATTACAGTTCAAAAGATCAACATCAGATTCACATGCCTATGGATATGATTTTGCTAAAACTAAAAGGTCTGTTTGCAGTATGACTATAGTATTGATGGCTTTGGCGATGTGTCTTTGTGTATGTGTATGTGTGTGTGTGTGTGTGTGTGTGTGTGTGTTGTCTTTATCACTTTGGTGTGAATTAATAATTCAAATCTTTCAACAGTTTCTTCCGTTAGACTTACGAGTGTGTGAGTTATAATGTCATTTGGTTTTTATTTGAAGCAAATGTATTATTTTCCTATTAAATTTGACTTTGGTTCTTTTCCCACAATTAAAATCATGTTAGCTGATGGCAACACAATGAAAAGCACACAAACATGGGGAAGGAAATTACTTGCCAATATATAGTTCCAAAGTACTATATATGAGGCTATGAAGTCCTCTAAATCATCTAGAATAGACTAAAGTTAATTTTTAAAGATGTTTTTCAAACGTATCACTAATTTTTTTTTAATTTTCTATTTTTATAGATGGAGGTGGTGCAAGTGCTGTTTTGTTATGTGCCTATATTGCACAGTGGTGAAGCCTGGGTTTTTAATGCAGCCATCACCTACGCAAGTGTATTTTTCTCCATTAAGTAACTTCTCTTTCCTCACCCTCTTCCTACCCTTCTAAGTCTCCAATGTCTATTACTCTACTCTATGTCCACAGGTATACACGATTTAGCTCCCAATTAATAAGTGAGAACACGTGGTATTTGACTTTCTGTTTCTGAGTTACTTGACTTAAGGCAAAAATATTTTTTAAAAAATCTTTAGAGAGAACTCTAAAACAAAAATCAAATAAAAACAGCTCTAGCAAAAGGAATATTGAGGTATGTTGATTCCTATAACCTAAAATAAGTTGGTTAAATGAGTTGGAGACTGCAGAGGGCACTTTCTAGTAATTAACATATGTCATATCCAAAATAGTCTGTGATACAGCTATCTTTATTGCTTTTGCCTATCAGTTCCTGGGAAGTACCATAGCATGTCTAATACCACAAAGCTACAAGACATCAGATTCAGGTCTGGAGGCAGTTTTTCTGACTTCAAGAGCATAGTGCAGAGGAAAGGAGAGGAGAGGTTGTGTATAGCTGCTTAGCAGAAAGCGAGAGGGAGCTGATAGAGAAGGCATTCCTGGAAACTCTTAGATCCTAAGTAAAGCTACAGACCAGAGATTTGTAAAGTCTCCTTCGAAATAAGCTGATGTGTTTGTTTTCCCAAGGCTTTGTCACATTCAGATGACCAGTTAGACTCAGATATTGCCAGGGAAAGGGTTTCATGGTGGAAAGCTAAGTATTAGGTTGGTGAAAAAGTAATTGTCGTTTTGCCATTATATTCAATGGCAAAACGGCAATTACTTTTGCACCAACCTAATTATTTGTACAATAGACTCAGGTACAGGAAGCGACAATAAATGGTAAAATCCAGAGGGATAAATATGACCTGGGTGAGACTCTTGGATTTAGGACATAGGAAGTAGGCTACTTGAGTCCACCTTGAGAAAAGATAAGCATGAGGAGGCATGGCTTCAGTCCCATTCTTGAACTGCCCAACTCTCCAGAATGGAAATCCAGTAAAAGAAGGGCTCAGATTTCAGAATGGTAGACAAAGGACCTCTGAAAATTCACGTCTTTAAAAAGTGAAGAGAACACTAGCAAAAACTGCCAAAAGCTGCCTTTTCAGAACGTAAGATTATAACAATCAAAGCAATATTTATTCAAGAAACACGGCTGAATCTCAGTAAGCACAGAGCCTTGTAGCCTTTTCATGTACCCTAATCTCATCAGTCTCCCCAGCTCCAAAGTAGTCACTAAAGCCAGAGACTTCCCACAGCAGTAGCTGTGAAGGCAGCGACATGCCTGCATGCCACTGGAGGGGGCAAAACGGATTTGGACCTATGAAAAGTCCTTCCCCAAAGGATCAGCTCCATTTGATGGGTCTAGAGCTTGCTGAAAAACTCCATTTTCAGAGTTAGTCTTTATTTGACATAACTTAAAGCTTGCTGTGCACTACCCACAAGGTATTTGGCAAAAATAATCAGCCACGATCATTTAACATCACAGTTGCCACAGCAGCATTACCAGTTGTTACTAAGAAGAGTCTGATCAAAAAACTTAAAATTGAGTAGCTTAAAACCTCACACATTTAATATCTTATGATTCTGGAGGTCAAAAGTTTGACACCAATCTCACTGGGCTAAAATGAAGGTGTTAGTTAGAAAGCTTCATTCCTTCTGTAGGCTGTGTGGGAGAAGGCATTTGTCTGCCTTTTCTTGCTGCCAGAGGCTGCCTGCAGTGCTTGCCTCAGAATCCCCTCCTCCATCTCCAAATGCAATAAAGTTGCATCTCTTTGAAAATTCTTCCACAATCACATCTCTCTCTGACACTCTGACACTGCCTCCTTTCATTTTTAAGGACCCCACTACTGAGTGTGCTCCAATAATCCAGGATAATCTCCCGATTCTAAGGTCAGCCAGTTGGCAACCTTGACTTCATCTGCAAACTTAGTTCCCCTTTGTCATGTTATATAAATGACTCATGGGCTTCAGGAATTAGAATATGGACATCTTTACAGGGCTATTATTCTTCTCACTGCACCATTTGACCCAGCATTTTCACTCCTAGATATAGCCAAGATAACTGAAAACATACGCCCATTAAAAAAAATGTGTATAAGAATGCTCTAAGAAGCATTATTTATAATAGCCCAATATAATTACCCATATGTTCATGAACTATTGAGTGGATAAATAAAATGTATTATATCTAAAAAGTGAAATATTATTTGTTCATAAAAAGAAATGAAGCTTTGATACATGCTACAACATGAATAATCCTTGAAAACATTATGGTAACAAAATAAGCCAGGCACAAAAGTAAACTAATTGTATAACTCCATTTATATGATTCCTACAGAGTAGGCAAACTTATAGGGAAAGAAAGTAGATTATTGGTTTCCAGGGACTGAGGGAAGAATCAGAAGTAACTGCTTATGGGTGTGGAGCTTTGTGTACGTTGGGGGTAAAGGGAGGAGTGATAAACATATTCTAGAATTAGTGGTGATCAATGCACAATTCTGTGACTATAAACCTCACTAAATCGTCCAGGTGCAGTGGCTCACACATGTAATCCTAGCACTTTGGGAGGCCGAGGTGGGCGGATCACCTGAGGTCAGGAGTTTGAGACAAGCCTGGTCAACATTGTGAAACCCTGTCTCTAATAAAAATACAAAAAAAATTAACCGGGCATGGTGGCAGGCGCCTGTAATCCCAGCTACTCAGGAGGCTGAGGCCAGAGAATCGCTTGAATCCAGGAGGCAGAGGTTGCAGTGAGCCAAGATCGCGCCATTGCACTCCAGCCTGGGCAAGAAGAGCAAAACTCCATCTCAAAAAAAAAAAAAAAAAAAATCACTAAATCATACCCTTTAAAAAGGTGGACTTTATGGTACGTATTTATATTTCAAAAGAGATGTAACAAAAAATTAGATTAAAAAATTTAGATACAGAGTTGGAACCAAAGCTGGAAGACAGTGACTTTCTGTGTGTGTGGTGTTTGGGAAGAGGGTTATCACAAAGCATTTCTCCCTCAAGAGCCTAGTAGAGAAACCCAGTACGGGAATAGTGGTCATATGGACTCTTCCTCCTGGCCATCCTCTCATCTCTCCGTTTCTGTCTCCATGAAACCCCTACCTTGTTTCCCATATTTTACAAGAATAGAGGTTAGGCATTGTTCCCATGACCACACAACTAACCAGTGGTATCTGGAATTTTAGTCTAGACCCGTCTGGCTCCAACGCCTGTACTGCTTCCATTATAATAAGCAGCTTCTGAGCACTGCGCAAACATCACCTCTCACCAGGAGGTGAACTGAAATCAAAGCAACAACAACAATAACAAAAGGAACAATAATAACAACAATAACAAAGCGGGAGCTGAAATCAAAGCAAAAACAACCACAAAAGTTTGCCACTAAAAAAGCACTGCTTCCATTCACACATCATTGCGGTTATGGCCATAGCACATATTAATGATACTGAAAGTTAATCACATGCAACTCCATTCTGAGTTTAGTCTAAAGTGTTTTATTTTGTCTGTACTTCCATGATTATTATTCTAATTGGAGAGGGTTTGTGAGGACTCTCAGAGACCAAGAAAGCACTATATAATGCTCTTGATAACTTTTTCAGTCTTTCCCCTTTATTATCAATTAATATTTATAAGTATCTAGAAAGTTCACATCCCAGCATTTGAGAACTGCTTTATGAAGTGACTTGTGTAGAAGGCACTGAATGTGTGTGCATGCATGCAACTCTTACATCTGAGGTTAATTTCGGAATTTATTGGATTCACATTTAATTAACCCATTGGCAGAATGTCATACACGTATGTGACCTGAGTCCTCAAACCCAAGCATTGAGATATTAGTATTCATTTATTATGTGGGTAGGTCACTCAGGTGAAATGGTTCTCTGCTGTTAGGCTGTGGGGATGACAGGTAATAAATGAATAAAGTGCAGTCTTCTGAGATCATTTATAAAAGCTAAAGTCGGCTGGGCACAGTGGCTCAGGCCTGTAATCCCAGCACTTTGGGAGGCTGAGGTGGGTGAATCACCTGAGGTCAGGAGTTTGAGACCAGCCTGGCCAACATGGTGAAACACCATTTTTAATAAAAATACGAAAAATAGCCGGGCGTGGTGGTACAGGCCTGTAATCCCAGTACTCAGGAGACTGAGGCAGGGGAATCGCTTGAACCTGGGAGACGGAGATTGCAGGGAGCTGAGATCACGCCACAGCACTCCAGTCTGGGTGACAGAGTGGGACTCCGTCTCAAAAAACAAAACAAAACAAAACAAACAAACAACAACAACAACAACAACAACAAAATATATATATATATATAAAACCAGCAATAAAAGCAGCTTACCCATCTTGGGCAAACAGATGTTATCAATACTTTTTACCTTGTTCTGAAGCTTTTGAGACACAGACATTATGTAATGACTTCTACTACAAAAGGTAACTCCCCCAGTGTGATAAATCATTAACAGTGCCCTGAGTTATGTGCTCAGTGTTCTCAACAATATGGGCCATGTGTCTCAGTCACTTTGATTCCAGAGCCAGAGTTTAGACCTCAGATGGACTTCCGAGATGATCTGTTCAAAAGACATTAGGGGTCTTAACAACCATCTAAAATTCAATACTTTCATTAAATAGTCGAGGTCCAGGAAAGTTTACAAACATGCCTGAGGGCCCATAACAAGTTATAGAAAGAGCCAGTTGAGAATCAAAGTCTATAAATTTACTTACAAACACCATTGAACACCAGACGTATGCTAGAAGTGGGGGACATTGGCTCACTTCCAATACCTTACAGTTAAGTGTAGATACAGCAGATGAATTAACATCCATATAACAACACTACAGAGGCTCTGGAACAAACTGCCTGGGTTTAAATCTCTGATCCTCCACTTATTCTATAGGGTAACTGAGTTTCATCTCCTGAAAAATGGGAATGAAGACTGGACCTATATCTTAAAATTGCTGAATAAATTAATTGCTACAATACCTAAAAAGCTCTTACAGTAGAGCCCAGCATACTGTAAAGTAATCAATATGTCTTAGCTATCATCAACATAAATGTCATCATCATTGTCATTACGTGTACCATGCTAAAGTTAACTAAAAAGTTTTTTTTGTTGTTTTTTGTTTTGTTTTGTTTTTTGAGATGGAGTCTTGCTTTGTCACCCAGGCTAGAGTGCAGTGGTACAATCTCGGCTCACTGCAACCTCTGACTCCCAGGTTCAAGCAATTCTCCTGCCTCACCCTCCCGAGTAACTGGGACTACAGGCGTCCGCCACCACACCCAGCTAATTTTTGTATTTTTAGTAGAGACAGGTTTCACCGTGTTAGCTAGGATGATCTCGATCTCCTGACCTTGTGATCCGCCAGCCTCGGCCTCCCAAAGTGCTGGGATTACAGGGATGAGCCACCGTGCCTGGCCAACTAAAAAGTTTTAAATCAACATTCAGATAAGAAGTCCAGGGCCAGGCGCAGTGGCTCATGCCTGTAATCCCAGCACTTTGGGAGGCCAAGGCGGGCGGATCACCTGAGGTCAGGAGTTCAAGACCAGCCTGGCCAACATGATGCAACCCTGTCTCTACTAAAGATACAAAAATTAGCCAGGTGCAGTGGTGGGTGCCTGTAATCCCAGCTACTCGGGCAGCTGAGGCAGGAGAGTCACTTGAACCTGGGAGGCAGAGGGTGCAGTGAGCCGAGATAGTACCACCGCACTCCAGCCTGGGCGACAGAGTGAGACTCTGTCTCAAAAAAAAAAAAAAAAAAAAAAAAAGTCCATAGTCCAGCCTTGGAAGCCCAGCTAGAACTGGAAGAAAAAGATCAAGGAAGGTGCAGCAGACTAAAAAATGCCCCGCAAAGATAAGAGCTCCTCATCTCTGTAATCTGTAAATGTTACTCCATTCAGAAAAAGTCTTTACAAATGTGATCAATTTAAGATCTCAACTTAGACGGACAGAATATCCTGTGATATCTACCTGTGTTCTAAATAAAATCCTAAGTATCCTTATAAGAAAGAGGCAGAGAGTGATTGACACTCAGTTACACAAAGAAGGCCACGTGAGGACCTGGCAGAGAAGGACATGTGATTGTTGAGACTGAAATGATGAGGCCACTAGCCAAGGAATGCTGGGCTGGCAGCCACCAGAAGCTGGAAGAGACAATGAACAGATTCTTCCCTAGAGCCTCCGGAGGGAGTGCAGCCTGCTAACATCTTGACTTGGGCTCAATGATTTTGTATTTCTTCTGGACTCCAGAATTATAAGAGAAAAGAATTGTGTTGTTTTAAGCAATCAAGTTTGTGGTATTTGTTACATGAGTCACAGAAAATTAATGCAGAAGACTTCCCTGGAAGAAGGGGTTTTTGATATATATACCATTGGATGTGTAAAATGTAGTGGGGCAAATAGGAGAGGAGGACTTGGGTATATAAAAGGAAATTTCTGAGAAGCCTCTAAGTTTGTAACTTTGTAAAGCTGGAGCGAAGATTATCTATAAAAGAGTTGTTGAGGCCAGGCTCAGTGGCTCACTCCTGTAATCTCAGCACTTTGGGAGGCCGAGGCAGGCAGATCACGAGGTCAGGAGTTCGAGACCAGCCTGACCAACATGGTGAAACCCCATCTCAACTAAAAATAGAAAAATTAGCCAGACGTAGTGGCACGTGCCTCTAAACCCAGCTACTCAGGAGGCTGAGGCAGGAAAATCACTTGAACCTGGGAGACGAAGGTCGCAGTGAGTCAAGATTGCACCATTGCGCTCCAGCCTGAGCAACAGAGAGAGACTCAGTCTCAAAACAAAGAAAAAAAAAAAAAAGAGTTGCTGAACATGAGGCCAGGGAGGCACTAGGAGAAAGATTATCAAAATCATGTGTGCTTATCTTGAGCTTGAAGTTTATTTTAAAGGCATGGTATTTGGGCATAATCACTTAACACCAAATAGGATGAAGAATTAACAACCATGGTCATTCCTGAATAAGTTAGAGCCAGATGTTTCTCTGTAAAAACAAAGCAAATAACCCCTAGACGTAGTAATGGCACATGGAGAGGCGTGGGCAAACATATTCCATGTAAATATGTGACTCACCGAAATTGCTATTACTGGGAAGTTTCTTAGGAACTGGGTACCGTGAGGCCTAGTAACAGCAACAGCAGTAGAGACAATGCAGTATGTCAGAAATAGATTCTCTGAGAGCCAGGTCTGAGAATAATATCTATCTTGGCAATGCCAAGTTAATAAGAAATATCTGTTGGTGCCCAGTTAAAAAAAGAGAAAGACCATTAGGCAAAGCACAACAAAAACCTTTGATTAATTAGGAGAAAAATAGTTGACATCCCTCAAAGGGTCTATTTTAAACATAAATTGAAATAAAATATAGAATTGTTCTGGGTTATTTTTATTTTTTCATTTCAGTTTGATTAAGAGTGATATTTATATCACTAGAAAAAGTCCATGGGATATTGTGTATGCTATTTATAATGTTACTCTGCAATACAGCAATATTGGAGACTTCTATGTGTTTCTCTGCAAATCCACTTCAAAAATAGCATTGATTTTCTAGAGGTTGCAATTTCTTTTCATTTGATGGTAACCAGATTTGTTCCCAAAATGACCTTTCCTGGACTTAAGGATATATTGCCAAAAGCAGGAGTAGATAACATACATTTCCAATAAACATCATGTGATCAGAAATCAATAGGCATTCACTTATTGTGTGGTTACTTTCTTCAATAACTAGTGTGACTTGGAAGAATCTCTGAATTGGGGGTGACTGTGCTGGAAGTGAAGTAAGTAATGATCGCCTGCCACTTGCCAAGCCCTACGCAAGTATTTCAGGCACATTACTTCTGTTTCTCCCGGCAACCCTATGCCATACTTATTTTATCACTTCACATTATAGGAATCCTAAGCTTAAAGAAAAAAAACTTGCAAGTGTTCATACAAGTTCACACAGAATTGGAATTCAAATTCAGATATTGTATTTAAACTCTTACTGGGCAAAAGGGAGTTATAATCCTAGGATTCTTCTGTTGAAAGTCAATGAAAAGGATGCATGAGATATTTTTTTAAATGCCAGGATATAATTACTTCAGTTCCCATTACTTCTTAGAGTCCAGTATACCCCTGAGTTCATGGCAGAAGACAATAATGGCTCATCGGCCTTTCAAACCTGGGAATAACTTGAGAGATTTCACATAACTCATGACTTTAAAATTTATTGGACTATATTTAAACATAAAGAAGTAGAGTGAATTGTCCATTAAACCCACATAGCTACTACCCAGATTCAACAATTACAAAAATTTGTTTTTTATAATTAATTAATTTGTCCTTTTTTTAAATTTTTTCCTGTAATATAAAAAAGCAAATCCAACTCACTTTTATTCCTACATTCTTTTGTATGTATCTCTAAAAATGATGGGCACAATCTCACATAACTATAATGCCATGAATATGCCTAATAAAAGTATCACTCATTTCTTGATATCATCCAATATCAGGGCATAATCAAATTTATCTACTTATCTCTATAATACCCTTTTATGGTTATTTGGTGAAAACATGTCCATAAAAGCAGAAAGCAATGTCCATTCATTACATTTAGCTATTCACTCCCTCCTTTTTTTCTGTTTCTCTCTCTCTGTACACCATTGCTTTGTTTTATTTGAAGTATTTTTGCAGGAGGTGATAGTATGGGAGCAAGATTTCTTTATTTTATTTATCTTTTCTGAATTGGAAAATGTATCATAATGAATTCACAGGTTTTAAACACTCAGCATGTCTCAGTTGATTCTCTGTTTAATGTTTAAAGTTTCATCTTTAATCAGTGGGAACTCATTTAGGTTAGATTCTTGGTCCTGACAGCTTCTTTGCTTTCTGAAACAACACAATATCCCAGGCTTGCCTTTTGTATATTAACCATGTCTCCAAACAGCAATGGTTGCTTTTAATCAAGAAAGCTGATAGGAGAAGAATAGGGAATGAGACCACAATTTGGACAGTAGAGGAGCTCATTGAAATGGGAGGTCATTGCTTGCTTCCAGAATGTCTTTTTTTTTATTGTAAAAAACTTTATTTTAACAACAAAAAAATCATGTATTTATTCTTGTATTCCAGTTTAAGTGTAATATTTGAGGTTTTTTAATTTAACTTTGTTTTAGATCTGCTCTTATTTTCTCTTATGTGGAAAATCTTTATAATCAACAAAATTAATTACTTATGCACTTTCCTAAAATTCATTAAATTGTTTTATACTAACAAGAAGAGTATTACTGCTAACAATTAGATCTATGTATACATTTTAAGAGTATGTTTTCACTTTATTTGTCCTTAGAAGATATGGTTTTATTTGTCCTTAGGAGATATGGATGGTTAAAATATAGTTTCCTAAAATAGATTGAAATAATTATTTTTCTGTATGTAGTTATGGCACTAACTGGAAAACAGTTTCATTTCTCTTAGTTTATTTTGAGTTTCCAGAAATTGGTTTCTTTCTTTTTTAATTAGTTTTATTTTTTTCGATCTGTAAAACATTTTATGGCTCGAAAGCCAAAACTATATTCTAAGATATATGTAGAAAATGTTTACTTTCCTCCTCTATAGATGATCATGTTTTGTTAGATTTTGGTTTACCCTTCAGGTATTTAACAAATATAAGATTATGTTTATTATATTACTTCTCTAAGGTATATGTATCTCATTAATTCTCTTTCTTACTCAAAGTTAGCACAATCCTGAGTTGTGCCAATATTGAGAACAGACAAAGAACCCAGCAACCAACACTGAGAAGGAGATGCTTGTACAGACAGGAGGAAAAGCAGGAAAGAGTGATATCTTAGAATTTAACTGATGAAAGTATTTCAAGGAGGAGAGAGTAGTCAATTATACCAAATGTTGCTGTAAGTCAAATGAGAGTGGACTGTTGGATTTACCGTTTTGGAAGGCATGTTTTGACCTTTCCAAGAGGAGTTTTGATGGAGTGTAGAGATGACCACCCAATTAGAGTATACTAAAGAAATAATGAAAAGCAGGGAGTTGGAAATATTAAGTGTATGCATCACTTTTGAGAAGTTGTTCTATCAAGAGGAAGAGAAAGCATGATAACTGGAAGAAAGAAGTGGGGTCAAGTGGAATTTATGTCTTAAGATGAGAGAAATAATAGTGTTTTTATGTTGATGTTAGTGTTTTTGGTTAGAGATGGTGGAGGCGGGGAAGGATGCAGAAGAAAGATGATGCAGGGATGTCCTGAAAGGGGCATGAAGAAAAATCTAGTGCACCAGGGGAAAGGTTAGTCATACGGAAGAGCATGGGCAATTTATGTATAGAAAACAACAGAAGTAAAAATAGAGTTTACGAGTATGGGCAGTGGTTGCTGGATATAAAAGTTGAAGGAGTTTGTTCAAGTTTTCTGAATGCCTCTATTTTATCAGAAAAATAGACAATATGAAGGTCAGCTGAATGGGAAGGAGAGGGTAGAGATGCCAGATGTATGAGGAGAGAGGAAGTGGTATGAATGGGTATCAGCTGTTTCCTTCAATGCCCTTCTTATTCTTACTCTCCAAAGGACAATATGTGAGTGAATTATTTTGTCCCCATCCAAAACAAAATATTGCTATGGGAGGTCTGTTGCAATGCTACCTCACAAGGGACAAGTCTTGATAATATGAAACAAATTCATGGCCACCTGAGGCCAGAAATTTGTTCTATGCTATAATTGGTTATAACCAGAGTGGTGGGATTACAGGCTGCAAGGCTTGGGAACAGCAGGCAAAAAGATCCACAGCCAAGTCCTCAGGGCAGAGGTGCTGTGAGCAGGGCCACGTGCCATGGACTATCCACTTCTGACCCACAACCCGGGCTCCTACTCTTCACCACTTGCCTTTCTCTTGTCAGTATCCTTCTTACAGCCTCCGTTTTAAGACCTTTCATTGTAATGAGAGTAAATTTGAGCAATTCCAAATGAAACATTCAGCTTCAATGGCTATAACCTATGAATCCACAGCCTCTTGTCTGAGGTGTCAGTGAGACTTGATAACAGTGGGCCGGCAGTTAAGTCCTGCTGGCCTCTGAGTTCATTTGCTGGCTAATTAGGAAAAAAATGTTTAATGTACTACAAAGCTCAGGGGGAGCCCTTGACTGGTTTAAGCAGTTCTCACTTGTCCTACAGGTCGGACAATGGACTCCCAGGGTTTAGAGAGTGAGTTCTTTTGAGTCCCAGAACATCGGCTTTTCTTTTGCTCCATTTAATTTTGCAGAAGAAGAAAAGACAACTGCACATCTTCAGTAAAAAATAGCACAGCACCAACCTGTGATCCTGGTTATGGAAATTGCATCAATAATAACTTCAAGAAGGCACATTTTTCCTATTAATCTTTCAGGAAAAAGAAAGAACTGCTATAGATGTTCTCAGAGATAGTGTATGAGAAGTTTCAAAAGAAAACTACATCACGGTGGAGTGGAAACCTAGGGGATGTGCTGGTCCAGGGCAAAGAGGACAAGGCTGGAGATCTGGAATATGATTCACATAAAGAGTGTTTGACCTTAGGTGAGTCAGGGAACCTTTGTTTTTTCTTCTGCAAATGGAGATAATAATATGAACACCCCTGTAAGAACTTGTTAGAATCTGTTGAGATATTGCATACAATGGAAATTTTTGAAAGTGTAAAGCTTCCTGTAAATGAGTTTTCCCAATGGCCCTTACCTAAATTATAATCCCTTGTCTGTGAAATCTGTTAGGAATAAAGAAAGGATACCAGAAGAAATGAAATAAAAGTGAGAAAAGAGAAGGAGAAAAGAAGGGAGGAAAGAGATCATCAGATGAAATAGCAGCAGGAACATGGAGTAGGAAAGCAGTGATTTTATAGAAAAGAAACTTAGCAGACACAACTTTAGCATTGCAAGCAAGGTTAACATCACAAACAATGTCATGATGATGGCATGTGCCCTTGATAGGATGTGGTAAGAAGGGCATGTCATCTCTGTAAAGGATTATTTCCTAAAACCCATAACTCCAGTCTAATCATGAGAAAAACATAAGACAAACCCAACTTAAATGGCATTCTGCAAAATGTCTAACCAGTACTCTTCAAAAGGGTAAAGGTCATGAAAGAGAAGGAAAGACTGAGGAACTGTCACAGACCAGATGAGATTAAGAAGCAGTGACAACAAAATGCAATGTGATATCCCAGAGATTGGATTCTGCAACAGAAAAAAAAAAGTGAAATAAGAATTTAGTCTGTATTTATCAATAGTATAAATTTACCAGTACTACCAACATTGGTTTCTTAGTTTTGATAAATGTACCAAAGTGATGTAGCAATAGTAATAATGCAGGATATTCACAATAGGAGAAACCGTAAAGGATATAATGTATCCTTATGTATTATCTATGCAACTTTTATGTAAACCAAGAATTATTCCAAAAAATAGTTTATTTAAAAAATGTTTATATTCTTTGACCCAAAAATTCCATGTTTTGGCATTTATTCCAAGGAAGGTATCAGAATATTACTAAAGAGGTATTACCAATACAATTAGGCTAGATTGTAATTTATTACATGGAAAAATTAGAAATCACTTTATGTTCAAAAATCTGGAAACTAATACCAAATTAGGGGATACAGTGTGACAGAATATTATCTAGTTATTAAATATCAGCCTGTAGGAGCAGATCGGGGGTTGGGTGGGCCCGAGTGTGTGGTGGGATTGACTGCAAAGGGAGTCAAAGGCAGGAGCTTCTTGAATGATAGAAATCATCCTGATCGTGGTGATGGGCACATGAATGCTCATCAAAACCATGTGTCATAAATGGGTTCATTTTGTTGTGTATATCTTATACTTCAATAAATGTTTTTTTAATTGAGGGAAAAAGACTAAAATAACCATGAAAATGACAATAAATGTGCATATATTCGTGTGGGTTCATTTTGATTAAAAAATAAAATAGTTGCTAAAGCACCAAGCCTTAAATATTTGTGGGAATAAATCACGCTATTAATGGATATGAATATAAATGTGATAGTGCTCTTGAAAATCCTGGAGAAGTATAAAGCACTATATCTATTATAACACTGTTAAAAGCAGACTCCTACTCCAAAAAAAAAGATTCACTTGTTTTTGTGCACTGAATGTTTGTCTTGCTTATGAGAATAACAGAAAACAGCTGCATTAGAGGAAATTGTATGGGAAAGAATTTAAGAGTGCATGCTATAAAATGAAGAGATCTGGGTGCAAGTCCTGCCTCTATAACTCACTAGACAAGTGTCTTTGGCAAATTATGTAGCTTCTAGTTTCTCAGCTTTCTTATCTTTAACATATTGCTATAGAGTTGTTGTGTAAATTAAAGGATGTAAAACTTTTATTTAAATATGTATCAATGTCTAGCTCAAAATATATACTATACACTAGACATAATTACTACTATTACAATACTATATTATTATTATTATTATTACTATCATTACTGTCACTATTTCTGGCCACAGTAGACTGATAGAACACCCAAGGCTATGGAACACCCAAGATTTTTTCAACAATTGTTCCACTGGAAAAGTTCTAAAACTATTCTAATGGTAGCTAAACACTGAAGCACAGGTTCAGCCCCTGTTATTATGGCCAAAACATCTCATTCCCTCTTTCATCCACTCACCTGTCCTTAGCTTAGAGCAAGTACCTGTAGAGTACCTTACAGCTGATCCTATTTTTTCTGCAATTTGATGAGACTTTTACCTCTTACCTTTTCAGAGCATATTTCAGAGGAATACTGCCGATATGTAAAACTTAATATTTTAGCCACCTGGATTTTTCATGTATCCATATTTTAAAAAATTATTCAGTGTGTTAGATATTAACTGTTTATTTTGGAGAGACAGAAAAGGGGTTTTGAAGGCAAAAGGACATTGATTCAACATGCTGCTCTGTCAAACAATGACAATATATCTTGGGCACATTGCTTCACTTCCCTCAGCCTCAGTTTCTTTATTCTCCGGGTGTGAGTAATTTTATTTTCCTGTGTATTAAAATAAGTAACACAATTCATTCAAAATAGCTACTAGGTGACCCATACCCTTGTAAACAAAGTTAATATTTATGAAGTAATTGTAAGATCTGAGCTAAAGTTTTGATGATATTTTAATGGTCCTATAAATGGGGACCCAAGAATACCAACAATCACCCCTATGCTCTTTCCAAGGCTGCAGTAGGAGCTATTTCCCAAGGAAGGGTTACATGGGGGGCAAATGTCATGGTTGCAGTAGCTGCATAAATAACAAGTTCACTTTAGAGCAGAGTTCATGTAAAACTGGAATCCACTGCTTACACCTGAAGCCTATGAAACAACATTACTTGCTTTCAAAAATCATTAAAAAAATACTACCATTCTCAGTGTTTGTGGAGGGAGTTAGAAAGAGCACGGGCAGTCAGCCAAGGACAGTCCTGATTCTGCATACTTACAGATGAAGAGCCGGGTGTCAGAGAGCCTGTAGAGGGGCAAGCTGGATCTGCAGAGGACCCTCCCAAATCTATGCACCTAGTAGTATGCAAAGAGGGCAAGAAAGACAGGGTACGGGGACCCTCACTCACCTGTGACCATACACTAGCTAATGTCCAGGTCTACGGCTATTTGTTTTATTGTATTAGTGCCCCCTCGTGTGTGTGTGTGTGTGTGTGTGTGTGTGTGTATGAGACCAGAAATTAAGGGCAGGTGTGGCAGGGAAAGAATGTGCTAAAAGTCCTCCTGCCCCTATCCGTAAGGCAGTAACACATTTAATCCTCCAGCAAGCCTGTGGTAGATGGTACTGCAGTTACCTAATGCTTCTAGTTCCTCTCCTTGAACTGTCAGAGTAGGATGGCACTCTCCTACCCATCTGGCCAATCAAATGAAGCAGAAGTGATGTATGTGGCTGTGGGCAGAGGGAATTAATGACCAGCATTCCCATCTCCAACCACCCTCAGCAGGCTCCACAATTGTGGGAGCTCATGTTGCTCTGAAGCAGCAAAGCTCAGCCACCGCATGAAGAACAGATGCCTGGGAGCACTTGGTCACAAATTGGACCTGGTGTAAATAAGAAAACCTTTGTTATTTTAAACCACTGAAATCTTGGGGGTTGGTATCATAGTGTAAACTAGCATAACTTGACTGACGCCCAACCCTATGCCTCATCGTTAGAGTCCAGGCAAAGAAATGAACTTTTAGATCAAAAACACAAATTCTTGTGGAGGAAGATGGACATATATAAGATACTCAGAATCCAAGATGAACCCCCCAAAAGGGTTTGTTTCTCTCCTCCACCCTCAAGTTCCACCTATCCCTAGACCTCTGTTTCTGGTTGAATAGCATGGCTCCATTAGTGATGAGAAACTTTTCAACTAGCGGCCGTTTATCTAGCATCTGTTTCTGAATACTGTAGGTCAGGCTCTGTACCAGGAATGAAGGATGCAGCAATGCATAGCATCTGCAGTGGTGGTGGGGTGAAGGGGAGATAGAGAATACATTTTTAAAAATAAATAGACATTGTTTTATTTCTATAGTCCCAGCTACTTGGGAGGCTGAGGCCAGAGGATGGCTTGAGCCCAGGAGTTCATGGATACAGTGAGCCATGAGAAGTGACCATGCCAATGTACAATGTACTTAATGCTAATGATGTGGAAACAAAATGAAGCAAAGGGTTGGGGGAGAATAACAAAGATTGCTATTTTGGAATGAGTGATCAGAGATGGGCTTTTTAAGGGAATGACATGAGCAGAGACTGATTTAACTGTGTGACTGAGTCCTGCCAAACCATGGGAAAGGCAAGCCAGGCAGAAGATCTATTAAGTTTGTTTCTCACTCTAAACATCTGAGACCTCATGTGCAAATGATGACTTTTGGTTGTCCTGTGGGTATTTGGAGCTGATTGGTGATAATTTGAGGGTGGTTAAGTTCTGATTGTGACATTTAAAGCAGAAGAGCAGATCAGCTGTGAAATCTAAAGTCTCCTCAAATCCACAAGTAGGTGGTGATTTACTCCGCTGGTGATCTTGACTACCTGTGTCACCAGCAGAACTGGCAATATAACTTGAAGGACTTGGTGCAAAATAAAAATATACAGCCCCATATTTTAAAGATTTTATAAATATTAAGATGACAGCAGCAGCACATTCAGCCTGGAGCCCTCTGGGACCATACAGATTGCACAGCCATGAAGCCAACACTGGTCAGTGGGTACCCATTTCCTTAGGAATATGGTGGAAATGCTTGTGGCCAAGAGTCAAGGGGTTTATTTATGAATAAAGGTCAGGAACAGGATTGGAAATGATACCTGGTACCAAGAGTAAGGAAAGACAAAAAGCAACCTTGCTAGAGAGGGAAGCAGGTTGAAATAAGCAAGTAAACATAAAAAATATCCTATAACAGTGTACTGGCAAGAAAAAGTAAAAGAACATGGATATTTGTGACCAACATGGCTTCGAAATCAGGCTCCACTAATACCAGTAGTTTGTTGTTAGATGATGCACTTACTATCTGAGAATCTGTTTCCTCTCCTGAACAATGGGAATAATTCTACTTACTGCATGGGGTTTTGTTAAGATTAAATTTGTAAAAGAACTATTCTTCTCAATGAAGATCACTTTATTAATTCTCTTTTCAAACAAGAGGCCAACACGAGAATAAAGAGAAATCAAGATATCTTATGGATCAGGATTCATAGATGCCTAGAATCCCCTGTAGTCAAGTAAGTCTTCTGATCCATCCCTTACCTTACTGCATCCTCACCATGGCCTTATCTTTTGGTATGAGCAGAAAATGGACCCTTTGATCGTAGCAGAAAGTGTAATAAGTAGTGGTTGGGATTCACTGGTTCATCAAAGGTCTGTTGCATTTCACTTAGTCATGTATCTCCTTTACTCACCCTCATATTCAGAAAATATTTATAGAGCATTCAGTAGGCACTAGGGACCCACAGCATGGAGATAAAGGATACATTTCTGTTCTCAAGGATGCCCCTGACTAGTGGGGCAGGAAGATAAGTAAATAAATGATTGCAATGCAAAACAATGGATGCTAACAGAAGGGAGTCCAGGTAAGGTTCTGAAAGCAGTTGTCAGAGCCCAGTTCACCCCATAAGATTATACGATGTTGGGGAAAATGGGAGCAGGTGATGAGTAAGAGCTCCCTATAAAAATTAGTAACAAGTATACTATGCAGCCATAAAAAAGGTTGAGTTCATGTCCTTTGCAGGGACATGGATGACGCTGGAAGCCATCATTCTCAGCAAACTAACACAAGAACAGGAAACCAAACACCACATGTTCTCGCTCACAAGTAGGAGTTGAACAATGAGAACACAGGAACACAGGAAGGGGAACATCACACACCCAGGCTTGTCAGAGGGTTGGGGGCTAGGGAAGGGATAGCATTAGGAGAAATACCTAATGTAGATGATGGGTTGATGGGTGCAGCAAACCATCATGGCACGTGTATACCTATGTAACAAACCTGCATGTTCTACACATGTACCCCAGAACTTAAAGTATAAAAAAAATAAGTAACAAAAGAGGACAAATTTAAAAAGGCCAAAAATGCCTCTCGTGTGGGAGCACTTTAAAAATACCTCAATGTCCTTCTTGGGTGAGAGCAGAGACAATAGGGAAAAAGAGAGAGAGGGACCACATTCTGGGGAGTTTATAGGCTCTGCTTTTGTTGGATTATATCCTATAAAACATGGGTGCTTTTGAAGATTTTTAAATGGAGATGTGACATGATCAGATTTATAGAAGCTCTCTGGAGGCTGTGAAAGAATGCATTGGAGGAGGCCATATGGAGATCAGAGGATAGACTGGAGGTTGTTTTAATAACGATTAACAATGTGTGTCCAAACAATAGCACTGTCAGCACTTTACAATCTTTGTACCCAGCATGCAGTCCACCCATAATAATTTATAGCATTTATTCAGTGATAATTGTTGTCAGGCTCTGGTATAAATACTTTGCATATGTTAGTAGTCTGCAAAGTAGTCATATGAGCTAGTAAACTGATCTCCCTTCTTTCTTCTTCCCATTTTACAGAAAATAAACTGAAGCACAGAGAGATGAAGCAATTTGCCTAGGGTCACACAGTCAGTAAGTGACCATGCCAAGAAGTTTAATTTCAGAACCAGAACTCTTAATAGAGATAGTGTATTACACACATACTAAAATTGGCCTCTGTCATTCAAAGGGCCAAGAATGTCAAGTTCTTATAATGCAGGAAATGTCTCTGGTTTTCAGGCCATGAAGATAGTTATATTTATTTTTTATTTTTATTTCAATAGTTCTGGGGTTACAGGTGGTTTTTGGTTGCATGGATAGGCTCTTTAGTAGTGATTTTTGAGATTTCTGTTTACCAGTGACCTGAGCAGTATACACTGTACCCCAACATGTAGGCTTTTATTCCTCACCTGCCTCCCAGTCTTCCCCTCTGAATCCCCAAATTCCATTATATCATTCTTAAGGCCATGCAGATATTAAGTAAATATTTCAGCAAAATATAATGAACACATTATAAATATTATAATGTATAAATGAATACGTTATAAATTATACACATTATAAATATACACATTATAATGTATAAATGAATACATTATACATTATTCTTGCCTAAACTTCCAACTGTTGATTGTTGCATTTGTTTCCTAGGGCTGCCATAACAAAGTACCACAGACTAGGTGGCTTAAACAACAGAAATTTAATTTCTCACCATTCTGGAGAATAGAAGTTTGACCTCAAGGTGTCAACAGGGTTGGTTCCTTCTGGGGGCTGTGAGGGAAAGATCTGTTCTAGGTCTCTCTCCTCAGCTTGCAGATGGCTGCCCCCTCCCTATGCCTACACATCATTCTCTGTCTATACATGGCTGTGTTCAAATTTCCTTTTTTAAAAAAGACACCATTCATATTGAATAAGATCCACCCAAATGACTGCAGTTTATCATGATTACCTCTGTAAAGATTCTACCTCCTCATATAGTCACATTCTGAGATACTGGAGTTAGTACTTCAACATATAAATGTGGAGATATTCTCACACTGCTTTAATAAAATACCTGAGACTGGGTATTTTATAAAGAAAAGAGGTTTAATTGGCTCACAGTTCTGCAGGCTGTATAGGAAGA
Organism: Homo sapiens; assembly: GCF_000001405.40. Lineage (NCBI taxonomy): Eukaryota > Metazoa > Chordata > Mammalia > Primates > Hominidae > Homo > Homo sapiens. The sequence continues at coordinate 11,517,687 of NC_000004.12, read as the reverse complement.
GTGGCTGGGGAGGCCTCAGAAAACTTACAATCATGGAAGAAGGTGAAGAGGAAGCAAGGCACATCTTACACCGCCGGAGCTGGAGGAAGAGAATGAAGGTGGAGCTGCTACACGCTTTTAAACAACTAGGTATTCTGAGAACTCCCTCACTATCACAAAATAGCAAGGAGAGAATCCACCTGCTTCATCCAATCACCTCCCAGCTGGCCCCACCTCCAACACTGGGGTTTACAATTCAACATGAGATTTGGGTGGGGACACAAATCCAAACCACATCAGGGAGTTAAGCACTTTAGCCTATAACAACTCTTAATTACTTTAACATTTGACTCCGGTGGTCCCAAAAGATGTTCATGCCCTAATCCCTAGAACCTGTGAATGTTACTTTACTTAACAAGAGGTACTTTGCACATGTGGTTGAGGTAAATATACTGAGATGGGAAAATTCTCCTGGATTATCTGAGTGGGCTGAATGTAATCAAAGGGTCCTTATAAGAAAAAAAGGGGAGGCGGGGCACAGTGGCTCAAGCCTGTAATCCCAGCACTTTGGGAGGCTGAGGTGGGTGGATCCACTGATGTCAGGAGTTCAAGACCAGCCTGGCCAACATGGAGAAACCCCATCTCTATTAAAAAAAAAATTATCTGGGTGTGCTGGTGCATGCCTGTAATCTCAGCTACTTGGGAGGCTGAGGGAGGAGAATCACTTGAACCAAGGAGGCAGAGGTTGCAGTGAGCCAAGATCATGCCATTACACTCCATCCTGGGCATCAAGAGCAAAACTCTGTCTCAAAAACAAACAAACAAAAACAAAACAAAATCAAAACCAGGAGCTCATAATTAGAGATTTGAAGATGCTAAACTGCTGATTTTGAATATGGAGGAAGGGGCCATGAACAAAGAGGCAGAGACAGCCATAAGAAGCTGGAACAGGCAAGGAAATGGGTTCTCCTCCTAGAGCAAAATTGTCTAACCCCAGCCCGTGGGCCACATGGAGCCCAGAACAGCTTTGAATGAGGGCCAACACAAATTCATAAGCTTTCCTTTTTTTTTTTTTTTACTTTTTGTTCTTTCTTTCTTTTTCTTTTTCTTTTTTTTTTTTGAGACAGAGTTTCACTCTTGTCACCCAGGCTAGAGTGCAGTGACTCAATCTCTCGCCTCACTGCAATCTACATCCCCAATTCAAGCAATTTTCCTGTCTCAGCCTCCTGAGTAACTGGGATTGAAGGCACCCACCACCACACCCAGCTAATTTTTGTATTTTTAGTAGAGATGACATTTCACCATGTTGACCAGGCTGGTCTCAAACTCCTGACATCAGGTGATCTGCCCACCTCAGCCTCCCAAAGTGCTGAGATTACAGGCATCAGCCACCGCACCTGACCCATACATTTTCTTAAAACATTATAAGAATGTTTCGAATTTTTTTTTTTTTTTTAGTTCATCAGCTATCATTGGTGTTAGTGTATCTTATATGTGGCCCAAAACAATTCTTCTTCTAATGTGGTCCAGGGAAGCCAAAAGATTGGACACTCCTGCTAGTGGTTTCAAAGGTAGCATGGTTGTGCTGAGATCTTGATATCAGCCCATTTCAGCTTCTAACCTCCAGAACTGTAAGAAAACAATAGATGTGTTACTGTAAGCCACTACATTTGCTGTAATTGGTTACAGCAGCCATAGGAAACTCACACACCAACCAAAACCATCAAGACCTACAGCATCCCCCAGGCTTTCTGCAATGCCACACCTGGAGAAGCAAGTGTGCTTCATGTTTGGACAAGTGAAAAAAAATAGCCAGGGTTCCCTATGAGTGACTGTCATTCCTTCTCACAGAAAAGCAAACTGCATGCAGGCAAACCAACAAAGTTAGGAGCTTGTCGGCATCCCAAAAACTCTGGGAAAGAGAGGCCAAAGATGAATGGGGGGCACATGGGAGAGGAGGGCAGGGCAGGGCTGAAAGAAGCTGAAAGAATTTCACCAAAAGCTGAAAGAAGAGGCAGCTGGTCATTTATTAGCAGTTAATCAGGGGAAGAGAAACAGAGAAAGAGACATCATTTCAGTAATATCAAGGAGTTTGCAGTGGTAGAATTTGGGAACAAATAACAATGATAATAATGGCTTATCACTGACCCTCATGTGTGCGTGGCTACGATCTTCATGTGTGTGATACCGAAATATTTGCCATCAAGTTGTCACATGTGATACACAACTAGATTTTCACAATCACACAATGAGGTGGAGTGGAGGGCTGATGAGGCCATGTTCTATGCTAGAGACAAATGAGACAAGTAAGTGTCTTAGGAAGAACACTGACACAGACAAAAGTTTATTGTTCAAAGGTGTAGTTGGTTCTCTAAGGAACCATAGGAAAAGAGTATCTTATTTTTCCCTCAGGGTCGGGGAGATGCCTCATCTCCTGGTGGCTGCTCACATCTTCCTTCTACTCTGATGCCACTTGTTTTTACTCTTTCCACATCCACCAGCCCTGCTCTGAGTTCCACTTCAGGATTCTCTACTGACTGATGCTATGTGTAACCTCCAGAAAGCTAATTACACCCCATATCTCAATTTCCTTGATTGGCTTAAATAGTAGTTAATTGATCAGAGGTTTCTGGAGATTAAAGAAAACTACCCATTAGTCACAAGAAAAAGGCTCTGTGATTAGTCAGACGACAGGAGGCTTTCTAAATGTAAGGCACGCCTAAAGTCGCTGACAGTCTTCCTGTCAGGCGCCGAACCCAGCCTGTTGCCTAGCAGACCCGTCTGAGCCCTGATTTACGCCGACAGCCCTAAGTGGGAAGCAGGTTGAACAGGGAGGTGTCCCTTGTGTGTCATTTAAAGTTCAATATCTCTATTTTCATGACTCGTTATTTCACCACTGAAATTCGGCTCAAGGGAAATCCATCTCTTCTTTCCTAGCTAATCCCTGCATCTCTTTTCTTCTTCTGAAGATCGTCTTGCTTATATTATTTTGGGACTTATCACATTTGCAGTGCACTGTTGAGCACAATGACTACATCATATCATGTTTTTTTTCTCCACGTAAGGTCTCCAGATCCCTTGACATGAAGGGCCACGGCCATGGCAAGAGGATTTATGCGATGTGGTGCAGAGTTTCGCGGGAAAAAAATCCCCTGCAAAGAAGGATTAACCAAAATTTGGCAATCAGGCTTGGTTAGAAACCCAGCATCATAGAAAACCTGAAAGCTTTAGACTAAATAATGTATCTATGCTATGTCTCATTATTTATCTCAATGGAGGAAAATGAACATTGAACTGCGCCTGCCATGTGTCTGGTCTCAGGCTACCAAACTTGCGTGCTGTATTTTATTTAAGTTTACTTAATTGTCCCAACAAGCTGTGGCCTCTCAGTAAGGTCATGACATAAGTATCATTATCCCTGCTTTGTATTTCTGAGAACCATGGCTGAAACAAGTTAAGCCACTCATATCACTGATGAGAAGCATATTTCGAAAGCATTTCTGTCTGAGGCTGAAGTCTGGCCTTTTCTGTGACATCAGTTTGCCTATAAATCATTTTGGGAATCTGATAGAGGAGTTTCCAGGAGCTTCGAAAAAGAGGGTTATTTCCCAGGCCAGGAAGTGAGAGATAAAGATAAGCCATTTTTACCTAAGATTTTAAGTAATTCTCAGAACAACTCTATAACAAAGATATCAATCTCCTTATCTTGAGTAGGAGAAAGCTGAGGTTCAGGGAATTTAGATCCTTTGCAGGTACAAGTGGTAAAAGCTGATGCAAGGATTTTACCATAGCCTAAAACCTGTTTTCTTCACTTTTTAAAAAAGTTTTATATCACACTTTATCCATTGCATAGCCAAAACACCCACCGGTATTTGGTCGCATTATTCCAGCCTATAGAATTCAATGATCCAAACTACTAGATATCCATTCCTTTTTTCCCCCAGACATTCTTTGTCTCCAGCTGCATCGCTGAGAATGTAAATGTCAAGCAAGGAGTTATGGGTCCTGTGACATTGTCACTAATTCAGGCAGCATTACATCCAAATATTATCCTAAGTCAATGATGGCTTACAAATTATTTTTTTCTTTTTTTTCCAGTCCTCTGCCAAATCAAATCCATCTGCTCTACATTCCAATGCATCCAGACACCACCACCTCCAACCACCTCTACCACACCACCATGCTCTAAGACATCACTCTTTCTCTTTTTTATATACAATAATAACTTCTTGCTAATCCCCCTGCATCTGGCCTTTTCTTCTCTGGTTTTTAGTGCCATCTACCTTTCCAATATCTATTTCTCTTAGCTTCTTCCTCAAAAACAGAACCCTAATTTTGTTTGAAGCAATAATGTGTGCATAAGAAAAAAAAAAACTCCCCTGAACTCTAATTCCAAGCCTTCCTTGTTGCTGAGGGTAGATATTTGATACTGTTCTGACCAATGAGACATCAGCTGGAGTCTCTTGCTGTTTTTTTAGGAAAGTTTTGTTTCCCAACCATTGGAATTTTTCTACCTTATTGCTTCCTTCTTTTTTCTGGAATGTGGAATCAATGCCTGGGGCCACAGTTACTGTTTTGCAACCCCAATAACTAGAACCACATGCTAAAGATGGTGGAGCAGAGAGCTAGAAGATCTCGAGTCCTTCATGACTTCATGGAACAGCTGCACAGGTCTTGGACTGCTTATGAAACTCATTTAATTTGCCTTGAGGGTGTTGAGCTAGAAGAAGGAGAGAATAAACAAAAGACCATTCATGGTCTCATGACCTCAGCACTAATCTTCAAGAAAACTTCACATTCAAATAAATTAGTCAAATTCATCTTTTAAACTGCAAGTGATAAGATTTGAATTGGCATGTATATTAATAAATTAGCTACCATAATTCGGTCTATCACTGTAATAGTTTTGCCATCTATCAACTTAGCTGGGTTCAACTACATTTTCCAGATTGTCTATCTTGTGTTTTCCCAGTTAGGATGGGCTACAAGGAAGATTCTGGGAAGATTTTGGAACAGAAGCAGTAACCATTTTGTAGCTCATAGTTTTTGTTACTGATCTGCTGACTCACTTATTGGCATGAAGCAGCAGCTATAGGTCTGCAATTTCTCTGCCTTCTCTTAGATCACTCCTTCAGCTTGTCTAATTCCCAGATCAGGTGTACGTTTAGCTCTGTGATAAATGGTCCCAGCTTTTGCAGGACACCCTTTCCACTACCAAAGTCAGAGGCAACAAGAATGGACGCAGGCTTCAGTAGATTTTTGTGGGGCTCCATTTCATACTTGTGGGGACCGGCAAATTCATGATCTTCCTCTCCAGAATTCCCCCGCTCTGGACTTCAGGCTTCACCAGCAGATGTGGAGACAGCCTTTAGACACTGCTTAACCAGCTTCACAATTATATAAGGCCAGTTCCCTGTAACACGTTCCTTTATTATCTCTATCCATCCATCTATCCTAGAGGTGCTGCTTCTTTGGTAAACTCCGACTGATACAGTCACTATTAGGTTGTAATTAATAATAAATACAGCTAACATGTATGGAGCTACCTATTAAGTGCTAGGCACTTCTCTGACTACTTTACACCCATTTTACCTCAGGACAGCCCCATCAAGTCAGGGACTATCTTTCTCATTTTAATGACAAGAAAATTGAAGCAGAAAGAGGTTAAATAACTTCCCCAAGTCACACAGCTAGCAAGTGGCAGGGCTGGATTCAAACCTGGAAAGATAGACTCTAGAGATCACATGTTAACTACTGGCCAAAATCGAGATCATGTAAACTTCACTGTTAGAGCTCATCTCTCCACTGGGGGTCTTGACTTGGAAAATAGAAAAATAGTTTTTATAAGTGAAGCAGCACATACATGACAGAGGTAAGAAAAAGCAGGCAGTGAGCATGCATTGAACAGTCTCTGTGTTCCAAAAACTTTGCTACCTTTTGCGACAGATGTAGAAGAAATATAACATATTCCCCTCTCTCAAAAATTTACAACCTAATGAAGAAAGCTGATCTGGAACTTCCTGAGATGCTGTGCTTTCAACTGAGGCTAACCCATACCCCAGGCTGACCCACTTCATTACTCTATGGCTGCCCCACAATGTGGCAAAGCTCTCGTCCTCTAACATTGTTTATGCTGAGTTTCTGTGAGCAGATGGGAAGACTTATCTGTTGCCCCATCTCCCCATGTTTATTCTCTCAGTATGCAATTGCTCCATACTCATATCACAGCAAGCATTTCTCCAGGTCGTGAGGGGACACTGTAACACAGAGGCTGAGAGCCTGGTTACTCAGAGAGGGGTCCTGGGACCAGTAGCATACTCATCACCTGGGAGCTCGATAGAAATGCAGAGTATCAGGCTCTATCTCAGACCTGTGGGATCAGAATATGCATGTTAACACTGGTTTAAGCACTGGCTTAAAGTAAAGGCTTGAAGTCAAACTAAGTTAAACTAATAACTTGGCTTTTTACTTGCCAAATGATCTTGGGAATGAATTTGCCTTTATAAACCTCAGTTTACTGTCTAAAAATGAAGATAATAATAACACCTGCCTCATAAGTCTGTTTTGAAAATTAAATACATTGCACAGTACCTAACATAGGGGTAACTGTCAATTAATATTAGCTAATGTATCATTATTGTTATTATTAGCATATGACCCCTGCTTTATGAGAGACTATACCTATAGTCTAGAAAAGGGAAACGTGGGCTAATAAGTATATAGATTTACTACAAATACCATAAGACCTTTTGTTCCAGGTATTTGTGCCAGAGGTCCATAGCTTTTTACCTATGAGACATCACCCAAACATTAAAACCATGGTTCCTATTTGCTCAAAGGACGCACAGAAACATTATCTGTTGGCTGCATAATGAATACATGTAGAGAGATTTTTCTATTTTCATAAACAGTATTTTGCTTTTGTTTTTGTTTTCCCAATTTTCTATTTGAAAGCCTTACTTCTGGCACCCACAATGCACCCACAAGTATCTGAAGCTCAGAAATCTCCAAATCGAGGATCTAAGAAGTAGATCTCAGGTCAGAGAAGGACCCACAATTTGTAGGAATATCAGTCAAAATGGAAACAGGCCAGAAACAGAATATCTAGACATGCTGAATTGAAGTAGCTGAGAGGAATAGGAATGAGATGGTTTATGTCAAACCAGCTACCAAGGACAAATAAGACAAACATCAGATTTCACAAGGATCAGTTGGGGAAAAAAAATCTGTGAAAGAATATGTCGCCTACATTGTTTTCCTTTTAAATCACCTTTTCTTTTTAACTTTTTCATGGTGTCTCTTCTCCCCCAACAGATCTCTAAAGTTTTGTGTTCCTTGGATTCTATCTCCAAACCCCTTATCCACTCTCCCTTAATTCTTTTCTTAGGTGATTTTATGCAGTTTCCTCTGTTTAAATACCAGCAATACAGTAAGACTCTCAAATTTGCATTTCTAGCTCTGATGACTCCCCTGAGTCCCAGGCTCAACTTCCCATTCAGCATTTTCACTTAGAAATCAAATGGGATCCAAAACTTAGTTTGGTCTAAAACGGACCACTTGTTTACCCATGCCACCCCTGTCCCCACCAAAATCCACCATCAACCCAGTTATCAAGGCCCCAAACTAGGAGGAATCCTTGATTTGTTTTTTCTTTTCCTTCACCCTAGTTCTGTGCATCAGCAAGTTGTATGAGCTCTTCTTCCAAAAAGCATCCCAAATCTGGTCTTTTGCTATTATCTTTGCCACTGAAATCCTAATCCGGGTCAGCATAGTCCATCCCCCAGATCAAGTGCCATTATCTTGATGATGGTCCTCATCTCCACCCACGTGTCTTACAGGCAGCTCTGCACACGGATGCCTGAGTGAGCCTTATAATCAGACGGTGTAAGCTTCCCTGCGTAAAACCATGCCCTAGGCTTTTACTATGCCCTACAAGGCCCTTCATGAAGTGGCCCCTGCTTCTGTCATGAATTTCATCTCAGGCCACTCTCTTTCTCATCCCAAGCTCCAACCACCCTGACCCTCTTGCAGCCCTTGGAATGGTATACTAAGTGCACTCATTTCAGGACCTTTGTATCTGCTGTTCCTTCTATTTGAAGTGCCTTCTGTAAACCTTCGCATGACTGCCTTCTTCTTGTTACTTAGTCAACACAAATGTCATCTCATTTATGTTGAGATGACATTTGTGTTGAGCTTAAATGAGATGACATTTCTGTGGAGCTTTTCATCCCCAGCAACTCCCTCAGGCACTGTTTAACTTATGGATCAATTTAATCTTTTTCATAACACTTTTTAAAAATTAACATTAGCTTTGTAATGTATTTTTGGTTGAATATCTACTTGTTTCTTTCTCTAGAAGGTAAGCTCTTTGAGGGCAAAGATTATGTCTCTCTTGTCTGCATCAGTACCTAGAGCATTGTCTTGCATGTGATAGGCACTTACCATATACGTGTTGACCAATTGATCTTGTTTTGAATGTGCAGGTTCAGCCTACTATATTTATGCTGTCTTATATCTGAAATCAGCTGACCTATGTGGTTAGCTTAAGAGCTAATGCTCAATGCTAATTAGGAAGCAGTGTGGTTTCTTGGACAACAGCTAAATATTTTTATGAAAAAAATGAAATATGAAGACAAAGCTTCTCATGCGCATGCCTTAGTTGTTCATTTCTTTAGAACATAAAATTTGTTTGTACACACAAAAAAGATGTTGTATCCAAAAATTATTCCAAAAAAACATTGTTTTGTGTTCATGAAAAGAAAGAAACTGTGTTTCACCTTGTTAAGCGTTCGAGAATTTTCTGTGTTCAGTGACACTGGTAAGGCTGGAGAGTTGAAATGAAAATTTCTCTTGGGATAAAAATAGTGAACTGAAAAGTAGTAAATCAAACACTCTTCATTTGCATGTCTCAGGGGCCATGTATAGAAACTAGCATCTGATACAATCTACAGTGTACAAACCTGGGAGTGTAAGCTGCATGAAGGCAAGGGCATCATCTATTATTCATTATCATTTTATTCCCTAGCTATAACTCAGGGCTTAGGATGTAGTAATCACTTATTAAAACTTTGTTGAAAAAGTAAAGGGGAATTATGTTATAAATGGCATTTTGATGTTGCTATTATGGAATCTTTTATTTTAGAAGCATCTCCAATATACTAAGTACTGCACTAGTGGCTTGTAATAAAGAATGCATCAGAAGAGCAGCACTTTATGGTGGACAGAAAACTGCAAGGAGTGTCTGTAGGTCTTGACCCTTATATGAGATCTGTCTCAGCGTAACCTCGAGCAAGTCTCATAACCTCTCAAAGCCTCCACTCTTCAAATAAACAGAGAACCCAGTGCTGCATAACTATAGCAGCTACATTTCTTCCTGGCATGAGCTATGAGTCTGACACTCTACAGGGTTTTCCACATGGGCAGTTTAATTTAATCCTCAAAGCAAAGTACGAGTTATATTTTTATTATTAATATCACCTTGAGCAGGCTATGGCATTTGTCCACCGTCACAAGTCCAAGGACTCTGAACTTGAACTCAGGTCTTCCTGACTACCAAGCCAATGCTTTTGGATCTCCATCTCATGCTTCTCTACTTAGGTTGGCCATCTGCCCAGGTTTGCTTGGGACAGTGCCAGCCCTGGCTGGTCACCATTTGATATAGTTTGAATATATGTCCCTGCCAAATCTCATGTTGAATTGTAATCCCCAGTTTTGGAAGTGGGGCCTGGTGGGAGGCGTTTGGATCATGGGGACAGATCCCCCATGGCTTGGTGGTGTCCTTTTGATAGTGAGTGAGTTCTTGTGAGACCTGGTTGTTTAAGCGTGTGGCACCTCCCCTCCCTCCCCACTCTCTCTCTTTCTCCTGCTTTCAACATGTGATGTGCCTCCTCCCTCTTCAACCTTCAGCCATGAGTAGGAAAAGCTCCCTGAGGACTCCCCAGAAGCCGAGGAGATGCTGGTGCCATGCTTGTACAGCCTGCAGAACCATAAGCCCATCAAACCTCTTTGCTTTATGAATGACCAAGCCTCAAGTATTCCTTTATAGCATTGTGAGAATGGCCTAATACAGTTTTCCTAGTGATCTTTTCACTTTGCGACTTGTGAACTCTCCACTAGAGGCGGCCCTCTCCACTAGAGGCGGCCATCAAATAGGTTCTGTTCCCCTTCCATCTTTACTTTATTCTAGAAAGAGTACAGAATCAGGTGACCACAAGGAAGCTGAAGGGGGGCATGATCACTGCACTTTATTAAATGGATCTGGGTGATATGGTTTCTTATGGAGAGTCAGGTGGCCTTGAAATGAACACATCCAAATTTATTTGCCAAACTGAGAATGAAAGAGCTAAAGGGGTAATAACGATGATGATGTTAATAATATTAATAATATGATAATGATTATAATAAAAACAACAGCAGTAAACACAACAATCATTGGAATTAGTATAGTTTTTTAGCCTCAATTATGTAAACAATTAAGTGTTCATTCATCAGCAAATCCTTAATGCACAGTTACTGTTCACCAGAGAAACTGAGCAGCTTTGTGTACCATTCTTTTCTGTGAATATCCTAATCTCTGAACCACTTTCTTCCCTCTTACCTGTAAAATGGGAATAATAACCTCCACCTCATTGAGAGTGATGGGGCTACTATTCAAAGAAAAAAAAATTATTGAAGGAACCATCCCCTAGCTAAGTAAATGTTTGCCTCTGACTCCTTTAATTCAAGTACCATGGCATAGTTATTCATAAAAGTCAGTATGTTTATGCATTCTTTCACTCAACAAATATTTATAATATGCATAATATATGTCAAGTACAGAATACAGGCAAAATACATAGTTAATGTAATACAACAAAAAAAGGCAGTGAAAACAAATTTACAAAGGTGAGAGGATGAATAGCTATGGAGGGGATTGTGTGACTTTAAGCAGGATGATCAGGGAAGTCTTTCTTCTGGGGTTGACATTGGAGCAAATAGGTGAAGCTGGTGAAAGCACGGACTATGCAGGTGCACAGACAGAGTTTCACATGGGGAGAGGAGTGTGTGTGCATGGGCTGCGGTGGGAGTGGGGACCAAGAAACAGCAGGAGGACCGGTGTTGCTAGAGCTGGTGAAGCAGAAGGAAGGGAGCAAGAGAAGTCAGAGGCAGAGTCATCAGTGATGTGGACCATGGCAAGAGGCTGGTGATTTACTGGGATCCTATTTCCAGTGTGATGGAAACTGTTGACATGTTCCATTGAAGGTCGGTTAATAAAGATCGATCATTAAGTCAGAGCTAGTGTTTCAGTGAATACCGCATGCTAAGACAGCATGAATATACACCTTGTGCCAAAAGTTACTTGCTGAAGCAAACCAGACTAGCCATGACCAGGTTGAGAGACCATGACAGCACAGTGGAAGACTCCACATCCAAGGGAGTACCTTCGAAATGGTACTCCCTTGTGTACCATTGTGAGGGAGTACCTCACAATGTGGCAGATAGGAGGCCCTAGCTTGCAGACCTATCCAAGATCCATGATGGGACATGAGGAATTATGTGATCAGTGCCAATGAATCCTGTGGAGATTTCTTTCCAGCCAATTGCCTTGAATGACAGGATCTCAAACTCAATTGAATGCTCTGGGCCAGGCTAGGGTTTCATAGACACAATTTCATTCAAATCTCACAATAGCCCCATGGGGTGGAATTTCCATTTCACACTTTGCCTGTGAGGAGTCTGAGATGGGAGATGGTAAGTGATTTGCCAAGTTCACAGCTAGAAAGCATTGCTTCCCAGACATGGAAGCCCACCTTCTCCCTACACAGCCCCTGCGTATTTGTGAGCCTGTAGACACTTCCTCTTTGTCCCTTTCATCTTGCAGCAATAAAACCTGCCAAAGGATGACTTAATGCCAATAATAACCACCTCCCCACTGCAGGGGCCTCTGCAGTTTACCTAGCTCCTTCATACTCATTTTCTTATGCCCTCTGTGAGCCAGTTCACACCCTCCCTGCCTTTTATTTTCACAGGCATGGCAGGTACAGGATGTGATAAATACTCTGAACAAGGAAACATTTAGCCTAAGCCAACTATTATCGGCAGCATCTATGACGAATGACTTAATATAACCCTGAAAAGCACAATGTGATGACTAATTTGTGGTTAAAGGTAGTTGGAAATTTACTTTGTAAAAAATTACATGGAAGTAACCTGATTAACTTTGAAAGAGAGAGCAAAAAAAAAAAAGGGGGGGGGCAACAAAATACACAAATAATGATTTACTCCTCCTTGCAGAGGTAGCAATAAAGATAAGAATTACAACCCCAAGACCAAGAGACGGAATGAACATGTTTCATTTTGCATACTGGATGAAGAACATGGATCAGAGCAGGAAATGTTTAAGTAAGAAAGCTCTGGGGCTCCATGGACTCAAGCAGACCGTTTGTTTTAGATGGGAAAGGAATCTTTGGCTATCTAGTCTCTTCAGTTACCTGATGAAGAAACTGAGGCATACACACAGGATCTTATTTGGAGTCCATTGAGTCAAGGCCTTCTCCTTGGCAGGGAGGAAAACGCAGCATGTTTCTAGAGAAGGATGCAAACTCTGAGGTCCTGATGGCCTGAGCTTGCTGGCTTCGTCTGGGCGACTTGGGACAAATCACCTAACCTCTTTGAGACTGAAATGTTTTATATGAAGACCATGAATGACAATACAAACTTCCTAGTGTTGTAAGAGTTAAGCAGCTTATTGCACCTAAAATACCCAGCAAAATACCTGGCATACAGTAGGTTCACCAAAGAATGTTCATTCCTTTCTTCCTCTGCCTAGTTACTGTCTTTCCCCATGGAAGTCATGAAAGCTGTATCAAGCCTTTCTTAGTTCTCTAACTCCACACCCCTCACAAAAAAAAAAAAAGAAAAAAAATTGACATTAACCTCATTTTTCATTTCCTAGACTGCTGTAGCAAACTATCACAAACTTGGGGGCTTAAAACAGTGGAAATGTTTTGTCTCACAGTTCTGGACGCCAGAAGTTTGAAATCAAGGTGTCATTAGGGTTGGTTTCTTCTGGAAGCTCCAAGGGAGAATCTGTTCGATGCCTCACTCCTAGCTTCTGGTGGCTGTGGGCAATCTTGGCATTCTCTGGCTTGTCAATGCATCACTACAACCTCCACCTCCCTCACGTGAACTTCTCCTCTGTGTCTGTATGTCTATGTCTCAAATCCCCTCTCCTTTCTTTTGTAAGGATACCAGCTACTGGATTTACAGCGTATCCTAAATCCAGGAAATCTAAATCCTGAGCTTTCTAAATTAATCCCATCTACAAAAACACTATTTCCTTTCTTTTTTTCTCCCTCTTCTTCTTATTTTTCTTTTTCAGATGGAGTCTCACACTCTGATGCCCAGGCTAGACTGCAGTGGCACAATCTTGGCTCACTCCAACCTCCACCTCCCAGGTTCAAGCAATTCTTCTGCCTCAGCCTCCCAAGTAGCTGGGACTACAAGTGGGCACCACCATGCCTGGCTCATTTCTGTATTTTTAGTAGAGACAGGGTTTCACCATATTGGCCAGGCTGGTCTCGAACTCCTGACCTTGTCATCTGCCCACCTCTGCCTCCCAAGGTACTAGGATTACAGGCGTGAGCCACCACATCCGGCCCCAAAACACTATTTCTTTTTTTTTTAATTTTATTTTTTTATTATTTTATTTATTTTATTTTATTTATTATACTTTAAGTTCTAGGGTACATGTGCACAACGTGCAGGTTTGTTACATATGTATACATGTGCCATGTTGGTGTGCTACACCCATTAACTCGTCATTTACATTAGGTATATCTTCTACTGCAATCCCTCCCCCCTCCCCCACCCCACAACAGGCCCCGGTGTGTGATGTTCCCCTTGCTGTGTCCAAGTGTTCTCATTGTTCAATTCCCACCTATGAGTGAGAACATGCCAAAACACTATTTCTAAGTAAGTTCACATTTACAGGTACCAGGGGTTAGGACTTAGACAGATCTTTTGGGGGAAGGGACACAATACAACCTACTAAAGAGAGCAAACAACTTGTGTCTCTTGGGGACCCTCTGATTTCTCATACCTAGTACAGTGCTTGTAACCTAACAAGTTTTCATTAAATGCATGTGGAAAACATGAACACTGTCACTTTAAGACTTCCCGTCTGTGATCCTACATTCCTGCCAGATGGCCCCTCTAACCCTGAGAGCCTCAGCTTTCCCAACCGCCTGAGCATCCCACTGTCTGTACCATCACTGAAGCTCCACAGGAAGCCAGGCCCCTGGAAGGCACAGCTCAGCAGGACTGTGTGACTGTCCCCTGACAAGCTGCATGGCAAGGTGCCTACATGCTGTTCAGAAAAGCAGAGCAGGCCTTGTTTCTGCTGAGCTCCATGGAGACAAATGTCAGTGACATTGCTGCCTGCTTTGGTGACCTTCCTTACCACAGGGACATTGGACATAGTACATTTGTGTTTACAAACGCCTCTGCCTCTCTACACCCTAACTTTGCTTATGAGTGTTCCTACTATCCTGAATTTTTTTTCCTCCCCTTCCTATGGCATTTTTATCCCAACTATCAAATTTATCCCACTTTAAATATCTTCCTTAGCAATAACTTCCCAAATAGCCCAATCTACTTTCTACCTGAATATATACTTTCATAAAGTTCATATTTATTCTTTAAAAGATTTAACACAATAGTAAATAATGATGAGTTTAATTACTTGTATAATGCCCTGCTTCCTGAACTATCTTTAAGTTACATGAGAGCAGATCTTTGTCCATTGTATAAATAGAATGCATCTCCAATGCCTGGAGCTAGAAGGTGCGGAACATGTGGAAGCGACCACTTGAATCTGCTTGCCACACTTTTTGTCTTAGCCTTTAGTCCTCTCATTCACACTTCAACTTTCCAATTCCCCCTTCACTCACTGTAAAGTGTATTCATGATCTATATTATCGTACACAACAAGCTTGGTTTCCCAATATCCAGTTCATCATCAAGTCCTATTCATGGAGCTATCAAATACCCATTGGCTTCATCCTTCCACACTGGTAGGTGGATTCCTACCTGTATTTGTTTGGTACAGCTGCCATAACAAAGATAAGTGGCTTTAACAACATAACTTGGCCCTAACAAAGATGGTGCCTTTAACAACATAACTTGTTTTCTGGAGGCTAGAAGTCTGAGGTCAAGGTGTAGGCAGGTTTGCTTTCTTCTGAGGCCCTTCTCCTTGGCTTCTAGATAGATGTATTATCTCTGTGTCTTTATAATGTCTTCCATCTGTGTATATCCATGTCCTAATCTGATCTTCTCACAAGGAAATCAGCCATATTAGATTAGGGAGCATGCTAATGACCTCATTTTAACTTAATTACCTCTTTAGAGGCACGATCTCCAAATACAGTCACATTCTGTAGTACTACAGGCTAGGACTCAAGATACAAATCTGGGTGGGTGACAAATTCATCCCGTTAGATTTCAGTTCAAACAGTACTTCCTTGGAGAGGTTTGCACTGATATTTCAAATGAAGTCAGACTTCCTCATTACAGCCTCTTATAGCAGCCTGCACTGTAAATTCATGGCATTTACCATAGTAGTAATTTCATATGTGTGTTTGCAAATATTCTATTTATGTGTAGCTCTCTACTAGATTATAAACTCCATGAGGGCAGTGGATGTGTCTGGTTTTTCTTGCCATTAATAGGTCCAATGCCCAACATTAGCACTTCTTACCATTCACTCTTTATTATCATCTTCCTTTTAATTTCTAGGATACCATGGGTCCTTTTTTCTCTTTCTATGCCTCAAGATTGTTCAAGATTCTTCACTTTCCTCCTGCTTTTGACCTACCTCTTGGATATTGTTTCTTTGAGATTCTGTCTTGATCACTTTCTCTTCTTGCTCAATGAGCTCTATCTGGGAAATTGTCAACACTCTCAAGGCTTTAGTAAATATCATGTTCTCTCAATGACTTCCAAATTTCTGTATGTAGTGTGGTTCTGCCTTCATTGATTCATTCCTGTATTCCCTACTACCTACAGATTATTTTAACTTTACCCATTCCTCAAAAACATGTTCAACAAAGCAATTACATTTACCTTTAAATCTACTCTACCTCTATTTGTTGGCTTAGTGAATGGCATCAGTGTACACGCAGTGGCTCCAATAATAATATATAGTATAGGAACCCATTACCAATGTAACAGATAAAAATATAAAGAGTATCCAATCCAGCTTCTCTCTCACATCTCAAACCCAACCATGTTGACTCCTGTGTACTCCTTGGTTCATTTCTTAAATCAGATGCTTACTATTTCTCCATAGACACAAGAATATTTAACTAAGCCTAGCAGAGACACAACAAAAAAAGAGAATTTTAGACCAATATCCCTGATGAACATCGATGCAAACATCCTCAGTAAAATATTGGCAAACTGAATCCAGCAGCACATCAAAAAGCTTATCCACCATGATCAAGTGAGCTTCATCCCTGGGATGCAAGGCTGGTTCAACATATGCAAATCAATAAATGTAATCCAGCATATAAACAGAACCAAAGACAAAAACCACATGATTATCTCAATAGACGCAGAAAAGGCCTTTGACAAAATTCAACAACCTTCATGCTAAAAACTCTCAATAAATTAGGTATTGATGGGACATATCTCAAAATAATAAGAGCTATTTATGACAAACCCACAGCCAATATCATACTGAATGGGCAAAAACTGGAAAAAGTCCCTTTGAAAACTGGCACAGGACAGGGATCCCCTCTCTCACCACTCCTATTCAACATAGTGTTGAAAGTTCTGGCCAGGGCAATCAGGCAGGAGAAAGAAATAAAGGGTATTAAATTAGGAAAAGAGGAAGTCAAATTGTCCCTGTTTGCAGATGACATGATTGTATATCTAGAAAACCCCATCGACTCAGCCGAAAATCTCCTTAAGCTGATAAGCAACTTCAGCAAAGTCTCAGGATACAAAATCAATGTGCAAAAATCACAAGCATTCTTATACACCAATAACAGACAAACAGAGAGCCAAATCATGAGTGAACTCCCATTCACAATTGCTTCAAAGAGAATAAAATACCTAGGAATCCAACTTACAAGGGATGTGAAGGACCTCTTCAAGGAGAACTACAAACCACTGCTCAAGGAAATAAAAGAGGATACAAAGAAATGGAAGAACATTCCATGCTAATGGATAGGAAGAATCAGTATCATGAAAATGGCCATACTGCCCAAGGCAATTTATAGGTTCAATGCTATCCCCATCAAGCTACCAATGGCTTTCTTCATAGAATTGGAAAAATCTACTTTAAAGTTCATGTGGAACCAAAAAAGAGCCTGCATCGCCAAGTCAATCCTAAGCCAAAAGAACAAAGCCGGAGGCATCATGCTACCTGACTTCAAACTATACTACAAGGCTACAGTAACCAAAACAGCATGGTACTGGTACCAAAACAGAGATATAGACCAATGGAACAGAACAGAGCCCTCAGAAATAATACCACATATCTACAACTATCTGATCTTTGACAAACCTGACAAAAACAAGAAATGGGGAAAGGATTCCCTATTTAATAAATGGTGCTGGGAAAATTGGCTAGCCATATGTAGAAAGCTGAAACTGGATCCCTTCCTTATACCTTATACAAAAATTAATTCAAAATGGATTAAAGACTTAAATATTAGACCTAAAACCATAAAAACCCTAGAAGAAAACCTAGGCAGTACCATTCAGACATAGGCATGGGCAAGGACTTCATGTCTAAAACACCAAAAGCAAAGGCAACAAAAGCCAAAATTGACAAATGGGATCTAATTAAACTAAAGAGCTTCTGCACAGGAAAAGAAACTACCATCAGAGTGAACAGGCAACCTACAGAATGGGAGAAAATTTTTGCAATCTACTTATCTGACAAATGGCTAATACCCAGAATCTAAAAGAACTCAAACAAATTTACAAGAAAAAAACCATCAACCCCATCAAAAAGTGGGCAAAGGATATGAAGAGACACTTCTCAAAAGAAGACATTTATGCAGCCAACAGACACATGAAAAAATGCTCATCATCACTGGCCATCAGAGAAATGCAGATCAAAACCACAGTGAGATAGCATCTCACACCAGTAAGAATGGCAATCATTAAAAAGTCAGGAAACAACAGGTGCTGGAGAGGGTGTGGAGAAATAGGAACACTTTTACACTGTTGGTGGGACTGTAAACTAGTTCAACCCTTGTGGAAGAAAGCGTGGGGATTCCTCAGGGATCTAGAACTAGAAATACCATTTGACCCAGCCATCCCATTACTGGGTATATACCCAAAGGATTATAAATCATGCTGCTATAAAGACACATGCACGTGTATGTTTATTGCGGCACTATTCACAATAGCAAAGACTTGGAACCAACCCAAATGTCCAACAATGATAGACTAGATTAAGAAAATGTGGCACATATACACCATGGAATACTATGCAGCCATAAAAATGATGAGTTCATGTCCTTTGTAGGGACATGGATGAAGCTGGAAACCATCATTTTCAGCAAATTATCACAAGGACAAAAAACCAAACACTGCATGTTCTCACTTATAGGTGGGAATTGAACAATGAGAACACTTGGACACAAGAAGGGAAACATCACACACCGGGGCCTGTTGTGGGGTGGGGGAAGGGGGGAGGGGTAGCATTAGGAGATATACCTAATGTAAATGATGAGTTAATGGGTGCAGCACACCAACATGGCACATGTATACATATGTAACAAACCTGCAGGTTGTGCATATGTACCCTAGAACTTAAAGTATAATAAAAAAAGATATATATATAGATAGATATAGATATATCTATCTATATATATCTATATCTATCTATCTATCTATCTATCTATCTATAATCCAAATCACTCTTCTGCCTAAAACCTTCTCCTGGGACCCCACCCCAAGAGGATACACATCTGTCTGTTTAGCCTAACTCACAGAACCCTACGTGAGCCAAAACACATATCTCTTTACACTGATTTCTTACTAACCTTTCCTATTTTTCTGCATATCCTGTTGTTTGTCTAGGCCTAATTTCTCATCTGCCTTTGAAAACGACAGACTTCTCCGTGTTCCTGTATATACATCTCAGGCCCCACTTTAGAAATGTGGATTTGCGGAGGAAGCCATTAGCTGTCACTCTTCTTGAGAATAGTCTCAGCTGCAGAAAACTGCCTTACCCAAGGTGACACCTCCTTCCACTGACAGCCTGCATTCTCTGCTGGTCAACAATTCTAATGGGCCTTTTCAGCTCCAGAGCTCCCTTTAATGTTGGCTAAAGACTTTTATTGGGCTGCATTGCTGCTCACTTTCTCCCTCTGCATATTCCTACTTCTCTACCTCCCTCCACAGGTGTGGATCCCAAGGGAACTCCTGGATAAAACTTCTGCTCTCTTAATCTCCATCTCAAAGTCAGCTTCCTCGGGAACAAATATGTGACACTGGATATTTGCAGATGTGCCCTCTGCTTGAATAGCACTTCTGTTCTGTCTTTCCCTGCCCAAATTCTTTGCATTCATCACATCCCAAGTCATATGTCACGTAGGTACTGCTGACAAAGTGAGTCACATTCTATTCTCTCCCACTACGGCACATTTCACTTTTCCCTGATTCCAACACATATTACACTACATTATAATTATTACTCAGATATTTTCATTTTCTTCTCTAGTAATTTTATACTCTTGAAGAATGCGGTATTAGTTATCCATTGCTGTGTAAAGAATTGCCACAATCTTATTGGCTTAATACAAATAACACTATTTAATATTCTTTCACAGCTCTGTATGTCAGATATTTAGGTGAGCTTAACTAGCCTTTTTGCTTAGGGTCTCCAAAGACTGAAATCAAGATGTCAGCCAGCCTAGCTCTTCACTAGAGGCTTTGGGGAGAATCCACTTCCAACTCATGTAAGTTGTTGGCATAATCTAGTTCCTTTTGGTTGTAGGACTGATTTCCCTGTTTCCCCACGGCTGTCAGTAGAGGTCAGCCTTGGCTCCTAGAAGCTGTCCACTCTACTTCTCACATGGCTTCCTCCAGCTTCAAAGCAAACAATAGTGCATCTGCTGCTTCTTGTGCTTTGAAACTCTCTGGCTCCCATTTTTGTCTTCTTTTTCTTCACCAGTCAGAGAAAATTCTTTGCTTTTTAGGTCTCATGTGATTGGATCAGGTCCAGATCAGGCCCACTAAGATATTATCTATTTTATAATGTCAACTGTGTCATACAACACCATCATGGGTGTGGTATTTCACATTCACAGTCATCACTTCTAGGAAGTAGAGCATGGATTCCTGGTGGAAGTTCCTATGACCACCTACTGCAGATGTAAAGAGCATCTTATTCATAGAATATGTTCCTCAGTGCTCAGCAGAGATTCTTATATAAAAAATATTGATGCTTCTGTCAACTCCTAGGTTTAACTGACTTCAGTTTCCATGAGTATGACACTATTAACTCTCTGGTCTTAGTTGCATGCACAGCCAAAAAGCAAAACAAAACAAAGCAAATAAGCCATAACAAAAAGCACCTCAAATTGCATATAAGGAAATAAAAAAACAGTAAGGAAGTAGAAACTAGACTGAAGGGCTCTTGTGATGAGCATTGACTCACAGGAGAAAAGATAAAAAATAAAAGAGAATTGTCATGAAAAGAAAGAAAACCCTGTTGAAAAATCTAACTGCAGTTTTTCAGTTTTGCATATTTCATAGTTGAGTCTATCAGTCTCCAAGATCAAAAAGTGACCAAAGTTGTTTTACTATTAAAATGCCTTGATAAGATTAATTTTAAATAGCAGTCTGATTTGGAGCAGCAGAAATGCAATGCTCACTAGTTTGCCCCTAGACTGTACTGTGATGAGCCGGCACTTTTGATTTGGGGATGGAGTCATTCACGTGATTGTACTTATGTAAATCATTGCAGTGCTTTCAAGATTGCTGTCTCTCCACGTATATGCCAATGACTCTAATACTTTTTGGTAATTGCAGCCTCCCTCCCTCTCTGCTGCTGATTGCAGCCTTTGCTTCCCTTTGTGCTTAGACACACAAAGTGATGACAAAGGTGGACAATTGTTTCTGGCTACAGCTCACGCGAATAAAACTCTTCCAATTGATTCAGAGCGCTGATGTCAAGCAAGAACCTGTACTTCTTGACACTGCATTTTTTCCCAGTGAATAACAAATCAGTGTGTTTCTACCAACAGATTCTTTCCCTCTGCCTTTCTCTTTTTCTCTACCATTAGTCATGCTGGTAGAGCTCACCACCCGCCATTTGGCATGCCTCTGCTAATGCTCTTACCCATGTAGAGGTGGATTTGGTTTCACTGAAGTTGGGGACATAGCTGTGCTTACTTGGGTCTGATACCGACCAGCTGTAATCTTTTTAAAAGTATTTTTGACTGTTTATGCTTATTGCAATCTGTTTTATTCTTGGTGCAAATTTTTCAAACATTTCTATTATTACATTTTTGAATTTCAGGTAACATAAACATACTTCAGAACAAAAGATACAAGTAGAAAATGTACAGTGGGTAACCTTGAAGGGAGAACTAGTTTTAGCTAATTGACTCGTATATGCTTCATATACCATAGCTCCTTTAAATAGGGAAGAAACCTAATAGGGAACATCATGCGTTGTGCTCTTTAAGTAGGTGGAAAAGTTAGACTAAAAAAAGAGAAGCAACTTGCCTAGGTTGCTAATCCACTAAGTGAAAGATCCTAGACTCAAAATGATAAGTGTCTGATGGCAATGCCCTCAGAATTTTCCTGTTATATATCTCAACTTCCCACTTGATTATGCTATTTACTTTCATCCACTTATTCAGCATTCAAAGAATCCCTACTATGACCCTGACACAGTGCTGGCAGCAAAGTATTCACACAGGCAAAGACACAGTCCTGTCCCACAGATGCTCATAGACTACCATAATCAATGTCTATGTAAATAAATAATTATGATGCAACTTTTTCAAAGTATTGTAATAAAAATAGTTTCAAAGTAGGTCTATCTAGAGCTACTCTTCCAATGCAGTAGCCACTACTCTTGTGTGGTTATTTACATTTCAATTTGAAAAAATTGAAAGTATTTTATAAATAAATGTTAGAATTCATCTCCTCAGTTGCAGTAACCACATTTCAAGGGTTTCATAATCACATATGGTTTGTGGCTACTGGATTGGACAACACAGAACATTTCCATCACTGCACAAAGTTCTTTTGTACAGTGCTAGTCCAGATGAGGGGTTACAAAGCCTTTACAGAAAGTAGCTCTTGAGCTGAGACTTGAAGACTAAATTAGAGTTTCCAGGCAAATCAGAGAGAGCCAGGAGATTCCAGGCTGAGGAAAGAAAATGTGCCAAGGCAAGGAGATAGCATGAGACGGTACAGATTGTTCAGAAAGATGCAAGTAAATCAGATCAATTTTAAATTTTTAAAGGGTGAGCTGGCATAGGCAGCACAACATGGATTGACAGGAAGATGGGGGACTCTTCACTAATAACCTCCTAGGTCACTGTATGGGATATGTATGTCATAGGATGGAGTGCAGATTTTCTCCTATAGACCAATAGTTTTCAAGCCTTTTTAGTTGTATAACCTTTTGTTTTACTTATCTAATAATGTATTATTCAGAATTTCTACACAACAGGCAGATACAAATAGAAATGCTCATTTTAAACAGGGCAGAAGTCTTTCCACTCAGGAACTTCTGGACCTCTGAGACACCCTCATTCAACCCTAGGGCTCTGAAAAGCTAGTGGGGACTCTAGAGAGCCACTGGAGAATTTTGACCATGTGGCAGGTGATCTGAAGCTGTGTATTTGGAAGCTCATTCTGCTCCAATGTGGCAGACTGATGGATGGAGATAGGACAGAAGTAGGGATGGATGACTACAAAAGCAGGAAATAGATGAAGAAAAAGATGGTTAAGTATTATTTTTAAATAGGGGGAGAAAGGACAATGTAAGGATCTGAAAGAATCTGGAAGGAATACAAGGCAAAGAACAAACATTCACTAACAGTCTTCTTTTTTTTTCATGGGCAATTTGGCAGCTGTTGGTATCATTTTTTATGATGTGGGATTCTAGAGGGACATTTTACTTATTGGATGATTGGTTTAAATTCGCTATTCTTCAAAAAATAGCAGGGCAGGGAGGGTGATGGTTTACATTTAGGCCTTGAGTTACTGCTCTGTCATTCTGTCAAAGCCTGAGGGAATATCAAAAAAAACCCTTCTATTCACTTCAATGAATAATGTATGTCGTATTTCTTTATTCTTCCCCATAGCAAACACCAATCAGAAACATCAGAAACAAACAGACCACAGAAAACCAGAGTCAAAACCGGCATTTTGTCAACTGATTAGATAGCAGTTAGTTTAATGCTAACATTAATCAAGGGCTGATTGCTCCATTGTGAGGAACAAGGACTATGTGCAAAGATTAATACACAAGATCTGGTTCAGAATATCTCTGCAGAAACCCCAATGCAGTAATTAAGAAGAACACAAAATGAAGGTTATTGATCCGTTATGTTATTGAGAAACAACATAATTGATATGTTAAATCTTAATTGTTCATTCCAAAGTAAAAGAGACAGTTCTCACAGATCATTAGTAACAAGATTTTTTTGTTGTTTTTATCATTTAAAACAAAATATTGAGTTCATATGTTACCCTACTTCAAATAAACATTGATTTAATTGTCAAGAAATCTTCATTTGTAAGTATTTAAAATTATCATTCTTTGGACAAATCTGAGGCAATAGAATTCAGGCTTTGGAGTCAGACAGATTCTACTCATCTGACTTTGGGGAATCAAGTTTGTCATTCGATCTCTCTGGGCCTCAGAAATCTCTTTTATAAAGTGGCAATGATAATGGCCACCTCACCAATTTGTTAGAGGGATTCAGGGAGAAAGTCGATGTCTAAGAGCCAGTCTAGAACACTGCCTAGCAGCAAAGACAATGGATCAAAACCACTGTCTTTCAAACCCAGCTTTGCCACTGATCAGCTGTGCAACCTTAGACACATTACTTAACCTCTCTGTGTGCCAATTTCCACATCTCTAAAGAGGAATAATAGTAATAGGCATTTCTGACAGCGTTCTTGTGAGGATTAAATAAATGAAGTGTTTGGAAGGTGGTCTTGAAAATTATAAGCACTAGATAACTGTTCATGTATTGCTATTATTTGAAAGGGTTTAGGAACATAGCTGATTCTTAATAGATATCCACTGCAGCATTTCCCCCTTTGCAGCTGGATGTTCAATGATTTAAACCAGAGCTCTTGCCTTTTTTTATATATATGTACAAATGAACAGGAAAGGAGACAAATTAAAGCAAGGTCTGTTGTTCTGTTTGCCTTGTGCAGTGGTGCAATCTCAGCTGACTGCAACCTCTGCCTCCCAGGTTCAAGCAATTCTCCTGCCTCAGCCTCCCAAGTAGCTGGGATTACAGGCATCTGCCACCAGGCCCAGATAATTTTTTTTTTTTTTTTTTTGTATTTTTAGTAGAGATGGCATTTCACCACGTTGGCCAGGCTGGTCTTGAACTTCTGATCTCAGGTGATCCACCAACCTCAGCCTCCCAAAGTGCTCTGGGATTACAAATGTGAGCCACTGCGCCCGGCCCGCCTTGTTCATTTTTACATGGAACTTCCAGGAAGCCTCCTTTTGCCTAATTCCTTAATGTGAAAAGATAATACAGGAAATATGAAGAAAGCTTGATGGAGGAAGACGAAGATAAATAATTGAGAAATAAAGACTCAAGGAGAAATAGATTGCTCTAATCAGGAAACAGATTCCAATTCACATCTTGACAAAAATTTGAGGACAACTTGCCTTCAAAAAACCAGAATAGGGCGTTGGAAAAAAAGAAATTGTAAGATAACAAGACTTCTTGGGGGTTAAAAAATACTACATGTAAAATTAAAGGGAAAAAATACATGGGCTAAAGGTAAAGTCAAAGAAATTGCACAGAACTTAGATATAAAAAGATAGAGAAGAACGTAAGAGAAGAAACAAATCCAGTGGTCCCGGCATTGAATAAAAGGAATCCTGGACAAGAGTAATAGCGACAAGACAGGGAAGGATATTGCCAAAGATATAATACAAGAAAAGTGTGTAGAACTGAAGGAAATGGAAATCTTCAAATGGAAAATGTCCCATCCACAATAAGATACAACCACACTTCCACTAGAATAGTTAATATTAAAAAATAAATAGGGAAAAATGGAAAATACTAACTGTTGATGAATATTCAGACAAACTTATACTTTCATGCACTGCAAGTAGAAATATAAAACAGTACAGCCTCTTTAGAAAAAATAATTGTCGATACCTTATAAACATAAATAAGTAATTACCAGATGACCCAAGAGTCTCACTCCTAGTTATTTGCCCAAGAGAAGTCAAAATATCTGGCCACACAAACACCTGTAAATAAAAGTTTATAGCATCTTTATATGATATCAAGAAGCAACTCAAAGGACCATCAAATCATCAGTTGGTGATTGGATAAATAAATTTTGGTACATACCAACAATGGAATGCTACAGTAACAATAAACAATAATGGAATACTACAGTAATAATAAGAAACAAGCTACTGATATATTCAACAACATGAATAAATCTCAAAAGTATTATGTGAAAGAAGTGAGACACAAAGGTCTGTATACTGTTTGAGTCTATTTATGTCACATTCTGGCAAAGACAAAATAAAGAGATGGAAATAAGGTTAGTGGTTGTCAGAAATTGGAGATGAGGAGTTGAGATCAATTAAGAAGGAGCAAGAGGGAACTCTTGGTGTTGCTAGAAATATTCTATATCATCAGTTGGTGATGAATACATGATAGTATACCTTTATGAAAGCTTAAACTGTACTTCGAAAGAGTAGATTCAATTATTTGTTAACCCTTCAGCAAATATGATGCCAGTAAAAAGGAAAAGGCCCACTAAGTGCCAAACGAGATGGTTTTTTGAAAGCTCTCATTAGGGATGTCGTTTAAAAAATTCAGGCTGGGTGTGGTGGCTCACACCTATAATACCAGCACTTTGAGAGACTGACGTAGGCGGTTTACCTGAGGTCAGGAGTTCCAGACCAGCCTGGCCAACATGTTGAAACCCTGTCTCCACTAAAAACACAAAAATTAGCTGGGCATGGTGGTGGATGCCTGTAATCCCAGCTACTTGGGAGGCTGACACAGAAGAATTGCTTGAACCTGGGAGGTGGAGGTTGCCGTGAGCTGAGATGGCACCACTGCACTTCAGCCTGGGTGACAAGGAAAGACCCCAAGTCAAAAAAAAAAAAAAAAAAAAATAGAACACTAATGATAAAACAAAGAACCTACAGTCTTATGGAGAGGTTAGGGTATCTTCAAATACATCAGGAACACTGGATGCCAGAAAACAACAGAGAAAGGATTTCCAAGATGTAAGGGACAAACAGTTTCCAACCCAGAATTTTATACACAGCCAAATTGTCAGGGAAGATAAGAATGAAGTTTATTTCTCACATACACTCTTAGGAAGTTCCTTGAGAATGTACTCCAGCATACACGAAAATAAAAAAAAAAAGATGACATGACCACCAGAAAGTGGTGAGATCAATACAGGGCAGTAGAAACAGGAAGTCTAGAGAATGTTGTTAATGAAGCCATTTTACAGGGCAAATAATCTGTATTGGGTTAAAAGAATGAAAAGAATGATCACCCCCTAAAAAGGGATAAATCAGAACAGATAGTAAGGTTGGAAATGTAGAAACAAGAGGCATAAGTAGGCTGGGCGCAGTGGCTCTGGCCTGTAAACCCAGCACTTTGGGAGGCTGAGGCAGGAGGATCACTTGAGGTCAGGAGTTTGAGACCAGCCTGGCCAAGACGGCAAAACACCATCTCTAATAAAAATAGACACACACACACACACACACACACACACACACACACACACAAAAATAGCCAGGCGTGATGGTGAGCAGCTGTAATCCCAACAACCCAGGAGGCTGAGGTACAAGAATTGTCTCAACCCTGGGAGACAGAGGTTGCAGTGAGCCGAGATTGCGCCACTGCCCTCCAGCCTGGGTGACAGAGCAAGACTCTCTCAAAAAAAAAAAGAAAAAAGAAGAAGAAGAAGATGAGGAGGAATAAGATGAAAGCACAATTTGCAAAAAAATTTAAGAAGAGAAAAGAAAACCTTCCAGGGAAACAAAACTGTATAAGAAAACTGTGATTCATATTTGAAGCCATCATGAAACATTGGAAGAGAAACTCAGCAGGCTTCGGGAAGGACATTCCAGTGGGTTTCAAGCACACCTTCACATCTATATCTGTGCATAATGTCGGGGGACAGGGCAGGATCTAAACACAGAACGATGCTGATGTCACTACATGCAAATCACACAGATTCGCTGAGAAAACTCACTGAAGTTGAAAATGAAACAGCAGAATTATATATTTGTGAAAAAAAATCAAATTTGAGAATTTGGTGTAAAGAATTGATCGGATGTGTAAGAGTTAATGTTTTCCTTTTATTATCAAAATGTAAACCTGGCACATAAAATTAACAAGTAATTGTGTGGAATTAAAACAGATTTGTTGGATATGATATAAACTCTAAGCATAAACATTTACCTGTTTCCCCACTATCTTCATCATTCAAGTGAAATTGTTAGCAGGAAGATATGCCAAGTTTATCCCTGGGACTGAGCTATCAGGCTCCCCAACCCTCCCTACCTCTTTATACAACACTGTACCTCCTGGTGTTACAGAGTTTGAGATGAGTGTCTTAACAGGATCTTCATTTACTGATATTACTCACTGCCAGCTGGCTCTGATTCTGTGAATACATATGTTCTTCTTAAAAAATCGCTAGCTGGGCTTCAAGGTATTATGTTGTCCTACCAGAATAAATATTATTTTAAGATCAGACGAAGGTTCTTGTTCTTTATTAAATTCCTTATTAAATATTTAGTGTTCATAAATTTGTTTAATATAGTTGCTGCCTCAGCATTCATTTTTAGGCCTGATGTAATTTATTTGAAACCCAGGCACGCCATGTCACCTCTGACCTAGTTATAATTTCCCCTCTCCTATGTGACTCTGATAGATTCTGCTTGTTCCTCATCCCAGTGATGCAAAACTCAGCATATCCACAGCTGCTGACTATGAGCAATCTAATGATGAACCTCAGAATCATGTAAATAAGTTCCTCCTTTCACATATATTCTCTTCAATTAGCCAGTCCACAACCCCGTTGGAAAAGCCTAAGGGATAACGCCAATAGACCTTAATGGGGGCATAGTCCCACAGGTTGGGTCCTGTGCTGGCCCCTGCTGGTTGAGCTTCTCACCTTCTCTGGACTTTCCATCAGCAGCCCATCAGCACCCGTAACCTCTCTGGGACATGTACAAAATATATATTTTTTCTATTTCACGCATTTTGGTTTCATTTTCTCATTGTATCTCACCTGAAACACACACTCAAACCTAACATTTCCCCTATCATGACTCTCCGAGAGAGTTGTTATCTTGACTTAGGATCACTCTCAAGAGAGAGCCCTCAAGACCAAACACCAAAATATCATTACAACACTATTCTATTGGAAAGTAAAATTCTGATTGAGTTAAGTAGTCTTGCTGGTCTATGGTACCTTTCACATACATCTGGATCAAATACATTATGTCCCTCAATCCACTTGAATAGTATGTATCCAAATATTCATCTCAGGTAAGAAAAATGGAGGTGAAATGTGCTTAAAGTTCCCCAGTTCACTTATACAGTGGTGCATTAGTCATGCAGCAATGCCTTATCAAGCATCTAACATGTGTTAGTCACAGTGCTACATAATGGAGATACAGTGAACAGGTCATTATGTGATCAGATTTTGTTGATGAAAACTCATAGTTGGCTGCAAGATGAACACAGTAGAGGGTCAAATGGCAGATATTAGAAGGCAATTCGATGCTTAATTGAGAGAGAATGGAAAGGTGAAAAACCCACAGGACTTGATGCTTGGAGAGAGGAAGAAGGAGGTATCAAAGATGTCTCCCACTTTTCCAAATTCTTATTTGGATGATGTTCTAAGGAGAGCTTCTAACAACAATCATGTTGCAGTAGTGAAAATAATTTTTTTCAGGAAATCCCTGGAAAGCCTCTCATTAGGATGGGGTATTGCCACAGGCACTTGGCTTATCTCAAGAGTTTGCATGCTCGTAAATTCATTCAACTTCAAGACTCACTGATTACACCCTCATATTTTAAGCTTATTATGGAAGAAATTCAAACCACATGGGTGTCTGTCTACAAGCCAAAATTTGCTCAAGATAAGCCAATAGTAATAACTTAACTTCGGGCCTTGTGGCTCTTGAACATACTTAAACCTTGATGATTTAAGAGAGAAAGAGGCTAATAAACATCTCAGAGTTCTTTCCAGATGGAAAACAAACATTTCCCTTTTCCTGATTTCCCCTTAAACTTGTCATTATTTGGCAGGAATGGTCAAAATAAATGCACCATGATTCAAAGGAGCCAACACAGAAGAGACCAGATAGCAGCAAGATGAATCCACTTGTCTAGGCAGACATATGCTATGAGCACAGATGTTCAAGAAATGAAGGGTGTGCACTTGTGATTGCATCATTTCTTTGACCTCAAGATAAAAGCAAACAAGAGAAGCAAAATGTGCCACTCATCAGGCTATAAAAATGAAACCTGCCACACGAGCTCTGATCTATTGCATGAATCCTCTTTGCCAGAAATATGGGGTATTTTCATCAGAATGCCAGCTATTCATTCCTTCTTCTGCCTACACATCTTTTTGAAAGAGGAATGTGGTCAGGGAATAGGAAAGAAGGGGTTTTAATCTAATTTAATTTAGCTAATCCATCAGGCCACATTTACAGAACTATTCCAACCTTCCTAAAGGCTGGGAAAGAGGGAACACAAACCAGCCTCTATTGCGACAACTTTGGATGTATCCCTTTATTTCTGCTCATAGCAACTCTACAGGGGTGCAGTTATTTTCCTTATATTCAGATGAAGGCGTTTACCAAGGTCATGTAACTTGCCCAAGGTCCCATAGCTAGCATTTACTAGGGCCAGGACTGAAATCCAAATCTAACTCTGAAGTTCATATGGTCCTCTAATTCTCATTCCTTCTCAGAAGTAGGCAGTCTATAAAACACAATAGGTAAGGTGATGCTTTGCATAATACTATAGGGTTTCACAGATGAAAACACAGGAATGTGAAGGGGGAGATAAAAATGTTTTGGTATCAGATAGACCACAGTCTGTCACAGCTCTCACTCTTGCATACTGTGTTACCCAGAGCAAATCTCATAAGCTCATAGCTGCAGGTTCCTTATCTAAAAGATGTAGTTTCCTCACCTCATAGAGTTTTTGTGAGGATTAAATGAGAGGATGTGGTTAAATTACCTGACAATATGTCTGGTACACAGTATCTGTCCCCAAAATGCCAAGTTCATGTTACTTCAAGTTAGAGACACTGTGACATAGACAAATAACAGAGAGATTCATTAACCAAGTTAGCATTTGAATGGCAAGTTTAAGTAGAGTTTTCACGATGACTGTATTTATAAACCAACATATAGGTATGTACATGTCATACATATTTAAGTTTTTGTATTTGTTAAAAAATAATTCATTTTGAAACCTTGCGATAATTACATCTATCAGAGACCTACTTATCCAGTCCTCTGCTAGGAAAAATAAATGTAATTTCTTATTAATGTCACCAGCACAACGGGTGAAGCATGCATGTACATTTGCAGCCCAACTTCAAGGAAGATGAGTGCAAATGCAGCAATTAGTAGCATGTTGCACTAGGCTTCAAAGTCTTACCTGCCATTCTTATGATCACAAGACCAATACTCAGACACAGTTGTGCAGAGAAAAAGGTCATCTCTGGTTAAATAAAAATTAGTTTCTATTAAAAAGGTGAGAAACTGTAATTATAGAAAATTTACAATATGTAGGAAAAAGTACAAAATGATTCCCCAAAGATATTGCCTCTCTATAATGGTTGCTATGCAGAGTTTGTTTATATTATTATAATTTTATTATATGGACCCTGCCATTTTACTCAGCCTTTTCCTTCGACATCACAAGGTAATTTTTAGCAGAGTGGTTAAGTCTTTGAAGACAGACTATGATATCCAGGCTTCTCTAGTAACCAGCTCTGTGTCCATGAGCTGATCACTCAGCTTCTTTAAGCCTCGAGCCTTCTCATAGGAAGTGAGGATAATAACAGTAACCACCTAATTATAGGGCTGTGTAAGGATAAAGTGAGACCATCCATGTAAAACTCTTAGAGTGCTGGGTAGAGAGTAAGAAATCAATAGATTATTATTATTTATAACTGGTAAGACTTTTTTTCAACTGAAAATGACACACACACAAAATTTCAATTGACTTCAGCAAATGGAAGCACATTTGCTTTCAAAATAGTAGCCTAGACATAGACCTGACCAGAGGCTCAATCACTGTGGTAACTCTTGCTCAGATACAAGTTACACACGTGGAGTGACAGAACAGCTGCAGGGGTGCCAGTGCTAGCCCATTGCTTCACAGCTCCAAGGCGGCCTAGAGTGAGAACTTGCTTCCCTCAGTGCCAGTTCACAAGTCCCAGGATTCTCTCTGAGTGGATCAACCTGGGCCATTTACTTATCCAAAACAATGACTGTTGCTGAAGATGTTTGCTGCTTTGATTGGCTGGTTGTGTTAGACTAAGTAAGAACACCCCAAAGGTATGAATGTCCTGATCCCCAGAACATATGTTACCTTATGACCGAAGGGATTTTGCAGACATGATTATATTAAGGATTTTGAGATGGAAATATTATCCAATGTGATTATAAGGGTTCTTATAGCAGAAAAGCAAAAGAGTTAGAGGTCATGGTACAAAAAGCACTGTGACAGTGGAATCCGAGATTGGAGTGATGTGGCCACAAACCAAGGGCTGCCAGAAGCCTGTGCAGGCTGGAAGTGGCAAGGAACATATTCTCCTTCCGGAGTCTCCAAAAGGAACTAGGCTTGCCTGCTGATGTCTCAATTTTGGTATCATGAAAACCATTTTGGACTTCTGACCTCCAGAACTGTAAATCGCTAAATTTGTGTTAATTTGCGACAGCTGCATCAAGAAAGCTAGTACACCAGTCTGTGTCACAGTTTTCACCCACGTTGTGCTCAGAATACATGATTGAGAATGAAGGAGACATGAATGCCCAGAAGGAAAACAGAAATTCTGTTATCAGAAGAGAATGAATACTGGGGCCAAAGTCCACAATGTTCAACCTATCAATGTTGGTTTTGTTGCGGCTACTTTTTGCTGTTTTTTTTTTTTTAATTTTTTTGTAAATTCTACATAAACACCATTATGGTAGCTGAATGAATTCTTGAGTAGCTTTGGCATAGTATATTTACTTACTCTTCTGCACTTATACATTGGATCCTTGAAAGGAGGTGTCTTTCTTTGTTCACCCTGGACATGCATGATGTGGGGATAATAATAAAGTGGGGAGAGATCAGCATAATAAGAGATTGGTGTGTGATTTTCCTATTGATCACTTCACAAAGAAGGTATATGCCAGTAGTAAAGAACTTGGTCATACAAATGCAAAACAGAGTGAATTATGACACATTAAATGCTAAATTTTCTTCTTTCACTTGTTCATCTTGAGAACCTCACTTTTCCTCCTTTGGCTATGAAGCAGCTGGAGTTGAACAGACTGAGTGAGCTCAAAGCTGTCTTCTAGCTCCTTTATTATATGGAACTAGATTACAAGGGAAGCACATGGTCTACTCTGGGGTGCAGGGAGATTTTGGGGAGGTGTGTTGAAGGGTTCTGGACTCAGGCATAGTAGGGCAATATTAGGAAGAGAGCTGATCAAGAGATCAGAAGGACTAAACCGCAGGGCCAGTGGCACTACCACCTACTCTTCTCTTCTGTGTGATGTAGCAACAGTGGAATTGAATTCTTGGTCAGCATGGCAGAGGAGGTTTTCAGTGAGAAAATGGTCTGGAGAAAACTGCTATTTTTCTGGAGTAGCAGTGATAGTGGTATGTTAAAATCATCAGGTTTTTTAAATTGCAAACAGAATAGTCTCAGAGCTTTTCTGATCCAAATTTACTCTGATAGTCTCCTATAAAGGGGTTTTGATAATTTGACAAAAACTTCACAGGCAATTTTGATTATCCCCATTTCCCGAGGTCATGTAGCCCAGAGAGCCCCATCTCTGCCCATTGAAAAACAGCGTCTAGCTTACATTTAACTTCCTTTGTGGTTCTCCATCTTGATTCTGAATACCATTCTCTGAACCAATTTTTCATATGTGGGGACCCGGTGGACAATGGAGAAAGGAGAAGAACTACCCCTGTCACCCCACTTTTCACCCATGGCCTTTTTGGAGGCCAGAGCACAGGCAGGGCTCTATGATTATCTAGAATTGAGATCACTTTCCCATCCCTGAAGCAACCTCAGACTGAGCGGCTTAGGCTACAGAGGTTGTCCCAAGCCTCAGAAGTAGAATTTCAACTTCTCCAGAAAAATACATTGAAGAGAGAAGTCTAATTCTGCCACTTAAACCTGCTGTCTCTCATAGTGAGATTCTGGTCACTACAAAATATGGCAAAATTCAGAGACTCAATTTTGTCTGACAGCTCAGCATCAGGTCCTGACAAGACAAGCTGTTTAAATATCTATGTGGCAAAGTGGGACAATTTTGTTGAGTTAGTAATGGTCAGTGGTGGTAGATGCTTTATCTAGAGAAATGCCTATCATCCAGTCCCATGTTGGGCTGTTGACCAGCCATTTTCTAGGCTGCTTTAAAAATAAAACCATCTTAATTTGTTGTGGCATTATTTTTACTATTTATTAACCAAACCAAACATGCAAATCACTGGAGATTTAGTGATTCAGCAAATGATAATAGAACGCTAAATAACAAGAGTGATGGCGGCACAGGAAATCTCTGCTTTATCTAAGACATTAACTTTTGAAACAAGAAATAACTTAAAAATTAGAAGACTATGTCATGATTTTTACAAGAAAAGGAATAATTAGAAGAGCTATATTTATTACTCCATGTCAAGAATGTGAAATGCTACGTATTTCACATTATTATATTATTTAATCTTCACAACAAAACTTAGAACTATGTAGATTTTATGGATTAAAAAAATGAGGGCAAGAAAGCCAGAGTTCATTCAGTAAAATGATTTTTACGACCTATTCTAGTTTATAAATGAAAAGCAAAAAGCCCCTTCTGCCTTTTCTGGTACAACCATGACCTGTCTCTTGGTTTAACGAATATTTGCATTCCCAAGCAAACATTCTAGGCCTCTTTCCTGATAGAGTTGAGGAAATGATGGTGTCTAGAATAGAGACTTAGTCATAACCACAAGTCACTGTCTACCCAGCCACACGCTTCTCTGGCACATTTGGATTGTGTGATTTTGGACTTAGTTTTCTCCAGTGACAGAAATCTACATCAAACTGACAAAAGCCAGTGGTATTGTTAAGACCCATAACTCCACTGAATAAAGAACTTACTGGAAGCATCTTGTGTCACTTGACAGCTGAATCACCCAACAGGAAATATGTAGGGGTCTGCTGGCTATTAAAAAACTGGAACCAGGGGTTTAGAAATGGTGCCAGGATACCTACTCTATCTCTACCTTTCCTTCGTTCTGTGGTCTCTACATCATACTCTATGGTCTGGCTTCCTCCATGTGGCAGAAAACTTGTCTTCCCATGCCTGGAGAGAAACTGACTCGCATGCATTCTGGTCACAGGTTTAGAAATTGGCTCACCTTATGTTGGGTGCCCATCCCTGGGTCATCACCTAAAGTCAGAGAAATAGCTCTGTTAAGATCGGGGTACCTCCAATGCAAACAACACAAATGAACAGAAAGAGAAAAACATTCCAGAATAGGGGGAATGCTGATCCAACAACACCATTGACATACTGTGGGAGGGCGCTGTGGAGGTTCACAGCCAAGAGGCAAGGGAGAAGCTTCTGGTAAGTCGAACGCAAACATTCCGGTGCTGCATTTTCAAACTCGAAGTAGGTTATTGTCAAGACCTCAGAGCTTGCATGCATTCATTTATTCATTTCTTAGACATTTCCTGTGCTGAACTAGAAGAAAAAACAAGAATAAGATACGATTTCTACCCTCAGCATTTACTGCCTGCGTGGAGAAATAGACAACTATACTAATGATGTCAGCATTGCGAGCCCAGTATATTAACAAAGGCTCATGAAGGGTGGTGTTTTTCATGCTGTATGTTGAGACCCACTGGCAGGTCATTAAATCAATTTACTGGGCTGCAGACAGCACTTTCTAAAGGAATAAAATAGGCCAGAATATATCAGGGTGCGTTATACTGCAGTAAAGATATAAGAGTTTGATAAAACAACTGTGTTCTGATTGCATAGGAGGCTCTGTATATGCAGGTTTGTGTACCAGGTCATGCTGTAAAAGGCATTTCTGACTTCAGGTCATCATCAAAAATCTTTAAATGCCATCAGTATAGTGTGAGTAGGAGCACAGAGGAGAGACATCTAGATGAAATTAGTAGGAGGTAGAAGAGGAAAGGTTTTCAATGAAGAGATCTCATGCTGAAACTTGGAGAAGAAGCAGTCATTCCAAGAGAAAGAACAACTTGTGAAAAAGGCCCTAAGGAGTGAGAAAGGAGGGAAGATTGATAAAGACCTGTGGCTGCAGAGTAGCAGAAGGAGCCTGCAATGGGTCAGGAATAGGGCTTGAGTCCCTCGGTCCGCCAATGCAGGAGGAGGGGCTGATGTTGAAGAATAGGGAAATGGGGCACGTATTTATCATGGAAGGTAGAAAGTAATAATGATAATTAGGATAAAATGCTATGCAGCTTTAGAGTAGTACAAGAATACCGTTCCTTAGAGAACCAGAGAGAGCTTCATTGATGAGGCAACATTTTTGAGTTATCTGCAAATACTTTGAGTTTGGCTCAGGAATCAACTATGTAGTGTTTGTGTGGCTGGCTGTGGTGAATCAGGTAAGGAGAAGAGGCAGACATTCCAAGAAAGTTTGAGAGCCAGATAAAAGGGGGAGCTATCAAATTGGTACACAGCTACCCAAACCAATTGTAGTGCTTCTTTAACTGAGTTCTAGGTACAATGTCAAATAAAGTTTAATTCACTATTTGACATTGTCCTACATGCACAGTAGAGGACTGCATCCATAATCAGGCTGCCAGAACTTAAATCCACCTACTTTCTCTGTGAATTCAGCCTAGCTGCCTAGTCTCTCTGTGCCGGGGCATCCGTATGGCCACAAGTGGTATCTGTGGCAGCCAAGGAAGTGTGCTGCTCAGATTTTCATTTAAGAAAAGACTTGCCTTTTAGTTGCAAGCAGTGTCATTTGCAACCAGGCTTCAGCTGCAGAGTGTTTGGGGTCTACTGCAGATTTCAAGCTGACACTATGATTTGTCAGAAGCCCCTAATCAGGGACAGAGCACAGCAAGAGCATTAGGGATTGGCCATGTTTATCCAAAGTGGGGCTCTGCAAAAATGCCACCTTTTCCCTTGGGTTGGCCAATATCTTATCAGAGCTGTATCAAAATTGGAGGCTAACTCTACCAATCCTGCCTCCCACAGACTCTTCTGTTTCAAGCTATCAGATCTGCTTTGTGGTCTGAAGCCTTTCCTTGTGCAACTCCACTTCCTTCCCCTTTGTCTTTCACAGGCAAAATGTCCCAAGAAGCCTCGTGCCCTCCTAACAGTGTCTGAGCATCTGCTTCCCTGAATGAACACAATACCTAAATGTTGGGCAGCCCTAGGCCTCAGTCCTTGAACTGCTACTCTTTCAACTCTCATTTCCTGGATGAGTCAACTCAGTTTCTAGGGTTTTTAATACCATTCTTATATTAAGCATTGTCAAGTTTGTGTCTCCAGCCTGAGCAGTCAGCTGAACTCCAGACATATATATCCAACCCGTACTTATCATCTGCACTGGATATTTAATAGGAACCTCAGACTTAATGAGTCCAAGTCCGATCTCTTGTTCTTTTATCCCAAATATGTCCCTCCTTCAATCTTAAGCATTTTAGTAGATAGCAACTCCATATTCCTGGTTGCTCAGGGCAAAAACTCTGGTGTCATCCTTGATTTCTCTTGTTCTCTCATAACCCACATCCAATCCATCAGCAAATCCTGTGAGTTCCACATAAAAATACATACTGAACCTGAGCAGTTCTCATCATCTCCACCAATAAAACACTGTTTCAAGTCACCATGCCCTCTTACCTGGATTATTGTAATAGCCTCCTATTTAAACTTCTTAGTTCTTCTCTTTACCCACTCAAGCTATCCTCTTTACAGAAGCCAGAATATCCTTTTAAAATGTAAACCAGATCATTTTCTGCACAAAATCCTCCAACAACATCTGTCACTCAAAATAAAGCCTTAATCCTCAAAATAGCGAACAAGGTCTTACATGATCTGGCCCCTTCTTCACAATTGCTTATTGTTCACTCACTGATTTTAACCACACTGGTTTCGTTGCTATTCCCTAACTACTCCAATATGCTCCCATGTCAGAATTTTGCACATGCTGCTGTCTTTGCCTAAAATATTCTTCCCTAAGATATCTGAGTGGTTCCCTCTCCTATCTCCTTCAGGGTTCTGCTCACATGCACCCTATAAGTGAAGCCTTCTGCTATGTCTGAATGTCTGTGTCCCCCCAAAATGCCTATGCTGAAATCTAATCCCCAAGGTGATGGTATCAGAAGGTGGGAATTTTAGGAGGTGATTAGGTCATGAGGGTGGAGCCCTCATGAATGAGATTAGTGCCTTTATAAAAGAGGCCCCAGAGAGCTGCTTTGTTCCTTCCACCATGTGAGGACAGTGACGATGCCATCATGTGGCAGTGAGAAGGCACTATCTATGACCAGAATGCGAGTCCCTCACCAGACTTCGAATATGCTGGCACCTTCATCTTGGAATCTCCAGCCTCCAGAACAGTTAAAAATAAATGTCTGTTGTTTGTAAGCCACATGGTTTATGGGTTATAATAGCCCAAACAGACTGAGACACTTTCCCTGAACTCTCTATGCAAAATTGTACTCCCTAGAACTCTTTCTCTCTTCTCTACTGACACTTGTTTATAACATTCTTAGTATCTAATAAAATTGGCATTTTCAGTTTTTCTCATTTCTCTCCTCTCCTCTACTAGAATGTAAGTTCCAGGATAACTGATACTTATTTTATTCCCTATTGTATCTCTGATGCTGAGTTCAATATCTTACACGTTATGAACCCAGTAAATGTCAGGTATATAAATTAATAAATTAGGATAAGAGTGCCAACCTGGTGTAGGGGTCATGACTCTCAGATAATTGATGCAAATTACTTAACACAGTGCCCAGCACATAATAAGTACTCAACAACTACGAGCTTGTGTTAACCTTAGTAGTTATTCCTAGTCATGAATATATGTAAGGTAGACATTTAAATGGTAATGTCGATTCTCTGGACAAAACTTGACAGCAATTATTTGGTAGGGGCCCCAGAGTCCAGGCATCTCTCTATGAAATAATTTGTTCAAATTCTTTTACAGAAAACTTTAGGATGAAGCAACCCATGCAGATGAAAGTAACTAAACTTAATCTACAAAATTAGAACTCTAAGTAGTTTATCATATTTTTAACAAATGCATTGTACTATACTACTGTACAGTAGATTTCTAGTGTAAATGCCAATCTCTTCCTCAATAATGTGAGAAACTTTAGCCAGAGATAATTGAAAGACAAGACTCTGGCTTGGTTTGCCTGGATTTCTCCTCTTTCATTGCCTAAGACTGACAACTCTATTTTTTTTAACAGATATTTTCAGTGTCTACCATGTCAATGCAATGTCCTAGGCAAGGGAAATTTAACAGCTAACAAGATGATAGGCTTGGTTCCTACCTTCATAAAGTTTATAGTTTATCAGAGATAGGCTTGGTTCCTACCTTCATAAAGTTTATAGTTTATCAGAGAAGAGGGGCAATTAAAAAGGGAATTAGAGTCAAGAAGCACTATAATAGTGAAAGTTCAGGATACACATGAGAGAAACAACTAACTTAGCTGGAAGCTGGGAAGAAAGACGGGAGAAGATCTGTCTTTGCTTCCCAGCAGAAGTGACATTTGAGAAGATGTGTGAAGTTACCCTGGTAAAATTTTTTACTAGAAGTTATTTTAATATTAGTAATACATGCTTCACACTGGTTCAATAAGGAGCTTGAGTTATTCATGGAGTTTTTCCTTTCATCTTCACAGGTGTACTTTGGAGCAAACTTGCATTGCAATTATTGATTACCACTTTGAATTGTAATTAATTAGAGCTATTAAAAACATATATACATAAATATACATATGCATATATATATGTATACACACACAAACATATGTATGTTTGAGTGTATTTGTAAGCCTTTATAATTTATCCATATAAAATTGTTTACTTTTATTTTAGGAATAAATAAAATAAAAAATAAAATAAATAAAATAAAACCTTCACTTGTTTTATTTTATATAGATGAAGGTTTGTTATACAGGTAAACTCATGTCATAGGGGTTTGTTATACAGATTATTTAATCACCAAGGTATTAAGCCTAGTACCCAATAGTTATTTTTTCTGCTCCTTTCCTTTTTCCCACCATCCACTCTCAAGTAGACCCTAGTGTCTCTTGTTCCATTCTTTGTATTCATGAGTTCCCACCATTTAGCTTTGACTTATAAGTGAGAACATGTAGTATTTGGTTTTCTGTTCCTGTGTTCATTTGCAGAGGATAATAGTCTCCAGCTCCATTCATGTTTCCACAAAAGATGATATAATCTCATTCTTTTTTATGGCTGCATAGTATTCCATGGTGTATGTGTACCATATTTTATTTATCCAATTTGTTACTGATGGATAAACAATAGGTTGATTCCATGTCTTTGCTCTTGTGAATAGTGCTGCAAAAATATTTGTGTGCATGTGTCTTTATGGTAGAATGATTTGTATTCCTCTGGATATAGACCCAGTAATAAGATTACTGGATCAAACAGTAGTTCTGCTTTTAGATCTCTGAGTAATCACCATACTGCTTTCCACAATGGTTGAACTAATTTACATTCCACCAACAGTGTATAAATGTTCTTTTCCACAATGCTGTCAGCATCTGTTATTTTTTGACATTTTAATAATAGCCATTCTGACTGGTGTGAGATGGTATCTCACTGTGGTTTTGATTTGCATTTATCTTATGATCAGTGATATTGAGCTTTTTTCATATGCTTGTTGGCCACATGTATGTCTTCTTTTGAAAAGTGTCTGTTCATGTCACTTGTCCACTTTTAATTTGGGGTTGTTAGTTTTTCTCTTGTAAATTTGTTTAAGTTTCTTATGGATGCTGGATATTAGACCTTTATCAGACGC
Organism: Homo sapiens; assembly: GCF_000001405.40. NCBI lineage: Eukaryota > Metazoa > Chordata > Mammalia > Primates > Hominidae > Homo > Homo sapiens. The sequence goes on along the minus strand of NC_000004.12, from coordinate 11,477,218 downwards.
ATAGTTTGCAAAAATTTTCTCCCATTCTGTAGGTTGTCTGTTTGCTCTGTGGATAGTTTCTTTTGCTTTGAAGAAATACTTAAGTTTAATTACATTCTATTTATCAATTTTTGCTTTTGTTGCAATTGCTTTTGGTGTCTTTGTCATGAAGTCTTTGCCCACTCCTATGTCCAGGATGGTATTGCTTGGGTTGTCTTCCAGGATTTTTATAGTTTTGGGTTTTATGTTTAACTTTTTAATACAACATGAGTTGATTTTTGTATATGGTATAAGGAAGGGGTCCAGTTTCAATCTTCTGCGTATGGCTAGCCAGTTATCTCAGCAACATTTATCGAATAGGGAGTCTGTTCCCTCATTGTTTGTTTTGTCAGCTTTGTCAAAGACCAGGTGGTCGTAGGTGTGCAGCCTTGTGTCTGGGCTCTTTATTCCGTTCTACTGTTCTATGTGCCTGTTTGTGTACCAGTGATATTTTTGTTTTTAAGAAAACTCCTGGCAAAGGAGTTACCTTGGTAAAGAGAGGGTGGCTCCAGGCAGATGAGAAATGTGTAAAAGGGCTTGGAGCCTTGAGAGAACATGAGGCCTCCAAGTCTTAAAAGTTCTGATAGGCATTCTTGAAGGCAAAACAAGGCTCATTTGTTGTGTTGCATGAACAGCTTATCCATAATGAGTAGAGTTTCTCAGAGTCCTATTACTAATTGCAGAACATCCTCAATTTGTCTTTAATAAGTGTTCAAAGTTAACTTCAAATATTAATAAAGAAGTGTTTATTTTTTGACAGTATACTCTGAAAATGTCTGCTAATCACTTTTAAACCCCAGCTAAAATTATTTATCTGTCTTCATGGCCATACAACTCTGCCTCATTCAATTCCATAGTTGGCCTTGAGTTTGAAAATTGACCTTGTTTCTAGGCTGGAGTATGTGCTTATTCTTCCTTCTCTTTATGGGAAAAGTTACTTGCCAGTGGAGACAGAACTGAACATAGATTCTGAAATAGACACAATATGGGAAACTTGATACTTCCTTCCACTACCAAGCCCAAGCAAGGGATGCTGTACAAGGCATTAGGTATCCTCCTTAATCCCGGGAAATACACAGTAAAAAGGAAGAGATAAGGCCTATGTTTGAGTCAGTTCATGCTGCTCTAACAGAATGCCATAGATAAAGTGCCTTAAACAATAGACATTTATTTAGCACAATTCAGGAGGCTGGGGTTCTGAGATCAAAGTGAATGCTTTCCTCTTGGTTTACAGATGGTCATGTTCTCATTGTCATGAGGACACGTCAAAGAGAAAGACTTCTGGTCATTTTTAGCCACTTAAAAGGGCATTAATCCCATACATCTGGGCTCTAGTCTCATGATCTAATTACTCTTCAAAGACTCCACCTCTAAATATCATCACATTGACATTTAGGCTTCAATATATAAATCTTGGGAAAACACAAGCATTCGGTGCATAGCAGAATATAAATATGAAAATAAAATTAACAAAATAGTAAAAATTATAAACTTCCTGAAATGAAGAGGGAATTGCCCAAAGAATGTAACAGGAAATCAAGAGAGAGAATATGAGAGTCTGAAAGAGCACCTCAGAGGAAGAACAATTTAACCTGGGTCATGAGGAAGTAATAGGATTCTGACAGATGTGTAACAGCTGGATAATCCAACATAGAGAGAGAAAAGGTGCCAGGGTGAGGACACAGAGGTGAGAAAGAAAATATAAGTAAAGAGGGACAGAGAAGCCTGCAATTAGTGTTCTGAGGATCGCAAGAGACCCTTGTACCCTTCTCTGTGCTTGCATGTATATTCTCATTCATTCCTTCAAATACGGAATGATTATTAAACGACTAGTTTTTTTTCAAACTTTTAGTAAGATTTTAAATCAAACTAAGAAAAGTATATTTAAAGAGGAAATACATGAATTACAATAATAAGCTATTTTTTAACTAGTTTGAGCTATTTAAGTTTGAAGCTCAAGAAATTACATGTTTAAGTGCCTAAGTAGTCTTCAGTTGACTTTTAATTAACCTCTTTTGCCATTTGTCATCCAGGGAAATTGGAAAATATTTTATAGTCCAACAAAAACTTGTTTTATAAAAGAATTAAGTGAATTTGAGCCACTTATGATAATCTTTCAAAACATCTGATATTTGTAGCTGAATCCGGTCAAATTGTATTTATTCTTTATCAGCCTTAGTTATCTTGGCATCGCTCTCGTATTAATAAGATTCAGACAAAGCCTGGCCTTGCAGTGTAAAAGTGATAGAGAAAATCATTTTCCCTAATCAGGCTGAATCTCATTTGTTGTGATTTTTTTCCTTTAGATTCTGATGTTTGCAGGTGCTTTTTGTGGGAACATTATTTAAAACATATCCTCCTGAGTGTACAACAGCCGCTTCATGAGGATTACTCTTCTATCCTCTTTGCTTGCAGTGGAAGTTTCATTCATTCAGCTTAAACTAAATTTCAATAAAGAAAAGGAAGAGGTTCATTTTTAACACTTATCCCCTTAAATAATAATAACAAGACTATGTTTAATTTGCCTAAAAATAGACATAGAGGTCATGGAATTCAGTTTTCACTTTGATGATGGTAAGGAGAGGCATCTAGCCTCCTTGACCTCCAAAATCAGGAGCTTCTTACACCACCCATGATAACTTGTCACCTAAAAGGATTCACCATTCTATTAGGGTAGGCTAGGTTGTCCTGCAGTAACAAATAAACTTTATAATCATGGTGGCTTAGCCCAACAGAAGTTGATTTCTTTCACACACAGAGTCTAATGCAGTTGGCCTAGGATCCTGGGATGACCCTCCCTCGAGTGACTCAAGGATCCAGGCTTGCATCACCTTATAATATAGCTCCTTAACATGTCACTTCTAAGGTTGCTTCAGCATGGGGACAGAGAGAAGAAAGAAGCAAACCAGATTGCAATTGCTTCAGCCTGGAAGAAACATGTGTCATTGTGCTTACAACTCATTGGCCAGAAAGAGTCACTTGGCCTCAACCTCACTGCAAGGAAGAGTGAGAAGTGAAGGGGAGCACATGGAATGTGAGGTGTGCAACAGCCATCCCTGTCTCAATTACATAGTTAATTAAATTTAGCTCTATACTAAGTCAAATACAGAAGTTCATGGAAAACATGGAATTTTTATCACATCGAAATCACTGCCAAAAAGCAAAGTATGCATTCTTTGGAGACAGAGTACTTTTACAGCCTGCATTGCCATATTTCAGGAATAAGACCATTGGCAGGTCCCACAGACACTCTGAGCCTCAATATCTTCATCTGTAAAGTGGAGAGAATGCTGACATAAGTCAGTTGAGAGCACTATAAGTAATGACTGCAAAGCACCTAATTAAGGGCCTACTAAATATTAGGTATCGAGTTTTAAAACTGGCAATTATAATTATTGTATCTTAATGACAACAATAAAATGGAGATATCATTATCATGGAAAATAATTAATTAATTTTGTTATATTTAATGTATCAAGAATAATGCAATAAATTTTCAAATAAAAGCATCCACGAGACTTCCTAGCTGAGTTCAGAAGCAGTTTTTGACCCTGCATTTAATTTACTGTTAGCAGCAAATATGGTATATTATTACCTTTAGAATTTCTCATTTCAGATGAAAAAAATGAGCTGTTAAAGTAATTGTAAAAATTTTAAAGGGCCTCAGTGAAAGCAGAGAGGAGAGTTTCCATGGCGATATCTGAACAGTGCAAGAGAACGGAAGAAGGGAAGGGGGGCATTTAGTGAGCACTTACATGATGTTAAACAGTGTGCTTGGCACTTTGCATCCAACATCAGCCTAAACACAGGAAAATGCTATGACATCAATATGATTGTCACAGTTTTATGGAAGAGCAAACATACTCAAAGGAAGAGACTCTCCTAGTGGACTAACTAGATTGTGGTCCCAGTGCCATATGACCTGCCTTTGCCTGTGGCTGGTGCCCAGACTCTCCTGACACCAACGAGTCTCCTATAATTCATCTTCTTCTGCTCCTTCATGCTCAAGGTCTCTCACTTCCCTTGTTTTAGGGTCTGATTTGTTCCCAGCCTTTCTCGGGGCTCTTGTAGGCTTAACATACACACCCCTGTCTCCAGCGCAACCTCTTACCAGGATACAAAGTTCCTATTTCTTTGCAGTAACAGGAAAAATGTCCTCAGACACACTGTCTTGCCTCTTTAGAGATAGTTCCTTCTTACGGTAGAAAACCTATGACAAAAGTGGAGGTGGTAGATTTGTGAACTCACTGTGCTCTAACCATCCTAGTAAGGGTTGGTTGGGCAAGAATCATCCATGGGTACCAAGTGTCAGAGGAATTTTGAGAAATGGAATACTCCTATAGTCTCAAAAGGTCTCTCCACCGATTGCATATTAGTCAAAAAGGGGAAAAGTAGTAACTACACAGTATTAGTATAAAGAGATGTCACTTTGACAGTGTGATCAAAATTAACATTAGCAATAAGGAACAGATGGATGTCACATGCCTCTGGATGTGTGCATGGAGAGGGAATGCCATCACTTATGAGTATCCCCGCTGGGATGCATAACCTGAATCTGATCATAAAAAAGCATCAGACAAACCCACATTAAAGAATATGCTACAAGGGGCCTGTGTTCATTAAAAATGTCAGTGTCGTGAAAGTGGGAAAGACTGAAGAAAGTTCTGAATTAAAGGGAATTCAACAGACACAATTGCTAAATGGACCAGATCCTGTTTTGAAGGGAAGAGCACTTGCACATTATTATTATTGGGACAATGACAAATATGGCATATTAAAATGTAGATTAGATGAAAATATTATAACATTAAATTTCCTAAATGAAATACCATTGTGGTTAAATTATTTAAAAGAATATTCTTAGAGAATACACATTGAAATATTAAAAAATAAAAGAACAGGATGTAGCTAATCTACTTTCAAATGGTATAGAAAACAATAATTTTAGAATGCATAATTCACACACATACATGTTTGTGTATGTATGTATGTGTGCATTACTATATTTAACAATATTTGAAAGAGAGAATAGGAAAAAATAGAGGATAAAAAAGCAAATGTGGCAAAATGTTAAAACATGGCGAATCTGAAAAAAAGCATATACAGAAGTTCTCTAGAGGCTGTTTTTTTCCAGCAATTCAATGAGCTTTAGGAGTTTAAACAAATTGAAGTTTCTATTAATAGCTAGCAATTACTGTGTGCCCATGCTTTGCTATGGATTGTCCTAGGCAGATCACTGGCATTCTTTCTAAGCTTTTTCGTAGCTGTAGGTGTGGAAATTGTGTTTTCATTTTCATTTTGAGATATGAGGAAACTGAAACAGGATATGCACCCCACAGGAAGTGGCAGGGTCATAGATTTGAATTCAGACCTGGCTCACGTCTCCGCACAATAGAATGAGACAGTGCATGTGATGCCAGACAGGAAGAGGTAAGGTTCCAGCCTTTAGGGGCTCGTAGGGGCTCACAGCCCATAGGGAGAGTAGAGAGGGAAGACAGACAAGTAATTGGGTACATAGTGTGGTGTGGTAAGCAAAGTTAAATATAGTTAATTCTTTTTTTTTTTTTTTTTTTGAGATAGAGTCTCACTCTGTCACCCAGGCTGGAGTGCAGTGGCGCGATCTCGGCTCACTGCAACTTCCACCTTCTGGATTCAAGCAATTCTCCTGCCTCAGCCTCCCACATAGCTGGGACTATAGGTGTGTGCCACCCGCCTGGCTAATTTTTGTATTTTTGGTAGAGATGGGGTTTCACCATGTTGGCCAGGCTGGTCTTGAACTCCTGACCTCAAGTGATCCCCGTGCCTCGGGCTCCACAGTTAAATTCTTCTAAACTTAATTAGTAGAACACCTACTGGAGGTTGTTGTCATGCCAATCTCTTCTGCTACTAGAGACACATGTCCTGTCCTCCCAGAACTTACACTGAAGTGGATGTGACTGATGCTACAGTACATAACTGCTGAGGTAGCACATAATAGTGAAATTTTATCCAGACTACGAGGCTAAGGTTGGCTTCCCAGAGGGGATGTGAGTGTTGCCTTACTTGATTTTCAGAGACAGAATAGCCTGTGAAATTTCATTCATCCCTGAGTTCTAAAGACTTGGCATACAGGAAATTCACTAGCTGTTGAATCTGGAAAAATGATATACATGTTTTCTCTACTGTGCAGAGTCTATACTATTCTTGAATGAATGAATGAGTGAATGAGTTCCCTTCTGTGATTCCTAAGGAACCCAGGGCAATGAGGTCTTCCAGGATGTCAGCCTCTCTGTCATCCTTCCAGGTCACAAGAAAGAGCCAGCAGGTTTCAGCAAGCCGTTCCCTGGCTGATCTGGTGGTGAGAAGAATTTGGGGGTGGCGGCATGGTGACTAGCCACAGCCAGGGCAATTCCTGCACTCCCTGGCTTCCGTGTCTAGCTTTCAGGTTAGAGGAAATGCTTTATCAAGAAAAGCTACTTTGTTCTCTCTTGTTCTCTTTTATTTTTTTCCGAGTTACTCATCACTTTTTCAGTCCCTTATTCTCAGAGGAGAAAACAAAGCCACCTTCTTGAAGCTGTACCTTAGGTATTATTCTTGCCAATGCCTTGCAAAGCCAGCAGCCCAAGTGCTTTGCAGGTCAGATACAAGGGCCCTTTACCTTCAAAGATTAAAATCAGCATAGCAACAAAACATGAGGCTCTTGGTTTTACTCAGTGCTTTTCTTACATGGTCTCATTGCATTCACAGAGCAGTGTTACAGAAGGTTAGAGACCCTTGGAGATAAAACATGTAGGGATTTCCACTCTTTTTGGTGATGCCCCAAGAACCTGGGAAGGAGTGTCAGAGTCTGCCCTCTGGGGATGGGGGCTCCCTCCAGGGGCGGGAAGCCCATCTGGCTCATCTCTCTGCCCTTGGCTCAGCTGACCATGCAACTGCAGCTGCTTGCTTGGGCTTGTTTCATGCATGACAGTTTCAGTTACCTTTCACTTGAGAAATAGATCTCCCTGCTAAAAGAAAAAAAAAAAAAGAAAGAAAGAAAATGTTTGAAGACTACTGATCAGTTTCAATACCTTCATACTGTCCATAAAAACACACAGGCCCGTGTTGCACTGGCCGTCCCTTCGCATCTCACTCTCAGCGCCTCAGTGAGCTTTCTCAGCTGTGCTACGACAATGAGCATTTGCAGACCTCTTTTCCATCTTTCAAATTGTTGGCATCTCTCAACTATTCACATTGGTGGATTAATATGTTAAATACCTTTCATTGTTATTCTAGTGGAGTTTAAGGAGGAAGCAGCAATAGAATATGTATATGTATATACATATACATATACATATACATATACATACATATACACGCACACAGAAAGAGACAGAGAGGAGGGTTTTACCTTAGTCAGGGACTCCTCTCATTGCCTGAAATATTCTTCAGAGACTTGGAGCTCCAAGGTCTTGAGGAAGGCACCACAGTGAGTGGTGGAGTCGAAAACTGGAGGATTTGGTTGAATATTTCTATCAGTAGCACCTGGACTCTTTCCTTTCCCCTGCCAACCAAACATCCAAGCACCTGTCCTTTCTACTATGTCAAGAAAAGGGATTTTGTTTTGTGGAGACTTGAAACAGGAATTCTCTACCCTACTTAGAAAGAATAAGATTAAGTAAAGCTTCAATATCCCAAGGGAAATAAAGAAGCTATTGAAAATAAAAAAATAGAACAAAATACCATTAAAAGCATAATTAGAGAAGAGCATTAACACTTCTCTCCTTAAGGAAACATTGTTAACTGTTTTATAATTTGTATACCTTTTTTCCCAACAAAAAGTGTGCAATTGTTGTTAATAATAAAAGACTTTTGGTCATGATAATTAAAAAACAAAAAAGTAAAACAAACAAAAAAACCACAGGCCCAGAAAGGGACAATCACTTGCCTAAAATCACAGATCCACTTAGTACTTAAAGGCAAAGAAGGAACTAAGTGTTAGTCTTGGGTATCACATCAGTTTCTACTCCAGGACATGCAATTGCGGTACCTGGCTCAGGTGACCACAGTGAATGTAAATACCCAATGATTGGCCCAAGAGGAAAGGAAAACAATTTAAAAAATTCCTGACAGCTGCATTTCTGGAATGTCCCCACTCCTTCCTCATGCACCTGTTGCTGCCTGAACTTCTGACACTGAGTGGTTACCGGAGGCCTGGCGTCTCCTTAGAGCACTGCCACTGGCGCTGATGAACCAACTGAGGCAGACACTTTTACCTCCCTGAGCCTCACTTTTCTCCACCAGAAACTGGTTTAGGGGACAATAGCTTAGTACTGTCTCTTCTGGCTTCTATGTTCTTCTGGTTAAGAAAAAACTAACAACATTTCCCCCTGTCCTGACTTCCCAAAAGATTGAACATGAAGCTTCACTGAAATCCTGGATGGAAACATATTATTTCCAATGTAAAATGATAAAGCCTGGTCATGTGCAAGTTGCTCCCAGCTGCTGTGCCAGGGAGAGAGGGGAGGCATGCAATCAGCTTCCAGATAAAGGAGACAAGCTGTAGTGCTCAGGGCCCAACTGAGGAACATGTAAAGAGGGATTATATATATAATAAGTATCTACCTCTCTCTATATAAAGATATATATACATATATACATATATATATATATACGTATATATATATATATACATATATATATACGTATATATATATATATATATATATACGTATATATATATATACATATATATATATACGTATATATATATATATATATAGAGAGAGAGAGAGAGAGAGAGAGAGAGAGAGAGAGAAAGCATTGTTCTCTCTATAGAAAAGAAAGATTTTTCTGTAGAAGATAGATAGTTATCCCCTGAGAACCAGGAAAGCTGATGATACAATTCACAGAAGTCAAAAAAGTCCCCAGGCTGCATGAAGTTCCTTTGAAAAGGCAGGGTTGGCTTTCCCTGGTCTATGTAAGCCCCTTCCTGTAGGTAATGGCAGGTCCGGAGACACACCCCTGGAGGCTCTCTGAGTGCCACCTGGCAGTGCTGGCACAAGTGGGGGAAGCCAGGGAGTTGGTGAGGTGGGGTGCGGGGATGGCAGCTGGCTCAGCAGCTCCAAGAGTGCTATAGGGTCTCAGTTCTGAAATTATTCACAAGTACTCAGCAGACTCAGTGCACTTTAAAAGTCACTTTTTTTTTTCTCTCACAGAGAAAAAGGATGTTGTCTTATGGCTTCCTCACCTGTGACTTCTTGGAATTTTTTTTTTTTTTTTTGGAGATGGAGTCTTGCTCTGTTGCCCAGGCTGGATCCCGGCTCACTGAAACCTCTGCCTCCTGGGTTTAAGCAATTATCCTGCCTCAGCCTCCCAAGTACCTGGGATTGCAGGCATACACTACCACACCCAGCTAATTTTTGTATTTTTTTAGTAGAGACGGGGTTTCACCATGTTGGCCAGGCTGGCCTCGAACTCTTGACCTCAAGTGATCTGCCCACCTCGGCCTCCCAGAATGTTGGGATTAATGGTGTGAGCCGGCGCGCCCAGCTGGAATGGTCTTCATACTGTCTGTCCCTTCCTTCCTTCTTCCCTTTCACCCCTCAGTCTCTCTCTCTCCAAAACAATACTTTTTTCCTGCTTAATCCTTACAGAGAACACAAAGTACATTTATGTAAAAAATAATGACAACAGTAAAATTCCTGAAAACCATAAAAGCAGTTAAAAACAAAAGTTTGAAGTATCGATGCTCCATGAAATTACACTAATGTGATAGACTCTAGTGCTGGACATAACCTTGTTCTTTCATGAGAATAAAATGCTATTGTATAAGGGGTTCATCAGTGTTTTTTAATGATGTCTATGGATCGTTTCCTTTCTGTGAAGGTAAAATATTTATTTTCATAGTCATAAAGGAAATTAAAGAATGTCTATACAAGTTTACAAACTCAAGGCATTTACTAACATTTCCACTTCCTTTTTGACTCAGGATATATATATATATATGTGTGTGTGTGTGTATATATATGTATATATGTGTATATATGTGTATATATGTGTGTATATATGCATATATATGTGTATACATATATATACACATATATGTGTAAATATATGTGTGTGTATATGTGTGTATATATATATGTATATATACTCGGATACTTCAAATGTTAAGGTTTTCTATTATGTTATCATATCTTTCAAATAACAAAATGTGTATATAAATATATGTATATATATATATATATAAAATTTTTGTTGTTGTTTGTCTTGTTGCAGGGTGATAATATTGACCAATTAACCACGTGTAGCAACCTATCATATTTTCCACATGTATCGTAGGTTAGAGTTGACCAGTCACATTTTTCCATTGCACTTGCTATGAAGTGTGACTGCTCTCTCATGCCTGCTGAATCTGTGACTTTAAGCATGTTACTTTACTTCTCTGAACCTGACTTTCTTCATATGTAAAAAAGAGATAATAGGACTTCACAAGGATGTGGGGTGGACTAAACAAGAAAACATGCAGGCTGGAGTGATGCCTTACATACAACAGGCTCTCAATATATGGTGATTCCCTTTCATCTCACCAGATATACTGGCTTGATGAGCTTTGTAGTACGGGTGGCAAATATTGTGATTCCTCTCTGTGGTGGAGGGGACTGAGCTCACGGATACAAATAAACTGACCAAGATCACACAAATGGTGTCAGTTTAAACCACTGGTTCTCCATTGGGATTAATTGTGCATCCACGAGATGTTTGGCAATGTTTGGAGATTTGGGGTTGTCACAACTGGGGAAGGGGACCATTTATACTATTGGCACCTAGTGGATAGAGGCCAGGAATACTGCTAACCATCTTTCAGTGCACAGAAGAACACCCTATAGCAAGGAATTATCCAGAGTAAAATGTTAATAGTGCTCTTTCCAATTCACCTCACATTTTCCAAAATAAACCAAAGCACTTTGTAAAATGAAAACATTATTTTTGTTATTTGAAAGACATGGTAACATAATAGAAAACCTTAAAATTTGAAGTATCTGAGTCTATTCTTAGCTCTCCTACTTACTAACATTTAATCTGAAAACTTCAGGCAACATTATCTCACCAGAGCCCGAGTTTGTCTACTTGCACAATGTAACAGGGCATTTCTACGATAAGAAATAATTTAAATAAATGGTTGAGTATGGTGCCAACATGTAGTAGGGGCCCAGTCCATGATGGGACAATATAATAATGATAGTAGATATGGGAGGAGAATAATTGAATAACTTTCAGTTTTTAGCAAATATTGATTGAATTCCCATTAGGTACTAGGCACTGAAGATATATCTTAGTCAGTTTGGCTGCTATAATAACAATACCATTAACTGGGTAGCTTAAACAACAGAAATTTATTTCTCACCCTTCTGTAGTCTAGAAGATCAATATCAGAAGGCTGCATGGTAGAGTTTGGTGAGAGCCCTCTGGTTTACAGATGGCAGTCTCCTCATTGCATCCGAGAGAGAGAGAGAGAGAGAGAGAGAGAGAGAGAGGCTCTTTCCTGTCTATTCTTATAACGTCACTAATCTCATCATGAGAGCTCCACCCTTGTGATCTAATTACCTTCCGAAGGCCCCACTTACAAATACTTTTCCATTGATGTTCAGGGATTCAGCATTTAATTTGAGGGGTACACAAACATGCAGTCGATAATAAGATGCAGAAATTAACCAAACAGAAAGGGCCCTGACATCATGGAACTTACGTGGTGGATGATGGGAAATAGACAAGCAGAAAAATTAAGAAGGGAAATCCCTTAATATAATGCAGGTGGTGGTCCTGGAGGTCTTCTGGGAAGAGGCAACTGGAATAATGATCTCAAGGCTAAGAAAGCACAGGAGTGAAGAGGAAAAGAAAGGGTATCCTTGAGAGAAGGAAGAACAAATGCACAGACACTCAGGCAAGAGGTGTTTGAAGAAAGCAAGCAAGGGGTGCATATAGACCCATGCATTGTCAATCTGAGTCTGCACGGTTTCAACCGATGATCAGTCTGATGTGCTCACTGGGCTTAAGACCTTTCCAGGGTCAACATGAGAATGCCCATGTCTGGAGTACAAGGTTGTAGCTTTTCTGCAGAGACACCACGGTTCCCCACACTGCAGGCTCTTTTACGTCATGACTGTCAGACTCTGCTGGACCACCAGCCCGACAGAAATGTTCCATCCTTCCCTCATTTCAATGGGGGACTTCTGGATCCCTGTAACACTCTCCCAGGTCTGTGGAGCTGCTCATACTGCCTCAAGCCCACTGTCCAGCCCCCTCCCTCCACAGATAGTTCTACCTCACCTCTGCCCATGCTGAAGGTGTCCTTGTGGAGTGCTTCTCCTGGGGACTGGTGGCCTGGAGAAGGATGTCATCCATTTCCCCACGTTCTGAGTTCCCCAAACCTTCCTGAATCTTTTTAAAACTTCCTTGTTTCCCAGTCCAAATCCCAAGCTGAGGAGAAACGAGGACCCCATTATCTCAATTCCCATATCTTTTTCTGTCACTGAGCTCTTTTCTAAATGTTGTTGAGGCCAGAAGAAGCACATTTCAGCCTTCACTGTGTCATAGCTTGAATTCTCTCCACCTCAGTCATACGGAAAGTCAGCTCTGCTGGGCTTCTGATCCCTGCTGAATCTACAGAAACTCAAGAAGTTATTTATCCTTTTATCAAGGCCTGGCTTTAATACTCACCTCACTACACAGGGTCTGTAATAGAACTCAAAGTTCATCAGTGATTTTTGTTCCAGGCAGGACTCTGAGGTGATAAACTCTACGGTTTTGGAGTTCTCTTCAAGATGGTACCAGGTTACCTGAGAAATAGGAATATTAGAGAAAGCATCTGAAAAACATTTAAGTCTATAAAGCTGCATTATCCCCAAAAGATCACTTGCATTATTAGATAGAACTGTTTGCCAGACTGGACTAAATTTAGATTTTTCTCCATCACCCAATGAAGTGGAGGCTTCTGAGAAATACTAGATAAGAAATAGAGAAAACAAAGATACCCTTTTTTCACATTTTAGTGTATTATGAATGCATGTGGCCCTACAACAGAAAAAAATATTGCATTAATGTCAATCTAGAAAGTTCCCAAATTTGAGGTAAACAGAAAAACAGAATAGTTTGCTTGTTTCCCTAAATGAAAGAGGAAAATCAAATGGGAGGAGAGAATCCTCCCAAGTCCTCTATGGGGCTTGGGATGTATAGTTACATTCTTTGTGCCTGTCTTCTTCTTTTCTTTACCTTTGAGACTGGCCCTCAATGCCTGTCCCAAATTCTGTCAACTGTCCTGTTAATTGCTGACTTGTCAATTTCTTGCCTAGGAAGGTTCTGGCTCTAGTAAGAGCTGCTGATTCTAGTCCCCAGGCTTATGATTAGGGTTGCCAGAAAAAAAAAAAAAAAGAAGGAAAAACAGGAAGTCCAGTTATATATGAATTTGAGATAAACAACAATTTTTTATGAATATGCCCAAAATATTTTATAAAACACGCAACAGAAAATTTTTGTTTACTTGAAATTTAAATTTAACTGGACTTGTTAAGTTTTTGTTTGCTTAATCTGGCAACCCTGCCCTGAGCAATAGCAAACCTAGACCCTGATCACATGCCCAGTTGAAACGGAGGAGGGCAGCCACACCACCATCCATCCACAGATGGATGTGCCTCATCTGAGACTGAGAGACAGGATTGACTTCACCTCCAGCATTCGTAGATGGATACATATAAATGTAAATATAATTATACACAAAAATATATTGAAAACTGAGGTTTTGGGAGGAGTGGCTTGGGAGATTGAAAGCACCCAGACATCCCGGGTCTCACCATGGAAAGAGGAGTGCCTTCCCTTTATATAAATATAATTGGACTCGACAAGGGTCTCATGAGTAGATGTCATATTTATTTCACAAATGGGTAACTAAGATTCAGGGGGTAAAAAAACAGTGTATTTCAGTTAAAAGTCACTAGCTTTATAGCATTTAAGATAAGTATTTGAATTTCAGATAAACCCAAGAATGATTAGTATTTTATTTATTTATAGTTTTTATTTATATTAATTTTATATTTTTAATTGTTGTGGGTACATAGTAGAAGTATATATTTATGGGGTACATGAGATATTTTGGTACAGACAGGCAATGCAGAATAATTACATCAGGGTAAATGGGGTATCCATCACCTCAAGAATTTATCCTTTGTGTTATGAACAATCTAATTATACTCTTTTAGTTATTTTAAAATGTACATTTAAATTATTATTGGTCATAGTCTCCCTGTTGTGCTCTCAAATAATAAGTCTTATTCATTTTTTCTATTATTTTACCCATTAGCCATCCCAACTTCCCCCATATCCCTTCACTGCCCTTCCCAGCCTCTAGCAACCATCCTTCTACCCTCTATCTTCATGAGTTCAATTATTTTAATTTTAAGCTCCCACAAATAAGTGAGAACACGTGAAAATTGTCTTTCTGTGCCTGGCTTATTTCACTTAACATAATGACCTCCAGTTCTATCCATGTCACTGCAAATGACAGATTCTCATTCTTTTTTTATGGCTGAATAGTACTCTGTTGTGTATAAGTATCATATTTTCTTTACCCATTTATCTATTGATGGACAATCTTGGCTATCGTAAATGGTGCTGCAATAAACATAAGAGTGAAGGTATCTCTTTGAGAGACTGATTTCCTTTCTTTTGGGTATATACCTAGCATGGGGATGCTGTATCATATAGTAGCTTTATTTTTAGTTTTTTGAGGAATCTCCAAACTGTTCTCCATAGTGGTTGTACTAATTTACATTCACAGTGTATGAAGGTTCTTTGTTCTTCACATCCCTTCTACCATTTGTTTTTGCCTGTCACTTGGATAAAACCCATTCTAACTGGGGTGAGATGGTATCTCATTCTAATTTTGATTTCCATTTCTCTCATGATCAATGGTGTTGAGCACCTTTTCATTTGTCTGTTTGCCATTTGTATGTCTTCTTTTGAGAAATGTCTATCCAAATATTTTGCCTATTTTTAAATCGGGTTGTTAGTTTTTTTTCCTATAGAGTTGTTTGAGCCCCTTATGTATTCTGGTTATTAATCCATTGTCAGATGGATAGTTTCCAAATATTTTCTCCCATTCTGTGGGTTGTCTCTTGACTTTGTTTCCTTTGCTGTGCAGAAGCTTTTTAACTTGATGTGACTCCATATGTCCATTTTTGCTTTGGTTGCCTGTGCTTTTGGGTTATTACTCAAGCAATCTTTGCCCAATCCAATATCCTGGAGAGATTTCCCAATGATTTCTTTGAGTAGTTTCATAGTTGAGGTCTTAGCTTTAGGTATTTAATCCATTTTGGTTAGAATTTTGTATATAGCAAGATACAAGAGTTTAGATTCATTCTTCTGCATATGGGTATCCAGTTTTCCCAGCACCACATATTGAAGAGACTGTCCTTTTCCCAGTGTATGTTCTTAGCACCTTTGTCAAAAATGAGTTCACTGTAGATGTATGGATTTGTTTGTGGATTGTCGATTCTTTTTCACTGGTCTATGTATCTGTTTTTATGTCAATATCATGCTGTTGTGGTTACTATAGCTCTGTAGCATAATTTGAAGTCAGGTAATATGATTCCTCCAATTTTGTCCTTTTGGCTCAGGATAGCTTTGGCTATTCTGGGTCTTTGATGGTTCCAAATAAATTTTAGGATTTTGTCTCTATTTCTGTGAAGAATGTCATTGGTATTTTTATAGGGATTGCATTAAATCAGTAGATTGCTTTGGTAGTATGAACATTTTACCAATCCATGAAATTAGGATATCTTGGAAATTTTTGTGTCCTCTTTAATTTCTTGCATCAATATTTTATAGTTTTCATTGTAAAGATTTTCCACTTCTTTGGTTAAGCTAATTCCTAAGTATTTAATTTTATTTGTACCTATTGTAAATGAAATTATTTTCTTGATTTATTTTTCAGATTGTTTGCTGTTGGAATATTGAAATGCCACTGATTTTTGTCTGTTGATTTGGTATCCTGCAACTGTACTAAATTTATCAGTTTTAATAGTTTTTTGGTGGAGTCTTTAGGTTTTTTCAAATATGAGATCATGTCATCTGAAAACCAGAATAATTTGACTTCTTTCTATTCAATTTGAATGCCCTTTACTTCTTTCTCTTCTTTGATTGCTCTAGCTAGGATTTTCAGTACTATGTTGAGCAACAGTGGTGAAAGTACTGCCAGATGTATGGAAGCTCCATTATATTTTATTTGTGTCTTTTCCCTTGCTGCTTTTAAGATCCTTTTTTTAAAAAAAAAATCTTGACCTTTGGGAGTTTGATTATTAAATGTTTTGAGGTAGTCTTCTTTGGTTTTATATAACCTTCTTGTACTTGAATATTGATATTCCTAAACGGAAGTTCTCTGTTATTATGCAAATGAATAAACTTTCTCCTCTATCTCTTCCTCTACCTGCTCTTTAAGGGCAAAAAATCTCTTAGATTTGCCCTTTTGGGGCTATTGTGTAGATCTTGTAGGCCACCGGTTTTTATTCTTTTTTTCTTTTGTCTCCTTTGACTCTGTATTTTCAAATGGCCTGTTTTCAAGTTCACTAATTCTTTCTTCTGCTTGATCAATTCTGCTACTAAGAGACTCTGATACATTCTTCAGTATGTCAATTGCATTTTTCAACTCCAGAATTTCCACTTGATTCTTATTTATTATCTCAATATCTTAGTTAAATTTATCTGAGAGATTCTGGAATTCTTTCTCCCTGTTATACTGAATTCCTTTTGAGTTCCCTCAAAACAGCTATTTTGAATTCTCTCTCTGAAAGGTTGCATATCTCTGTTTCTCCAGGATTGGTTCCTGGTGTATTCTTTTATGTGTTTGGTAAGCTCACGTTTTCCTGGATAGCCTTGATACTTTCAGATGTTTGTCCATGTCTGCAAGGAAGAGTTCAATATTTATTGTAGTCTTTGAAGTCTGGGCTTGTTTGTACCCATCTTTCTTGGGAAGGCTTTTCAGGTATTCAAAGGGACTTGGGTGTTGTGATCTAAACCATAACTGTATTAGAGGGTACCCCAAGCCCAGTAATGCAGTGTTTCTTACAGAATTGTAGAGGTACTGTCTTGGTGGTCTTGGAAAACATCTGGAAGAATTCTCTGGATGACAAGACAGATACTCTTCTTCTCTTCCCTTACTTTCTCCTAAACAGAGTCTCTCTCCCCGTGCTGGAGTTGGGGGTGGGGTGACACAAGTCCCCCTGTGGCCACCACCACTTGAATTGTGCCGAGTCAGACCTGAAGCCAGCACAGCACTGGATCTTGCCCAAGACCTGCTGTAACCACTCCCTGACTACAGCCTATGTTCACTCCAGGCCCTAGGGCTCTACAATCAGCAGGTGGTGAGGCCAGCCATGCCTGTGTCCTTCCCTTTAGGGCAGTGAGTTACCCCAGGTCCCAAGTGGGTCAAGAGATGCCATCCGGGAGCCAAGGACTGGAGTAAAAAACCTTAGAAATCTACCTGGTGCCCTATGCTACTATGACTAAGCTGGAACTGAAACCACGAGACAAAGAGTTTCCCATTCTTCTCTCTCCTTTCCACAGGCAGAGGAGCTTTCCCCATGGCCACCACCATCACAGGTGCACAAGGATTACCGTCGGGCTACCTCTGGTGTTCACTTCAGGCCCAAGGACTCTTCAGCTTGTGGTAAAGGCTGCTAGTCCTGGGACTCACCATTCAGGACAGTGGGCTCCCTTCTGGAACAGGGCAGGTCCAGAAATGACTTCCATCATCCAGGCCTTGAAGTGGGGATCTCAAGAGGCTGCTTGGTGCTCTACCCCACTGTGGCTGAGCTAGTATCTGATTTTTGGTTCTTATGAAGGTTATTTTCTTGTGTAGATATTTGTCAAATTTGGTGTTTCTGCAGTGGAGACAATCAGTGCAGGCTTCTATTTGGCTATCCTGCTCTGTCCCTCTTTTAGAGCTTTGATTAGTATTACTAAATTTCTGATTTTATCTTTGGGAAAATAATATGTATACTATGAGTTGGATGGAATATTCCATGTGTCGCTGTATGCAAATTATCAAAAAGCACTACAGAAGATATTCAAAAGATAATGATTACTGGCATTAATTTCTATGGGTAAGTTTCCCATAAAGTAATGCCTTGACTTAAGTCACAGACTTGATATATAGGACACTCTAGGTCACATGAATAGAGTTGTTTAGTAAAGTAGATTTGACATCATGTCTTGTTCTCAGGTAATTCCTTCAGGCTAAGAATTGGCCTCCCATACAGTCCTATTATCAAAGGCAAATTCCACTGAATTACTCTAGTAATACCTCAAGTCATGAGCCTCTTTTAATGAATTATATTTATTGAATCAATTTTCCCATCAACAGTGAGCTCTGGAGCCAGGGACATGCCATGGCTTTATTATAAAGTTCTTCTTTGTGGTTAGACCTATGCTTTGCTCATCTCTGAGAAAATGTGGGCATAGTGTTGCATGAAGAAATATCAAGAAGAGTAAAGGGAAGGACATGGGAAAACATGATGAGAAATAAATGTTTGTCGTTTATAAGCCTCTCTGTTCATGGTCTTTTTGTCCTAGCAGCCTGAACAGACTAAGAGAGCTACATTTTCTTAGGCGATTGAAAAGAGATAAGATAGTTGCAAATTATCTCAATAATTATAAAATGTATCTTTATATCTGTACACAACCTATCAGAAAACTGTGGATCTTATAGGCTTAATCAATTTCTTCATTATTTATGTCAGTTAATACATTTAATGCATTTTCCAGATTACAATGACCTCTCAAACATCCAAAAACTACTGCAAATCAATTGAAATGGTTGCATTATCAATCAACTATTAATCAGACCAAAGAACCCAGCTGAGACTTCCACAGTGAGTTGAACGCTACCAGGTATTTATTACCTAGGTTTCTCTTATGATGAAGATTGACAGGCTGTGCCAATGGGAATGTTCATAGCCATGCTTTTTTGTCCAACCTCTCTCTCTCTCTTTCTCTTTCTTCACTACATGGGTGTCATGAGGTATGTTATGGGCTGACTGGTGTCCTCCCAAAATCTGTATTTGAAGTTATAATCCCCAGTACTTTAGAATGTAACCATAATTTGAGATAGAATCTTTAAAGACGTAATTAAATGGTATAATATCATTAAGGTGGGCTCTAATGTAATGACTAGTGTCTTTATAAGAAGAGAAAATCTGAACACAGACATGTACAGAGGGAAAACTGTGTGAAGACAGAGGGAGGCCAAGGCAACCTACAAGCCAAGGAAAGAAGCCTGAAACACATCCTTCCTCGTAGCCCCCAGAAGGAACCAACCATGCTGACACTTTGATCTCAGATTTTCAGCCTCCAGAAGTGGAGAAAGTGAATTTCAGTTTTTGAAACTGCCCAGTGTGCAGTATTTTGTTACAGCAACCCTAGCTAACTAATACACGATGTTTAACCTCAATGTATAACTTAAGTCATTGTGTAACTTTTGTATCTCTGTAAAGTTGTTTGAGTCTTCCATAGGTTTTATTTGCTAGGAGATACAAGGCTGAGTCGATCTGTCAGTCTTCATTCTAAATTTTGACCAGTCCATCATGTAGCAAACCCATTTACACTCTATCCACCTGGTTCTTGTCTACGGTTCCTTGAGGTGATGGTCCCTAGCTGTTCTTAGTGCAATTCCTCCCTCCTTTCAGACACTTTTTGCATCTCCTTCCATACTACACACAGAGGTAAGTAAAAAACAAAGTAAAACAGAACAAAAAACCAACATATTAATACCTATAAACATGTACTTGGAAAAACAAAACAAATACATCAATAGTCCCCTACTAATTTTAGTTAATTGAAAAATTGCTTTCACCCTTTTTTGTAGTATAATTATCATCTCATACACTGTAATTAAATTATTTCCTCTTTGAATGTCATGGCTTTCTTATAGACTCAATTCATCCCAACTAGTTATAGTTTCTCCCTTTGGATGCTCAAATTGTTGCATCTTGGCTAGTGGGGGTCTTGTTAAGCTATCTCCTTTGTCCTTTTGGTACAACTCTACACATTGCTACAATTTCCTTGTTTTCTGGCAGCCACTCCAGCTCATAATCTATCCAAATTTTGCTTCATCCCGAGGCACCCAAGGCATGGAATCAATTGATCTCCAAGGAGCCTTTGTTCTCTGTAGTTCAAGAACTAATTCGTATTAGGGCATAAGATGTGGCCACTCACTGTCCATAAGTACTGGGGGACAGAAAGACAGAAATAACTGAAAAAAAAATGACTTATATTCAAGGTCATGAAGTTCACAACTACATTTCTAATTTAGCTTTAAGATTAATCAAGCATTTTAATTTTTTCCACTAAAATATGCCTAACTTAGACTTTAACCCATCACCCAAACTGTAATTGTGCCCCATTTTATTTTTACTTTCTTTTTATGTCTCATTGACCAATGTGACTTTGTAATCACTTTATTGACCCTAAAGAATTCAAAGCACCTCATAAACAGCCTCTATTTATTCTCCCTCACCTGTCACTATATCTATGAAACAATTCATCCCCTTATATACATGTCGTGAGCATCAACACATTCCAATTCCATGGAGTCATATTTCACAAGCTTATGGCCCAATTTTCTAAAGATGCAATTAACAGGCTGAGTGACCTTTACCTTCATCTATAATCTTAAAAAAAAAATACTAAGTAAGAAAAAGAGAAAGTCAGGTCTTGAATGTTATGATTCAGGGTCATGAAAGGTCCAAGATCAAATCTGCTGTGTTACTTAAAGTGTCTTCACAGGATGAATATGAAGGGAAAGACGACGTAACTATCCTATAAGAAACATGACACCGAACCTCATTCAGCCAGGTTTTTTTTGTTGTTTTTTTTTTTTTTTTTCTTTTTCTTGAGACGGAGTCTTGCTCTGTCGCCCAGGCTGGAGTGCAGTGGCGCGATCTCGGCTCACTGCAAGCTCCGCCTCCTGGGTTCACTCCATTCTCCTGCCTCAGCCTCCTCCTCAGTAGCTGGGATTACAGGCGCCCGCCACCACGCCCGGCTAATTTTTATGTATTTTTTAGTAGAGACGGGGTTTCACCGTGTTAGCCAGGATGGTCTTGATCTCCTGACCTCATGATCTGCCCGCCTCGGCCTCCCAAAGTGCTGTTATTACAGGCATGAGCCACAGCGCGCAGCCCCAATTTTTTTTTCCCATCTGAACCTGAAGATTAAAAGAGTTAAACTGCATAAAAGCACTTTATAAATTTAAACCATGTATAAGTTGTCAGAATTTTTACTACAAATTACCAACCATGATACTGATTGAGTTAATTCAAGCATTAAGCTGTTAAGATGATCACATAAGTGCAGTCAGCAAGTCCTCACAAACTGTATATCCTGGATTTCCAGTTTAGTGCTTTATTCACCAGATTATGCAGCATTCCAGATATGAAAATGAATTCCATGGATGAGAAGTAATCATTCAGCCATGGGCCAGGCTATCATCTTTCCCTGCACACCTGCCTGGAAGAGATTCAACAGGAAAGGCCTCACTTACCTGAGATAAAGGCCAGTCCAGGAAGGACTGTGATGCCAGGTGCTTTACCCATAAACAGTACAGCACATGGCTGCATTAAAGTTGTAAGGCACGCAAGCCTTACTGGCCTATTTTATTCATTCCAGTTTCCAGGGCTAACACTCCAAACTCCGATTCAGAGGTATACCTTTGTTTTCATTCGAACATAACCAAAGAAAGAAAGCTCATGATACAGCAGTTTCATTACATTATGCAAATTTTTATGCTCCCATTTCCTCTTGTGTTTTACAGGTCGTACTTTACTTACAGGGAAGGAGAATACAGCTCAGAAAAGAGAGAGTAATCAAAGGGGGAGCATGAAAACAAACAAAGGAAGCAGTCTGCACTCAATCACAGCGATGTGATTGGAAGGGTGATAAGGGATAAAGGGCCACAAACTCACTGTCACAATTGCCATTATGTGACATCACTGATCATAGTTAGCTTTAGTTAAGCTATGTCTCTTTGGCTCAAGAATAAAGAGCATGCACTGCAAATAATAAATAATTCCTGTAAATTTACTTTTAATTTACATGCAATAAAGTGTCCTCCTCCTTTTCTTCTTCTTCTCTTCTTCTTCTTCTTCCTCTTCTTCTCCTTCTTCTTCTTCTTCTTCCCTTCTTCTTCTTCTTCTTCTTCTTCTTCTTCTTCTTCTTCTTCTTCTTCTTCTTCTTCTTCTTCTCCTTCTCCTTCTTCTCCTTCTTTCTCCTTCTCCTCCTCCTCCTCCTTCTCTTTCTTTTTGTCTTTCTTCTTCCTTCTTCTTCTTGAGGCAGGGTCTTACTTTGTCACTGGGGCTGGAATACAATGGCGTGTTCTCAACTCACTGCAACCTCCACTTCCTGGGCTCAACCAATTCTCCCACCCCAGTAGCTGGGACTAACAGGTGCATGCCTTTATGCCTGGCTAATTTTGCATTTTTTTGTAGAGACAGCATTTCCCCATGTTGCCCAGGCTGGTCTTGAACTCCTATGCTCTAGCAATCCTCCATCCTCAGCCTCTCTAAGTGCTGGGATTACAGGCGTGAGCCACCGTGCCCAGCCTCCTTCTTCTGATACACAGTTTTTGTTCATTTGTTTGAAATAGAAGCTTGCTCTGTTGCTCAAGCTGGAGTGCAGTGGCACAATCATGGCTCAATGTAGTCTCACACTCCTGGGTTCAAGTGATTCTCTTGACTTAGCCTCTCATGTAGCTTGGACTACAGGCATATGCCAATCATAATTAGCCATGCCTGGCTAATTTTTTGTTTGTTTGTTTGTTTGTATTTTAGTAGCTATGAGGTCTTGTTATGTTGCATAAGATGATTTCCAACTGGGTTTAAGGGATCCTCCCACGTCAGTCTCCCAAAGTGCTGGGATTACAGGCATGAGCCACTGCACCCAGACTGATATACAGTTTTATGAGATTTGGCAAATGGCTAGAGTCATGTAGCTACTTTCCCAATCAGACTACAGTGTAACTCCAGTGATACACAACAAAGACTATTTCTTTATATTCAAATACTCCACCTCCACCTATCCTGAACCTCTGGCAACCACTGTCAGCTCTTCATCCCCATAGCGTTATCTTTTCCAGAATGTCATACAAATGTGTAGCTGTATTCATTTAGTATAATGGATAATGTATTGTGGATTCATCCATGTTTTTATATATCTCTGTAATTTGTTCTTTTTTATAGTCCTATAGCATTGTATTATATGGATATACCAGTATTTGTCCATGCATTAGTTAAAGAACATTTGGGGTATTTTCAGGTTTTGGTGACTACCGATGAAACTGCTCTAAACATTTACGAGCTTTTCTATGACATAAATTCACTTCACTTGAATAAATACCTGTGAGTAGGATTGTTGAATCATATGATGAGTATGAGTTTACATTTATAAGAAATTGCCAAACTACATTATTAAAAAGTCAAGTGTTGAGCACGGTGGCTTATGCCTATAATCCCAGCACTTTGGGAGGCCGAGCTGGATGGATCATCTGAGGTCAGGAGTTCGAGACCAGCCCGGCCAAGGTGGTGAAACCCATCTCTACTAAAAATACAAAAATTAGCTACTTGGGAGGCTGAGGCAGGAGAATCACTTGAACACAGGAGGCAGAGCTTACAGTGAGCCAAGATCATGCCACTGTACTCTAGCCTGGGTGACAGAGTAAGACTCTGTCTCAAAAAAAAAGGTCAAAAAATAACAGATGCTGGCAAGGTTATGCAGAAAAGCAAACACATATACACAGTTGGTGGGAGTATAAATTTTCTCAACCATTGTGGAAAGCAGTGTGATAATTCCTCAAAGAGCTAAAAACAGAAGTAACATTCCACCCAGCAATCCCATTACTGGGTATATACCCAAAGGAATATAAATCATTTTATTAAAAAGAACACACATATGTTCATTGCAGCACTATTCACAATAGCAACATGGAATCAACCTACATACTCATCAATGGTAGACTGGATTAAAAAATGTGATATATATGTGATATATATATATATACACGCACCATGGAATACTATGCAGTCATAAAGAAAGTCATAAAGAAAGAATGAGATCATGTCCTTTGCAGGAACACGGATGGAGCTAGAGGCTATTATCTTTAGCAAACAAATGCAGGAATAGAGAGCCAAATGCGATATGTTCTCACTTCTAAGTGGGAGTTAAATGATGAGAACACATGGACACAAAGAGGGGAACAACAGACACTGGGTTCTACTTGAGGGTGGAGGGTAGGAGGAGGGAGAGGATCAGATAAAATGACTACTGTGTACTAGGCTTAGTACCTGGGTGATGAAATAATCTGCACAAGAAACTCCCATGAGGTGAGTCTATCTATACAATAAACCTACCCATGTAATCCTGAACCTAAAATAAAAGTTTAAGCAAAAGAAACTGCCAAACTGTTTTTCAAAGTGACTATACAATTTTGCAATTCCATTTGCAATGTATGAGAGTACTAGACCAGTAGAGAGTCTACAACCTCATCAACTCTTAATATTGTTAAGTATTATTGTTGTGGTTATTATTATTATTATTGCAATTCTAATACTTGTGTAGTGTCATCTTATTGTTGTTTTAATTTGCATTCACCTAATGACTAATGATGTACCTCTTTCCACATGCTTTTGCCATCATGTTTTCTTCAGTGAAATATCTGTTTAAACCATTTTTCTAATTTTAAATAATTTTTCTTTCTGCTGAATTTGTTAAATAATTTCTAAACTTATGATTTTTTGGGGGGTGGGGGATGGAGCCTCGCTCTGTCGCCAGGCTGAAGTGCAGTGGTGTGATCTCGGTTCACTGCAACCTCCGCCTCCCGGGTTCATGTGATTCTCCTGCCTCAGCCTCCCGAGTAGCTGAGAATACACGCATGTGCCACCATGCCCAGCTAATTTTTGTATTTTTAGTAGAGACGGGATTTCACCATCTTGGCCAGGATGGCCTTGATCTCTTGACCTCGTGATCCGCCCACCTTGGACTCCCAAAGTGCCGGGATTACAGGATTGAGCCACTGCGCTCAATCTGATGTTTTATCAAGTAAAAGCTACAGAGTCAGAATCATAATACATAGAATTTGAGTGAATGATAGCAATATGAAGCTAGATTTTAAGAAGTCGAAAGGCTTACAGTTCTAGATCACAGCTTCTCAGAGTTTAGTGTGCAAACAAGTCACATAGGGATCTTGTTCAAAATGTGGGTTGTGATTCATCAGATCTGGGTGGAGCCTGAGAATGTGAGTTCTAATACAGCCCCAGGTGATGCCAATGTTGCTAGTTGATGCATCACATTTTAAGTAACAAGAGACTAAAGGAATCTGGTTCAAATTACCTTTTTAGAACCCCAAAGCTGAACAACACTCAGCATGTAATTATGTTTACCTTTATTTTTGGAAGAAATAGAAACATGTAATTAATAAATACATCAAGATAGTTGCAGCTCCTTTAAGACACAGTGCAAACAGCTAGAACTTGAATAGGTATGTCACAAAGTCCCTGTAACAAAAACCTCTCCAAAAATTATGTTGTCATGTTTAATTGGTTAAAAAAAAAAATTCGCTGGTTATGGTCAAAACTTTCTGTGTCCTTCTCCTGTAAACATTGGTGTGGGAGTGGATGAGTGGTGTTCAAATGGCGTAGGACCTTACTTAAAAACATCATATACAGGGGATTGGAAATAATTTGAGTACTATATAAATGTCGCTTAACATTGCATAACATATAAAATAAAGTGACAGTAGAAAAATCCTTTTATTTTGCAAGTCTCATCAGAACCTGGAATTTTTGTTGCACTTCTAATTTTAAAAGACAGAGAATCTGAAGATTCCAGAGAAGAGAATCATCTATGATTTTGGCAATGCAAACACTGGTCTTTAAGAAGGTAATTTGTATTTTAAGGAGTAAGCAATACGATCCATTGAGATTCAGGAAGAAAATATTAGAGCTTCTACTTTCACACATTTTTAAATTGAAAAAATAAGAAAATTATATTACACCAATGTTTACTATATCACTTGACACATGGACCTTCATTCAGTCTCTATGTCATAGACTTACCTTGAAGAGTTTCATTTTGGATGTAAGTTTGAAATATTTTGGGGACATCCAAACAAGGATGTCAAGGAAGCAGCTAGATAAGTGATCACAAGGGAGAGAAGGGCAGATTCATAAACCAAGAAGGTGTCTGAATATAGAAGGAGTGGATGGGATGCCTTTGGTGACAAAAGCAAGTGTAACTAGGAGGGGAGTGTAACATTTAGAGTTTGGGTACAAAAGGAAGAAATGAACAAGGAGAACTGAGAAGGAGGCAAGGGTCAAGGGTGGCAAGAGAAGCAGGCGGGTTTCCAGGAAAAAATGATAGCGTGTCAAGAAAGACGGATTAACCACATTAAATACTGCTGGAGGGTTGAGGAAAATGAGGGCACAGTATGCCTACTGGATTTGATTACACGAGCACTATGGTGAACTCAGCAAGAGAGCAGCTATCTCAGAAGATTCCGTGAAAACTGGAAGCCGTGGGTCCATTGTTTAAGCAAGGACATTTTCTCCTTTGGTTGTTAACAAAAGTTGATTTTATTCTGGTGTAAAGAAATGCATGCATCTTGTTTTAGTGTGCTCAATGTGTGCTCAATGCATTTTTGAAGATCAAAGACATGCAAAAGGCGACAAACAAAAATATTTTTAAGTCAATCACCAAGACTCCTATTATCTAAAAGCAATCCCTGTAACAGTGCTGTGTCTAACTTCTGTGTTTTCTCACTTGATAAGTTTTTATTCTTTTAGCTTATTCTATGTAATTGTGATTATATTTTATGCAGCATTTTATGCACTGGCTTTTTCACTTCACTTTTTAATAAACATTTTCCAAGTTTTAAATGCTTTGTAAGCATAATATACCATAAAGTGAGCATACCATGGAGATACTCATCCCATTTAGGTTGTTTCCAATTTGAAGGCTGTTATAAATAAAGCTGAAATGAGCATTTTTCTGTATAAACTTTTTCCCCAATTTTTCTAGATTATTTTCTTACAGAGGAATATCTGCAGGGAAATCTCTGAGTTAAATGTTAGAAGGACCCTCAAACTCTAAGGACCTATTTTAAATGAACATCTCTGTGTGCTGTGGATTGGAAAGAAGAACCCCAAATCAACGCTAAAGCAAGATGATAAACTCTTAGTGGTTTTAATTCGTTAACTCCCATGGACACACCTCATCCCAATTTCCTTTCTCACAACTTAGAGTCTTACTTTTCCACTTCCTCCTCCAAGTTCATCTGGAACTTTCCTAATACTGAACAGAAGAACATAACTGCCAGTAAAATGACAGGGAGAAAGGAGAAAAAGAGGCAAAGAGAGAGAAGAGAAAAAGAGGAAATGGGAGGAGGGGGAGCAAAAAGAGGGAAAGAGAGGAAGACAAGGCCACTTGGTGCATTCATTGATATGGTTTGGCTGTGTCCCTACCCAAATCTCACCTTGAATTGTAATAATCCCCACGCAGGGCATGGCTAAGTGGAGATAATTGAATCATGGAGTGGTTTCTCCCATAGTGTTTTCGTGGTAGTGAACAAGTCTCAGGATATCTGATGGTTTTATAAGGGGCTTTGTCCCATTTTGTTCAGCACTTCTCTTACCTGCTGCCACGTAAGACATGACTCTGCTTCTCCTTTGCCTTCTGACGTGATTGTGAGGCTTCCCCAGCCATGTAGAACTGTGAGTCCACTGAGCCTCTTTCCTTTATAAATTACCCAGTCTCAGATATGTCTTTCTTAGCAGCATGAGAACAGACTAATACATTAATTTTTAAAAAGCCTTTGAGTTTTGTGTAATTTATATTTTTCTCCAAACACTTCCATTTTTTTAAGGCTGGAGCATTGTCATAGAAGACACATCAATTTTAAGTTCTTTGACAACCAAGCTTCTTTTTCTATTATCTCACCACTTTCTCCCTTTTGAGAAACTCTTCTTAGTGAAGTCTTGGTGAAACGCTCCAGTCTATCACTTAAAAAGAAAAACCAAGCGCAGCTCTTCCCGCCCTGTCCTTGGTCAACAGGAAGCTGGCACATGAATTGGGCTTATCCAGTTGTCAATTAATTCTGGGGTTTGTATCCTGAAAGAGTGGCCAAATAATGCGGAGGCCTCAGCAGCCAGCTCATGCTTCTGTTGTGACCCCTGCTGCAATCTTCGATGATCAGCTCCCCTGTTGATTACCCGTTCCTAAGTCTGGTCCTCCTGCTTCTAGTTTCTTCTATAGATCCCCGAGAACCCTTCCAATAATCTCCCTTTTCACTGAGTCCATCTTTGTTGCTTGTAAAGAAGGCTCTGTCTGAATCAAGTAGGCAGAACAGGGCCTCATTTAGAGGTTTGGACTTTAGAGCAGTGGGAAACCACTGCGTGCGTAAAAACTCTTTCTGCACTCATTGCCCAGGGGGAAAACAGAGACATGGAGTATGAGGGGAGTTAAGGGGGAAAAAAAAGGAAAGAAAAAAGAAAGAGAGAGAGAGAGGGTCACACACGTGGAATTGCCCGGAAGGGTGGGGAGCAGACAGAAGGCTTCCGAGAGTGGCCGACACATCGAGATCAAGAACATTCAAGGACATTCTCGCTTTAGCATCACACTCAGACTCGGGGGACCAGGAAGTGAAGACAAGGACTGAGACACTGTAAAAACTGCATGTCTGAAAGCAACGGCAAGGGCAAATGAGGATGCCAGGAGAGACATTTTACGCAGCTCCTGAGCGATTTTGCAGGGCTTCATGTAGCTCACTTCAGGGGAACAGAAAGAATGAAGTTTGGTAATAATTTGCCCTTCTGACAGCCTCTGACCCCACAATACTCATCTCCAATATATTCGACACAAAAAGGCCACCCCAGCATAGAGCTATCTCTCCTTCTCACCTTCTGGAAGAGAGTTTCCTAAACTTTACTGATAAGAGTCACTTGCAACTCCGGTTAAAAATTTAGCTTCCCGGCTGGGCACGGTGGCTCATGCCTGTAATCCAGCACTTTGGGAGGCCGAGGAGGGTAGATCATGAGGTCAGGAGTTCAAGACCAGCCTGGCCAAGATGGTGAAAACCCATCTCTACTAAAAATACAAAAATTAGCCAGGCGTGGTGGTGGGCGCCTGTAATCCCAGCTACTCAGGAGGCTGAGGCAGGAGAATTGCATGAACCCAGGAGGCGGAGCTTGCAGTGAGCCGAGATCGCACTACTGCACTCCAGCCTGGGCGACAGAGCGAGACTCCGTCTCAAAAAAAAAAAAAAAAAAAAAAAAAAACAGCTTCCTAGGTTTTGCCCCTGGACATTCCTATACAGAGGGTCAGGGTGGGATCTGAGAAATTTTTTTTAACCAGTTCTACCACATAATTCTTGTCATCATAAAAGTGTGGAAAACACTACCGTATAATTAGTTACTTGGTGCAGGTATGTAATAGACACCTAGCAGTGTCTATCGGGTGTCTATTGGAGCAGGGGCTAGAGGAGAGGATTGTTATAGAGTAAAAATGATGCTTTCCCTGCTGTGGGAAGGATTACAGTCTTAAGGGATGGACAGAACTATTCATAACTAATTTGAATACAAGCCAAACTATAAGCATAGGAGTGATTGTCCAGTTAAGGGACTATAGAAGACAGAAGACAGCATTGAAGGGGTAGATGGCAAATTGTGGAGACTTGGTGAGAAAGGAGGCCTTTGACCTAGGGCCTAAATGGATTTTGCGCAAAAATAAAAATCAATCCCTTTGAGGCTGGCACTGGAAAGAAAATACCCTGGAGGAAGGAGCACCAGATTCTGGAGCTCTGAACTTGTTTCCAGATCCTCTCTTGCTTCGCCTCCTTCTCTGTTTCCATTGTCACCATCCTGCTGGCCTCAGAGGGTAGTAATCTTCAAACACTCTGGCCCAGACAGAAAAAAGAAAGCCCTTTCAATGAACTCCCCATTGTCCAGCTGAGGCTGAGGCAAGGCTGAAATTAAAAATAATGAAAATCAATAGGCCCTTTACTAAATGCTGAAGAGCAGAAACAAGGAAATAAACAGTCCTATAAAATCAAAACATCTAAGAGGCCCACTCCATCCACATGGAACCCCTAAGGAAAGGGAATTATTCCTGACTCCTTCTCTTCCTATGTCCTGATCGCACTTGACTTGACAGGTACTATTTTCATCTTTGTCTATCATTTGGACTCCTAAAAGTCTAGACAAGGAGAAGGAGAATCATTCTCCTTGAATGGAGTGTTTCCCCTCCCAGGTCCAGCCTCCTGAGTTAGAACTCACCTCTCCTCCAAGCAACTGAGAGCGACTGACTTTCTTTCTGAGCTTCGGTTTCTTTACGGCTTTTCAAAGAACACCATGGCTACTTTGTCTGAAATCAAGTCTGGATGCTGTCATTAATTAACTGCATAAATTCTGTCTAGGCATTTAACCTTTCTGAGTTTCTATTTTTCTGTAGGTAAAATTAAAGGTTTGTATTAGAGCTCAGCTCAGTCCCATTTCTGATCTGTCTGTACTTCTAGGGACATCCATGGGCATGACTCAAATTGTTCATAGTATATGTTTTGCCTCAGCAGTAACACCTTAAATGAAATAGCCTGAACCTAAAAGCTCAAGTCTAAGAGGGCTCACATACCTAAATTCAAACATCCCTCTGCTTTTAGAGAGCAAGCCCAGTGTGTGGGAACTGAGCTCTTGGATTCTCTACTTCTCTATGTATAGCATTTAAAGTACATTAGGACTGAGGGACTCCAGAAGACCTTTCTCTCTCTGGCAAACTTAGCTGCATGCAAAAATAGCATACTGGTACAAACAGAAAAAGTGAGTCATCAGCTTCTCCCTCAGGCCCCCATGTCCAGTGTCTGAACCATTAGAAATGAAAAGCAGGATTCAAACTAGCCTCATGGCATCAAGCAGTTCCCCAGGATCTACAAACCATAGTACTTACAACTTCCTTTTCATACATAATATGTGTACAGGGCTTTAGTATGATGATGATGATGATAATGCTCAAAGATGAAAAGAACCTGAATGGAAATAACAAAATGGCTTGAGGTGCCTTCCTTGGCGTCCCCCATATCTATTCTTTTGCTGAAGTTCACATTACCCAATACAGGTTTTTTTTTTTTTTTATCATTAAAGGAGCGTAGAGCATTAGAATCTTCTTTAACAGGAGATCTATAAGAGCTAGACCTAGAAAATATAGACAAAAAAGAAGCTAGATTAAAACACTTCCCGTTGAGAGTATGGAAGTGATCAAAACTGGGAAACCCTGCTCCAATGACGAATCAAAGTTAGAAGGCCTGGTGGGCAGGAAGCAAATATTCACAGCTGGGTATGGAACCAAGAAGTCCAAAAGGAAGGCAAAGAGGAGAACTGGGACATTGGAGAAGATGGGTGAGCAGAAAGTTAGTCTGGGGAAATACTAGAACACAGCTCTACTGGCCAGGCACAGTGGCTCACGCCTGTAATCCAACACTTTGGGAGGCCGAGGCGGGTGCATCACCTGAGGTCGGGAGTTTGAGACCAGCCTGATCAACACGCAGAAACCCCGTCTCTACTAAAAATAAAAAATTAGCTGGCTGTGGTGGCGCGTGCCTGTAATCCCAGCTACTCAGGAGGCTGAGGCAGGAGAATCACTTGAACCCGGGAGGCGGAGGTTGCAGTGAGCCGAGATTACTCCATTGGACTCCAGCCTGGGCAACACGAGTGAAACTCCATCTCAAAACAAAAAAAAAAAAGGAAAAATAAAAAAGAAAAAACAGCTCTATTACTACTACTGCTACTACTACTGATAAGTGGCCTTTTCACATTCTCATGGTATAGGCCATGGAAATTATTAGGGGTTCTATAAGTCAATGCAACCCTTCAAAAAGAGACAGCAGGCCAGTGGGCATATATATATATATTATATATATAATATATAATATATTATATATTATATATATAATATATATTATATATTTATATATTATATATTATATATTATATATAATATATTTATATATAATATATAATATATAATAATATTTATATATAATATATAATATATAATAATATATATATTATATATATATTATATATATAATATATATTTATATTTTGGCTACATGATGTCATAGGCTTCCAATTGAATTTGGTTTCTACCACTTAATTGCATATTGCTGATAAATAATTTACAACAAAGTTAGCAGCATAAAACACCACACATTTATTATATCACAGTTTCCATGGATCAGGAGTCGGGCCTGGCTTTGTTGAATCATCTGCCTCAGAGTCTCATCTGGAAGCTGCAATCAAGGCATCAGCCAGTGCTGCAACCTCACTTCAAGGGTGGACTGGGAAAGCATCATTTTCCAGGCCCATTTGGTTGTTGATAGCATCCTGTTTCTGGCAAGCTGTCAGGTTGAGGGCCTTAGCTTCTTGCTAGCTGTCAGCTAGAAGTTGCCCTCAGTTTCTGACTATGTGGCCTCTTCCCAGGGAACAGATCACAGCCTAGAACCTTGCTCCTCACAGCCAGCAAGGAAGCAATGTTACAATCACACCAAATATAATTATGTACATGCAATCACATATATCCCATTGGCTTTGCCATATTCCATTGGATAGAAGCAAGTTACAGGACATGTCTATACTCAAGCCAAGGGGATAATCAAAGAGCATGATTACCGGGAAGCAGGGGTTATGGGGAACACCTTACAGTCAGTCTATATGTCACACATAGAGCTTCTTGTTGGTGTGTGCTATTGATGCTACTCTTCTATTCCCCCTGAGAAACCAAGCAAAGACAGTACAGTACTAGAAATGAGCTACCTCACATAGTGAAGTATACATTGCAGAACCTGAAAATGGAGCTCTCTAGCCATACCAGGATTAACAAGACACAGTTGTTTCTCCTTTGTGTGGACTACCTGCTGCATTTCCTTTCCCAGAAACCAAAGCCTTCATTTCCCAAAATACTGTAGACAGAAATCAGTAACTAGATGAAATGAGGGGAGTAGGCAAACAGGGAAAAGTATAAAGATCTACATTTGGATTCCCCAAACCACCTGCACAAGTTGAGGCAGAGCTTGACAATAAAGGCTCCTGGAAAAGACTTAAGGGATTTGGTTGACTCCACATGGGTCAGCAGCATGATGGGGCTGCCAAGACCAGTGAAGGCAACTGGAGGCTGTGTTAGACTCAGTATAATTTGTCTAGACAGAGGGAGGAGACACTCTTTCCTCACCCTGTGCTACTCTGACCACACATGGATAATGATGCTAATTGCAGATCCCATGTGCTAAGAGAGACATGCATCAAGAGCACCTGCAAAGAGGACCCCCAGGAAACCAAGGACATTAAAACCATGGGAGATACCAAAATGGATAAGGACTGGGAATACCTATTCTGCAAAGATAAAATCCTAAGATGAATAGTAGCACTGCTTTCAGGCATTAGAGGGCTGTCATATGGATGAGGAATTAGACGGTTTTATAGGAGCCTAAGGGATATAACTAAAACCCATAGTGGAAGTACAGGAGGATTCAATTTCTGCTCAGGGTAAGAAACATTCTCCAGTCAGCACAATTGCCATGGCAGATAATAGATGCTTCTCATTGGAGATCTTCATTGAATCATTCACTTATTCCACAAACATTTATTAGCTCCCACCAACTGCCAAGCTCCAGACTATGCAGACATCCAACGAAGAAGATGCATTTCCTGAATGCACCTTGAATAAGACAAACAAACAAACAATTTCAATAAAGTGCTAAGTGCTGAAGTAACCAATGACCCCCAAACCTCAGATATTTCTTTCTTGCTCATGTCACATGTAGGAGGCCACAGCTCAGGTCCCATGGTTCCATGTGCCTTCTCATTCTTGGGACCAAGCCGAAGGAACTTGGCACAGGAAAAGAGCAATGAAGCTGGTAAAAACTTATAATGCCTTTGAAAACTTCCTCTCAGAAGGAACTAATCTGCTCCCCTTCCGTTGACTGAAGAATGTCACTTGGCCAAGCCTGGCACCAGTGACAGAAAAGCACAGGGGGCCACTGAAAGTCATATAGCAAGAGGCAGGTATGTCTCATCCTCTATGGAGATGCAGGGAGCAGATGATCAGGAAAAAATGAACTAATCAACTATAATGCCCTTGGAGACATGCTGGGGGATTTGAAAGAGAAAACTAGTCCTTTCCCCAAGAAGAAATCAGAGATTGTGTGGAAAAGATAACGCTTCAGAAGGATCTTTGAAGATGGTGGCCATTCTTCACAGGCTAGGACTATCACTGTCACTTTCTAAAGTCACTCTATATTCACACATATATGAATTATACAGAATAATGCAATTTATTTGACTGTTTATAAATCAGTTAGCACTAGTCTAAGCAGCATAGTTTTATTGCCTGGGGAGAAAGGTGAAAGAGTGAATAATCAAACTTTCCACTTGGGGAGAGAAATCTACAGAAATTTAAATGAGGTAAATGAAATTTTACAGTTGAGAAATTATAGTTATGAAGATCTAGGTTAATCTGGGAATGAAAGTGGGTGAATCAAGAGAAAAATATAAGAAGCTGAATTTAATTAAGAAACCTAGAAGGAAGATATTAAGAGCTATTGTCCACGAGGAATAATAAATGAAAGATTTTTCTGTCATTTTTGGTTTCAAAGGCCTAAATTGTGGTTTTTCTATCCTCCTCAACAAACTTTATCTGTGAAAATTCCACTGATAGAAGGAGAATAACCACGGTGATTAAAGTGTGTTTATTTGTTTATAGGAAATTTTTATTGTCTGGCTACTGGGAGCAAAACAATTTTCACTAGGGCAGAAGATAAAAATTGTCCCTTTTTTCTTAAATGTGGCCAGTGAACCAAGGGAATTTGGATGAGGCAAGAATGGGCACTTGGCCTAAAACACTTAATTGCTCCCATTGTGCACCCTTTAATTTTTAATACATTTTATTTCTGCATTCAGGGAGTAGTTTTTACTTTGCTTTGTTGTTGTTGTTATTGTCGTTGTCTTCCTCTTTCTCCTGCTGCAGTGCTATTCTTTTAAAACTTTTGCAATGAACATGCTAAATGCCAATTGTACCATGCAGTGCCTGTGAGAATAAGTGCTTCCCTATCAATTTGCAGCTTGAAAACTGCCTTCTTCTACAAGGAAAAATACAATTTTAAAAAATAGTGTTGGGATTGTAACAAAATTATCACAGTACTTCTCACTAAAGCTAGTACTGGGGCACAATTAGGGGCAAGTATAGTGAGTTTCAGAACTTCTGAGAAGTTGTTGTGCAAGGCAAAATGTGTTGAATGGAAGTTAGAAGGCCTCTTTGGATTTCTGTGTCCACAGTTCTTAGCAGTGTTCTTTCGGCTAAGCACAATAATACTGAGCACTTACTCTGTGCCACATTTGGCTTGAAGCTTTTCTGTGTATTAACTAATACACTCCTCATAACAATGTCATATGTGGGGAGCATTATTATTTCTATTTTATACGTTATAAAACTGAGTCACAGCCACTTATCCCAAATATATAGAGACTTTTTAGAAATCACTAACAAAAATGCAAACAAGCCAATAGGAAACAATAGGCAAAAGACAAGAATAGGCACTTCATGAAAGAAGAGACCCAAACAGCCATTAAACACTGTAACTAATTACAAGTAAACTAAACTGAAAGTATAGCTAAGTAAAAGTGTTCAACTTCATTTGTCATCACAAAATCCAGTGAAAACCAAAATGACACACTACTACCTACTCAACAAAATGGCTAATATTGCAAAGACTGATACTACCAAAATCTTTGAAAAAAAAACAGAGAAACATGACTGGTAGGGTATGAGTTGGCCTCACTTCTTTGGAAAGCAGTTCAACATTAACCATTCAAGTTGAGCATTTGAAAGTCCTGTGATGTGACAATCTCACTCTTAGGTTTACACCAAATATATGCTTGAAATCGTGTACCAAAAAGCATATCTATGAGTATATTAGTCAGGGTTCTCTGGAGGAACAGAACTAATAGGATATATGTATATATGAAAGAGAGTTTATTAGGAAGAATTGGCTCACACGATCACAAGGCAAAGTCCACAATATGACTTCTGCAAACTGGGGAAGAAAGAAGCCAATAGTGCCTCAGTCTGAGTCCAAAAGCCTCAAAACCAAAGAAGCTGACAGTGCAGTTTTCAGTCTGTGGCCAAAGGCCCAAAAGCCCCCAGCAAAACTACTGCTGTAAGTCCAAGAGTCCAACGGCGGAAGAACATGGAGTCTGATGTCCAAGGACAAAAACGATCCAGCACAGGAGAAAGATGAAAGCCAGAAGACTCAGCAAGCCAACTTATCCCACCTTCTTCCACCTGCTTTGTTTTTGTCTGAGAGAGGACTGCTGGCCATGGATTGGATGGTTCCCACTCACATTGAGGAGCATGAGATCTTCCTCTCCCAGTCCACTGACTCAAATATCAATCTCCTCTGGCAACACCCTCACAGACACACCCAGAAACAATGACCAGCCATCTAGGCATCCCTCAATCTAATCAAGTTGACACCTGATATTAGCCATCACAAAGAATGTTCATGAAACCATGATTTGTGAAAGTCCTAACTGGAAACAGCACAAATACCCTCAACAGAAGGATGACTAAGAATATTTAGTACATTCATACAATATGACATTATTCAGCAATAAAAATGAGCCTTAGCCCATGCAACAACATGGATGAACTTCATAACAATGTCAAAAAAAGAAAAAGGACTGAGACACAGAAGGATACTATATGACGGTAGTGAAATAAAGTGTCAAGATTGCAAAAGTAAGCTCTAGTTTTAAAATTCAGGATAGTGGTGACTTTGGGGAAAGAGGAATCTTATTATTTCTAATTTTTGTAAGTTTCCCAATTAGCTATAGTGAACAGGTAGTAATATACAATGAAACAAATACAAAAGTAAATTTTTAAAATTCAGCTTATCCCTTGAGTACTGACATGTGGAGGTTGAAAAGCAATGCACAGTCCTCTCTTAGGTATCATCTGGGCCTGCAAATGCTTCTTTCTCCTCTCGTGCTTTCAGCAAGTTCAGTGGAGAATTTTGCTATTCGAAACTTCTCCATTGACACTAAAGCTGTGCTTCCTGGGTGCATGTACAGATCCCACTTCCTTTCTGAGGCTTCTCCTTTTTCTGATCAGCCAGCTTGAAGCAGAACTCCCTAAGCCCTTCCATTAAAGCCATGTTATTTCCATGAGTATGTGAAACATTTTGAGAGTTGGTACCCATTTCTAGAACACAGTAGTATCCATTTCCTGACTGTTTAAATGATTTAATAATTGGTAAGTGCTCAAAATTTGATTTGGAGTTATTTTACTTTCTTTATTCCCTATTATAACATATAATATAAAAGATATTATAAAAGTCACACAAAAAATGATGAGAAAATGTTCTAAAACATGACTTCAGGGGCTGTTTCAAATGTTAAAAAATAACATATTTTCTTTACTTTAAAATGACTTTTTTTACATGTTAATATTTATGAGATGAAGATGATCTCAAGATTGATGGCATTTTAGCATTACTGTTGGCCAAGCAGTCTACATGATGTTGATGTCACTGACTGACATTGATGGCCTTGCTCCTATTGGTAGGCAGACTCTAAACTGGCCTCCAGTGATCCCAACCTCCTGGTATTTATTCTCTTGAGTAAACTCTTCCCTTGAGAATGAGACAAACCTAGTAATTTGGTTTTTTGTTTGTTTGTTTTTTGAGATGGAGTCTCACTCTGTCACCCAGGCTGGAGTGCAGTGGCACAATCTTGGCTCACTGCAACCTCCACCACCCAGGTTCAAGTGCTTCTCCTGCCTTAGCCTCCCAAGTAGCTGGGATTACAGGCCTGCGCCACCACACTCGGCTTTGTATTTTTAGTAGAGACAGGATTTCGCCATGTTGGCCAGGCTGGTCTCGAACTCCTGACCTCAGGTGATCTGCCTGTCTCGGCCTCCCAAAATGCTGGGATTACAGATGTGAGCCACCATGCCCAGCCCTAGAAACTTGTTTCTAACAAAGAGAATATAGCAAATATAACAGGCTGTCACTTCTAAGATTAGATTACAAAAAGACTATGGCTTCTATCTTGGGCATTCTCTTTTGCTATCTTACCTGCTCACTTTGATGAAGCCAATATGAATTGACCTATGAAGAGGCCACACGACAAGATGCTAAGGGAACCTCTGGAACAGCCAGCAAGAAACTCAGTCCAACAACCTGCATAGAAATATATTCTGCCAAAAGCCACACTGGTTAGCTTGGAGGCAGATCCTTCCCTGGCGAGCCCTGACATGACTACAGTCCTGGCCACCACCTTGATTACAGCCTGGGACGCCAGGAGCCAGAGGACTCAGCTAAGCTATGCCAAGACTCCTGACCCAAAGAAGCTGTGAAATAATGAATATGTGTTGCTTGAAGGCATGAACTTTGGAGGTAACTAGTTATTCAGAAAAAATTAACTAATACACTCATGTTACCATTACTTCAATTGAGGAATCAGTATTATTTGAAGTACATATGACGAGTATAATTGCTCTTTAAAATATCATTTAAAATGCACTATGATTTCACCTGGGAATGAAAAGATAGCATATATGAAAGTAAACAAAAACCAGAAACAGAATACTGGGGTATACTTGTAGCTTTATAAAGTCAATGCCCTTATTTGTAGAAATAACCAGGAATTATACATTCTCTTGCAAAGCAACAACCAAATCTTTGTGGGACTGTATTAGTTTGCCAGGGCTGCCATAAACACAGTATCACAGACAGAATGACTTAAGCAACAGAAAGATATTGTCTCTCAGTTCTGGAAGCTAGAAGTCCAAGAGCAAAGTGTTAGTGGTGTTGCTTCCATCTGAGGGCTGTGAGGGTGAATCTGTTCCACATGTCTCCCTTTGACTTGTAGATGGCTGACTTCTGCCCCTGTCTTCACATCATCTTTCCTCTGTCCTTATCTCCGTGTCCAATTTTTTCCTTCTTATGGGAACAAAGTTACATTAAATTAGCATCTACCCTAATAAACTCATCTTAAATTGATTACCTCTGAAAAGACCTATCTCCAAATTTAGTCACATTTTGTGGTATTGTGGGCCACAACTTCAACATATTAATTTTAGCAGCATACAGATCAATCCATAAAACCATGTAAAGGAACATATTCATAGGTTCTGGGGATCCGGATGTGTACGTCTTTGTGGGGGCCACTATTCCACCGACATCAAAAGTGAATGATGTGTTCTCACTCACAGATGGGAATTGAACAATAAGAACACTTAGACACAGGAAGGGGAACATCACACACTGGGGCCTGTTGTGGAGTAGGGGGAGTGGGGAGGGATAGCATTAGGAGATATACCTAAGGTAAATGACAAGTTAATGGGTGCAGCACACCAACATGGCACGTGTATACATATGTAACAAACCTGAACATTGTGCACATGTACCCTAGAACTTAAAGTATAATAAAAAATATATATACATATAAAAGTGAATGAGGAAAGAGAAACCATGGGGACTTTCCTACTGCTGCAGTATGAATGGCATGTCACCCCTGTGAATGGGGTACAGCTATCCAATATAGAAAGAAAATAATGTGCTCTGCACAAGGAACACCTCCCAGACTTGATTATTCAAACAAAAATGGACCAGTTGTTTAGTTTTCCATGGAGGGCCTCTTCCTCTTACTCTGCCCGTTCAAGGTCACTTGCTTTGCAGGTAAGTACAAGTCAACTCAGGCAACATCCACAGCTCTGGGTAATGGCACTATTTGAAATCAGTTGCAGAAGGAATATTCCCTGGATTCAGTTATTCAACATATATTGATGTACAATATGAATACATATTGAATAATGAACAATGAATAATGAACAATATTGAATACAACATATATTGATATAAAATACAATAGATTGATGTACAATATGCCATATGCCTTATACTATTAGTGACTTTCAACTGCACCATTTAACCTAAATCTCAAAATATTATATTATATGTAAATATCATTGTATTATTTTATTTAAAAAATGAGGTTCAGGGAGGATGTGTAAGTGGATTTGAAGGAAAGAGATTCAAACATAGCAATATCTGACCCAAAAATCTTGTTCTTTGAGAACATTCTTCTTTCACTATGATCTTCAAGCATCAATGACCTCTGGAGCAGATGTTGTTTGTTCTCAAGAACTGTTCCCTTAAAGCAGGTGTCCCCAGCCCCCAGGTTGTGGACCAGTACTGCTCTGTGGCCTGTCAGGACCTGGGCAGAACAGCAGGAGGTAAGGCAAGCCAGCACTGGCTGCCTGAGCTCAGCTTCCTGTCAGATCAGCGGCGGCATTAGATTCCCAC
Source organism: Homo sapiens (assembly GCF_000001405.40). Classification (NCBI taxonomy): domain Eukaryota; kingdom Metazoa; phylum Chordata; class Mammalia; order Primates; family Hominidae; genus Homo; species Homo sapiens. The sequence goes on along the minus strand of NC_000004.12, from coordinate 11,436,798 downwards.
AGGAGCCAGAACCCAACTGTGAACCGTGCATGCAAGGTTGTGCGCTCTTTTATGAGAATAGAATGGTAAGTGTAATGGGCTTGAATCATCCCAAAACCATCCTTCACCCCACCCGGGTCTGTGGAAAAATTGTCTTCCTCGAAACCAGTCTCTGGTGCTAAAAAGTTTGGAGACTGCTGCTTTAAAGAGTCTGCAATACAGAGGTCATTCATTCAGAGTACTTAAGAGAGTTGAGGAGCTTTTTTTTTTTCTGTATTAATTCTTTCTAAGGAAGGTAAAACCATCTGATTTAATTCCTTTTTGTAATAACAGCACACATGCATTCAGTGTGTACTCTGTGTCAGGAACTTCATGTGTGATAATATGAGAAGGGTGTCATTATTTTCCCCATTTTCCAGAGGAAGAAACTGAGGTTAAGTAATGTGGGTGAAGTTATAGAGCTAATATTGCAGAGCTGGAATCTGCTGGTTCCAGAACTTGCCCTCTTGGGGTTTGTGATATTGACTGCATGTCTATTTTGGGGGAGCTCACTTCCTGTTCTCTTTCTACTTATAAGTAGGGCCTAAAAGACATAAGCTATAAACACGATAGACTCACAAAAACATCAAGAAAAAGCCATAGCCATGGTAACAATTAACGAACAGGACAGTGCATAATGAGTGCTAATTATGGGCAAAGGATAAGTGAATTAGGAGCCAGAAAGAAAGGGATACAGAAAGCTCATCAGTTTTGTAGCTTTAAATCAGCCACGATGAATGACACCCCTCTTCCCTGCTAATGGAACGAAGACTAAGACAGATGAGAGCTAAGTATCTCCTTTATTACCAATAGAGGCCATGATGGAGGGTATAACTGTGACAGAGCCAAGATACCCACTAGCTGAACCCCAGAACTAGGCACACTCACCCAGGGAGGAAGAGGCCACCCCAGACCCAGGTAGATCTCTCTCCTACAGGGAAGCATCCCTGAAGAGCAGCAGAGAAGCCTTGCAGGCTAAATGCTCCCTGCATGCATCTCATTCCCAAGAGGAAGGACAGAGCTGATGTAAGCATTTAGAGCCATTCTTCCCCAATTTATCAACAAATAATTCCCTCTGTCTCCTGAGGCAGGCAGAGTGTTTCTGCCAACTCAAAGTGGCTTCCAGGAAGAGGTGAATACATAAAGAAAGGCAGAGTCCATAGCTGGAAAGGGCATTATATACTCCGAAGAATACACCAATACCTCTCTAATGTTTAGCTCCATGAGAATAAGGGTACTGTCTCTAGCTTGCTTTTGCATCTCCAGGGTCTACCCTAGTGCTGGATGGAGACTAACAGCTAAAGAATTAAGTGATGCTGGAATGAATGTGTGACCCTTGACAAAAAAGCTGATCTGAAACACCACATAAAGTCAAGGGCCTCAATGTGAGATAAAGTTTGCTGGAAACTGCATCTCTATAATAGCTTTTATATTTAAAGGATGATTATATGTGGGGAGAGAAAAATAATTACACTGAGAACTGAGCTTTTAAGCATAGCATTTTCCTTTGTCAATTAGTTGACTCAGGGCAATTAAAACAATATCATGAATGTAGGATTTAAATACCTTACGGATAGTTAAATTCCTGGAATGTAAGTACATGTTGAAGGTATGAAGAACTCAGATCTCTTCTTCATTTGAAGAAATGATGTAAAATATAGTGGAGTCCTCTTTCTAGTTTTATGAAATATATATGTGCAGGTAGAGAATGGGAGAGAATGCTATCATGAGACAGGAAGAAAGCATGGAACTTGACTTTGACCTGTTTCTAAATCCAACATGGCTAGTTGCAAGCTGGAACATACAACCTTCAAGAAGTTACTTCTCTGTACGTAAAATTAGGGGAAAGGAAAGGAGAATGTTCAAATCTCCCAGCATACAGCTACTCAATAAATGCCATGTTTTTATTTGCCTCTTCATTTCTCTTTCTTGTTTCCCATACCATCTAGTAGATTTTTCTGAGATTGCACAAAATAGTTATTTTTCCTTAGTTTACAGAACTTACTTTACAATAATCATTATGGTGCATATATTGAAATAACCTAACTTGATTAAATATGAAAGCTTTTTTTTTTAATTTAAGAACTAACTGCTGGTACATATACACCATGGAATACTATGCAGCCATAAAAAGGAATGAGATCATGTCCTTTGCAGAGACATGGTTGGAGCTGGAAGCCAATATCCTCCACAGACTAACACAGGAACAGAAAGCCAAACGTCACATGTTCTCACTTATAAGTGGGAGCTGAACAATGAGAACTCATGGACACAGGGAGGGGAACAACACACACTGTGGCCTGTCAAGGGGGTGGAGGGAGGGAGAACATCAGGAAAAATAGCTAATGCATGTGGGGCTTAATACCTAGGTGATGGGTCGACAGGTGCAGCAAACCACCATGGCACATGTTTACCTACATGACAAACCTGCATGTCATGTCCTGCACAGGTATCCTGGAACTTAAAAGAAAATTAAATTAATTTTTGTTAAAAAGAACTAATTGCCTAAGCTTCAAAGCATTCTACAAAATATTTATTTCCACCACAAAGCAGATTAATATATATATAGCCAGTTCTTATAAGTGTCATTGTAAACATTTCCAAAAGAACAGTGTTCCAAAGTCTATGGAAAGAGAACTCTACCATTGTGTAAGAGACTTCTTGTGGCATTAGTGCTATTTTAAATCTAGAATTAAAACAAGGCTTTGAAAGGAAAAGCCAGCACCATCAGTTTTCAGGGACAATAGGGACATACTCTAGAGGACTTCAGTGAGGACTCCAAGACAGAAGAGAGCTGCTAGAAACAGCATGTGCTGATTGAAGTTGAGAGTTCAGAGTAAGAGGTAAGGGTCTGAGAGTCACAGTTCAAATGCTCCTTGGACCTTCTATTACAAATGGAACTAGGGACTCATGAGAATGATTAGATTGAATTGTAATTTTTCTGTTAATGCACATCTGTGAGCTCCTAAGTAAGGGATTGAATTTCATTCTTCTTAATAAATCTCTACCCATGTACCTAGCACACAGGCTGCTATATGGGAGGTACCTAATACATATTGATTCAACTGAACTGATAGGCCTGCCAGGAGGAAAACTTTTTTTTTTCTGAAGAGTGTGAGGTTCCCAGTATCCTTGAATAAGGCCTAAAAGAGCAAATCATTAAGACCGACTCATCAAAAGATCAGCCAGCTTTGGTCCCAAAATCTAAAATCAAAGAGAGTGCCACAATTTTCCATCGCCCTGAAGGTATTCCAGCACTCAGCAGGGGCCAGTAATTTGAACAAGGGGACCACTTCAAGCCTGCAATACTGCAATTTTTCTAACACTGATGTGTGTAATTTTGGCCACAGTTTAACACAGGATAACAAATAAAAGCAATATTCTATTTGTCTATAGTTGTTTACATAACACCATAGACTATAAGCTTTTTTATGAAATTGTATTTACTGTGCATACTTTACCTAAATTAACTAAGCATTCCTCCTCTGCAATATCATCTGCACAGGGCTAAATTCTCCATTAGAAGTCTTAGGCACACTGCCCAGAGCTTATGGTACCTTGAGGGCTTCCCAAAAATGATTTAATTTCTTCTAAAAATCAGAAAAAGATAAACTTTTAGATTAAAGAAGATATTTAAATAAAGAAGAAAATATACTCACCTTTATACTAATGTAATCATAAGATATAATTTTAACTTGGCAAGGCAGGGAGCAGGATTCATAAAGGAAAACATCATAAAAGTCATAACTGGACCTCATAACCACATATGCCAAGATGTGTCAAATTTGGTGTCATAAAGTAGATAATCTTAAAAATCCTGTTTTCAGAAAAGAATCACTCAATTTGTCATAGATGGATGGATTGTTGTTACATACACAGAGACAAAATTGGGCGTTGGGACGGGATGGTTGGGGAGGCATGAGATGGGTGAGCTGAGTTGGAAGGAACAACAATCCTCCATGTTTTATGGCTGTGACCCTCATTTCCCCTCTCACTAGCGGACTGCTCTAGCTAATTAGCAAATCAAAAGAAATAGAAACAATTCTAGACCTCAGCACAATCAAATTAGTGGAGTTATTCGAGGATATCATTTTCACACAGTGCAATCATGCTCTCTTTGTTTTGGTCAAACGAGTGAAAATTATCTTTCAAACCCAACGCCCTTCCCTCTACCCAACTGGCTCTGTGGATAGTGGCATTTCCTATCTGCTCTCATAAGTTTTACAGATGATCTTTTTCTATTAAGACAGGAATGTGCAATGCACAATTAAACAATACCCAACAAGCTTCCCTTTTAAAAATACATTTGACTTTTAAGGTGATTCAGCAGTAAGAGCCATTAGTACCTCATCTAAATCAGGACTTGGAAAGTTTATTAAAATTGGATTTTTAACCTGATCCCAATTTCCTTTGTGGATAAAGAGTCCCACTGGAGTCTTTAATATTCATGCTATTAACCTGAAAGATTCAAACAGCCATGATGGGAAGAAAGGCTATACAGGGCTGCCCACTAGACTGGGGGTTACAAATAAAACCCCATTGAGTCTGAGCAGGTAGACTACTGTGGATTCTGGACATCTTCAAAAGAAGCAACTTCTCTCTTTTTCTCTCTCTCCCCTTTTCCTGACCTCCCGTCTCCTATTACATATTTTGTGGGAAAGAGAAAAACCAGAAAAATAGCAAACATAAGCATATTACTTAATTACATAGAGCACTAGACTAGGAGTCTAGTTTTTACTGGAAGGGTAGCTTCCTCCTCTAGTGCTCTAATGAAATCCCTCAATTATAAAATAGGGAAGTCTGGGCTAATAATCTCTAATATTGGTTGAGAAGATGCACTTTGGAGTCAGGTGAGAACTCTTTGAATATCAGCCCTACCACTTATTAGTATGTCACCTTGAACGAGTCACTAAACTCTCCTAAACCTCCGTTTCCCCATTTGTAAAATGAACAAAAGGTGCAGCTCCTATGATTCATTTTGCATAGTACCTGGCACTATAAGCCTTAGATACACTTTAGCTGGTATTATTACTGATTATTGCCCAAACTCATAGGTCAGTTGCTTTTGTTTCTATTTCATGCCTTTTCACTCCTTGAGCCTTTATCTTCTTTAGAACAGTTTACAACTGTGTTAACTCATGTCTGTGCGTGTCTGTAAAGGTAGGCTAGGAGTGTTTGCCTTGTTTTTCCTTGAGATAAGATTTTATGCTCTCTTAGGGCAATGGAGATATCTTATTTTTTCATCTCTCTCTTAGTAACTGGCATAGTGTTGTACACATACTAGGTGCTCAATAAAGACTTCGAGATCTTAAAATATTAGCAGTACAGAGATCTTCCACTAAAACCCTCTCATTTTTCAGTTGTTGGAACTGATAAAAAGAGTCTTGGGCCACACAACTGACTGACAGACACTTTTGCAGTCAACTACTACTGTGTCTCCTAACAGCCTCTATTCTCATGCCCACGGCTTTGAAAGGGAAACATGTTTGACTTAAACCCTGACTCCTTGAGGGAAGTTCCATTTACAAAGTTTTTTTTTTTTTTTTTTAAGAGCATAGTATGTTTCAGATACCATGCAGGATTGTAGGATTCTGGGATTCAGATACCATGGAGGATTCATCATTAAATCACGATACCCAAGCTCAAGGCGTTTATAATCTATTAGAGAAGACAGATCCCTAAATAGATGTTTCAATAATGTGATTGTGTTGTCATAGGAGAGCTAAGCTCTGGCACTACATGAGCTTCTGGATAAGAAACCTAACTCATGACCAGAAGACTTCAGGGAGAGCTATTTAGGAGCAGTGGCAAATGCCTGGACATACACATAAAACTAAGTAAGAACAAAATAGCCAGTTGGTGTTTTTATTTATCTGAATGTAAGAACATAGATTATCGATCAATGAACAATTGCTCAGATTTAAAAAGAAATGAGGAAAACTAAAATGTTAGTCCTCAAATTCCTGTCACTTCCCACATGTGCCCTGCAGTCATTTCCTGCAAATGGAAACTTCCAACAAAATCTCTGGGCTGGAGACCTGGGGTTCCAGTTTCTTTCAAGGTCTTGTGGTAGGGAACTAAGTGGGTGAGTAACCTGCCTTTGGCTTCCAGGGTGCAAACAGAATCATTGCTAACCCCCTTTGTGTCTCACAATGGGTAATGAAATTCATACTATGGCACCAAAGCACTTTGAGCTCTTTAGAAAAAGTAATCATACCAACTTAGAGCATTAAAACCACCCCGTATTTTGAAGGACTCATGATCTGCACTGTGCTTGGCTGCTGGTGGAAGCTTAAAGACACCAGTAATTGGCAGAACTTTATCTTAGACTTCCATTTGACCCTCACAACCTCACACATGATTTTACACAGCTTCCTATAATGGGGGAGAAAAGCCCTTCTTTTAAATCTAATGTTAGTTTAAATGCTAAGGCTTTCAAAGTGGGCCTTTAAAGTCACTTTTTAGAATTTGTATTTTTTTTTAACCTAAAATAGACATGCCAACATTATTCTGACTAAAAGAAGTAGACAAGGTCATTCAACTCCTAAAAGCTTATTTTCCAAAAGCACAGTTAGGTCTCAGCTTTCAGGGTGCTTCTGGCTGTATCAAAAAGACAGAATATACTGGTCACTGTGTTGTTTTCTGAAAGTGCCGAGGGTAATCTGTGTATGAGTTAAAGGGCCAATTTCCTATAGGAACCTTCTCTTAGATGGGATTTTTTTTTAATTAAACAATGTTGGTGAAATATATTTAAACGTAAATCACAAATTCGAAGTCTTCCAAATATTTATTTACTAATGTGGAAGACATGGAAACTACAGTAATCTCATTTAAAGGAAGTTACTTTGATGTGCATTTGCTTTTGGCGGGGTATGATTGCTGACCTGCCTTTGAGGGCAACTTCCTTTGGCTCAGGTAAGCAGGCAAACCCGTTTCTCCAAGGCGATTCCAACCCCACGCCCCTCAAAACCTTAAATCTTAAATTGAGTTATTGGGTGCAGGTCCTTTCTCCCACAGAACCTCCCAGCTTCCGGAATAGAGGAGCGGGGCAGAAATATCCTGCTTTTTATTTCAGAGCTGACGTTTGCAATCCTAGTGCACTAGCGGAAAAAAAAAAAAAAAAAAAAAAAAAAAAAAGCTGAATTTTCCGCGCTCTCCTGGCAAATTGGCGTCCGCTCTCCGACGCTAAACCAAAGGAAAAGGAGTGTTCAATGGCGACAGGGCGCTCTTTGAAGCCGGCTCCTCACGCGGATTCTGGCCCAGGCCGCCGCTCCGGTCCCAGTCCGGCTGCAGAGCGAATTGGAGAGGATGGCACCTCCTGCTTCCCGGGGGGCGGAAGGAGCGCCAGCGCCTAAGGTGGGTCACCTGCCAGGAAGGGAATACGCATGGTGCAGACTCACGTGGGAGGAGCACAGGTCCCGGGTACAAGTGCCGAGCTGGCGACTTAGAGAAGAGGTAGACTCGGGCTCAGACCAAGCAGGCGTAAGGGAGTAGACGGGACGTCCCGTGTTTGCAGTGACGGCGGAGTCACCCATCCCAGCAGCCTCACCTTCTTGGAGCGCTGGTCCCTCCCCTTGGACTGAAACCCCAGGGGCCACCGCACCGGGTGGGCGGGACCGACTACTACCCGACCAGCCGCTGGAGCTGCGTGCCAGGCGGGGCTGTGCGGAGCAGCTGAGCGCAGAGCGGAGCACCAGGCACCTAGCGGGCCGGACTCTGGGCGGCACCCGAGCGGGCCGGGCAGCAGTGGGCGCTCGCGATCCTCCTCTGCCCAACGCGCTCTCCCTCCGGGCCCGGCCTCCTCCGTCCCCTCCTTTTGCTCCCGCTCCTCCTCCCGCTCCTCCCCCTCCTCGGGATTGAGCACCAAAACGCCCGCCTGCAAGGTCCTCTGCGCCCTGGCAGCCAGGAGTCGCCGCCACGACAGCCGGGTCTCAGTGGGTGCCTGCGCCTTCTCCCCGCCCGCCTGCCCCGGGCCATCCAGAAACTTGCTCTACCCGCCGCGGGTGCTCGGCAGTGCTGCCCATGGCCCAGCCTAGGAGCCTATTTAGGGCGCCGGACGGGCTGGACAGAGGCGCGGCTCAGGTGAGTGCGGCGCGCGCGGGGTGGGAGAGTGGCAGGACGCAGGTGTAGAGGGCTCCGAGGTGCCTTTGTCTGGCGTTCTGGACTTCGGGCAAGTGCAGAACCTAAGAAGAATCGAGGCTGGAGCAGGTGGAGTGGATGCAGAGGGAACCAGGAAGCAAAGGCTGGGGATTTTCCCATCCTCCTCACCTCCTGCCCTAGCACCTCTGCTCTGGAAGTCCCGAGGGACCGGTTGATCTGTAAGGACAGGGACCCAGATTTCTGACTCTTACTGGGTTGGATGTTTTCCCCCCCTGCAGAGTCGTGAGGTTCGCTCCTGCCGGCCGCTTCGCGACCGCAGCTTCACCATAGGACCCTGTAGGGCAGCGAGAGCGCAGCACTCAACGGATCCTGGGTACCACCTGGGGCCAGAAACTGGGGCGAGGACACAGCCCGCAAAAGTAACTCGGCTGAGGGAGCCTTTGGGGGTGGAGAAGCCTTGGTCGGGTTTGCCTTTGCATTTGGTTGGAGATAGGCATCTCCCAAAGAGAGAGATTGAGGTGACAGCCCTGACAATAAACCTCTCATCCCTAATGCCAATTACATGAGGGTCTTGATTTTTTTCTTGTTACTTTTTACTGATTTTTTTCCCCCTTCGTGGTTTTCTATTTCCGGGCCCTTGGGTAGTGGCAGCGGATGGAGGTGAGGGATGGCGGGGTGCGAACCCGCGGTTGGAACGCCTAGACCCCAGCTCCCAGGAAGGGTCTTATTCGCGGAGCTTGACCTCTCCAGGTGCGCTCTACCAGCCAGGGGGCGGACGGCGCGCTGCTCCTCCTTCTAGCCCCAGCCTGTCCCAGGAAGCGGAGGACAGACCCAGAACGTAGGCGGATGATGGGAAGAAGAAGCTGGAGCCAAAGCCGGGTGCCGGCGCGGGATGGGGTGTGCTGGGCTCTGCAGTTATAGGTCTATAACTCTGCAGTTATAGGCGCTATAGGTCTTCCATCTCTTTCCCTCCCCTGGGAGCCAGCGATTCCTCGCACACTCAGGGCGCTCTCTTGGGCCAAGGGTTGCATCCTCCCTCTTCCTCCTCCTTTGCAGATCCAGTGGTACCCTTGCCTCGCCTTGCGCGAGTCTCGCTCCTCCCTTTCCCACAATGTTATCATGAGCTATTTTTATCTACAACTTGTGCCAAGATGCTTTTGGGGGGATTCTAGGGAGGCCACTCCAAATCCACTGTCTTTGCGCTGCGCTCCGAGAAACAGTCTCCTGTTAGCATGGAGCAGCCTCAAGGAGTGGCGGGGAGGGTGGCCGAGAACGGAAGGAGCCAGTCCGCCCTCTTCTCCTCCCTCAGCCCTAGCCCCGGAGGGAAACCCCGCCACCACCAGCTCGGCTGCGCCTCCCGCCAGTAGCCCCGGAAGAGGGTCCCCAGACGAGTCCCCACGCTCCCGCTTTCAGGCGCTGGGTGCTTGGACACTGCTGAGGCAGCAGCCTGGCACAGGCAGGATCCTTCATTCCCACCCGTGCGTTCTCGCTTTGCAGGCAAATCTCATTTTATTTTGTTGAAATGCTTCCACCCAAGGGTTAATTCCAGGAATTCCATCTTTAAAAAAAAAAGAAAAAAAAAGGAGGGAGAAATAACCCAACTTCTGCCTCCCTGCATTTCTAAAGCAAAGCGCATCCTTTGACGTTCGGATTTTTTTCTTGCTTTCTGCATTCCTGGTAATATTGGGTAACACTGGGTGCAATTAGAATAAGCCTTACCTACTGAAATTCCAGGAGACGCGCGCTCCGCTGCAAATCCCTGCCTTACCCTTCCCGTTGTACATCCAGCGCTTAGATTTTCCCCCACAGGATTGCAGAAATAACATATTGAAATGGACCATTGTGTTACATAAGGTTTTCTCCAGCGCTAAGCAGAGAAAGAACAGCTTCTAAAAGAGTCTTTCCAGGTTTTGGTTAGCCCATCTAACTCTTTCAGCTGAGTTTGACAGGGATGGACAACTTCATGACTAAGCACTCTTAAGTGGAAGCAGTTAATTACAACAGCAGCATAGATGAAGATTCCTTAGTGAGGCTTATTAAGCTGTGCTTCTAGACTGTGGATCCTCTGTGATGCCACAGGGTATACAATGCTCTGTAGTTTTAAGATAGGAGATTTTTGTTCTGAGAAGCTGGTGAGAAATTGGCATCTTGAGATGGCATCGGAAAAAGCAAAGGGTTCTTTACTTTCCTGTGGTTATGTCTAGAATGAAGCCTCAAGCCCCCCCCCTGGGTCCCCCTAAAAGTTGGAGCATGTACTTTTCTTATTAAAATAAGAAATTATTTTACTGGAAAAATCTTGTGAGGGTTGGGGGGGGGGCCTCTGAAGGGAAAAGCCACATGGAAGCTTCTCTTGCCTTGAATTGAAACTCGATGGTGACTAGGAAGGGGCTAGAAAGATGGCCTGGGTGGTGTAAATTGCTTCACTCATGCACACTGCCTTTCTGAGAACATAGCAGCTACCCACAATGGCATATCCCCACCGTGGTTGCTAAATCATGTCTGTCTATGGGGGCTAAAGTTTGGAGGAAGGCACAGTAAGATGTATCTGGTGTCCTGATGAAATTGAGCCTGTAGGCTGGGTCAGTGCTCAGGCACCAGGTTTCCGGGCCTGCATCTAAGCCTGGGTCCCTGTGTTAGAGACAGTTGTTGCAGGAGAGTGGTAACTTTTTAGCAGCTTCCAGGGAAATGCAGTAACTTTCCAGCTAGTGCTGGAAAATATCAGGGCTATTCCCAGTTTTTTTCCCCTCAACCTGGCTACTTGACCTGGTGCTTTCAATTGAGGCTGCTCTTTTCTTATGGCAGAAGGCAGGAGAGTGCTAGCTGGATTTAAAGCCAACTTCTTGCCCCATGACCTTGGGCAACAATTTCTCCCTCCCTGACCCTAAATTTCTTCCTCTGCAAAACAGTGATGAAAAGATTATTATAAGAAAGTGAGAAAATGTATATGAAATGCATCTTGCCGATTGGAGAACACTTGTGCAATTGTAAAGGGTAAAAAATACAAAAAATTAAGTTTTATCGTAGATCTATTTTAATGTTCATTTTAATCATAGTTTGCATATGTCTGAGTAAATGACATATGCTAAACATTAAGTGGGAGAGATTTCTTTTAATTGGCCAGTCTCTTCTTGTGATCACTCCACCTGAATGCTACAAGCACCGGGCCTCACTACTTCTCAGAATGATTCCTTTCTTGTTTTCAGGATCACAGTCAATTTTTAGAGTGTTTTTCCTTTTAACATAATACACATTACATGTCTTAAGAAAATCTGTTTGAAGAGAGGGCCCTGATGTTAATTAATAATTTTTTTAAAAAAGGAGAAAAGTCACAAATGGGGAGTGACTCCACTGGGGAAAAGTAAAACATGACCAGTGTCACGAGATGACCCGGGTCCCCCTTGTCTGAATCTTTCATCAGCATAATGCACTGGCTCCTCATCATTGCATTTTAGGTGTTGTTCCAAACGTGTCTCCAGAACCTAACTCAGTGCCTGCCTGGCACTTAGACATTCAATAAGTATATTTGGAATAATTGAATGAGTGATTGGACTGAATCTTCACAGCAACCTTGGAGAGCAGATGGCGTCATTTCTATTTTAAGGATTTGGAATCTGCCGATCGGAAAACTTAATTAATTTTCTAAAGGTACAAAGGATTCCAGACTAGAATTCAGGCCTGTCTGTTCTTATTCCACTCTACAGTCGTGCTTGTAGTGCCCTCTCTCTTCAGACTCACTTAAAACCCTTCTAAGCAGTTGGAACCAAACATCCTATTTAGGGAACACAACCTTCCCTTCATAGAAGGATTTTTTTTTTTTTTTGTGGGAGATGGGCCTCTTTCTCCTTGTCCATATCTCCCAGCCCTGAACTAGGGCTTAGTTGAATGATCCCACCTGGGGCCTGGAATCTTGAAAGACTAGCTAAAGGGCACAGGGACATTGGAGTGTTTATTTACCACCTTGGATCATGGATCAAGTGGCGTTGGCAGCAGTATGCATGTCCCAAGCTGTGGTCCCAGAGGTGCCTTTTCTGCAACACCATCTTGATGTGCCTCTGGTGCCCAGGTTCCTTTCATTCCTTCTCATTTTCCAATCCTGGCTTTTCAGCTTCTCAGCAATTCCTAGAGGCAACCCATAGTCTTCAAGTGAATTCCCTTTCTCCCTGACTTAGCCAGAATTGCAACCCACTGATGTACAGCTTCTCCCCATTCATCTTCAGGCCTGTCTCCAGCATGAAACATCCTTAGCTTCCTCTACCCATGGGGAATGAAGTCTGTAGCTTTTTCAGATCGTTAGAATAATATCTACTGGGCCGTAGTTTGTCAATAGTTATGTGCTACTACAAGAGGTCTAGAAAAATGAATACATTATTCTTCCAAGCAATACTCTAAACATAACAGAAATAGATCCCAGTGGGCATCTTTCTTTTTCTCTAATACATTATGCTTTTTGGTAGTTTTCCAGCAGGGGTCGCAAACTCTAATGTCTTCAGCAGCCAGGCAAGTAACAGCTTGAGTGGAACAGGACTTGGGCCCTGTGCCTGGGTAAGTGGGGGTTGTAGCCCAGATCCAGCACAGGGGCTGCAGGCGGGACTTCAGGTCTGGTCTTGCCAGACCTGGTTATGTTTTTTTTTTTTTTTTTTTTTCAAGATAGACTGTCAATTCACAGTTTTATGTAAAATCTACTCACTTTCAAGTGCCAGCAGCTAATTCGATATTCCTAAATAACACCATGTGGGCCAAACCAAACATTTCTGTGTGTAAGCCTTATATCTGTCACACAGGCCTCCAATGTATGGCCTCTGGTTTCCAGGGATATGAGGGAAATTTGGAATATGAAATTCAGGAGGGCATGTTGTTCAGAATATCGAGGCAAGAGTGTAGGGACATGGAGCACAGACAGTGCTCTAGTTAGTTACTGTTTACAGAGTGAACCTCTGTTCGGGATGTTCCTTCTTCCTATCTCTGCAAGTGGTTACAGCAATCATGTTTACTCCTTTAACACGTTTATTGAGTTCCAGCCATGTACCGCATATTGTTCTGCTCACCGGTGACACAGTAGGGAACAAAACAGATGGAAGTCCTCGCCCTTGTGCTTATCTTCCAGCAGAGGAGACAGACAAAACACAAGACAGATAAGCAGAATCTCTCCTAGTTAGATAGTGATGTGCTAAGGATTAAAAAATAAAAACTAGAGGAAAGTGATAGGAAATATCAGGATACTGGGGAGAAACCTTAGGCTGTTAGCCAGGGAGCCTGCAGTTCAGTCTCTGGCTCAACATAACCCAAAGTTAAATTTCATTATCCAACATAAAATATTTTCTATGTGGGAGTTTGATTGTATCCTGGGTCTATCATCCATTGGGTAGTTTTGGATATTGAGCTATACTCTCAATTTTAATAAAACTGACTATTGAGCACGTTTATTGTCTGCCATGTACCCGGCATTGCATTACGTGTTAGAGTACATTGATGAACAAAACCAGTCAAGGACTACTCTGCAAGGAAATTATAGACCAGCATGAAATACATTAAACATGATCTCAAATGATTAGGCAACTACAGTGATTGAGGACTGTGGTAAGGATGCCTTAATTGTTGAGTTTTCATACTCAGAACTCTGACGTTCAGCACTTTTTTTTTTTTTTTTTTTTTTTTTTTTGACGGTGTCTCGCTCTTGTTGCCCTGGCTGGAGTGCAGTGGCGTGATCCCAGCTCACTGCAACCTCTGCCTCCTGGGTTCAAGGGATTCTCCTATCTCAGCCTCCTGAGCACCTTTTAACTTGATCATTTGTTTTGTTCCAGGAACAGTTTACATCTGTGCTTATTAACTTACTTTAAGCCTGCTCCCATCGTCCACGGAAATTTTTTTGAGGCTTTAATTTCTTTATCTGGCAATGACATTTTTATTATAAAATTTCATTTTGCATTATTAAAAGTATTTATTTTTAAAAAATGTGTTCCAAGTGTAAAGTGTGCTTGTGCCCTTGGAGACTCTGGTACACCTTCTCCCAAATCTGCCCCTACCTTTGCTATTGATTGTCGTTCACAAGGCAGTTGTGCAGGATATTAAGAAATAGTTCTTGTCATTGATGAATTTACAGTTTAGTATGGGAGTCAGATAAATAACCGAGTCTCTGCCTGTCTCATGAGATGGACCATCCCAAGAATATTTCCCTTTCATCACCTTCTTTCTTTCATGGTAATAATTTCTTCAGTAACATAATTAGGTAGCAAGTATGTTTATCTGGAGTCACCTTGTTACTGGATTGGCTTATTTGCTTACTTTCTCACACTCTCCCACCAGAATATGTGCTCCAGGAGAGCAGGGGCAGTGTCTGTTTGCTCCAGTTTCTAGAACAGTGTATTGCTCAGAAAAGAAGAAACAGGCGGCATTTCTGTCTGGGGGAGTTAGGAAGCGGTTCATGGTGGAAGAAATATTTAAGAAAAGAGATGTGGTGAGAACAGCCAAAGAAGAATGATAAGACGTAGTCAAAATTGCATAGCCCTCAAACCTTTGTTGAAAACTCATTTGTCTATTTTAGGGATTCCCAATACGGTCAGTCCAGCTGAATAACTGGCATATTAATACAAGCGCTTTGCTGAATAGATCCTGGTCTGCTTGTGCAAAAGCACTCTGGCATGAAAAGAATGTAGTAGATAATTCCTTACTTTCACATAATGTGACAATACCCACTGCCTCCTTTATCTCTCGTACCCAGTCCTGCGAGGACTGCAGGGGAGCTCTCACCATCTTCATTTGCTATTTAAGGAAACTGAGGTCCAGAAGTGAAGAAACTTTTCTTAGAGATGCCCAGAGTAAAGGTGGCAGACTCCGGATCCAGGGACAAAATTCTCTACCTGCTGTGAGCAGTAGGCTCAAGGTGGAGATTTGTTAAATCCCTGGAGAACTGAGTAGTCCACATTTTCTATAAGCAAAGAAATACATTTAGATGTGAAACATTCACATCTCCTTTCATCCCTCAAGAACTTCTATTTCAGCATTTTATGTCTTGTCGAATTTCCACTAGAATTCCTGCAGATGAAGTACTTGTACACCCTGTGGTAGGTTGTTTTATGTAAATGTCTTCACTCTTTAGTTTAGGAGGGTAAATCAAAGTTCTGTGTCAGCAGTTAAAATACAGTGAGAGAAAGGTGATTTCGGCTGCAGCTGAAATGAAAAGCAAGCTTGCCTAGCTGTGCTCCGAAAAATACATACTTGTGTGGCAGGGAATGAGAGTGGGCTGGGAGCCTCCTCTGGAAAACTGGCTTGCACTTTACTTGAATTACTTCTAAAACCAGATCTCTCCCAGTGTCCTGGGTAGGAAGGAGGGGGAGGGTGTTGGTTATAGATTTCTGAGATTAGATTTTGGAGCTATTTTGTGGTTGAAAGAGCATGACTTTGGAAGTCATGTATGTTTGAATTTCTGGCCTGGTTCTCACTAGTTGTGTCACTCTGAGTAATAGACGGTTTTTCTGGGCCTCGGTTTTTTTCCATACTCTAGTGAGGATTGAGGGAGATGGCCAATATATAGTGCCTAGCACAATGCTCAATGTGTTTTTCCTTGTGTAGATTTGCCAGATTTAGCAAATACAAATACGGAACACCTAATTCAATTTGAGTTTCAGACAGACAACAAATAATGTTTTAGTATAGTATGTCTCAGATACTAAAAAGTAAGAAATGTGTCATGTTTCTCTAAAATTTCAATTTAACTGGACATCCTGTATTTTATTAGCATCCCTATTCTCCTGGTAGCAGTTCTGAACGATTCTTTTCTGAAAGTTCTTGTGCCATAGAAAGATAAAGAAAGCAGTGTTGTCTTCAAGGTGAAATGACTTGTCCAGGGAGTAGGGTCCAAGATGAAAGAGAAGGGCTGTTTTCTTTGGTGAGCTAAGCAACAGAACAATCAAACAAAAGCAAGCTTATTTCTTTGCTTAAAAGGACCAAAAGAAGTGTAGAGCAAAACAGAACTCTGGGCATTGAAGAAGTGAGTCTGATTCTTGCTTATGTCACCAAAGCACAAGCCAGATTATTCTCAACACCCTTCAAGAAGAAGGTATTTCAACCCTGTGAGGCCACCAGCGTAGTGTTCGTTCCGCTAAGATAGAACCTTATTAAATACTAACATTGCTCCAAGCTCGTTACTGTAGGGCTGGAATTAGAAAGACTAGCGTCACACAGCGTTCCACTGAGTACACTGAAGGGATACTTTGTGCTTTGAAAACTCACACCTGAAATTGCTCCTGCAATAAAAGCTAATAAAACTGTTAGAGAGCTTTTCAGACTCGCTCCCCCCAAATAGATGAACACAGATTATAAATTGAGTCTGAGATCTCTCCTGCGACTGCTGGAGCATGACGTTCTGAGGAGGGCTGTGAAAATGTTGCATTTCCATTTCAGGTGATAGACTGATGGGGAACTAAATTAACAACAGTTTTGTTGCGTGTGGTCTTTCCAAAGCAGAGTTTCATGCTTTCTTCAATAGTGAGGTACTGCTCATGCCAAAATAACCAGTTCCTGTTGCGTGTAATATCAGTGACTCCTCATTTAACCTGAGCTCCTAACTAGCAGGGTGTTTACATGAAATATGGGACAGAAAGAAGGTAGAACAGCAGTATGATTAGTGTGAAGGCTTAACCAGCCAGAGAGATCTGGTTAGAATCTGCTATGCTGCTTTGCAGCCATGCCATAAGAGGTGAGCTACTTTACAGCTCAACGTCTCAGCTCCACCTCCACAAAATAGGCTTAATTAAAATTATAGCACAGATTTTATTTCATGTGCATTAAATTAATAAGTTATGTCATGCACTTATACGGTGTCTGGTTCACGGTCAGAATTTTTTTTTAAAGGATGCCATTAATGATGAGGGAAAGCAAGGAAGGCCTCTGGATTGCAAACTCAACGTCCTGTCACAAAGACCACAGACTAATTTGTTTTTTCAAATTATATTCTTAATGGGTTAAATGTGCCCCTACCATATACGTTTTATTACTAGAAGGCCCCTACTTTTTCTTTTTTTAAAATTTTATTGTATTTTGTTTTACTTTAAGTTCCAGGATACAAGTGCAGAACATGTAGGTTTGTTACATAGGTAAACGTGTGCCATGGTGTTTTGCTCCACCCATCAACCCGTCATCTAGGTTTCAAGCCCCGCATGCATCAGCTATTTGTCATAATGCTCTCCTCCCCTCTCCCCAACCTCCGACAGGCCCCGGTGTGTGTTGTTCCCCTCCCTATATCCATGTGTTCTCATTGTTCAACTCCCACTTAGGAGTGAGAACATGCGGTGTCACAAACTAAATTTTATGCATCATATTCATGGGAGAGTGTCTCAGTTTTTTGCCCTTTGTTTCTTTAGTCTTAATTTATATAATTCAAGCAAGCACTGTTATTCATTTTCTAGGCCAACCAATGAGATGCAGCAATGTAGCAAAATATGGAAGGAACAGTGAGGGGGAAGATGCAGAAAAAGTACAAGGAGAGGAAGAGAAGTGGGGAGATAAGGCAAGATGGATAGAGGGAGAGAGAAGGGAAGAGAATACAGGACAAGAGAGAAAAGAAAAATCATGACAAGCAGAAAAAAGGATTTGAAGAGCATAGAAGTCCAGTGATGTTTTGTGACAGGGTGGTCTTCAGCAGCCCCTGAGTAAACCCCAACGCAGCCAGACCACTGAGAGTGGTACATGCCACTCCCTCTCCCTGCCTCAGCAGAGCTTCTGAGGACCCCAACACAACACCTCATGATCTTGAGGGAAAGACATAGAAACTGTAGTGTTCCAACTAGAAAGCATATGGAGCATGATAGGAGCAGTGAGCCATGTGCTTTCTCCCCAGTCTGTTTCTGTGACAGCTGAACATCACAGATGAAAACTGAAGACAAGGGACCTGAGTGCCATCTTGTGGAGGGACAGGCCATGGTGCCCCTGGTGGTCCTCTCACTGTGTGGGGGTTTGGTTTGGTTTATTGGTTTGCATGGTGTATCCTGGCCTTCCTCCTGTCCCTAAGCCCCACCTGCCTGCACCATGGGAACTGATCCTTTCTGGGGTGATGAGTACATTGTTACCAGTCATTCTGTGATGCAGGATCATTCTTGGGGCCAGAGCTCCATTCGCCACGCAGTTTGAAATTCATGGTGGCTCTGGGTATGAGAGACTATTCCCTGATCCAAAAGGGAGTGTAGTATTTGAAGCATTTGATGACAGGGAAATGACTTTGCCTCATCGAACCTTTGTCGCCTTATCTGTCAAACAGAATTATATTTCCTTATGGACTTTTGTTGTGAGAATCACATTTCATAATGTATGCAAAGCACCCATTAGAGAGCCTGGTATGTAGTTAAGTGTCTATAATGCTGCACTTAATAGCAATGATTATTTTTCTTGCTGGTAAGCCTGATTTTGATTGAAAAGCAGATTACAAATGTCATCATAGATCTAGCTGCTTATTGCCTTCCAGTCCACCTCTGCCTTCTGGCCGATCCTCCCCTCCAGGTGGCTAAAGTGCCACAGTGTCCCAAAGCAGCCGATGTCATCACTCTGCTCTAAAGTAGGAGGGGAGCAAGGTGCAGAGGGGCTGAGAAGAGAGGGGCTCTCTTTTAATCACAGAGGAAAATCTTTCTCAAATGCCAGAATATTTTCCCCTTGTGTCCTCTTGGCCAAAAACTAGGTCACAGGCTCACAGGCAAAATCATTACAGAATAGGAAACTGAGGCACAAAGACATTTGAAGCAGTGAAAGAGGAAAATGAATCGAATATGGTAACTCTGAATTGATCCCTCTTGCCTTTGGGCAACAATTACACTTCTGTTTGTATATTACAATTGGAGATTGATCCTGCTCAGCTTCATCACTTGTCTTTTACTGCCGTCTTCAGCTAAAATACAAATCTGATATCTTTCTGGCTTCTGTTTTGTTTTTCCTTCCCAGCTCTGTCATTTTTACAGCCATTTGCAATCTGCAATATTTCTCTATGTTAATCTCTCTTGCTAACCTGAGAAATCTTTGTAAAACACGAATATAATTAGGTTATTGCCCAGTCCCATAATTCAGAATGTTCCATGGATTTCCATTACTCATAATATTAATGTTTAAGTGCAGGACTTTTAGATGCAAGAAGAGATCAAGTCCTAGCCACATCACTTCATCACAATATCACCTTGGGCAGGTGAATAATCTCTCTAAACTTCAGGTATTCTTCCATGATTTTTAATTATGTATTTTTCATACACTCATTTATTAACATTTAATTTAGTCTAATAGATGAAATTGTAAGAGGATGGGGACTTTGTCTAGAGCCGCCCCCACCAAAATCTGTCTCTAATCTGAACCAATGCCTGGCAGACAGTGGTCACCCAGGAAATAATTGTGGAGTGAAAAACCATGGAACATAACGCCCTCCATTTCATAGAATAGCCAGGATTAAATATGATAATGCATTTACTGATTATTTTAATTATAATGCATTTGATTAACTTAGAATGTTTAATACACATAGTGGGTGCTGGAAAGCTGGCTGTCCTTTCAGTTTTTGTTTTTTTAAATAATGAAAGTAGTACCAAAATTCAAGTTCTGCAGGATGGCTCTCACATTCTAATTTATTAAGCCTCATCATTAGCCACTCTCTGTTCTGTATACATACCTCATAATCTGACCTCAGGACCACCCTTTGTTCCCAGATAAATCAGGAATGTGAGCATTCACACCCCTACGCATACTGTTTCCTCTGCGTAGAACTTTTGTACGTTCTCCCTTTTCTTATCAGGTTCAGACTGTATCATTCTTTAAGAGCTGTCTAGCTCTGTCCCAATACACTGCTCCCTCTCCATAGTAAATCACTGCATGTGTGCCTTTTGCCTTGGATCACTCTCTTCCAGGCACTTGATGGGACATGCTTTCCTTCCTAGTTGGAGTTCAGCAGGGCCATGCAAAAGCAAGGGGAACTGATGTGTGGTCACCTGGCCTGAAGCTTTAAGAGCCAGCCCATGCTTTGTGTCAGATCTCCTCCCCACCAGCCTGGTGACTGGCACTACTCCGGAGAGTACCTGCTCCGTCTTTCTGCCTCTCTGAGAGACTCGAATGAGCAGTGTCCTGCCACCAACCCTCATGGGACAAACAGCCAAAGGGAGGAGGGACAGAGATGTAGGTGTTGATCTCAGCCTAACCTGGCATACCCTGAACGAGGCACCACCTCTTCAGTCCTCCTGGAGCTCTCCACATTGTGCAGGTGGCACTGTTGTCATTGCTCATTGACTTGGCTGCATCCCTCAGGAGACAGCTCCCAGAGAGCAGGACAGAACCACGGTCATGCCCCTTCATGCCCCTTCACACCTCTCGTGCCTAGTCCAGAGTATAAGTCCTTGATCCCTGAGTGAAATATGGATTTATGTGGTGAGGGGCGATGAAAGGAGGGGCATTTGGTCATGGTTGTTAGGAAGTGAAAGTACCACTATGATAAACAGAATTATCAGTCTTTGAGGGGAGGCAGATCTTTTCATTCGGATTGCCTGAGTTCAGATTGGCAGCTGTCCTTTGTCATCTCATGAAGGGTTTAAAGTGACCTGAGAAAATGTCCCCTGGGTAAGGTCAATGCTACCTGCACTCTGCCCTTCCCTGAACTCTCTCATGGGAGTTCTTATGTGCATCAGCCCTTCCCCAACCAGGAAGGCACCTGTTCTAGGAATGTTTTTACACTTCCAGGCGTACTGGAGCAGCCTGCTCCTGCCGGCTTCTCACCCCCACACAAGTCTCCTTAGCTGCACACATTTCCGCAGAAGCACTCTCTCTGCATTGTCATTGGGTCATTTGGTGACATAGACCAGTGGGCCCTATTCATTTAGACAAACCCATGTGTTTGGTTTAAGATTGTCATCACCTGCTCCTTTTTCTTGCTTTAGTTCTTAAGGTTCTCTGCTAAAGGCAGCACAAAGGCTAATTATCTTATGATAAGTTGTCCTTTAAAAACACTAGATTAAGAGCCACTTTAGGCTTTTTATTCTGCTTTTTCTTTGTCATCTGTCTCTGCACAGCTATCAATAGAGCAGCATTTTTCTGCTTTCACTGGAGAATGTTTCTTTCTTACTCATCAATTTTCAGAATGTTGTTTCTTTCTTTACTTATGACAACTATTTAAGCAGACAAAAATAGTTGTTAAACCTAAGTTATTACTAATATTTTTCTTTCACTTTTCTCTTCAAGTTAATATCATTGAGCTATTATTGATTGAGTGAATACTATTGAGCAATTATTTATTGTGAGTCTATCATATGTCAGGTGGGCTAAAATGTTTTTTCTATAATATTTTACTTAATTCCACCTAAGAAAACAAGCACTGGTCCCTTTCTTCAAGATAGGGAAATTAGGCCCAGAGTGAAAAATAGCTTCTTCAAGGGCATGTAACTAACCCAGAATGCAAACCCAAGATAATTTAAACATGATTGCTTTGATCTTTCTGCCCCATCCATTTATTTCTCTGTTTCCCTATTTACATACTTTAGCCTGGACATTAGTTCAAAGTGTTGAACTTTGTTTTTGTCCTCACCAGACCCCTGAACTTTCCTCAGGTGCCTTCTCCATGAAGCATATTCCAAATTTCCTCATCCCAACCTCCTTAATGTTGATGAAATAATGTCTATTCCACAGTTTCTTTCATCTCATTGGATTGGCAGTGTTTGTTTCCAAATCCATCTTTCCCCTTACACAGTGGGTTCCTTGGGATGGGACCTCATTTTCTTCTTACATTTCTGGGCTTGGTTACCTGTGACCTGAGCAAATGACATCTAACCCTCTTCAGTGTCTGAATTTGCTAATCTTACATTGTGGGGGTGAGGAAAGGGGATAATAATTGTAGAAAGAAATCCTGGATTCCAACTTAGTGACTCACAGTATTAAAATTCTCTCTATGAATCTAAGCATTTGAAGAAAAACTGTGAAAAACCAATCCAGAAATCTCAACACAATTTCCAAAGCTTATTTAACATGAGCTACTGTTCTTTGGCCAAGCCTACTCATCTTCCTTGGCATGTTGGACACTAACGAATCTGTTGGTTTAGATTTGATATCAATCTGGAATACAAAGCCAGGCCTGAGTGTTCACGCTAGCTGGTTGGGGAAGTAAATACGGTTGTTAAAGTAGAAAAGCAATGGGACTGACTTCACCAAGGAAGCCACAGTCAGTTTTATTCTTTAGACGCCTCTGAAAACTCATCTTTATGGTACCATGCTATGGGCTAGAACATTTCAGGACCTCTAGGCATAGCTTCCTTCATTAATGTGCTGATGACCTTGAGAAGGTTGTGAGAAGCAGGAAGTCTTGAAAACTCAGTTCATCATTGGAACAACCACACACGCGTGTATATGTATATATACACACACACACACACTCAAAGAGAGACACAACAATTATATGCCACAGGCCCCTCTTGAAAGGAGATGGAACCAGGACTTGATGAGTGAACCTTGCTGAGGTCCCATCAAATCTAATGAACATGACAGAATAAAGAGCAACATAGCAAAGGCTCTCTTGCCTGCAGCTATACCGCCCTGCAAGTGCCTGACTGCAGAAGCTAAGCATGGTCAGGCCTGGTTAGTACTTGGGATGGAAGACTGTCCAGGAAGATCCAGTGTTTTATGCTTTAAAAAAAAGAAAGGAAAGAAGCCTATCTCATGCATCCTCCTGCTAGTCCTTCATTTCTCCTGCCAATATCTTTGTTTTTCCTTCTTTCTCACTATGATTTAGAGGAAGGAATGCAGTTATTAACAGACAATAACTCATGTTCACATGGTTTTTTTTTCAATTTTGAAACACAAAGCAATCTATTTCTAATTGTAGCTCTGCTATCCTTCTTCTTATCTCATAAAGTATGAATAAGACCAAAATGGTTTTCATGTAGATCTCTCAGTCCATTATCGATGAGCCTCTGTGCTCTTCCCACAAGCATCCTGTCCTTAGCCCTCTCACAGCCCTAACCCTAAGGTGATCATGGCTGTTTTTGTTTTGTTTTGTACCTTCTCTCCTATTGTTCCCTCTCCACACCCTATACCCTGCATGGTCCCAAGTTGTTTGAGGGAAGAGACAGGGTGGGTGTCAACTGTGTCTCTAATTTCTTAGTGCCTGATGCACCGTACATTTATTTAGGCCTTGACTCTGAATTGTGGATACTCTCAAACCCTGATACTTTACAAAGTTTGCTTCTCCATTTGCTAAGGAAGAGGCGGAAGAGGCTGAGTGTCATATGTGGCACAAACCAGGAAACTAGACCCCTGTGGCAGTTCTCAGTCCTCGGCTCTTTTCCTAAGCAATTCTACTCACTCCCAATCGTCCATACCTCATTTAAGCAAGCAGAAGTCTTAGAGCAAACTGCCTTCCTCCAGCCTAGAAGGTGATTAAGCTGCCTGTTTGGTGTGGGGATAAGGGAAATCTTATCCCACCACATGCCCCAGGTTGGAAGGATTCTCTTCTAATGGTATGCTTTATTGTCACTGATAAACTTTTTATATAATACTTATCTTAGTTAATTAGGGCTACTATGACCAAGCACCATAGGCCTGATGGCTTATGAACAACAGAAACTGACTTCTCACAGTTCTGCAGGCTGGAAGTCTGAGGCCAGGATGCCAGCATGCTTGGGTTCTGGTGAGAGCCCTCTTCTGGGTTGCAGCCCCTGCTGAATTCTCCTTGTACCCCACATGGCAGAAAGAAAATAAGCCAGATTTCTGGCCTCTTCTTAGAAGGGCGCTAATACCATTCATGACGTCTTCACCCTCATGACCTACTTGCCTCCTAGGGGCCCCACCTCCAATACCATCATGATGGGGATTTGATTTTAACATATTAATTTTGTAAGGACACAAACATTCAGTCCGTAGGAGTATAATGCTTTCTTCTTTGCCTTGTTTCATTCTAGTAATGGTTAAGCATTCTTCATAGATTATTTCTCAGTCTAACTGATCCACCTCTCAATCAGGTCCTGGGTTCAATGAATATTCATTGAATGAGTGCTAAGTATGATCTGAGTGGAATCAGAGCAGCAAGTGCAGTTTGAGAGACCCTATCCAAGGAAACAGCCTCTTTTCCACTAAAGGCTGTATTCTTCCCCCTCCCCATCAAGGAGACCTCAGCAGCTTAGAAGTTTGATATATGGTGCTACTTTTAACCTATAAAATGTTAGATGCCCACATTGGTGACAAAACTTTGTGGTTAATTTTTAACAGTAATCACTTTGGCTAGGAATTTTGGATTCCGTGGCTCTTGGAAAATTCTCTTGAAATTCTGGATTCCAAGAGAGCCATGCATGATCAACCCGTATGTTTCTCAATCCTCTAAAGCATTCATGTTTTAGATTGATCTTATACTATCTTAGAATTTACGACCCAATCGTTTCACTCTGTAAACAAGGCTTAGAGTATCCCTGTGTCTTGCTGACCATCACATGGAAGTCAAGACAGAACCAGGGACTAGACCCCAGCTCCTATCTCCCAGTTCAGCACCCTATTTACCCTGGTGCTTTGGCCCTTTCGAGCAAAGAAGACTTTGTGGATATGCATCTTATGTGTCCGAATTATTGATTACCTGAATAGAAGCTTTATCAGCTATTGGGATATGGAAGTCTGACGGTTACAAAAACTGAAATTTGGTGGGAGTTTTCTATGCCAGCCCCACTCTTTAACAGTTCACACAGTCACACCTCCTTTGATCCCCATGACAATCCCATGAGGTTGGTGCTGTTACCATCCCCATATTTCAGATGGGAAAATTCATATAGAGATCACATGGCTTGCTCTTGGTCCTATGGAGCCAGTATGGGTGCAGCCAGGATTCAAACCCAGGCCCTTAATCACCAGCCTCCCGACTCCGAGCTCCTGTAATTCATCTTGATGATTCCTGAACTTCTCCTTCTGACATTACTTAAGTAATAATAAATAACATTTTAAAAATATAAAATGTAAATCATTTTGCATCAACATTCAGAAAGAACAGATGACCAGGCCACTGATGGATTAACTTGACATACACCAGTGCATTTAATCTGAAGATAGTGTAATTATAATAAGAGATAACAAGAGATTACAGAGGGGGCTGTGTGGTGTGCACGATCTAGGTGTTGTTTCTCTGGATAGATTACATGGCATTTAAATATTTCAAGATTAGCAAGATGATTAAACAGCACCTCCTGTTTAAAGTAAAGCTTGAGTTAGAGGCAAATGAGATACTAATTTACTTGTAGAACCTGAAGCATCAGTATAATGAAATATTCAACTTGAATGACACTTTAAAAACATTTCAAGTAAGGGACAGATGGAAATCACAGTGGTGTGTATATGTATGTGGGCCAGAGGAAAGAACCATGTACTATTGCTTTATTTAGTGCTATCATATGAAGTGCAACAGTTTTTTCAATATAAAATCAAAACCCACTAGGGCATACTACTCATATTATTTCTATGCCAGTTTTCCCCTTGAGCTCTTTCAGGCATGGATGCCGCTTTGTCATTGCTCTATCCCTGGTGTTTTTCATGGTGCCTGGCAATACTAAGCACTCTCTTAAATGTTTGTTTTCAAATGATCATGATAAACCAAGAGCACACATACCTAAAAAGAAAGATAGTAAAAAGTTCCTGGGCCAAAGCTGAACAAAAGTTTCCAAGTTACACCATTAACTTTTCTCAAGTCAGAGCCTGTACATAGTGAAGTGACACTGCTGAGATTTAAGTTCAGGACTATATGCTTCATCCCAATGCCAGGGCTATTTTTCCTCTACTTTTTTATTTATTTATTTATTTATTTATTTTTTGAGATGGAGTCTCGCTCTGTTGCCCAGGCTGGAGTGCCATGGTGTGATCTTGGCTCACTGCAAACTCTGCCTCCCAGGTTCAAGCAATTCTCCTGCCTCAGCCTCCTGAGTAGCTGGGATTACAGGCGTGTGCCACCACGCCTGGCTAATTTTTGTATTTTTAGTAGAGACAGGGTTTCACCATGTTTGACCGGCTGGTCTTGAACTCTTGACCTCATGTTCTACCCGCCTTGGCCTCCCAAAAGTGCTGGGATTACAGGCATAAGCCACCGCTCCCAGCCTCCTCTACCCTCTTTCTAAATTTCTAGAGAGAACACTGCAGCCTCTCAAGCTGTGGGTCCTGTAGCCTCATCCACACCAGCACCTGCCATGGCCTGTGCTCCCCACAGCATATCTTAGCATAGGCTGAGGCTTTCCTTGTACCCCATTTGGCTTTTTCTCCTACTGCCCTGAATGAATGCTTCCGTGGGACTTCCTTCTGAGCAATGGCCAAGTTTTCTCCAAGATTGTGTTCGAACATGATCTTTGCTGTGAGGTCCTTCGAGGCCCTCCCTGACCCTCTGCCAGCTCCCATCTCTTTCCTCTGGGCTCTTGAGTTTCCACGGCTGGATCTATGTCTACTCTGAGGTCTAGTCATTCATTCCTTCCACGTGCATCTTCCACATTATAAGGTGCTCCTTGAGGACAGGGACGGGATTATTTCAGTGTCCCCAGGGACTCAGTACAATTTTAGAAACATCGTAGATGTCTTGTAAGAGTTTGAGTGATCACCTATGGGCAAAGCATAGACCTTAGGCATTGCTCTTTGCAGACTTGCCATTCAGTCTTTTTTATTTTTATTTTTTCCTTTTCTTCACTTTACTTGGCAACTTATATCCATTTATGAGATTCCTAAAAATCAGCACTTTTCACATAAATATCCATAGTTGAGTTTTGAGAAATGTGAAGATCAGACCACTCTGGTCCCTGGTCTCTGACAATATCTGCCAGAGTTGGCAGCACCTGCTTCTTTAGCCAAACTACACACACAGCTGATTGCCACCGTCTCCCATCAGCCAGCTGGCTTCATACATAGATGTCACTTGCCTAAACCTGGAAGCATCTGAGTGCTGCCCCTGGAAATACACACAGTGGAGGAAGTCCCAGCCAAACAGTTTTGCTTTACTAATTATTCTGAGGACCATGTACTAGTCAGCTAGGGCTGCTATCATCAAATACCTTGCAATGGATGGTTTAAACAATAGATATTTATTTCTCACAGCTCTGGAGGCTGGAAGTTCAAGATCAAGGTGTCAGCAGAAGTGGTTCTTCATGAAACCCCATTCCTTGCTCGCAGAGGGCCACGTTTTGCCTGTGCCTTCACATGGTGGAGAGAATGAGAGAGAGAGACAGAGTGAGCTCTGTTTTATCTTCCTCTTCTTATAAGGACACCAATCTTGTCAGAATGGAGCCCCACCCTTACAACCTTATGGAAATCCGATCATCTAAAGCCCCCACCTCCAAATACCATCACACTGAGGGTTAGGGTCTCAACCTATGAATTTGGGGAGGACAAAAACATTCAGTCCATAACAACCTGGCTCAAGAAATGAGACAAATCATCTCTCCCTGTTTGTCCAAATTGTTTCAGGGGAAACAATTTACTTTGGTTTGTATAAATTTATTTTCAGCTGTGAATTATTCCAATCTTCCTTACCCAAACAAAAAAGGACAGATTTCCATGTGTCTGGGGGTTAGTAAGATGCAAATTGGGAGACCCATGTTTCTGAGTCAGTTCAGTCCCTGCAGGCCTGACCTTGGGGTTCTTGTTCTCTGCTTACCTCAGTTTGTCTATCTGCAAAATGATAAGACAGAACAAGATGATGGCACATGGCTATTTTGCCTCTGATGCCTTGTGTGTCTTTCCTGACCACTTCTGGGTTAACATAAAAGATTTGTGGGTACTCACCATCTGCAGGGTGACAGATGACTGTCCACCCCAGCCAGGGGAGCTTCTTCAGCTAAGATGGCACCTCTCAGAGGCTCAGTCATACCTGGAGCAGGGGCTGAAGCCATGCACCCCACTGTGGGCCCAAGGCAGCCCAGGTCCTGTCTCCTGTCTGCTATGGGGCTCCTCTTCCACTCAGTTGCACTGAGTAATAAGAGAAGCCCCGTCTGTCCGCCCTCCTGTCACGGAGCTCTGCTGCACAGTGCCTGAGCCAGTGTGTTTCTGCTTCTAATGAAGGATTTATTTAGGTCACTGCTGCCTTCTGTGCACAGCAATGCAGATTAAACATGTTGAGAAGTAACTTCTCCTCTTCCTTCACTGGGGCCTGCCTCACCACTGCACACACCTGGCTGCTCATCATTCGTTCAGGAGCCCTTTATGAAGGACCCACAGCCACTGCGTGCCCTTCTACAGAGAGCTAAATTATTTCTATGTGTCACTGTCCTTTCTTCTTTGAGCTTCTGTCTGGTTGAGTCACTGCAGTACTTTGCATCATGAACAAATGTGTTTGACTAATTATCATCCCAGGATCCCATTTATACCACCCAACATTTTTTTTTTAAGGGACAAAAATAGCTACCATGATTTGAGAGCTTACCACAGGCCAGTCAGTATGGCAATGCCCTAAGCATGCCACATGTACTTTTTTATTTAATCCTCACAGTAAATATGTAGGGCCAAGACATTCAATCTCAAGCTCTGAGTTTCAGGGCTGTCTTGCAGATTTCAAGTTACAGAGCTAAGATTTGAGACTGGGTTTTTGGCTCTAAATCCTGTTAATTCCCAGCATCTTTCCTCCATCTCCCGCCTCCCAAAATACAAACTCAGCAGACAAAATAATCCCTGTCTATTTTGTCTACCACAATTGTTTTCAGTCCTGGAATTAAAAATATACTACCCCAACAACAGTAGGAAACAAACAAATAAAAAACAAAAGACATTGCCCATCTCTGCCCCAGGCCAAGAGTATCAGAATCTGAATTGGCACCCACATTCTAAGCTCACAGGGTCCTAGCCATGCCAAAGACTATCGAGGGTTACATCAGCTCCTCTGGGAATTTATGAGGAATACAGAATCCCAGGCCTCTGCTCAGGCCTCTTGCATTAGAATCTGCATTTGTAACTGGCTTTCCAAGTGACTTGCGTGCATATGCATGTTTGGAAAGCACTATGCCTGATGACTGTAACTTGCAGCCACAAGTCCCTCCCAGGAGGAAATCTTTAGTTACCTCTCATGCGAATTTTTTATCCAGATCCTTGGGCCATAATCCTTCACCTGATCTGGACAATAATGTTGTGTGGGTTGACTTCAGACCACCTATGGGACAGGTTGCATTTATCATTCTCATTTTATCAAGGAGCACTTAGAGGCTCACAAATAACACCAAGATGGGAATCCTTATCCCAGTGACTACACCAAGCTGCCTCCCTTGGCTTGCCAAAGCATCTCCTTCCTTCAATTTCAGAGAATTCAATTTATTATCCAGTTAAACGTTTGTAAATATGGCACCTCTCAGACATGCAGAGGATTCAAGGAAGCACAGAAGGCTAGAGGAGGAGATATTCGAATAGTCCTCCTCTTTTTCAAGGAAAAAGTGGGGCCAATTACTGTAACTTATCCCCCACTGCATAGTAAATGTGGTCCAAGGAAGCTTATTAACATTATGTGGCCTGACTTACGGTCCTTTCTACCCTAAACTCTTTTCACCCCATCCCACCTCACAGCAATTACCATAAGGAAATCCAAACAAAAGTGAATGTCAACATTTGTTGAAGATTGACATGTATAGGCAATTTCAAGAAAATAAATATTTATGTAGGTCTTGAAATATCACTGTCCTCTCATAGGCTGACAGGCACAAACTAAACGTATTTCCAATTTCATTGTTTCTAAAATGACCTGCCAAGGATGAAAATCTGACACCACTGTGAGGTGCTCTTCCATAGCTATGCAAAGATGAAAGTGAAGACATGTTTCGTTCTTAACAATGAAAAAATAATCTTATACTTTTGATTGCCCAGAAGTTTGGTAGATTAAAAAAAAAAAAGACAGTTTTGTTGTTCAACCTGTGTTTCTCATGTTTCAGTACGTTCCAGAAAATTAAATCACTCAACACCATGGGATTCTTGGAAAGAAGCAGTTCTCGCATAACAGTATAATAAATCTCACACTTCTATCTCATTGTGGTTTTAAGTAAGCTCTCCCTTGCCTGGAATGCACTCCCCACTGCCCAAGGGGAAGCATCACCATTCAAAGGGGACAAAAGCACACCGTGGGCTTTGAGGATGGCCAGTGGAATATTTTAGTTTTGATATTTCCTGGTTCTGTGACCTTGAGGAGGTCATTTAACCTTAACAGCATGTATCCATTTCTGTCATGGCAGATATGAATATGAAAGGCAGGCCATTAACATTTGTTGAATAACTGTGTGCCAGACACTGTGCCGTGTATTTGGCATGGGTCATCTTATTTAATTATGATGACACCCCTATCAAGTAGATTTAAGCTCATATTTGCAGAGGGGAATGTGGAGACCCAGAGAGGTTAGACATTTACTGAGGTCAGTTAGCAGTAAGAATTCTAGCTTGGATTTACCTGATTGCAAAAGATTCTTTGCTCATCTACTACTCCCCACCACCTTTTTATTGCTTAAAAATATAAAATAAAATGAGAACAACCACCTCTTGTATTGTTGCAAGTATTAGAAGAAATAATTTATACCCAAGTGCTTACCACCTGGCACCCAGTGAGTGCTCAGCAGGTAATCTCTTTCCTTCTAACCCTTTTGTTAAATCCCATAAGTGAATTGTGGTTGTATGCTTTGATCATCCCTGCTACCCTAGAGGAGATTCCTGCCTGTGACAGTGTGTCACCATCTCTCATTGAGGGGCTGTGAAGGTGTCCTGCAGACAGACAGATGGCAGGCATCGCTGTTCCAGATTCATTAAATGTACCTCTTGTGAAATATCCTAGTTATTTCATTTCATCTATGAATATGTTCCAGTAGTGGGACTGAGAGAATATATTACAGTTAATTACATTTGAAATCTAGGTCATGATGTGAATTATGTAATAAGGAGACATAAGGAGAAAATGAAAATATTTTTGAAGGGTTATTTCATTGCTTCCCCTCTTTTTTAATCCAAATATTTTCTAGGCTCTCAGGTGATGTCGCCCAATCACGATTAGAAATGCTGAGTCCCCCTTTCAACATCTGGTTTCTGCTTGACTCTCTAGAGACAGAAGTTTCAAACCCTTAAAGTTTCTCTTCCTACTGTGTTAAAATATGTTCCCAGTACCTTCCAGCTATTTGCCTGTCTACTGCATTTGACAAGTTCATTCAGCAAACAAAATGTCTAGTATGTGCTATATACCAGAAATCATGCCAGGCCCGAGGGGACAGAGTAGAGCAAGGCAAGACCTCCATTTGCAGGAAAGGCCTCCTTGGAAAGGAGTTTAGATTTAATTCCAAGTGCAAGGGAAGCCTCCATCTGGAAGATTCTGTGGAATCTCCCTTGGGTTTCCCATGCCTGGCATGTGGCTACTGTCTTCACAGTGGGACTCGAGGAAGCTTACTGTTGCTGATAGGAAGGACCTTAATCTTTTCAATTCATGAAACTCAGGCCTTGGGTTTTCACCATAACACCCAGAAAACAGCCTCCCTGATAAAGGGAAGTAAATGGAGGGGTAGCTGGGTCTCCCTTTGGGACCTATTAACCCATCGGAGGTTCATTTTGCCCATCTTAGCAAGTCTGGGCCTTCACAGAAATTCTGTCCTTCATCAAAGAATTGGTGCAAGGCACAACTATTCAACAGGACCAAAGAAGTAGAGCCAAGTTCATTAATAACTTGCTCACTAACTCCAGACATTGCCAAGAAAAGTGAAAGTGACAGTGAAGTTCCTGGCTTTGTTTAGACTGAGTTTGAATCCTTTCACCTCCTCTAACTTTCTAGACACAAGACTTCATTTCTCTGAACCTCACTTTTTAAAATAAAAACATCACTTACCTTGAGGACTTGCAGTGAGGATTACAGCAAGCCCTGTGTGGAAAGTTGCCAGTCTAGTGCCTGCTCAGTAGCAATTGCTGCAGATGGGAGCTGCAATCATTGCTTTTGCCAAGGATGTGGCCTCAGCTCCAGGTGCTATAGAGAATTCTGTATCCATGCCCACATCAGCCAAGTGCTTCAACTGTCAAAAGGTCCCATTTGTTTACTTTTACCTGGTTTGTTTCTTGAGGGAGAAGATCGAATTTGCCTTTGTGCTGCCTGCAGGTTCAAACCTGCCTTCCTGGTTCTTCTCCTGTTCAGGAAGCTCCTAATCTGTGAGTGCGTAGAGAATCTTGCTTTCAGGAGAGTGTGTTCCACACTTAAAGACCTCTCAGATTAAGAATTGCAAACATGCCCAGTGCTATCTATCTCTGTGCTCTCTAACTCAATTGCCACCAGCCATATGTGTCCTTGAGATGTGCTACACAGGAAATATATATGCACTTGGATTTTGAAGACTGGGTAGAAAAAAATGCAAAATATTTCATTAATTTTATATAGTGATTAGGCCAGGTATGGTGGCTCACACCTGGAATCCAAGCACTTTGGGAGACCGAAACAGGTGGATCACTTGAGGTCAGGAGTTCGAGACCAGTCTGACCAACATGGCGAAACCCCATCTCTACTAAAATTATAATACAAAAATTAGCCAGCTGTGGTGGCACACACCTGTGGTCCCAGCTACTTGGGAAGCTGAGGCACAAGAACTACTTGAACCCAGAATGCAGAGGTCACAGTGAGCTGAGATCATGTCACTGCACTCCAGCCTGGGCGACAGAGGAAGACTCTGTCTCAAAAAAGAAAAATTATATAGTGATTATAGGTTAGAGTGATAACACTTTAGATCTATTAAGCTATGTAGAATATATGTTTTAAAATGTCTGAATGCATATGTTATACACAATATATTTATATTGGACAGTCCTGACACACATTGTTTCATTTCAGTCTCAAAGTAATCATTTGAAGCAGGTGGAATTATTACCATTTTACAGATGAGGAAACTGAAGCTAAGAGAGGTTAAGTCACTTTGACCAAGGTCCAAACTAGAGACAGGAATCCTGACTCCAGGGCCTGTGCAATTCATTTGGACCCTTCTACTGAACAGAACAAATGAGCAAGTTTGACCCTGTACTACACATACCCTGTGTGTCAGCTGACACTGGAAGTTGGTGGCCAGGGAGTTGTCATTGCTGGGTAGATTTTGTTGGGTTTTTCTTCTATGGAATCCCAAAAATATTGTCATTATTTTACATTACAACCACTTACTCGGAAGACAGTAGTAACAGCAACTAGACTACAGAACTGGACTTCTGGAGCCAAAAGTCCTAGGAACAGATTTACTATGTGACACTGGGCAAGTCATCTTGGGGTGTGAAAGGCAGGGACTAAGTGACTCCCTTCTTCCCTGATGTTTATAACTTCATTGTCAAGATCAAGGTGGCACACAGGAATGGCTTACAGGTTCACCTGAGCTTGGGAATCTTTTTGTTTCTGAGAGTGTTACAAAAAGGACCAGAAATCCTTTCTGTGCCACTGGGAAGTCCAAATTACAAAACCACAAGAGGAAGTTGGCTCCCAATGCCCACAGTGTGTATGTAATATAAAACAGGTTATACTATATTTAGCTATGAATATATGTGTGCATACATTTACACACACAAACACATATGTACTTATACACATTTTTACATATACACATAAAAGATACACATGGGGTATACACATGATATATATGCTATATATAGTATGTGTGTATGTATATGTGTGCGTATATACTTGCATATGTGTATATAAGACATTAGCTAATTTCTTTCTCTATTAGCCTCAAATATTTTTGAATGAAAAAGGTCTAGACATAAGTAAATACATTTTTAGAAAGGATTAAAATACAAACAAGGAGCTTATAAGCTACTTAACTTCCCAATACGTTGTTGTTATTTTCTTTCATAAAGGACAAACTATATTTAGTTTCTTCTCTACTGTCTGCTGGTAATTCTCCTTCAGGAAAGAAACCTCAGATGTACACTACACTAACCAGGATGCCTCAGGTTAGAGTTGAAGGAGCATAAACAGTCAGATAATATGAATTTCAGATCTGGCCTCTGCCTCTACACTTAGGTATCAAATAATATGAATGTGTTGTTCCCTGAGTCTGAACATGGAACTATAAGATGGTGATAGCAGTGACCAACACACAGTATAGCTCTCTAAAGGGTAGTAGTTAGTCCCTCTCTCACTTGACCTACCTGTTATACCTGCACACACACACACACATGCATGCATACACATACAGACACACTCAAGCATGCACATACAATTGCATACATTCTCACATCTCAAACATGTAAGAGCCAAGCACAATTGGTACATTTGGTCGAACCACATAGGTGACTTGAGAAGGAAATGAAATTCAGCTGAAACACCCTGAAACCATCACTTGACTAAAAAAATTGGCCTGTTAAATTTAGTTCACCAATCGGTAGAACCAACCTGAAACCTCATCGTTCTTGGCTATCCTTTCTAAAGCATTCTTGATTTTTTCTTAAAGAGTTACATCACTGATCTCTCAGGTCCCTTCTCCAGTGCACTGTGGTTCTCTAAAACCTTCCATCTATTTGATTACTTGCTCTTTAATATGTTTTTCAAAGAAGATAACAATATCTGAGAAAGGTAGATTAGCTGGTTGATCATAAAAATGGATGTCCTGGAATTTGTTCTTCCTTTATTCATTCTGGACAAGTTTTAAACTAATGAAGTAAATTTTGAAACTACCGTACAAAAGATGATGAGTCCTCTTGATGGAGAATATTTTTACTAGCTTTGTAAATCCCTCAGTCCCCAAGCCAGGCCTGTCTCTTACGCTTCCCTTAATGTGTTTTAACAGAGATGACTCAAGTGAAAGCAACTAATCTCCTCTTTAGGGGATAGCGTGAAACACAGACTGATGAGTATCAGCTCCTTGAAAACATAAACCCTTGACTGGTCTGTCTTGTGGAACCCCACAGCATCTAGGCCAGCAGTTCCTGTGTCCTTTACTGCCTAAATGTTATAAATCTTAAATAGGTAAAGAGGAGAAGTTTTGTGGAAAAGATGTGGTTTGTGGATAAAGAACACTGAGTTTAGAGTTTTCAATTTGGGCTCTAAATTTTGAAATAGACTAATAGAATTGTGTCCTTAGACAAGACTACCCTCTATAAAATGGTGGTGACAGGCCAGGCGCAGTGGCTCATGCCTGTAATCCCAGCACTTTGGGAGGCCGAGGCAGGCAGATCACCTGAGGGTGGGATTTCGAGACCAGCCTGACCAACATAGAGAAAGCCCATCTCTATTAAAAATACAAAATTAGCTGGGCGTGGTGGCACATGCCTGTAATCTCAGCTACTCGGGAGACTGAGGCAGGAAAATCACTTGAACCGGGGAGGCGGAGGTTGCGGTGAGCTGAGATCACACCATTGCACTCCAGCCTGAGCAACAAGAGCAAAACTCCATAAAAAAAAAAAAAAAATGGCGGTGACATCTGCCTTGCCTTCCTACCTTACAGTGTAGGGTTGTAGTGACAATAGCTGAATATAGTATGAGACCACATTATCAATAGTAAAGCTTTGTACAAATGAAGGCTTTTTTGCACTTTGTAGTAATTTCACTTGTTTATCCCTCCAGGCCTATTTCAAATGTTTCCTCCACTGTGAAACCATCCCCAATTATTTTAGGCAAAATGAATGAACATGTGTCTTCATAGTACCCTACCAAAATTACAATCATAACATATATCTCCCTGATGCCTACAGTCAGGCTGCGTCAATTAACTTTTGCCAATTTCCCGCTGCAATACAAACCACTCCAAAACTCAGGGGCTTAAAACCACAATCATGCATCTTCACTCATGAGCTGGGATGGCTCTGTGTGTCTTTCATCCTCCCTCTGGGACCATGGGCTAGCCAGGGCATATTCTTCTCATGGCAAAGCCAATAGTGAAAGAGGGTGAGCAAAAACACACAAGGCCTCTTGCAGCCAGGCTGGGGACTGATACGTTGTCACATCTGCTCATATGCTAGTAGCAAGGCCAATTCAAGAGTTGGACACAAGGTGAAGAATTGGGACTAATCATGCAATCTTTCATACTAATTCACATGCTCTGTTAGATTAGGAGCCCCTGGCTGGAAGAGTGGGGGCAGGAACAAAGCCTGCTTCTATATCACCTGCCCCTTTGCCAGGGACTGGTGAGTAGTAGATATTTTATTGATTTTTGCTGAGTTCCAAAGGGTCTTCCCAACCCTTTCCTTTATAGCAAGGGTTAGCATGCTCTGACTAGGGAGGCAAACCTGGCCTGGTTGTATGCAGCCAGCTAAACATATAAAATGATTGCAAAAAATAACAATAGTAAGAAGGAAAATAATATTTAATGACACGTGAAAATTATATGAAATTCACTCAGTGCCCATAAATAGAGTGTTCTTGGAACACAACCACACCCATTCCCTTGTGTGTTGTCTATGGCTGCATTTCATCTATAATAGCACGGTTGGAGTTGGAGTTGGCATAAAGTATGTCCCCTAAAGCCTAAAATACTTATTCTCTGGACTTTTGCAGAAAATGTTTGCCATCGGCTCCTGTATAGGATAAGAAACTGAGAGTCCTGGGGAGGTGAATATAGGCCTCACTACAGAGTGGCTACAGAGTTGTTAGTTGAATTATCCCTGTATTTGTTATATGTTAATATCTTCCCTTTTTGTTCCCTAGTAATTGAAGGCCTGAAACGCCCATGTGCCACTGACTAGGAGGCTTCCCTGCTGCGGCACTTCATGACCCAGCGGCGCGCGGCCCAGTGAAGCCACCGTGGTGTCCAGCATGGCCGCGCTGCTCCTGGGCGCGGTGCTGCTGGTGGCCCAGCCCCAGCTAGTGCCTTCCCGCCCCGCCGAGCTAGGCCAGCAGGAGCTTCTGCGGAAAGCGGGGACCCTCCAGGATGACGTCCGCGATGGCGTGGCCCCAAACGGCTCTGCCCAGCAGTTGCCGCAGACCATCATCATCGGCGTGCGCAAGGGCGGCACGCGCGCACTGCTGGAGATGCTCAGCCTGCACCCCGACGTGGCGGCCGCGGAGAACGAGGTCCACTTCTTCGACTGGGAGGAGCATTACAGCCACGGCTTGGGCTGGTACCTCAGCCAGATGCCCTTCTCCTGGCCACACCAGCTCACAGTGGAGAAGACCCCCGCGTATTTCACGTCGCCCAAAGTGCCTGAGCGAGTCTACAGCATGAACCCGTCCATCCGGCTGCTGCTCATCCTGCGAGACCCGTCGGAGCGCGTGCTATCTGACTACACCCAAGTGTTCTACAACCACATGCAGAAGCACAAGCCCTACCCGTCCATCGAGGAGTTCCTGGTGCGCGATGGCAGGCTCAATGTGGACTACAAGGCCCTCAACCGCAGCCTCTACCACGTGCACATGCAGAACTGGCTGCGCTTTTTCCCGCTGCGCCACATCCACATTGTGGACGGCGACCGCCTCATCAGGGACCCCTTCCCTGAGATCCAAAAGGTCGAGAGGTTCCTAAAGCTGTCGCCGCAGATCAATGCTTCGAACTTCTACTTTAACAAAACCAAGGGCTTTTACTGCCTGCGGGACAGCGGCCGGGACCGCTGCTTACATGAGTCCAAAGGCCGGGCGCACCCCCAAGTCGATCCCAAACTACTCAATAAACTGCACGAATATTTTCATGAGCCAAATAAGAAGTTCTTCGAGCTTGTTGGCAGAACATTTGACTGGCACTGATTTGCAATAAGCTAAGCTCAGAAACTTTCCTACTGTAAGTTCTGGTGTACAT
Organism: Homo sapiens; assembly: GCF_000001405.40. Taxonomy (NCBI): domain Eukaryota; kingdom Metazoa; phylum Chordata; class Mammalia; order Primates; family Hominidae; genus Homo; species Homo sapiens. The sequence goes on along the minus strand of NC_000004.12, from coordinate 11,399,029 downwards.
CTGAGGGGAAAAAGAATTTTAAAAAAGCATTTAAGGTATAATTTATTTGTAAAATCCATAAAGTACTTCTGTACAGTATTAGATTCACAATTGCCATATATACTAGTTATATTTTTCTACTTGTTAAATGGAGGGCATTTTGTATTGTTTTTCATGGTTGTTAACATTGTGTAATATGTCTCTATATGAAGGAACTAAACTATTTCACTGAAAAAAAAAAAAAGATTTTTTCTGGAGACGCTATGTTTTTTTGAATATAATTAACTTGCCCCCAACTCAAAATAGCTGTCTGTGTTGCAATCATTGCAAAATCTAAATTCTTTTGTTACTTAAAAAAACATGTTTTTCATGGCTATTACAATCCTCTCTCTCCCCTCTCCTTTCTGCATTGCTCTTTTTAATTTTTAATGTCTCATTGTGATCATCAGATTTATTTTTACTTGGATTGTAAGATTTATCTCCTCGGCGATTCCTTGTCATTTTTGGAGGTCACAGTTTTACTCATTCCCATGTGTAAACTTCAAGTAAACAAAGCAATATTCAGGATGGAGAAGCAGTTAGTGACTGGCTAGAGGTCTCTTGGGATCCATCTTGACCTCAAAGAATATTTGCACATGCTTCTGATCTCAGCAGTTATAATAAAGAGGATTAAACCCTTGGCCTTCAGAATGATCTTGGACCTGGATACTTTGCCCCAGGTGGCAGCTGGCCTCCAGAAAGCCAATTAGAATAGAAAAGAGAAACTGCGAAATCTATGCGTGTCTTCATCCTGTCGGTTCTGTGAAAGGCTGACTAAAAGGGTAGTAGTCTTTTGCTTAGTCTGAAAGTCTGCTTACTTCCTGAAAGACACATTGGCATTATAGACATATATTCCATATGCACTGAGACATAAATATGTGTATGTTTCAAAATCAACTCTAAATTTGGAGTCCTGAATGTGAAAGAAAAAGTAAGTTCCCAAGTGTTGAAGTTAAAAAGAGAAAAGGGCAGAGTTGAAGGTAGCACCTAAGAGAACCACTGTACCTGCCCCCAGAGGAGTGGCTGGAGTTCAGTTTTACTTCTGCCCCTGAGCAGCCAGCTTGTTGGAGATGGTCACATAAACCCTTCTTATCCTCAGTTTTTTCATGCATTCTTCATGCAGTCAGCCTTTTACAGAATTAAACCCATTGGATTTTAATAAAAATAAAACATTCATTACAGTAAAAGAGAAAATACAAACAAGCAAAATAAACCGGCTTCCTGACATGGTTTATACCGCAGGAAAATGACAGAAATGGACGTTATTAATCATCTCCTACACTTAAGAACTCATTGAAATTTCTCCAAGCAACCCCAGGATGCAGATATTATTATGGAAATTTCAAAGAGGAGGAATTAGGCCCAGAGAACATGAGAAACTTGCCCAAGGTCACATTGACTATAAACTCAGGCTTAGAGGCTACTCAGAGCCAAAGCACAGGTTATTTATGTATTTAGTTTTTACCCAACTCTTTCTGAACTCAAAAGGAAAAGCCCAGACTCAGAGCCAGTTCTTCCTGACCTGACTTAACATTTCTTCCCAGGTGCCAAATATCTTCCATCCTAAGAGGTGTGTCCCAGATACAGGAAGGGCAAGAAGAAGCCTGCATTTTTCTCAGCAGTGTTATCAGGGAAGTGAGTCACCTTGGTACGTTTCAGCAGCTCCAGCCTGACCTGACCTTAGCATGGCCTATGCCCCACCCCATATCATGAACAGAGAGCAGAGAGGATGCCTTCCTCTTTAGAATCCATTGAAGTTGTCATTAAGCCATCATCTCCCCCAGAGGAAGTAGCAGAAATATTTACAGCAGGCCCCTGGTGGACATGGTACTTTTCAATAGGCAGAGAGCCTCCCTCTGCAGCACATCGTTGGATCTTGCTTTTACCATACTCCTTGAAGAGCTGAAGAAATAAGAGGGCCCAGCAAGGTTAAGTCAAGTTTCCAAGCCTGTTCAGGAATATGGTGACTGAAAGGAAACTGCAATGAGAGTCTCTGACTGAAGAAGATGCTCTTTGCAAACTGCCTGTAAATTCCTGTCCCCTGACAGGGATGGTCTGGTAGAAGCATGAACTGTGGATGCAAGAGGCAGCGGGGAGGAGTGGAGGAAGACAGGACCAGCACATGGAATATAATCTAGCTGCTGGGACTGGCATAGTCGATGGAGGCGGTGGTCCAGTGTAAAATGATCAGTGAATGTAAATTCAATATGTTTTCATTTGGGGGTGCAGAGTCGTGGCTAAAGGAATGTTCAAATGAGTCTACCATGAGCAAGGGATCAGAGGTCCTAGTGGCACTATCTGTTCATTCATTTTTGGTACAACCCCAGCCAGTCATTGAGAAGGTACACTGTGTAAGAAACCATCACTCCAGACTTACCCAAGGTATTTATTGCTAGATCTCACCAAGCACTGTCAAATTCAAAGGAGGCCCTGTAGTAGACCCTGGGCTGTCCTTACAGGGCCAAAATGCAGTGACTCAGGAGCCTAATAGCACCCGGTCCCTCCAAAACATGCCTTCTACCAATTCCATTAACAGAGACAGGTGTCAGTGGAAGGGGTGGGTCTCCTGTCCAGACCACCCCGGCCCGGGAGCAGCCTGGGGGATCTAGGTGGGTCCTTCCAGAGAGGCAAGTGAGAACAACTGAACCAAGCCTCAGCTATTAGATTTGGAATATTCACACACTTGACACTCCAGAGTCAGAACAGCCCCTTCCCTTTCCCTTCCTCCTGGAATCAGATAGGGTTGAAATCCTTTTAACACCATTTGGTTATCAGCTCACAACCTGAAGGTTTGCAAGTTTAGGAAAAGTGACATGCCTCTGAGCACAGGGTGCTTTACTCCTTCTGTGCTTGGAGGCTTACCCAACTGAAAGGAGATGGAGGGCAGGAGAGGCCGATGCCTAGCGTGCCTGCTGCTTACAGGGGTGGTGTCACAGGTCACCATTATTCATTAAAATTTTACTTTTTTGATCCCCTACCACATGCTCAACATGGTATTGAGTCCTCAAGAATATAAAAAGAAAATACAACAGGAACCAGTAGTCATTAACTGTTTGTTCTGGACTTTAATAAAAGTACAGAGGGTCTTGGAGTACAAAGGCAAAGACATTTAGCTGTGTATAGAATGGGTGGGGGAATGTGTTCCATGGTTTGGCATTCAGTTCAGCAACATTCCTGAGAGAAATCAACTAGCCCCCTTATAGAGAAGAGGAAACTGAGATTTAAAAAGTGGTCCTGGCCGGGTGTAGTGGCTCACGCCTGTAATCCCAGCACTTTGGGAGGCCAAGACAGGTGAATCACGAGGTCAGGAGTTCAAGACCAGCCTGACCAACATGGTGAAACCCCATCTCTACTAAAAATACAAAAATGTGCCAGGCATGGTGGCGAGTGCCTGTAATCCCAGCTACTCAGGACACTGAGGCAAGAGAACCACTTGAACCTGGCAGGTGGAGGTTGCAGGGGGCCGAGATGATGCCACTGCACTCCAGCCTGGGCAACAGAGCAAGACTCCATCTCAAAAAAAAAAAAAAAAAAAAAAGATAAATTAATAATAAAAAAATAAAAAAGTAATCCTGACTTCAAGTCATTTTTTTCAGAAGAAAGGATTCTTGCTCACTCCAGGGAAATAGTCCAGAAATGGAAAATGTTGACATCACAAATCACAAAAGAAGGTGAAAAATATCAGAGACCCTCTCCAGAATGTCATTTCTCAGAAATATTAAGAAATAGAGAATCTTCCCAGAGGTCGCATGTCAGGGCAGGTCACTTAACTTGTGGGCCACAGAGACCCTGACCTTCCTGTGGGAAGGCTTCATGGAGGAATTGCCATAAAGCTGGGGCACGCACGAATGGCAGTAGTGTCACCAGAGCAGGGCATTCTGAACAAGGGAAGCTTGAGACATGAAGACAGTGGTCACGGGGAGAGGCTGGGGGTAGAGGGTAGAGGTAGGCAAGAGATTTGTCTGAGTGGCATGTCAAATGTGTTAAACTCAATGAGAAGCTACTGCTTTCCAAGGCTGGAGTGTTGGAAGCTTACTTAGCAGGCACCCATGTGAATTTGGCTCCTGTGCAGGTGTATCTGTTGCATAAAAATAGCTATCATTTGTTGCACACCTGCCATGTGCTTGGTATTTTAAATATATTGCTTCTAACCTATATAACAACCCTAGGAAGTAGAAAATGGGCTACTAATTTTACAGAAAAATAAACTCAGAAATTAAAGGGCTTGCCCATGTTGATAGAGCCATTACTTCTTACAAATGAAATTTTGTCTCCGATGTCTCTGCTCCTTTTCAGTCCATCTATTTGTGGGTAAGTGGAGGAAGATATAAAGCATATGCATCTGTCTATTAGGCAGAGCCTGTAAGGGAAATTATGGGCATCTAGGATTTGGAGTTGGACAGTTAGGGTGATATCAAGATTACCTTCAAGCAAAGCAGTGGCTGGGATTTGATGCAACAGGGACGTGATAAAACATGCTCCTAACCGGCAGCAGCTCATTTCGGAAGACTGAGCCTGAGTTAAAGGCCAGAGCAACATAACAGAGTTCTCCAAACAGCACACAGTGAGAGAAGGCCAAAGCTAAAGAGGACATCATCGGATTTAGCTGCTTCACTAAAGTGTTTTGATGTAGAAAATGACCTTGGTGCTTTAGTTATCCCTGATGTCAAGACCTTTACTCTATTTTGCCCAAATTTCTCAGTTAGATAACAGCAAAGAGAGAGAGCCAGAAGACCTGGGTGTGCATCCTAGCTGTACCAATCACTGACCATGGGATCTTAGATTCAGACTCTGAGAACCTCCATTTCCTTCTCCATAAAAATGGGCAGATATGTACTGTACTCTGTTGGGGGAAAACTCCAACTCAATGAGATAAAGTAGGTAAAAACTATAAACCCAGTGCATATGTTACTTAGTGGTTAAAAACATTTGGGACTTTAGGAGACAGACCAAAACTGGTTTTGAACCAGTCGGCAGAAATGCGCTGCCTTTTTTCCTCCTCTGCTTCCCAGCTATGTGACTGTAGCTATTGCTGTTAATGCTCCATCCAGAGCTCATTTACCAGGGAAGTGCTCTCAACCCCAGCTGCCACAAAGATTGTCTTCTGTACTATTTTCTGAAGGATTTCTCTTAGTTGGCAGGAGTTTTCTTACCTGAAGATGCCTGAGAAATGTTGTCCACCCCACTCCCCTGCTTTCCTAGGGTTAGGGCATGACTAATGATTGACTGACCCATGTGGGATGGGGCATGGGGGTAGTAGGGTAACAGTCCACCCTCATTGCCTCCAGGCAGGACAACCTCTGGTGCAACTCATGCTCAGAGCTCCTCGTGAGATCAGGCTGAGGCTAGACTTCTCCTGAAACTGTACTTTTACTTATTTCTTCCGAAACTTCATCCTTTTCCCACATTACCTTACTCATTTCTTCTGCTACCCTATTCTCAGTAAATGTGTTTCCCAAGAAAACAGGAATCCCCCCTCAGACTTTGCTTCTAGACCATCCACTCTAAAGTCTTAACCTTGCATGCATGTTTTCTTCTCTCTGTATTTTACATGTATAACGTGATCAACCCACGGAGTTATTAGAATTCTTCCAATTAAATGAGATATAGCAGAGAATGAGTCTATTTTATTGGCTAGCAAATAGCAAAGTGTTAAATTCAATAATGGCTGAAATTGTTACCAAGTAGTAGGCTCTTTTATTAGCTTATCGGACTACCAAAATAGTATAATGCATCAATATCAAACTTAAATTTCAACTTCATAAAACAATTCTGGGCCCAACAAATATGAAGGTATTGCTCCATCTTATGTAGCAACATCTTGTATTTCTATTGTTTGATAAATATTCCACTTAGAACTAATACATGGATGTCTCTTTCTTTTGATTGCAACCCTCTGGCACTTAACACAGTGCCTGGTACATGGTAAGTAAGGAGTATTAATACTTGTTTGTGGATTGAAGGGTAACTCTAGACTAGTTGTCAGTTTTACGCGAAAGCCCCTTCTACCACATCGCAGCCTCATGATCTGGCCCGCCTCCTGGAAGTAGCCTTTCTGGCCCAGACACTGGTAGGTACTTTAAAATAAGCTGTTTTATGTAATCTTCACAAACCTCAGGGGAAATAATCAATTCAAGCTTCCTGTGTTTGTTTACCATTAGATCCACATCAAATAGTAACCATACTTGACATAGGAGCTATAAATATTTATTAATCGAACAGATCACCCTAATACCCAAGCTCTTTTCACTATGCCTTACTATATGACCTCTTCTTGAATATTGAACCAATGAATAGTTCTCCAAGGTAACCCATTATATCTCCAAACTGGCTATTGAAATTCATACTTACTGTACCTCGACCTACATCCCCCAGCTTTCTCTCATGCATCTGAGTTCTACCACACAGTGCCATAATGAACAGGTCTAATACCACTTTCTCATGTTGGCATACTGAAAAGAGCGCTGACCTCGGATTCTGAAGACATGAATTTAGAAGTTTATCTCAGCCTTTTTCACAGCTATGTGACCTTGGGCAATTTCCTTAACTTCTCTGAACTTCCAGTACCTTTCTGTAAAATAGGGATAATTATACCTTCTTCACAGAGATTCTATGAACAATTTATGGAAAATGGACAATGGACATATAAGAGATCACAATTTCATAAACTCTCCAAATATGTAAAAGTGAGTCTTTCTAATTCCTAGTTAGCTCTCATGGCTGGTATCATCTTCGACAGAAAGTAAAGGAATAACACTCATGTGTTTATTAAAACCTAGGTATTATATCATTTAACCTTCATATCAACCTATGAGACAAATGCTACTGTTTCGCTTCTTTTATATATGGATGGGGAACCAAAGCACAGAGACATTAAGTAATTTGCCTAAGGTCACATGGCTAGTAAATAGTAGAGCCAGATTTATCTCCTGCGTGTTCTCTTCATAAATAAAATGCTTTACCTCTAGGTTATAATGCTGTCAATGCAAAAGAGAATCTCTTCTACAACATGTTTGTTCATAAAAAGAGCTAGAACACAAAGAAGGCAAAGATAGAGACCAGAAACTTAATATAAATATCAGCAAAAAAGGCTGTGGCAGGCAGAATTCTAGAATGGCTCCCTTGGTTTCCACCCACTTGTGTACAAACCCTGCATAGACCCCTCGCCTTGAATATGAGCAGAAGTTATAAATAAGATGAGTCACTTACTCTCTTGGTTAGAGTACTTTATATGGCAAAGGTGATGGGCTATAATGACATTGTGTTATGTAAGACTCCAACTTAGCACACTGGGGAGATTCTTCTACTGGCTTTGAAGGCATCACCTGCCATGCTGTGAGAGGCCTTTGAGAGGGCCATGTAGCAAGGGACTGCAGTGTCCAGTAGTAGCTGAGAGTGTCCCCAGCCAATATCCAACAAGAAAGCAAAGATCTCAATATTCCAGTTTCAAAGACTAAATTTTTGCAACAACACGTGAGCTTGAAAGAGGGCCCCAAGCTCTGGATAAGAAAGTCATCTGTCTGAAATCTTGATCGCTGCTTGGGAAGGCCACAGCAGAGGTAGGATGTGATTGGACTCCTATCATAGGGAAGTTGAGAGAATAGGTGTATATTGGTTTAAGCTGCTAAGTTTGTAGTAATTTGTTAGGTAATAGGTAATTAATTCAAAGTGTAATTCTATTATCTAGTCTATTCATCTTGCCTCATGCTCACTTTTCTGTATGCTCCCTTGAAAACAAACGAAATGTATGGATTTTTGTTACCCAAGGAATGCATTTCCATTGTATATTAACCAGAGCCTTACAGCAAGATTATTCAGAGATGACAATTGTCAAATTTTAATTATATCCTTTGAGATAAAAAAAAAAAAAACAAAAAGCACATACACACAACTGCGGCTCCATCAGCTGATAGAGTTGAAAGGGAACATACCGGTCATTTTAGCCAAACTTCTTTTTTTATAGAAGGATTTGAGATCTGGAGGAGTAAAGTAATGTAGGTAGCAGCAGAATCCAAGGGAGAACTCAGAACTACTTCGTAATATCTATCACACTGCGTATCTGTTGTCTAATCCCTTGCTCTCCAAGTGAAGGTCTGTTGCTTACTATGGAGAAAAATGCACCACACAGTTCTCTGCATAAAGCAGATACCCAGCTGAGACTTGATTGAAATTATGCTCCTCATTTAGTAGTGTTTTTGGTACTGCAGGAAAAACAATAATAGCTAAACATACTGGGTGTTCCAGTTACCTAAGGCTATATAACAAACCACTCCAAAATTTAGTGTATAAAGAAACAATCTATTACCTCTTATGGTTCTGTGGGTAAATTGGAAACATCTGAGAAAGTCTTGCTTGGGGGCTTACCTGGTTGTAGTCAGGTGGTGGCTAGGACTGTAGTCATCTGAAGACTAACCTCATCTGGATGGCCAAGATGGCTTCTTTAATCTCATGTTGGGATAACTGTAACACCTCCATGTGGCCAACTTGGGTTTCCTCACAGCATGGCCAACTTAGAGTTATTGGTGGAACTTTTTATATGGTAGCTGGCTTTCCCCAGAATGTTCCAAGAAACCAAGTCAAAAGTTGCAAATGTTACATAGTGAAACTATTGTCACATTTAATGTTTCAACAAGGCCGGCCCAAATTCAGTGTGGGAAAAGACCACAAAAGAGGCAGAATAATTGGAGGCGTGGTTCACAGGGGGGCCCTCTGTTGAGACTAGCTTCCATACCTGGTTGTTCCTTGACAATGAAATCGACAGAACAAGTGCTTAATGGTTATGTGGTCATACTTAAAAAGGGAGATTAATGTAAGTGTAAGCTTTCAGGATATTAGTGTTCATTATACAAATGTAAGTTATCATTATTATAAGTCCTTGGGCTTGCTATGTAATTTCAACTATTTTGACCTAAGGAATGTGGCCAGTTCACTCCTCTTTTGATCCCATGTGATGGTGATTAAGTGATTTTGCATAAATCAATTTATTCTACAAGTAGAATCCAGGCGTGCACACTATGTTGCTTCCTCTGAATGTTTTTATGGCTCAACCAAACCATGTGAAGAAAAGATACACTTAGAACAAATTACAGGCTGGAGTCAGCTTGGAAAACTTTGTGTTATATGAAAGCACAAACCCTGACAGACCTGCAAAACCTCTTAGACAATTCATCAGACATAAAAGACTATTGCTGAGACATTTAACACTGGATATTAAAAGCTGTTCGCAGCACTCAAAAGACAATATATGGCAGACTCTATTTCTACTTTCTTTAATTTGGAAGTTCTATCTTTAGTAGCAATTTACATTTTCCACACAATTAAAGACTGTACCTATTTCTGATATGCACTTCAAGTATCCAATTCGTCTGTGATTTACATTTTCTTCTCTGTTTATCTGTTTATTTCCCTCTCAGTTAGAAAACGAGGTTTTAAATTTTGGCATCATCACTTAAAATCTGGGTAATGCTGGGCAAATTTGATTAACCATTCAAGAGGGTCAGTTGGCTGATATGTTAAATGGGAGTATGATTTTGTTTCAGGAATTGTTGTGGCTCTTGAAGGCTATGAGCATAGCCAGGCATGCAGTAGATATTCAACACATACATATTCATTGATCTTTTAATACACTTTTTGTTGGTGGATTCAAAGGGTCTGTAAATAGGAATTCACTTGTGACAATGGAACAGCCCTTCAGATATCATTGTACCATCATGAATGTCAAGGCCAATACATCTAAAAATCAATGAAATTTTATTGTGCTTCTAATGGTAACCATTTACATAAGTCCAAGCCATGGGCAAATGTGATATAGTGGTATAGTAAGAACTATGTACAAATGCTCCTTGACTTACAATGGAGTTATATCCCAATAAATCTGATTTATTGAAATATCTTGATAAGTTGAAAATACTGTAAATCAAAAATGCATTTAATATGCTAATCTATTTAACATCATAGATAAGCCTAGCCTACCTTAAACATGCACAGAACACTTACATTAACTTAAAGTTGGGCAAAATAACCTACCACAAAGCCTATTTTAGAATGAAATGTTGAATATCTCATGTCATTTATTGAATATTGTACTGAAAGTGAAAAACAGAATGGTTGTATGAGTACCCACCACTAGCACATACAGCTGAAAGCACACTGGGCCTGAAATATGTTTGAAGAATTGAACTAAAATTAATTTTTGAATGATGGGGGTGCTACAGCCACAGGGTCATCAATTTCTCTCTCTTCCAGTGAGGCTTAAGAAGAGCCGATAGAAGGCACTGGAACACGGACACTTGTTTATGGGTCAGCAGCAATAGTGTTCTTCAGGACGATACCAAGTGTCAGTTTAGCCCAGTGAGCACGTGGCTGAATGGGAACTACTGCTCGCTGCCACTGCTCAGCCTTGCTAGAGAGTGTCTTACTGAATATCACTAGACCAGGAAGATATCAAAATTCAAAATTGGAAATATGGTTTCTACTGAATTTGTATTGCTTCTGCTACCATCACAAAGTCAGAAAATAGTAAGCCAAATCACTGTAAGCTGAGAACCATCCCTATGTTGGTCTTCACCTTGTTCTTGACATACAACTTCTAAAACTCTTGGAATTTCCTAAGGGATAAAAGCAATAAAGCACAGAAAGGAGCCTTTTGTTATTCACAACAGGCCGCTTTCCACCACACCTGAGTTAACATTGATGAGATGACTTTTTTTTTTTTTTTTTTTTTTTTTTTTTGAGACGGAGTCTCGCTCTGTCGCCCAGGCCGGACTGCGGACTGCAGTGGCGCAATCTCGGCTCACTGCAAGCTCCGCTTCCCGGGTTCACGCCATTCTCCTGCCTCAGCCTCCCGAGTAGCTGGGACTACAGGCGCCCGCCACCGCGCCCGGCTAATTTTTTGTATTTTTAGTAGAGACGGGGTTTCACCTTGTTAGCCAGGATGGTCTCGATCTCCTGACCTCATGATCCACCCGCCTCGGCCTCCCAAAGTGCTGGAATTACAGGCGTGAGCCACCGCGCCCGGCCGATGAGATGACTTTTGTAAAACTCCTGGATAACCACAGGATGGGAGGTGGTTGCCAGGGGAAACAACCACATGATTAAAAGGTCTGAGCTTTCAGCCCTAGCTGCCACACTCCCTCACTTCTGATCTCCCTGAAGGAAGCAGGTGAAGGGGGGCTGAAGATTGAGTTGATCACCGATGGTCAATGATTTAATCAGCCATACCTACTTAATGGTGTGACCATAAAAACCCAAACGGACAGAGTTCAGAGTTTCCAAGTTGATGAACATTTGAGGGTGCTGGGAGGATAGCAAGCCCAGAGAGGCCATGGACGCTCTGCACTCCTTCATTCTGCATCATCCCATGGCAGAAGGTGGAAGAGCAAGGGAGGGTGAGAGCAAGAGAGCAAAATATGCTGAACTCACTTTTAAAAGAAACCCACTCTTGTGACAGCTATTTCACTCCCTTGATAATGACATTAATCCATTCCTTCAGGCCAAGCTTTCATGACATAATCACCTCTTACGAGGCCCCACCTCCCAACAGTGTTGCATTGGAGATTAAGTTTTCAATACATAAATTTTGGGGACATATTCAAACCATAGCATTCCATTCTTGGTCCTCCAAATGTATGTTCTTACAATGCAAAATACATTCATTCTATCCCAATAGTCTCAAATTCTTAACTTGTTCTAGTCATCAACTCAAAAGTTCAAAGTCCAGAGTCTCATCTAAATCAAAGTGACACTAAAGGCACAATTCATCAGAGGCAAATTATTTTCCAGCTGTGAGCCTGTGAAATTAACAAGTTATGAAATACAATCGTGAAACAGGCACAGAATAGACATTCTCACTTCAAAAGAGAGAAATAGACGAAAAGAAAGGAGTAACTGGGCCCAAGCAAGTCCAAAACCCAACAGGGAAAATAACATTCAGTCTTAAATCTGGAGAACAATTTATTTTGACTCCATGTCCTGAATCCTGAGCACAAAGTGGGTTAGGAACTGGGCCCCCAAAGTCTCAGGCAGCCCCATGCCTATGGCTTTGCCGGGCACAATCCATCCAGAAGCTATCATGGGTTAAAATCTTATGCCTGCAACTGCAGGGTTCCTGGAGCTGCACTCCAGTGGCTTTACAGTTCTGGGGTCTTAGGGACTGTTCCACTCTCATAGCACCATTAGGCTTTGCATTAGTGGGTGCTGTCTGTGGTGTCTACTACTGTGACAGGTCTATGCCCCCAGACTGTCCAAGACATCCTTTGAAATTTAGACGGAGGCCATCTTGGCCACATAGCTCTTGCATTTTGTCTGCAGAATTAGAATCACATGAGTTCTCCCAAAGTTTATGGCTTGTAACTTTTGGAACAGTGGGTAAAGCCACACCTGGACTCACCTGAGCCACAGCTGGGGTGGCTGAGGGGTGCTGCACCAGAATTCAGGGATCCCTGAATTTTAGATGTCACAGGGCAGCAGATTCTGAGGTTCCATGGGCACTTCTTTGAAAACCTTGCCCTCAAGTTTCTAGCTCACCTGGGATGTCTCTGAAATGCTTCCAAGAGCATTCTCTCATTGTCTGGTTAAATGGAACCTGGCTTCCTTCTATCCATATTAATCACTTTAGCAAATGTTCACTTGGCCACACTCTTAGTGTTCTCTCCCAAGCATGTTTTTATTTATTTTTTATTTTTTTTTCTATTCCTGACATGGCAGGCTGAGCATTTTACAAGTCTTTTCATTCTGCTTCCCTTTTAATTATAAATTTCATCTTTAAATCACTTCTGACTTCTATCACTTCACTATAAGCAGTTAAAAGTAGCCAGGCAAGTCTTTCAATATCTTGCTTAGAAATTTCTTCCACCAGATATCCTATTAGGTTGGTGCAGATGTAATTGCACTTTTGCCATTACATCCAATGGCAAAAACCAACCTAATAGTTTATCATTCTTACTTAAATTGCACCTTCCATAGAGCCCTTGAGAATGGACACAGTTCAACCAAATCCTTTGTCAATTTATAACAAATATAGGCTTTATTTCAGTTTCCAATAAACTATTCCTTGTTTCTATCTCAGCCCTCATCAGAATGGCTTTTACTGTCCACATTTCTACCAACATTTTGATCATGACCACTTAAGTAATCTTTAACAAGATTCAGACTTTTCTTACAGCTATTCTCTTCTTCTGAGTCCTCCCCACAACAGCCCTTAAGGCTCTGTTTATGGCAATCTAGGCTTTTCCTAGCCTGCTTTCCTAAATTCTTCTAATCAGTGCACATTCGGCAGTTCCAAAGCTGTTTTCATATTTTCAGGTACTTGTTATAGCAACAACATCACTTGTTCAGTACCAATTTTCTGTCTGAGTCCATTTTATTTTGCTAGAGCAGAATATCACATACTGGGTAATTTACAATAAACAGAAATTTATTTGGCTTACGGTTCTGAAGACTGGGGAGTCCAGGAGTATTTGAGAACCTTAGTGCCGTGTCATCCCATTGAACAAGGCATATAGGTGAGGGTGGGAGTGAGAGAACATGAGGGGGGCAAACTCATTTTTCTAATAAACTTACTTCTGTGATAAATAAACCACTCCCTTGATAATGACATTCATCCATTCATGAGGGCAAAGGCTTCATGACCTAATTACCTCTTATTAGGCCCCAACCCCAAGCATTGGAGATTGAGTTTCCAACATATGAATTTTTTGAGATATGTTCAAACTATAACACATATCTCCCATTTGTCAGCTTCTGAGTTGTATCTTTTATAATAAACTTGTAATCGTACGTAAAGCACTTTTCTGAGTTCTATAAGCTATTGTATAAAATTATTAAACCTGAGAAAGGGGGTTATTGGAACCCTTGAATTTGTACTTGCCAAGTCAGAAGCAATGATGACACCTTAGATCTTGTTATTGACTTTTGAAGTGGGGGCAGTCTTGTGGGAATGAACCTTAGCCTATGGGGTCTGATACGATCTCAGGATCATATCAGAATTGAGTTAAATCATAGAACACTCAACTGTTGTTGTCTGCCAAGAATTTAAAAATTGCTTGGTGTGAGGGAGGAAAAAAGCACACATTTGATGACTAGAAGTGAAACAGTGGTGTGGAAGTTGAGTGAGTATAAAATGATTTGTTTTATCCTGTAGGACAAACAAACACCATTTTTTGAGATAATTATCAGGATTATGAAGATCATTTTGTTTTTCTGAACTATTCCAATAATGAAGAAGAAAAGGCTGATGGTGGCGGGAGGAGCAAAGATGGCCGAATAGGAACAGCTCTGGTCTACAGCTCCCAGCGTGAGCGACGCAGAAGACGGGTGATTTCTGCATTTCCATCTGAGGTACCGGGTTCATCTCACTAGGGAGTGCCAGACAGTGGGCGCAGGCCAGTGGGTGCGCGCACCGTGCGCGAGCCGAAGCAGGGCAAGGCATTGCCTCACCTGGGAAGCACAAGGGGTCAGGGAGTTCCCTTTCCGAGTCAAAGAAAGGGGTGACGGACGCACCTGGAAATCGGGTCACTCCCACCCAAATATTGCGCTTTTCAGGCCGGCTTAAAAAACGGCGCACCACGAGACTATATCCCACACCTGGCTCGGAGGGTCCAACGCCCACGGAGTCTCGCTGATTGCTAGCACAGCAGTCTGAGATCAAACTGCCAGGCAGCAGCGAGGCTGGGGGAGGGTCGCCCGCCATTGCCCAGGCTTGCTTAGGTAAACAAAGCAGCCTGGAAGCTCGAACTGGGTGGAGCCCACCACAGCTCAAGGAGGCCTGCATGCCTCTTGTAGGCTCCACCTCCGGGGACAGGGCACAGACAAACAAAAAGACAGCAGTAACCTCTGCAGACTTAAATGTCCCTGTCTGACAGCTTTGAAGAGAGCAGTGGTTCTCCCAGCACGCAGCTGGAGATCTGAGAACGGGCATACTGCCTCCTCAAGTGGGTCCCTGACCCCTGACCCCCGAGCAGCCTAACTGGGAGGCACCCCCCAGCAGGGGCACACTGACACCTCACACGGCAGGGTATTCCAACAGACCTGCAGCTGAGGGTCCTGTCTGTTAGAAGGAAAACTAACACACAGAAAGGACATCCACACCAAAAACCCATCTGGACATCACCATCATCAAAGACCAAAAGTAGATAAAACCACAAAGATGGGGAAAAAACAGAACAGAAAAACTGGAAGCTCTAAAACGCAGAGCGTCTCTCCTCCTCCAAAGGAACGCAGTTCCTCACCAGCAACGGAACAAAGCTGGATGGAGAATGACTTTGACGAGCTGAGAGAAGAAGGCTTCAGACGATCAAATTACTCTGAGCTACGGGAGGACATTCAAACCAAAGGCAAAGAAGTTGAAAACTTTGAAAAAAATTTAGAAGAATGTATAACTAGAATAACCAATACAGAGAAGTGCTTAAAGGAGCTGATGGAGCTGAAAACCAAGGCTCGAGAACTACGTGAAGAATGCAGAAGCCTCAGGAGCCGATGAGATCAACTGGAAGAAAGGGTATCAGCGATGGAAGATGAAATGAATGAAATGAAGCGAGAAGGGAAGTTTAGAGAAAAAAGAATAAAAAGAAATGAGCAAAGCCTCCAAGAAATATGGGACTATGTGAAAAGACCAAATCTACGTCTGATTGGTGTACCTGAAAGTGATGGGGAGAATGGAACCAAGTTGGAAAACACTCTGCAGGATATTATCCAGGAGAACTTCCCCAATCTAGCAAGGCAGGCCAACGTTCAGATTCAGGAAATACAGATAACACCACAAAGATACTCCTCGAGAAGAGCAACTCCAAGACACATAATCGTCAGATTCACCAAAGTTGAAAAGAAGGAAAAAATGTTAAGGGCAGCCAGAGAGAAAGGTCGGGTTACCCTCAAAGGGAAGCCCATCAGACTAACAGCGGATCTCTCGGCAGAAACCCTACAAGCCAGAAGAGAGTGGGGGCCAATATTCAACATTCTTAAAGAAAAGAATTTTCAACCCAGAATTTCATATCCAGCCAAACTAAGCTTCATAAGCGAAGGAGAAATAAAATCCTTTACAGACAAGCAAATGCTGAGAGATTTTGTCACCACCAGGCCTGCCCTAAAAGAGCTCCTGAAGGAAGCGCTAAACATGAAAAGGAACAACCGGTACGAGCCGCTGCAAAATCATGCCAAAATGTAAAGACCATCGAGACTAGGAAGAAACTGCATCAACTAACGAGCAAAATCACCAGCTAACATCATAATGACAGGATCAAATTCACACATAACAATATTAACTTTAAATGTAAATGGACTAAATTCTCCAATTAAAAGACACAGACTGGAAAATTGGATAAAGAGTCAAGATCCATCAGTGTGCTGTATTCAGGAAACCCATCTCATGTGCAGAGACACATATAGGCTCAAAATAAAAGGATGGAGGAAGATCTACCAAGCAAATGGAAAACAAAAAAAGGCAGGGGTTGCAATCCTAGTCTCTGATAAAACAGACTTTAAACCAACAAAGATCAAAAGAGACAAAGAAGGCCATTACATAATGGTAAAGGGATCAATTCAACAAGAAGAGCTAACTATCCTAAATATATATGCACCCAATACAGGAGCACCCAGATTCATAAAGCAAGTCCTGAGTGACCTGCAAAGAGACTTAGACTCCCACACATTAATAATGGGAGACTTTAACACCCCACTGTCAACATTAGACAGATCAACGAGACAGAAAGTCAACAAGGATACCCAGGAATTGAACTCAGCTCTGCACCAAGCGGACCTAACAGACATCTACAGAACTCTCCACCCCAAATCAACAGAATATACATTTTTTTCAGCACCACACCACACCTATTCCAAAATTGACCACATAGTTGGAAGTAAAGCTCTCCTCAGCAAATGGAAAAGAACAGAAATTATAACAAACTATCTCTCAGACCACAGTGCAATCAAACTAGAACTCAGGATTAAGAATCCCACTCAAAGCCGCTCCACTACATGGAAACTGAACAACCTGCTCCTGAATGACTACTGGGTACATAATAAAATGAAGGCAGAAATAAAGATGTTCTTTGAAACCAACGAGAACAAAGACACAACATACCAGAATCTCTGGGATGCATTCAAAGCAGTGTGTAGAGGGAAATTTATACCACTAAATGCCCACAAGAGAAAGCAGGAAAGATCCAAAATTGACACCCTAACATCACAATTAAAAGAACTAGAAAAGCAAGAGCAAACACATTCAAAAGCTAGCAGAAGGCAAGAAATAACTAAAATCAGAGCAGAACTGAAGGAAATAGAGACACAAAAAACCCTTCAAAAAATCAATGAATCCAGGAGCTGGTTTTTTGAAAGGATCAACAAAACTGATAGACCGCTAGCAAGACTAATAAAGAAAAAAAGAGAGAAGAATCAAATAGACACAATAAAAAATGATAAAGGGGATATCACCACCGATCCCACAGAAATACAAACTACCATCAGAGAATACTACAAACACCTCTACGCAAATAAACTAGAAAATCTAGAAGAAATGGATAAATTCCTGGACACATACACTCTCCCAAGACTAAACCAGGAAGAAGTTGAATCTCTGAATAGACCAATAACAGGAGCTGAAATTGTGGCAATAATCAATAGCTTACCAACCAAAAAGGGTCCAGGACCAGATGGATTCACAGCCGAATTCTACCAGAGGTACAAGGAGGAACTGGTACCATTCCTTCTGAAACTATTCCAATCAATAGAAAAAGAGGGAATTCTCCCTAACGCATTTTATGAGGCCAGCATCATTCTGATACCAAAGCCGGACAGAGACACAACCAAAAAAGAGAATTTTAGACCAATATCCTTGATGAACATTGATGCAAAAATCCTCAATAAAATACTGGCAAACTGAATCCAGCAGCACATCAAAAAGCTTATCCACCATGATCAAGTGGGCTTCATCCCTGGGATGCAAGGCTGGTTCAATATACGCAAATCAATAAATGTAATCCAGCATATAAACAGAGCCAAAGACAAAAACCACATGATTATCTCAATAGATGCAGAAAAAGCCTTTGACAAAATTCAACAACCCTTCATGCTAAAAACTCTCCATAAATTAGGTATTGATGGGACATATTTCAAAATAATAAGACCTATCTATCACAAACCCACAGCCAATATCATACTGAATGGGCAAAAACTGGAAGCATTCCCTTTGAAAACTGGCACAAGACAGGGATGCCCTCTCTCACCACTCCTATTCAACATAGTGTTGGAAGTTCTGGCCAGGGCAATTAGGCAGGAGAAGGAAATAAAGGGTATTCAGTCAGGAAAAGAGGAAGTCAAATTGTCCCTGTTTGCAGATGACGTGATTGTATATCTAGAAAACCCCATTGTCTCAGCCCAAAATCTCCTTAAGCTGATAAGCAACTTCAGCAAAGTCTCAGGATATAAAATCAATGTACAAAAATCACAAGCATTCTTATACACCAACAACAGACAAACAGAGAGCCAAATCAGGAGTGAACTCCCATTCACAATTGCTTCAAAGAGAATAAAATACCTAGGAATCCAACTTACAAGGGATGTGAAGGACCTCTACAAGGAGAACGACAAACCACTGCTCAAGGAAATAAAAGAGGATACAAACAAATGGAAGAACATTCCATGTTCATGGGTAGGAAGAATCAATATCGTGAAAATGGCCATACTGCCCAAGGTCATTTACAGATTCAATGCCATCCCCATCAAGCTACCAATGACTTTCTTCACAGAATTGGAAAAAACTACTTTAAAGTTCATATGGAACCAAAAAAGAGCCCGCATCACCAAGGCAATCCTAAGCCAAAAGAACAAAGCTGGAGGCATCACACTACCTGACTACAAACTATACTACAAGGCTACAGTAACCAAAACAGCATGGTACTGGTACCAAAACAGAGATATAGATCAATGGAACAGAATAGAGCCCTCAGAAAAAACGCCGCATACCTACAACTATCTGAACTTTGACAAACCTGAGAAAAACAAGCAATGGGGAAAGGATTCCCTATTTAATAAATGGTGCTGGGAAAACTGGCTAGCCATATGTAGGAAGCTGAAACTGGATCCCTTCCTTACATCTTATACAAAAATCAATTCAAGATGGATTAAAGATTTAAACGTTAGACCTAAAACCATAAAAACCCTAGAAGAAAACCTAGGCATTACCATTCAGGACATAGGCATGGGCAAGGACTTCATGTCCAAAACACCAAAAGCAATGGCAACAAAAGACAAAATTGACAAATGGGATCTAATTAAACTGAAGAGCTTCTGCACAGCAAAAGAAACTACCATCAGAGTGAACAGGCAACCTACAAAATGGGAGAACATTTTCGCAACCTACTCATCTGACAAAGGGCTAATATCCAGAATCTACAATGAACTCAAACAAATTTACAAGAAAAAAACAAACAACCCCATCAAAAAGTGGGCGAAGGACATGAACAGACACTTCTCAAAAGAAGACATTTATGCAGCCAAAAAACACATGAAAACATGCTCATCATCACTGGCCATCAGAGAAATGCAAATCAAAACCACTATGAGATACCATCTCACACCAGTTAGAATGGCAATCATTAAAAAGTCAGGAAACAACAGGTGCTGGAGAGGATGTGGAGAAATAGGAACACTTTTCCACTGTTGGTGGGACTGTAAACTAGTTCAACCATTGTGGAAGTCAGTGTGGCAATTCCTCAGGGATCTAGAACTAGAGATACCATTTGACCCAGCCAACCCATTACTGGGTATATACCCAAAGAACTATAAATCATGCTGCTATAAAGACACATGCACACATATGTTTATTGTGGCATTATTCACAATAGCAAAGACTTGGAACCAACCCAAATGTCCAACAATGATAGACTGGATTAAGAAAATGTGGCACATATACACCATGGAATACTATGCAGCCATAAAAAATGATGAGTTCATGTCCTTTGTAGGGACATGGATGAAATTGGAAATCATCATTCTCAGTAAACTATCGCAAGAACAAAAAACCAAACCCCGCATATTCTCACTCATAGGTGGGAATTGAACAGTGAGATCACATGGACACAGGAAGGGGAATATCACACTCTGGGGACTGTGGTGGGGTGGGGGGAGAGGGGAGGGATAGCATTAGGAGATATACCTAATGCTAGATGACGAGTTAGTGGGTGCAGTGCACCAGCATGGCACATGTATACATATGTAACTAACCTGCACAGTGTGCACATGTACCCTAAAACTTAAAGTATAATTAAAAAAAAAAAAAAAAGAAAAGGCTGATGGTTTTCCTGTTCTTTCTTCTTACACATAGACAGATGCAGATTAAAGTTAATTTTCTTAAAACACTTCTACTAACTAGTTGAGAAATTTACTTTTTTCTAAAGATGATTGTTAACCGTTTTTCAAGGATGTAAAATGACTATTTTCAATTATCTATCATTTTTTTTCATTTTTATCGAGATGATTCCTTTAAAATTCAGTTATTTCCCCCTCTCAATGCAAATAGCCCTACTTACTATTATTATTTTTTTTCTAGAGAGGTGGAGGATGGCAAGTTTGAAAAGGACAAAAAGAATTGTAAAGGTCAAGGGATATCTCAGTCTTGCCCTTCTATTTATTAAAATCCAATCTTACCCTTATTCATGATTGTCAAAATGCAGAAACAACCTATGTCCATCGATTGATGAATGAATAAACTAAATGGACGTATTTATACAGTAGAATATTATTTAGGCAAGAAAATGTATGAAGTTCTGATACGCGCTGCAGCAAGGGCGAGCCTTGAAAATGTTAAGTGAAATAAACCAGACACAAAAGAATAAATCTTCTATGATTGCACTTACATGAAATATCTATAGTGGGAAAGTCCATAGAGATAGAAAGTAGATTAGCAGATACCAGGGGCTGGCGGGTAGGCAATGAAGTGTTATTGCTTAACTGGTATAAAGTTTCTGTTTGGGTGCTGAAAACTTTCTAGAAATAATGGTGATGGATGCACAACATTTTGAAAGCAATTAATGGCTCTGAATCATATAATCATACACATGAGATTAAAAGGGCAAATGTATGTTATATATATTTTACCACTATGTGAGTGTGTGTGTGTTTCTGTTTGTGTGTCCCAAAACAGGGGAAAACATTAATCTTACGTTCTATGTGAACTTTGTATTTAATTGCAAGCAAGTCAATTATGTTCTTGACTCATTTCTAGGATATGCATAAAATCTTCTATAAAAATGCTAAATCTATGCATCACTATTGCATGACAATTTCAGTTACCAATTGCTGCATTATTTATCAGTTTATAGATGGGAAATAAACATGGTACTTAACGTGAAGCAGGCTTAATTACACCCACTTTTCATGTGCCTAACATGTGACTTAGCTTCAAACCAAATAAATCATTTACACTTGTAACTTAAACTACTGTACAAGCGGTTTTCAGTTTCTCCCATCCTGAGAAGTATATTATTGCCTCTCTAAATCACGTTATTCCCAATCTACCTGTGAAACGTTCAGCGACACAACCTCAGTGTGAATGCATCATCAGTCAGCAATTTCCAGGGTGGAAATTAACCCCTTGCCCTCTCAGTTCTGTTAAACAACAATTCCTGATCATGCGTTGAGCATAGCTGCCCAAACTGGAGTAAGTACTAAATAGATAAGCTCCTTAATAGTCAAAAGCAGATAGTATACTTGAGCTGTAATAAATTAACCAAAAGAATACATTAACAAGGGGTGGGTGTACCTTCAAATTATTTTTGTTTTGTTTATCTCCATCAGACGCACAGGCTAATTGAGTAGGTATCATTTTGTATCGTATGCCAACTTCCTGCTAGATAGCAAGTGAAAAGTGTTATATAATTGGAAATAAAACTGACTATATTTAACGTCACATAGAGTTAAGTGTATATATGTATATGTGTGTGTGTATATATATATATATATATATATGCAGTCTTATATGGAGAAAATTTGACACCTTACAATCTGATTGGATTCCTTAAATAATAGTTTAGTTGTTTAAAATAAGTCCTGGGCAACTGGGCATTCTCCTACTAGAGGCCAGT
Source organism: Homo sapiens (assembly GCF_000001405.40). Classification (NCBI taxonomy): domain Eukaryota; kingdom Metazoa; phylum Chordata; class Mammalia; order Primates; family Hominidae; genus Homo; species Homo sapiens. Next base: position 11,376,935 of record NC_000004.12, on the reverse strand, counting down.
AAATAGGAAGTTCAAGGGATTTGGGGGCTGATCAATAAATAAGATATGATCCTGAAAGGCTGTAACACACAACAAGCCTTATGGGGCAGTACTTGGACAGGGTTGCATAACAGGAAAGTCCTTACAGCACGAGACCATCCAGTGGTTTGAGTGCCCAGGTGATATTGCTAAACAGCAAGGCCGCGTCAGAAAGCTCCCAAAGGTAGCAGCTGCTTCTTCTGAATTTGTAATTACAAGGCCCTATCTTATCAATGGGTAACAATTACCTGGTGAGGTTTCCCGGAGTATGCAAAACAAGCAGGCTACAGTTGGCTTGTTTGGGTTATATTTTAAATAATTGGATATGCAAAAATATTTGACTTTGAAGCAAGTGGAATTTTGAGCTCAGGGGTCTCAGCCTTCTGCAAAGAAGTAAACAACCCAGTAGCCAATACATAGAGGCCATCTTTGGCTCACTTATATAACCATAAGAAACTAGAGTGTCTGCCTTACACAGGAATGGATTGTTCATCTTCAAGTAGACGTCTGTCAACTCAGAAGATCCATCAAATGGCTTGTATTTGTTTTCTATCGCCACGGAAACACATTGCCGCAACTTAGTGGCTTACACAAGAAAAATGTATTTTCTTACCGTTCTGAAATTTGGACGTTCAAACTCGGTCTTGGTGAGCTAAAATCAAAGTGTTGTCAGGAATCTGTTCCTTCTGGAGGCAATGGGAAGAATGTTTCATAAAGTCTTTTCTAGGTTTTAGAGTCCATTCTCATTTCTTGGCTAGTGGTCTCACATCAAATCACCTTCCTTCAGACTCTGATCTACCTCTGTTTCCCTCAAGATTCTTGTGACCACATTGGGTTCACCCAGGTAACTTATCTCCCCATTTCAAGACTCTAACCTTCATCATACCTGCAAAGTCCTTCTGCTGTGTAATTTAACATATTCACAGGTTCCAGGGACTAGGATGTGGATATCTGTGGTGACATTATTCAGCCCCCCAAGGGGTGCTGGAGAAAACACAGACTCCAGGTCTGTGAGGAGCCTCAGGTTCAGGACACAGATAAAAGGAAGCTCAATGGACTCCCTTCAAGGCAGCCTCTTAACTGCACTGAGTGACTTCTGGAAGGGGGTATCGCTATTTTCAAACATACAGGTAGTGAGGATGAAATTTATGGTTTTAACAACTCAAGTTCTTGTAGCCCAGGGAAGCATTCTGACTCCCAGCCCTGGAGCAGTTTAAGAGATAGAGCCAACAAAGTCAGGCTTGTCTTCCTCAGGTTTCTTCCTCTTCGGACCATACTGTTCCGTGTTCCCTTTTCAAAGTTTGGGCCTCTCTGCACCCTAAAATCCCAGTGACTCACAGGTGGCTCAGATGCAGTTCTTGTCCTGGTGGAGCCCATAGTTTCATGCGCTTCCATGTGAAGAGACCACCAAACAGGCTTTGTGTGAGCAATAAAGCTGTTTATTTCACCTGGGTGCGGGTGGGCTGAGTCCGAAAAGAGAGTCAGCAAAGGGTGGTGGATTATCATTAGTTCTTATAGGTTTTGGGATAGGCGGTGAAGTTAAGAGCAATGTTTTGCGGGCAGGGGTGGATCTCACAAAGTACATTCTCAAGGGTGGGGAGAATTACAAAGAACCTTCTTAAGGGTGGGGGAGATTACAAAGTACCTTCTTAAGGGTGGGGGAGATTACAAAATACATTGATCAGTTAGGGTGGGGCAGGAACAAATCACAACGGTGGAATGTCATCAGTTAAGGCTATTTTTACTTCTTTTGTGGATCTTCAGTTACTTCAGGACATCTGGATGTATACGTGCAAGTGACAGGGGATGCGATGGCTTGGCTTGGGCTCAGAGGCCTGACACATAGCCTGTTGCGAAAGACATAAATATAAATGGAGATTCCATTTCCTTCCAGGACCCTGAGCATCTAGCCAAACCATTGATTCTGCAGCCCATGCATTGACACATAATTGCATGTCTAGCCATTTCTCCTTCCAAGTAAAGTGCATAACCAGGTGCACTGCCCAATGTTCTATTCACTGGGAGGTTTTCCCTTTGCTACTGTCCTTCATGGATATTCTGGAAAGAGGCTGTGGAGCTGCAGCTGCCCACATTTGGTGGTGTCTGCATATTATGCAAAAACATCTGAAGCCTGGTTCAACTGTCCTCTTCCTCTGTCAACTGATCATAGGGTACTACCCACGAAGCCACAGGTGCAGGCTAGAAGAGAGAAGGCAGTGTAGCCAGAGTAGGGACCATGGGCATTTGGGTCACTTCTTCATGTAATTTACTTCTGCCTTCAGGACTTTCTTGGGTCTGAATCAGTATACAGAACTTCCTTTGGTGATGAAGTATTGTACTGCGTGCCTAACCTTATGGCTTGGTATGTCATGTAACACCCAGTTCATGATAAGTAGCACAGATAGCATGGATACTTAGTGGCCCATAGTCAAGCATTCAGTTTCTACTAAGGCCTAATAGCTGGCAGAGAGCTGTCTCTCAAAAGGAGAAGAGTTTTCTGAAGATGATGGCAGAGCTTGCTCCAAAATCCTAAAGCCTGTACTATTTGCTTATGGGGGCTGCAAATATTTCCATCTGCTACTAACATTTCAAGCACAGGTTATTCTGAAACACACAATATGATTGAACCATTATTCTATAATTTGAATCTGAGGGGTCCAAGGCTTGAGAATGTCACCTAACCTGATGGAATTCAGGCAGTGCCACATGAAGGCTGAACACACAAACCTAGAGTCAGGGTTATGGGTTCAAATCTCAACCTCTCTTCTGTCTATCTAGAGTGGAAATATCTCCAGACAGACAGAAGAGAGTTTGACCCTGGACAAGTTCTTTGACTCCCAGTGCTTCCTTCCATCAATGTTGGAATGGCAATGATAACGGCAATCCCTTACTGGATTACGGAGAGCTGAATAATCAAATGTGTGGAAAAGAAGAACTCTTCTCATGTGATTAGGTCATGAATAAATATTCATTATGATTGTTGCCTCACTTTAACTTAGCTCTCTACTCAAATACCACCAAATAAAGGCTTCCCTCACCACCTTATAACTTCTGCTAACTTTCGATTTTCATTGTACTGATTTTTCCTCATAGAACTGATCATTACTAGGTATATTAGTAACATACAGATTAAATATTATTTTAAATGTTGCCCCTTTTGTTTTAATTTTTTTTTTTTTAGATTTGCATTCCGATCTTGGGTTTATTCAACACAATTCTTCCACTCTACACAACAAAGTACAAACACAATGTCATCTAAAATGCTACAAAGGTATAAAACTCAAAAGAGAAATTTTATAGAACTGACTGTACAATAAAAGCAAAAAAGAAAAAAAATAAAAGCAATGTACATGTTGCCAAGATAACCTGAAAGACCACCATGAAGGACAGGCACAACCATGGCTGCGTGATGACCCCGCAGAGCTGGCTCTCAACTCACTCGCCAATTTCAGAGTACAGCGGTGGGGTGTGGTGTATGCATCGGTGCACGGACAGACAGAACCATGAGCAGCAACTACCATGGGTGAGAGGATCTTTGGGGGGCTGTGACCCTTGAAGTCAGAAGAGGCCTCGAGAGGCCAGGCCTAACAGCGTTGGCAGCTGCACTAAAGCCTGGGGCAGCTCCCTTTCCAAAAAGACACTGCCCAGCAACAGCAAGGGCACGGCCTGGCCACCATCCCAGGTCATCGGGGAAGGGAAAAGTGTGCTCCCAGGTAAGCAGGGTCAAACCACCCCCAAGAGCCTCACTTGTCCCTGGTGGCTCTGCCACTGAACTGACTCTTAAAACCGGAAACGGGTGAGCTTTCTAGCCAGAAAACCGGAGGGAATCTTGACAGGCACACAGCATCCAAGCCAACAGCACTTCTGCAGCCGGAGCCCGGCTGGCAGAGGGGTGCTGCCTGCTGCCTGCAAATCCTGCCAGAGTCAAGGGTTTGCTTTCCTACTGGTCTTGCTTTGGCTAGAAAAGTGACAAAACTGAGCTGGGTGGCGTATAAGTTACAGGGGCGAGAGCTTCAGTGGCCTGTTTATTGGGAGGAGTTGGAGCTGGAGCGGCTCCTGTGGCGGCGGCGGCCCGGGGACCGTGATCTCCGGCGCACGGGGGACCTGCGCCTCGGGGAGCGGGACCTTCTCCTCATCCGTGGGGGAGACCTGAGCCACATAGGCGGTGGTGGCAACATTCTCCTGGGAGGGCTGAATCTCCTGGGGGTTGGCCTAGGCCAGGGGGCCAGCACGACGGTGGCAGTGATCTCCTGGCCATCAATTTGTCCTCCATCCATGTGCTTCAGCGCCTTCTCAGCTTCATCTGGATTCTCAAACTCTACGCACGCATAGCCTTTGGACAGATGGGGATGCATCCTTTCCACGGGCATGTCAATCATTTTAATTTTCCCATAGGTGGAAAATATCTCCATGATGTGATCCTTTGTCACATTCCTGGTGAGTCTCCCAATGTGCACTTTGGTGGGCTTAGGAGATGGGCTCCGCCTTTTCCTCTCCTTTTCATCTCTTTTAGGTGGTTTGGATTTGGAGCGGGAGCGCCTCCTGTTGTCGTGTCTGCGCCGAGAAGGACTTGGAGAGCCAGAAGAGCTGCTAGAGCTGGAGCTGCGGGAGGTGCTGGAGCTTCCTGAGCGGCTGGAGGCTGAGGAAGAGCTGGAGCCACTGCTTGAGCCAGTGCTGGTGCTGGAGCCTGAGCTGGAAGTCGAGCTGGACCGAGACCTGGTACTGCTGCTACCACTGGAAGCGCTGTGCCTCTTTCGCGTTTTGTCCCGGCCGCGATCCTTCTCACTCGACTCCTTGGTGGCCCCTTTATCTTTTGAGCGATCCTTGGACTTCTCATCTGAGCGGTCTTTGCGTTTGGTAGGTGAAGGGGCCCTAGTGCTGGACTTTTTATTATTTTCTTTGACTCCCAGCAAGCTCTTCTTTTTCACTCCTGATAAATCCATTCTCCCCTTCTGAGGTGTTCAAAGCAGCAATGGCGGCCTCACTTATCTGAACTCTCACTTCTAACTTGATTCTGAGAAACGATCCCTAATCGATTGCAATTTACGCCAAAGAGCGGCCTCCTCCAAGAGCCAGTTGGTAAGGAGGACGCAGCACACCAATGTGGTCCTGGTTTCCCTGTGCAGTGCATGCCAGGGGTGCTTCAAAATGCTGCTGAAAATATGTTCTGACCCAAGAAAGAAAAGCACTTGGCTTTGAACAGTCAAATGAGAGCCAAGGAGGGCCGAACGCCACCTTTGCTGCTCTTGTCCAGGGGTAAAATGTTTTGCTTTAGAACAGTAAGGTTCTGCAGACACCCAGCAGATAGTGCCTCGACACTGTGTCCTCGGACAATCAGTGAGTATCATTCAGAGTATAATTTAGAGTCTGGAGCCAGAGGGCCTGGGTTTGATTTGAGGTTTTACTGTGTGATTTTAGACAAGTCACTTATCCTTTCTCAAGTTTCTCATCATCAATATGGTGACAATTACAGTTCCAACCTTATAGTTACCCAGGGCATTAATTAAAGACTCGATAAATGTTAGGAGCAAGAGTTGTATCTCCACGTCCGGAGGCTCCTTCCCCCACAGACACTTGTCTCCAAATTTACACGTAATTTCTAAACTCTCAGCTGGGTTCCTGCACCCACCCGCCTTAGGATCACCTGCAGCAGCACTGTCCAGTAGAAACCGTGTGAGGAGCCACAAGCATCACCTGAAATTCCTTAGTAGCCACGTCACAAAAATGGGTGAAATTAATTTTTAACATTTGACACATCCAAAATATTATCTTTCCAACATATAATCAACATAAAAATCTAATAAAGGTTTGCTTTTTTCCTAGTCTTCTAAAACTGGTGTGTGTTTTAATATTTCAGTCTTGATTAGCTGTATTTCACATGCTTAGTAGCCACATGTGGCCAATGGCTACTTTGCTGGACAGCACAGACCTAGAGTGGCGGTCACACCCGCAGATTCCAGCCCCACCCCCCCAAGAACTAAAGATCTGCCCAAATGTACTTTGTGAAATCAAACACCACCAGTTATTCTTTTTTTTTTTTATTATACTTTAAGTTTTAGAGTACATGTGCACATTGTGCAGGTTAGTTACATATGTATACATGTGCCATGCTGGTGTGCTGCACCCACCAACTCGTCATCTAGCATTAGGTATATCTCCCAATGCTATCCCTCCCCCCACCCCACCACAGTCCCCAGAGTGTGATATTCCCCTTCCTGTGTCCATGTGATCTCATTGTTCAATTCCCACCTATGAGTGAGAATATGCGGTGTTTGGTTTTTTGTTCTTGCGATAGTTTACTGAGAATGATGATTTCCAATTTCATCCATGTCCCTACAAAGGACATGAACTCATCATTTTTTATGGCTGCATAGTATTCCATGGTGTATATGTGCCACATTTTCTTAATCCAGTCTATCATTGTTGGACATTTGGGTTGGTTCCAAGTCTTTGCTATTGTGAATAATGCCACAATAAACACACGTGTGCATGTGTCTTTATAGCAGCATGATTTATAGTTCTTTGGGTATATACCCAGTAATGGGATGGCTGGGTCAAATGGTATCTCTAGTTCTAGATCCCTGAGGAATTGCCACACTGAATTCCACAATGGTTGAACTAGTTTACAGTCCCACCAACAGTGTAAAAGTGTTCCTATTTCTCCACATCCTCTCCAGCACCTGTTGTTTCCTGACTTTTTAATGATTGCCATTCTAACTGGTGTGAGATGGTATCTCACTGTGGTTTTCATTTGCATTTCTCTGATGGCCAGTGATGATGAGCATTTTTTCATGTGTTTTTTGGCTGCATAAATGTCTTCTTTGGGATTCCCTATTTAATAAATGGTGCTGGGAAAACTGGCTAGCCATATGTAGAAAGCTGAAACTGGATCCCTTCCTTACACCTTATACAAAAATCAATTCAAGATGGATTAAAGACTTAAACGTTAGACCTAAAATCATAAAAACCCTAGAAGAAAACCTAGGCTAATTTACCATTCAGGACATAGGCATGGGCAAGGACTTCATGTCCAAAACACCAAAAGCAATGGCAACAAAAGACAAAATTGACAAATGGGATCTAATTAAACTCAAGAGCTTCTGCACAGCCAAAGAAACTACCATCAGAGTGAACAGGCAACCTACAAAATGGGAGAAAATTTTCGCAACCTACTCATCTGACAAAGGGCTAATATCCAGAATCTACAATGAACTCAAACAAATTTACAAGAAAAAAACAAACAACCCCATCAAAAAGTGGGCAAAGGACATGAACAGCCACCAGTTATTCTTAAGCACTCCAAACACTGAGAACCACTGAGTAAGCGGACGCCTTGCTGGGTGCGGTCGAGTGCTAGAAAGCAAAAGTTGAGGTTCTCTGTTCACCCAAGTTCAGGTACCGGCTCAGGACCTCGGTTACCTCCCCCATCCTCTGGAAAGGTGCGCGTCCAACAGCCAGAGAGAGGAGAGAACAATTAGTTAAATCTCGAGGAGAGGGCGTTTCGGCACAAATCTTCAGAGCACCTTCCCCATTTAAAAGTACATTTCAGGCACAGTTCATGCGGAATCAAGACAAAAAGCCTACTCCACGTTTCTCCTCCAACAACCTTAATCTTCCCGTATCCGCCCCTCTGGGGTAACCCATCAAACTGAGCTCGGCCACCGTGCTCGGTCCATAGTGGGCCGTATCCCCAAGGCCTAGCGTCGATAATTGCACACGGGAGTCCGGGAAACGTTCGCGGAGTACACGTTTGAATTAATGACTCCGAAGGGGGGATCAGCCGACCTTCCACCGCATCCCACAAAGAAACTCCGCGCCCGCCGACACCGGCCCGACACGCCGACCTTGCCGCTACCCGTCCGCGTTCACTCACAACTTCCCCGTCCAGGCGCCGGGCCGCGAGCGCTTCCAGGGCAGGGCCTAGCGTTGGGGGCTTGGGTCTCCGGCCCAGCGGGAGAGCCCCAAGGGCGGAGGTCGCGCTCCCCGCTGGTCTGAGTCCCGCGGGCCTGGCTGGGCCACCGCCGAGCGGACGAAGCACAGGCGCCCTTCCGCCCGCAGCGGCCCCGACCACTTCCGGGCCACGGCCTCGACACCTCCTAATGCGCCCGCCCCGGGCCACACTCTTTCTTCTCGGAGCCCGCACCGCGCTGCCAGACCACCGCCGCACTGCGGGGCTGAGGAGTGGACCGGCTTCACGATGCGTCCTGCCGGGCAGCCCCCGAAACACGGATGCGGTCGGATTCCGCGCCAACTTACATCTTCCCGCCGCCACCACCTCCTCCTGCTTTCCTCAGCCGCCGAGGCCGGCGCCGCTCTCTGTTTTAATTTTTTTTACCAAATGTAATTCATTTAAATCATTCTACAGATATTAACTGACCACCTACTATGTGCCAGGACCCATTCATGGGACTGGAAATATAACAGTAATTAAAAGGTAAAATTTTGTTCACCTTCTTTTCTGGTGTTCACTTACTGACCTTCACTACCAGGAGCCTGTCTCCATGAGAGTAGGGACTCTGTGTCTTCGATTCATTCCTCAAAACTCAGAACCTAGAACAGTGACTATCCCATAAAGTCAACACTTAGTGAATAAACAAATGAGTGAGTGAGTAATATTTTTACCCGGCACATGAAAATTGTCACCAGGGAAGAAAAGAGGAGCAAACCTTGAAGCTCTTTAACACGGAGAGAGCTGGGTAATGGAATGCATCTGAGATTTCCTCTTTATGATTCTGCAGGGTCTGTGCTTTTTCTTAGTGTGGAAAGTGAAAATCAGAGACATTAAACAACTTCCTCAAGGACACACAGTTCGATGGAAATGGAGTCAGAATTCTAATCCAGGTCTATTTGACCACCAACTCTGCAATTTACCTACTATATCTGTGCAGAAGAGCCCTGAGTTACAGACCAGTAATGAGAAGAAATAGTGAAGGGTTGGCAAACACCTCAGTTACATAAGGAGTTTCTCTAGGCTGTGTGCATCACCCCACACTCCATCTAAAATAGATGTTGGAGATTTTAAACATCTAGGGTTTAGATACCTGAAAAAAATAAATCATTTTAGTGGTTTATGAAAAAAGGAAGGAAGAAGAGGAGAAGCAGCAGCAGGAGGAGGTGGAGGAGGAGGAGAAGGAGCAGGAAGGGGAAGAGGAGGGAGGGAGTGGAAAAGAAGAAGAGAAAAAATGAGTAAGCGGGCGGACACTTAGTTGGCCTTTTGCTCACATCAGTAGTTCATCCTTGGCCACCAATTGCACACTTGAAGTTGTTTACCTTCCTGGAGGATTTCTCAATCGTTCATTGTGAAGGATTCCTAGCCTCTCCTCAGTGGACAGCCAAGAGCCTCCTCTCAGCTGGGAGCCTTCCTCCCATTCACTGCAGTCTCCCTGAACTGCTTCCAGAGCCCAGCTTCTCTGGCCAATGGCCAAGGACTCAAACAGGCACTGTTCTTTCAGCACAGAAACACAGAAACCAAGTGCCTTGGTACAAACAGAAGGCTGCATTCTTTGGCTAGGATCTGGGAGAGATAATTACCCCGCAAGGTCTTCCTCTCATCTAAGCTGTTGTTTAGCTAGACAGCACAACAGAGTTTGTGGAAAGTGCTGCACAAAGGTTTAGTTCATTCGTTTGCTGACCCTGTGATTAGTGACGGTGAGCCTCACCTTCCTGAGCTACAGATTTCCTTCTCTGAAAAGGGTCATAGAACTAGATTATCTTTAAATTTCTGAAAAATTCCAAAACATGATAATTTCTCCTAGGTATGAAAGAAGAAAGTTTAAGAAAAAAGGAAATTTTCTTCCTTCTTTGCTTCCTTCCTTCCTTCCCTCCTTCCCTCCCTGCCTCCTTCCCTTCCCTTCCCTTCCCTTCCCTTCCCCTCCCTTCCTTTCTCCTCCCTCCTTCCTGTCTTCTTTTTCCTCTCTCTCTCTCTAATGTACCAAGATTTTAAGTAAATAATTTCTGCATGAAATTAGTACCTTGAAATTTTGAAGTTGTCTTGGGTAGAAGCCAGAAAGATATCCTCTAAAAAGCTGTAGACATTTTATTATGCTCCTTACATGATGAAACTTGAGGACTCCTTTGCAGCCACCTTTTCCTCTGTTCATTATTTACAAATCTCATTTCTTGAGATGTCATAGAGGAATTCAGTGATGGGTTTGGTCATGGAAACCTATTTTCCATTTTTCATTTTCCATGCTACACTTGCCACTTGTTTCAGTGGTAGGAGTTGCTAAGTCAGTGAGTTAACCTTGTCTTGGCCTACAGCTGGGGCCTGGCAAAAACTTGTGAAATAGATTTAGAATGTGTTCTGTGGTCTATACCTTATCATTGTAAAAATGGATAATCTTTTTCTTTGAGACAGGGTCTAGCTTTGTCACCCAGGCTATAGTACAGTGGTATGATTGTATTTCACTGCAGCCTCAAACTCCTGGGCTCAAACAATCCTCCTACTTCAGCCTCCTGAGTAGCTGGAAACACAGGCACACACTATCACACCCAGCTGGAGAGGGTTTTTGAAAGTTCCTTTACTGATATTTACGTACAGGAGAAAACACAAATGAAAGCGAAGCTGAAGACTCTGATTTCATGAGAGATATTGTGAAGTTCTGGGTAGAGAAAGACTTTTCCAGGGTCCAGTGAAAAAGTAGCTCCAAATGGGGCAGAGCCAGTGTCCACATCCCAGCCCCCTTCCTCCTCAGACTTGGAGGCAGTGGGGGCAAGTGGCATGAGGGATAATTGTGCCAAGGTCACCTGGATTCTAAGTTGATTTTGTGTGAGCTGGAAACACACTTTTGTGTGTAAACCCTTTGGGATTTAGGGGTGCTGCTGTTGTAACACAGCCAAAGTTTTACCCGATTAACATAACCCATAGGACAAGGGCAATGAGTAAACTAATTGTAGGCACATGGTATTATCTTTTTGCAAGTGGAAGAAAGAATCAGAAGATGTCGATGAGAGGAAGGACACCCTGCAATCAAGCTAAGAGGGCTCAATATCACTATCCATTTGGATTAAATGTCAGTGTGACCTTGCTTGGACAGAATTAATGTCTTTGGTGTATTCTGTTTCCTTGAAGCTTAGCAATGATTCCTTAGAAGGAAATGGAGGCTGGGGTTTGAGCCCAGGACTGTCTCACACTAAAGCCAATGTTCTTCGGAGCACACAGCAATAATTCCTTTTCCCATTTTGCTCTGTTCTGGACTCTGTGCCTGCACATGCATCATTTTAATATATGTATAATTATATCATGTTATGTATTTTATTATCATTGCACTAGAGATAATGGACCTTCCCTACTGAAGACTTTGACACATTCACAGCTTTCAAAACAACACAATAATAACTAGTGTTTGAAATACTTCACAGTTGGTCCTTCTATAAACAAAAACAAAATTCTGTGGAGTTTGAAAACTCTTAAGCTCTTTTTCCATAGCTATGGGGGCTGGTAGAACTGAAAGGGTTTCAAATGTAGAGGAATTTTTACTTTCTTGGAAATCTCATAATTCAAACAACTTTAAGTTTTAAATGTCACACTTGTGATGTACTATAGGTAGTCATTAATAAACATGAATGGGTTTTTGAGGTTCAGAAAACTGGCAGCAAATAAAGGGATGGAAACATTGATGCAGAGAGCAGGTGCATGCTATAGGGAGCTCCACTTTCCTTGCTGGCTGACATTTGCACAGAGTTAAGGTCACCCATGTTGGCTGTGATCTTCACAGCCAGCAGGGGAGTTTTCAAAAAGTAAAAGGCTCCTGGTGTCATTCCCCACTTCCACACCTTGGTGGCTGCCCACTGGTAGAAGGTAATTTTGCTTTTTTTGTTTCTTGGGTTTTATTTTCAATGTGGCATTCAAGGCCTGTTGCATGCCTGGCCCAACTTAACCTTTACTGTCCTCTTTCCCTGCTCTTCTATATGTTGGGCTGCAGTTCAAGCGACAGGAGTGCTAGACACACTAGCCTGCATTCCCAAACAGGCCATCCCTTTTCACATCTCTGTGCCTCACTCAAAACATTTTCCTCCTCTTGCTTCCCAGCAATATCTTGTGTGACTTTCAGAGCCCACCTAACACATCACCTCTTGGGATTGACTTCCCCTGGTATTCTACAATAGAAGAACTCAGCACATCTATGACATCCACCAAGCACTTGGCTCTCATCTGTAGGGAAGTCTTTACCATTCAGTGTCATTGTCCCTACTGGGTCTGGGTCTATAACCAGGTACAGAGCCCAGCAGCTATGCCTTCACCACCTTGTTTTGTTGAACTTTACACAGCACTGGCTCATAGTTGGTACTCAACAAATGTTTGTTGAAAGAACATTTAGATAGTTGATAGATAGATCAGAGATATTGAGGTTCCTCTACCTTCCTTAATTTAATATTTTCTTTCTCCACATTGAGCAGAAGACTCGCTTGTAAGTCCAGTGGTGTACTGTAGGGCAATGGGAACAGTCTTCCTGGGGTGCAGGTGATGAGGGGTGTAGTGTTTGCGTAGTTTAAAAACAGTAATAAAAACAATTAAAAGTGGGCGTACTTTTTGTTATTACCATGCACTTGTAATGCGAATCAATGTCACTGATAAAATATCCCCCTCTTCAGGCCATTCCTGCCCTCCACCCCTCCTGGTTAGGCCAGGGTCAGGATCTCTCATGATTTCCTCCCCTATGCAGACTCCTTCTATCCTGCAACATGCTTCTGTAGGGCTTCTCCTAGAGATCATTCATCCATTCATTCCTTTAACAAATGTTTATACAGTTATTAATACAGAGCAGCATTGCTAGACAAAGATGAGCACAAAAGAGGTGCTCTTCCTGTCTTTGAGCTTGAATTGCATTTGGGGGAGACAGAAAATAAAATGAGTATGTATCACACGCACACAGATACACACACGTACACACACTTTGGGGTGGTAATTGTTTGAGAACAGTAGCCCAAGATGATGTGATCCTGATGGAGGAGGGGTGCCTTCAGAAGGGTTTTCAGTGGCATCCATTGTGTCTGTGGTGGAGCAGAGTGAGCTGAGGTATGAGTGATGAGAAGCGGCCAGAGATGTGAAGAGCAGGAATAATATTCGCAGCAGAGAGAAGAGCAACTATGAGGACATAGGTTGGCAAACAGGTGTTATAGAAAAACACCTGCCAAATACTCACAAGGGCAACAGGTATTATGTTTCTGCTGTCTTTTAAATCCTATACTTAGACCTGTCTCTTCAGTTCACCTGTTGATATGGTTTGGCTGTGTCCCCATCCAAATCTCATCTTGAATTATAGCTCCCATAATCCCTACGTGTTGTGGGAGGGACCCGGTGGGAGATAATTGAATCATGGAGGTGGTTTCCCCCATACTATTCTCATGGTAGTGAATGAGTCTCACAAGATCTGATAGTTTTATAAGGGGAAACCCTTTTCACTTCATTCTTATTCTCTCTTCCCTGCTGCCATGTAAGATTTGCCTTTCACCTTCTGCCATGATTATGAGGCCTCCCCAGCCACATGGAACTGTGAATCTATTAAACCTCTTTTTCTTTATTAATTACCCAGTCTCAGGTATGTCTTTAACAGCAGCGTGAAAATGAACTGATACACTTGTGCTCTGTAAACTCTCCTGATTTTTTACCTGGAGACAGGGTGAAACCTGGCAAAAAGATGGAATGTGTTTTATCCCAGTACCTGTTTTGATGTGGCTGACTCTTGTTGGTGGTAACACTGGGCATTTTGACACAGATGGAGGGTTCTCTGTCTCTCCTCTCAATTGTCATCCCTGGTTCTCCATCACGTGGTCCAGGTGTGCAAATGATAGGGCTCCAATAGCTCTCCATCCCCTCTTATCAGTATTTCATTTTTGGAGTATGGTTCATGTCGTCTGGTGCCTTAATTCAACAGATAAAGCAACTGAAGCTCAGAGAAACTGAGTTGCTGACACGGTGTCACATAGCTATGTAGTGATATGCTTGAGTGCATAATATGTATCACCCTTCTCTAAACACAAAGCATATGCTGAACATTGTGAAAGTCACTTTACATAGAGCATCTTTTCTCAACAGTCTTAGACGTTAGAGGAAAAAAAAATGTGGTGAGGGAGCCTAATTAAATGGCTTCTTATCAGGCATTTCCATAAGAAAATCTCCCTCTCCTTTGTGTATCTCATGTTATCTCCAGATACATATACTTTTCAAAATATGTAGGTCCATTTTTATAGGTGCTTTTGAGGACAATGCTATGGAAATGTTGTGTTTTTGCTTTAATGTTTTGCAAGCGTCAGACCCATCTACATAACATCTTGCACAGCAGGCTACACTTTATAACGATTAATATCCCAAGGCTGTGGGTCAGTAATCATTTGTGTAACTGATTGAGCATTAGCTAAGACCACAGACAGTGCCAGAGAGGGTGGAACTGGAATATTAGTGGGATATGCTTTGATAACCGCTAACCAGCTGCAAGCTGAAAATTCTCCTCCTGTGCCTGCTATGCTGTTTGTTCTCTTCAGTTTGAAAAGTTAAAAATGAAAGGGCTGTCTGGGCGACCTTAAGAAATATATGACTAGAGTAAAAAGACTTTCACTGAGGCCCATTGTGCTAGAAGCAGGTGGGAAAAGTTTATACTCTCAAAAGCTAAAATAATTACTAAGTAAAGGTATGGATAATTACTCAGAAACTCTAGGAATATTTTACAGGTAATTGTGATATAAGTGAATGAATTTCACCTATCAAATTTATTTATATATATGTATATATACATTTTATAAATATGTAGGGTTTAACACTGATGAGGATCTATCAATTAGCACATGAACTTGAATCTCAAGTTCAAGTGGTGAAAATATTCAAGAAAGCAACTGAACCATATGTATCAAGGTCCTTAATGGGGTGTATTATCTTTTGGTGAATAATTCTTCTTCAAGAAATCTGTTTTTAGGAAATAACAATACCTGAAGGAAAGATGTATGAACAAATATTTTATTAAATGATAGTGTAAAGTGATACTGAAAGCAACTGAAGTATCTATTAAAAACATATATATGCTCTTATATGCCTTAAAATTATATATACAGTTGACCCTTGAACAACATGAGGATTGAAGGCACCAACCCCCAGTGCAGTCGAAAATCTGAGTATAACTTTTGATTCCCTAAAACCTTTACTACTAATAGCCTACTGTTGACCTGAAGCCTTACCAACAACATAAACAGTCGATTGACATATATTTTGTATGTTATATGTATTATAGATTGTATTCTTATAATAAAATAGGCTAGTGAAAAAAATACTAGAAGAAAATTATAAGGAAGAGAAACTTATTTACTATTTATTCAGTGGAGAATTGGACCATCATAAAGGTCTTCATTCTGTTTGTCTTCACATTGAGTAGGCTAAGGAGGAGGAGGAGGAAGAGGAGGGGTTGGTGTTACTGTTTGAAGAGTGGCAGAGGCAGAAGTGAAGGAAGCAAAAGGTGAGGCAGGAGAGACAGGAACCCTCAGTGTAACTTCACAGAAATACAACCTAATTTCTATTTGATATTTCATTTTTTCATTTCTCCATGAATATTTCTATACAGTCACAGTCCTTCTTCTGTCATTTGCTTAGTTTCAGTGCCTGCATCACAGAAGGGTTCATGTCATAAAAAGAAAACAGAAGCGGTCTTGAATAACCAAAACTCTTCTTCCAGATTATCTAATGTCAATTTGTTTTCTGGCACTGTTTTTTTGTTGTTGTTGTTGTTTGTTTGTTTGTTTGTTTTGTTTTTTTCCATCTTCTTCCTCATCATTAGGCACTGGTTTGGGAGCACTCAGGTCCATCGATTCATCTCTTGTTAATTCCTCTGATGTGGTGACTATTAGCTCCTTTCTCCAAGATCCATATAGTGAAACCCTTCACAACTGTCACCTCCCTTCCTTTGCCATATTCACAATCTCTTTCATGACTTCCTGGACTGTCTCTGTCATAAATCTTGTGAAGTCAAGCACAACTTCTGGACACAGTTTTCCCCAGCAGGAATTTATTGTCTAAGGTTTTCATGGCTTTTCTCATAGCAACGATACTATAATTCTTCCAGACTTTCAGAATGTTCTGTGTCAAAGTTCCCTTCCACAGTGTTGGCAACCCTTTCCATAGATCACTGTGTGTAATGAGACTTAAAGGTTTGTATGGCCCTGGATCTAGAGGCTAAACTAGGGATGTTGTGTTTGGAGGCAAATAGATCACTTTGGCACCACAATCAGCGTTTAACTCAAGAGGTTTCAGATGGTCAGAGGCATCATACAATTTCAAAAGAACTTTATGACAGTCCTTTACTAGCAAGGTATTTCCTGACTTTTGAAACAAAGCATCGAAGGAACCAGTCCAGAAAAAGGGTTCCTGTTGTCCAGACCTTACTGTTACACAACCAAAAGACTGTTGGCACTTCTTATAGGTCCCATAGTGTTTCCAAGATTTATGGTATTGCATAAAACACAATGAAAAATATGCAAGAATCGTAAAAGATCACTTTTTACTGTGATTTGCAATTTACTAGAGAGACAAACTGCTCAGGGGATATGATTAGTGTAACCCAGCATTTTAAGCTGATACTGGTAACACATGAGCTTGACTTAATGGCAACAGGAGGTGGCTACAAAATTATTACAATGGTACAGTATTACTACTGTTAATTGTATGCAGTTATAACTTAATACTGAATCTTTACATTTGTTTACCTTTCTCTTGATTGCAAATGGTGCCATGGTTTGTCTGTGTGTGCATATATTTTGCAAATTTTTAACTTTTCAT
The DNA here is from genome assembly GCF_000001405.40 of Homo sapiens. Taxonomy (NCBI): domain Eukaryota; kingdom Metazoa; phylum Chordata; class Mammalia; order Primates; family Hominidae; genus Homo; species Homo sapiens. Next base: position 11,360,155 of record NC_000004.12, on the reverse strand, counting down.
AATAGACACATGTATCATAGTAGTAAATGATAAAATAGACTAGTATTTACATATATTTATGATTCATGACATAGTTACCCTTTCTTAATTGTTTTCAGTATTTCTAGGTGATGCGATTGGTCTGTGAGTTTTTTCAAATTGTCACTTCAAATCCCCCCCCAAAATTTCCAATATATTTATTGAAAAAGATCTATGTATCAGTGGACCACCACAGTTGAAGTCCATGCAGTTCAAGGCTTAACTGTCCTGCTTGAATGTTATGCAAGCATCAGGCCCATCTGGCATAGTGTCTAGAACAAATCTTGATCCAGAGAAAACAGCCTACAACCATTAATATTCTAAGCCTCTGGGTTGGAATATCATTAATCATTTGTGTAAGTGATTGAACATTAGCCAAGACCACAAACAACACCAGAAAGGTTGAAATTGGAACATTAACAGGGTTTGCACTGATGACAATATTTTGCTGGCCCAGGTGTGGTTATTTAGAAATTCTTATACAGTTCATGGTACTAGAGATTGATAATTGTTTAAATGTTTTGATACCTATGGTTAATTTCTGAGAATAAAACCCAAAGGAGGAAAATGAAAACAAAGAGCAACAACAGAAAGTCTTACTTCCAAGGATATACATTGTTAACATTTATAATAGTCAAGCTTATAAACAAATCAAATATCAAGTTTTGTTTTATGTAACATAACTTACATAACAAATCAAATTATAAGACAAGGTTAAGTAACTTGTGGCATAGAAACACAATGGTGTATTGTATAATCTTTATATGCACATGGAGTTTTTTCTTTCCAGAAAGCTACATAAAATATTGGAGAGTATTTTAATGTTAGTTGAAAAATATAGTGCAAAAAGGATACAATTATAACACATAAAAATATTATTCTGTGCGCTAAGACAATATGTTATTCAAAACACAGTTAACTGGGTGGGTTTGTGTGGTGGGGCTGCAGATTTCTTTGTTCTTTTTCCATCCTGCCTTCTCTTCCTCTCCCCACACAGTTTCTTTGTCAGTCATTAGAAATGAAAATGTAATAACATTAAAGATGTATAGTGTATCTTTAGGGGAAATAAGCAACAGTAAATTAAGAACACATAAAGGCTATCAGTGCTTTATCAATACCCCATTCACCACACTCATAGAGAGCAGCTAGCATTACAAAGGAATTCACAGACAGAGTGTGCTCTCCTAAGAGGTGATGAGGACTGAAAATAAAAATAGATTATTAAAAGACTTAGAAAAATTTTTGAATGAAAGGTGTAAAAAAGATTGTTGAGCTCAGCTAGATATTTACAAAAAACACTTAGCTATTGAATTTGATTTTCCACAAAATGCCTCTCAAAATCATTGTCACAAAAGCAACAGACTGGAAAGTAGCAGTGTCCAGATTTTTTGGTTTCTATTAAGTTCTGCCCTGTGGATTCGAAGAGCTGTTATTTGAAGAAATGGGTAAGACCATCTCTGTATGACTCCAAGTGGCTGCATCACCTCTCTAAGGAATATAATTTTATTAATTTAAAGCAGTCTGTGGTAGTGGGGATACCAACAGGAAATACAACAAATTTAAATTGAGATAATTTGGGACGAACTCATTAAAGAACTAACTACAAAGGTATGAATGGGCTATAGTGGAACACCAGCTCAGCTAATAAAAGAAACAGAGTGGGAAAGACAGTTGCTAGCACTCAGTGGTTTGAGAGTGGTAACTTCAATCAGGGCTACACCTGGGACCCATGGAAATAAGTAGCCTGATTTCCCCCCTCCCACCTGCCAATATCCTGGTGGATGCTGGCTAAATCCATGGGTCAAACTCAATTGGAAGCAAAAATGTAGTCCTGTCTATCAAATGATGGGCATTTGGGATGATTCCATGTCTTTGCTATTGTGAATTGTGCTGCAATGAACATAGGCATGCATGTATCTTTATATAGAATGTTTTCTATTTTGGGGGTTATATACCCAGTAAGAGGATTGCTGGGTCAAATGGTATTTCTGCTTCTGGATCTTTGGGGAATTGCCACACCATCTTCCACAAAGGTTGAACTAATTTACACTACCACCAACAGTGAAAAAGCATTCCTTTTTCTCCACACCTCACCAGCATCTGTTGTTTCTGGACTCTTTAATAACTGCCATTCTGACTGGCATGAGATGGTATCTCATTGTGGTTTTTGTTTGCATTTCTCTAATGATCAGTGATGGACACATGGTGAGGAACAACACACATTGGGGCCTGTTGGGGGTTGCAGGGGAGGGAGAGCATCAGGAATAATAGCTAATGGATGCTGGGCTTAATACCTAGATGATGGGTTAATCTGTGCAGCAAACCACCATGGCACACGTTTACCTTTGTAACAAACCTGCACATCCTGCACATGTACCCTGAAACTTAAAATAAAAATTGAAGAAAAAAATAAAAATAATGTAGTCCATAGAAATCAGCCTCCTGGAAGAAAGCACAGGGTGCTGAAGAAGGATCCAGAGAGCCAGATAGAAGGTGGCCTGAACAAAGCCCAAACAAGGAGGAGCCAACCCCACAAACCAGTAGGCTTTTCATCATTACCATTGGTGAAAAGAGGCTGAAGGATCATTTCTTTGGGAAAGCTAAACTGTATTAGTTTGTTTTCATTGGGGCTGATAAAGACATACCCAAGACTGGGCAATTTACAAAAGAAAGAGGTTTAATTGGACTTTCACTTCCATGTGGCTGGAGAAACCTCACAATCATGGCAGAAAGCAAGGAGGAGCAAGTCAGGTCTTACATAGATGGCAGCAGGCAGAGAGAAAGAGCTTGGCAGGAGAACTCTCTTCTTAAAACCATCAGACCTTGTGAAACTTATTCACTATCACGATAACAACACAAGAAAGACTTGTCCCTATAATTCAGTTACCTCTCACCAGATCCCTCCCACAACATGTGAGAATTCAAGATGAGATTTCGGTGGGGATACAGCCAAACCATATCATAAACAGAGCATGGTGTTTAGACCAGATGGCTTAACATTTTCCAGTTAATTCTAAAACTTTGTAATTCTAAGGTACCTCAACTAAACTAGGGACAAATAAATAACCAATGCAATTATAATTGCATATTATGGTCACAAACTCAAGTCAGGAAAATTGAGCTCTTTATCCCTTTTATAGAGCAATAACCTTTTCTAGCATCCACACTGATTATCTCTGGAACACTTTTACAAAGCAATAAAACCAATGGTATATTTAATTGAAGTATGGGTGTTGATGATCAACAAGCACAACCTGGGATGAATATGTAATGAGAGCTCTTTCCATGTGGCACTCAAAGATCAGGATGTATAAGAAATACATTTTAATAAGAACTAACATACATTAAGTGCTCATATGTGCCAGGCATGAGCCATGAACTTTATATTAACTCATTTAATCTGGCCAAGAAGCTCTTTAAATTACACACTTTTGTTGCTCTTTCTTTACCTATGAAGGGAAGCAGCCAGGGAAATGTGCTACTCAGATCTCTTGCAATAGGAGGCATATTTTGCTTCTAGTCTTACATGCTGACCCTTGAAATCCATTACCATGATTGTTGAAACCACACTTCCTGAAGACTGCCCCCAGACCAGTTACTGAGCACAGCAGGGCACTCCATTCCCAGTCCAGGTAGAAGCAGGACTGCTTGAATGGCTTTGGCTCAAGCTCTTGAGCTCCATGAGCCTGGCCAAATCTTTCTTGAAACTGTGCTACAGTTGAACATCCTTCCTACTCAAGACTTTTTCTTTCTCTCTCTTCTTTCACAGTTGTCAGACCCATATAGAGATCTGACAGTCCCCCACCCTTCCCTCCCTGCTATAGACTGAATTGTGTACCTCCCCTCCCCAACCCATATTGAAATGTTGAACCCCTAACAGGCAGTGTGATTGTAGTTGGAGATAGAGTCTTTATGAGATAATGAAGGTTAAATGAGTTCATAAGAGTGGGACCTTAATGGGATAGGACTGTGGCCTCTCTTTCTCTCTTTCTCTTTACCATATGAGGACTTGGTGAGAAGGTAGGCGTTTGCAAGTTAGGAAGAGAGTTCTCACCAGAAACCAAATTGGCTGGCACCTTGATTTTGGATTTCCCAGTTTCCAGAAGTGTGAGAAAATAAATTTCTGTTGTTTAAGCCACCTGGTCTATGGTATTTAGTATGGTACCAAAAGCTGACTAAAACACCCTTCTAATAAATGTCTTATGAGTTTAATCACATCTTGGCACTGGTTCTCAGCGGACCTGAACAAAATGCATGCACCATCAGAAGTCCTAGGTGTTCGCCTAAATTCACCAACCTTGGGGGTGGCAAGGCTGAGGTGCAAACTCAGGCAATGGAAATCATGAGTCTCCATCTGCTTCCTCTCTAAGCTGTGTTGCCTCTTGAGTTATTCAGGAGCTTAACTTGCCTAGGAACACTTTTTTTTGGAACACCTTCTCTCCCCATTTAAGCAAAGCATTTCAGCTTTTATCATTTTTTTCCCCCGACTTGAAGTCAGACAGCTGTTGTATCCTGAGACTTCTTCACTCCAGCAAAACTTGCCTCTGGTCTTTTATTTAATTCCGTGTGGTGGCAAGGGTTTAGATGCCTCCTCACTGTCACTCACCTGGACAGATGAGTTAGACAGATGTGCATGTAAATGGGATCCTGCAGTTACCAGCTGTGAGACCTCAGACGCCTTGATGGCCCTGAGCCTTTGTTTAATTATGTGAAAAAGTGAGAATTAGCCATTCTTGAGTCATGAGTCACTCGGAGGACTAAGCGAGTTCACATTTAAGGACTGAGGACATTAGCTGGTACATAAAGACCATAAATAATATATCCCGGCCAGGCACGGTGGCTCACACCTGTAATCCCAGCCCTTTGGGAGGCCTAGGCTGGCGGATCACAAGGTCAGGAGATCGAAACCATCCTGGCTAACATGGTGAAACCCCGTCTCTACTAAAAATACAAAAAATTAGCCGGGCGTGGTGGTGGTCGCCTGTAGTCCCAGCTACTCAGGAGGCTGAGGCAGGAGAATGGCATGAACCCGGGAGGCAGAGCTTGCAGTGAGCAGAGATAGCACCACTGCACTCCAGCCTGGGCAACAGAGCGAGACTCTGTCTCAAAAAAAAAAACAAAAAAACAAAACAAAAAAAACAACAAAAAAAAACCACACACAAAAAATGCCACTCCTATATGGGTACCTCTTTTGATTTATTTGAATCAGTTGCTTGTAAGAAGTTTGTTTCCCAGAAGTGAATGGAACTACTCTCACTTGCAGTGGTAACTTTTCTACTCCCTCCCTGAGATTTCCGAAGAACAGACAGGAAATTCCATTCAGAAGCTTTGCCTGGTTTGACATTTCCCCATATGTTCCTGTGGGTCAAGAGAAAAGGTTCTGATGTCCTAGCTTGGTTATCTGGATCCTGGAATCACTCAGGAACTTTATCGTCAGTTGTTGCCACTGCCTATGTCTGAAGCTGCCTGAAGGGGAGAAGAATGAGTCAAGGAGGTCATTCTTTGGTACTACGATTTGATCTTCAATGAAGCATACTTCGTTTTCAACTATTTCTAATTGTTCTTTGCTTAAACCCGTCATGGAAAGTTAAAGAACAAGTTACTGTTGTTGTTGTTGCTGTTTTTGCCATGTTTAAAATTGAATAATAAAGTCAGGGTTCCAGTCTCAGAACAGAATGGTCTTTACCTTGAAGTGGGTAAAATTTGGTTCTACTGCTAATGAGCTGTGTCACTTTAGACAATTTTCTTAATTGCTCTGTGTTTGATTTCCCCAATTGGAATCAAGAATGATTTTTCTTTCTTGGGACTTATGGTGAGGATTAAATGAAATCATGAATGTAAAGGTCCACATTGCTGATGTGCAGAAGTACCTAAATAAATGATCATGTGTGAGCCTGATATTTTAATTAAGTTGCTGCCCTCACCATCTCTGCTGTGTTCCACATTATAAGTCCTCAATGATCCTCAGGGTTTTCAAAATCTTCTAGTAGAAAATTTCCATCGTTTTATTTATTTCTAAGGAAGTATAGATGACCCCTGGGAAGTTGGCAGTCCCACCTATGACTAATATTATTGGTAGACCTTGTTATAGGAGTGTTATTATGTTGTTTTGTTTTGTATTTTTGTTTAAAGATTTTTTAATTTTTTCCATTGAATCTAGGTTCTGTTGAGAAATCATATTTTAGGCCATGTGATACTCCTCTGGCTCTGTTTATTTCCTTGCCTATTTGGTCTTCAAATGACTCCTTTGAAGTATGCCAGAACACCTGGAAAGTGTCATTGAATGGTCCCTTGGTTATTACCTGAATTATACAATCCATCCAGCAGGTACCATTTCCTGTTGCTATAAATTCTGGAAGTATTGTACTATTCTCTTAAGGACAATGAATCTTATTGTTTTCTTAAAAGGGGTATTGTTGAATATTTTGTTATTCCTAAAAACCCTTTTTTAAAATTATTGTTCTCCACTTCACTTTCTTTTTTTTTTTTCTTTCTTTTTTTTTTTTTCTTTTTTTGAGACGGAGTTTCACTCTTGTTGCCCAGGCTGGAGTGCAGTGGTGTGATCTTGACTCACTGCAACCTCCACCTCCCAAGTTCAAGCGATTCTCCTGCCTCAGCCTCCTGAGTAGCTGGGATTACAGGCACCCACCACCACAGCTGGCTAATTTTTTGTATTTTTAGCAGAGATGGGGTTTCACTATGTTGGACAAGCTGGTCTCAAACTCCTGACCTCAGGTGATCCACACGTGTCAGCCTCCCAAAGTGCTGTGATTACAGGCATGAGCCACCATGCCTGGCTCCACTTCCCTTTTTAATGGGCCTTTGGGAATGACAAGCTCCGATGTCAACAAGTACATGGACACAATGCATCATAATTTCTTGATAATGCTAGGTTTCTTTGGGGTCGGGGGGCAATCTTGGACTAGGTGACTGCATCTCACAGTGAGATGGGCCCATGACTGAGGTAAAAGGGTGCTGTGAAGTAGCACAGCAATGGATTGCTTTCCTGAACCATAAGTTAGTGCTAATGGCTTACATACTATAATATGCCATTATAGTATGCATGAGAAGAGGAGCAGCCTAGAATAGAGTAGATGTGTTTCCACTCAAGAACAAGGTCTATCTGGATACTGCATACTATAGTATGCCATTTTATACTTCTTTTCTGCATGTGGCTTCCGCTGAAAAGACAAACTAAAAGTTAAATAAAATATTAATTTTGGGATCCTGAGAAGAATCCATAAGTGTCAGCTCATGCCTCTGTCATTCTGACATCCCTACCCTAGAGTGGACCCTAGGACATCCTATTCAGAATCAGACTTATTCCTGTGTCTAAGCTATTTCTGCTGAAAGCAAGAAAGATGTGAGCAGACTCAGCCCCCTTCTCAAGTGGGAGTCTAGCAGTGCGGTAATGAGCCTGCAATTCCGGCTTCATCACTTGGTAACCATTTGAACTTGGGCAAGTTACATAACTTCTGCTGTAGTCTGTGTTCTTCCCAAAATTTATGTTGATACCCAATCCTCAATATAGTGATATTGGGAAGTAAGGTCTTTGGCCAATGATTAGGTCATGAGGGTGGAGCCTGCATGAATAGGATTAGTGCCCTCATTAGAGAGGTTCCAGATAGATCCCTCTACTTTCTTCCATGTGAGGTAACAGTGACAAAATAGCCATCTATGAACCAGAAAGTAGCCCCTCAGCAAACATGAAACCTGTTGACCCTTTGACCTTGGACTTCCTGGCCTCCAGTACTGTGATACATAAATTTTTGATGTTTAAGCCACCCAGTATCATGTTGTGTTATAACAGCCTAAATGAACAAAGAGAACTTCTCTGTGCCTCAGTTTTCTTAGCGGTAAAATGAGAATGATAATACCCATTTCAATGGTTTATTTTGAGGAATAACTAGGGTATGACATGTGAAGTGCCCACCCATAATAAGCCCTTAATAAATTTAACCCATCACTATTATGACATTTTTTCCTCTCCCCAGATAGACCTTGTTCCTGAATGGAAACCCATGTACTCTATTCCAGGCTGCACCTGTTCTCATACAAAGCACAATCACTGATATCCAGAGTCAGGCTACACGGAGTCATCCTTAGTCTCACAGCATCTTAGTGACTTAAGAAATCAATTGCATCTCCAACTTACTTTTCTCATCTGTAAAAGGGGGTCTAATGTCATTAGAGGTGTTGTAAAGATTACATCAGCCAATCCATGTTAAATGTTTAACACAATCTGGCCGGGCACGGTGGCTCGCACCTGTAATCCCAGCACTTTGGGAGGCCGAGGCGGGTGGATCACGTGATCAGGAGATCGAGACCATCCTGGCTAACACGGCGTGAAACCCCATCTCTCCTAAAAATACAAAAAAATTAGTCAGGCGTGGTGGCAGGCACCTGTAGTCCCAGCTACTCGGGAGGCTGAGGCAGGAAAATGGTGTGAACCCAGGAGGCAGAACTTACAGTGAGCCGAGATCGCTCCACTGCACTCCAGCCTGGGCAACAGGGCAAGACTTTGTCTTAAAAAAAAAAAAAAGCAAAAAACAAAAACAAAAACAAGCTGTGCACATATACTTAAAAGTTCTGAAAGAACAATGTATTGGGTCTGCTCATTTAAGAATCCCATCTGTGTCCACCAGCTGATATTAATCATTTTACTCGTACAGCAACTTACTAATTCATTCACTAAAATTCTTTTTTGTTGTTGTTTCTGTTTTTGCTTTTTACAGGCCACTGCTCTGAGAAGTGGGGCCCTCACTTTTTTTTTTTAATGGTGTAGAGCGTTTTTCTTCAAACAAAGACTCATGGCAGGCATCACTACTTCTGTTCTTACTGCTTTCCATAGAACATCAAAATTCATCTAAGGGCATTAAATACATTTAAATGTTAAAAAATGGAACTTTACCAAATAAATATTCATAAAGTGCAATTTACATAATGAAAATCTGTGCTTAGTGAATACATATAAAATAAAACCTCATTGAACAGGTACAGAATTTAGCCAAGTTATAAAATTCATTAACCAGTGAATATACTCATCCATTAACAAATTAATCATCTTTCTCTACTTTGAAAATGAATTCATACCTGAATGGCTAATTATACAGATCCTTCCTCACTGAAGACATTAATATAGGAACATTGAACGTGGAGGGAAGAAAAGTGGTAGCTAATATATTTTTCTTTTTTTGTTTAACAGCATAATGATATGCTGAGTCTTCAGTGAAGACCCCAACATAAATTGTGCAATAGGTGAAAGATGCAACCTTTTAATTTTGTTTTGTTTTTCTATTTTTGTGCATTTTTAACATTTAATAAATGTCAGTGAACATGTGTAATTTTTATATGAATCCTGGTGGGGGTGGGAATCATTAAACCATTTTACAGACAAGGACCCTGAGACTTAGAGAGGTTTTATTGGTTTAAGCAGGATTATCACAAGTAGATCTCAGAGCAGGGACTTTATTCCAAGGGTTGTCTGATTCAGAAGTCTGTTTTCTTCACCTACATCCTGGCAAGCAGCAATATTAACCTTGGTAACAGCCATAACTGATAAATGTTAGCTGAACTTTAAAAACAAATTCCTCTTTCAGCTGTTTGCTACGTTCACACACTCGCTGCTCAAATCTGCTATATGTGATTCCATCCTTGCAATTTTACTGTCCTCATCTCATGAGCAAGAACATGGTACTTAGCCCTCAGCAAAGCACTAATATGAACATGGTTTTATCACACTAGGATTTCTTTAAGTTACAGTTAAGGGAAGCCCAGAGGCCGTTTTCCTTAATACTAGCTAGAGTCAATCAAGTTCATTTCCTTGGAGAGAAGCAATGCATTCATTTAAGGAAACTGAAGGAGACTGTGGGTCACAGAAATTCAGAGCTTAGTATGTCACATATTCTCTCCCCTCATTTCCTCAGAGCTCAGGAAGCACACACCCTCTTTCTTATAATTTTTATTAACTGCTTTGAGTAACCTGGGGTAAAGAACAGTGTTTAAAGCTGAAATAACACCTGCTGTGAGCTGAATTATGTCTTCTCCCAAATTCATGTTTCGAAGTTCTAACACCTAGTACTTCAGAATGTGAAGTTATTTGGAGATAGAGATTGCAACAGAAGTAATCAAGTTACAGTGGGGTCCTTAGGATGGGTCTTGATTGAGTGATTGGTGTCCTTATAAAAAGGGGGGATTTGCACACAGGGACCCACATAGAGGAAAGACAATGTAAAGAGATGCAAGGATAAGGTGGCCATCTACAAGCCAGGGAGACAGGCTTGGAACTGATTCTTTCCTCATAGCCTTCAGAAGAAATCGATGCCACCCACACGTTGTTCTTGAACTTCCAGCCTCCAGAACTGAGAGACAGTGACTTTCTGTTGTTTATGCTACTCGGTGTGTGTTGCCTTGTCATGGCAGCCCTAAAAACTCATAGTTCAAGACTCATGGATCTTGCCCCATCTGCCCTTCCCTGTCCCGATCCGGTCTCCTTCTCCTCCACTCCCCAAACATAAGGTGTGTAGATGTCTGCGTTGTCTTCCACTTCCACTGACAGCCCCTCCTAACACTGAGCTTGTCCTTGTGCAGGCTTCTTGTAAATACCCGTGGGGTGGATTTAACTTGCGAGGAGCACAACCAGAGTGAGGCATCTTTAAGAAATTCATTGAAAGTCCGCTGGCCTGGCCTAGGTCACACTTCAAATGATGAGTTTGCTAATTAGAGGCAGAAAACTGGTCACTCTGCACCCTAGAAAACAGTATTAAAAACGACTCTAGGAAAAGTGATTAACACTCTTCTGTTCTCCAAGTGGCTGTGCCTAAGTGATAGTGGAGGAGAGAACGTGGTAGGATTAGTTCAGGCGAAACTTACCTCCTCGAACCTCAGAAAATTATGATTTCTAGAGTGACTAAATGTTGGGGGATTGATAAAACTTGGCTCATTAAAGCCTTTAAATCTGGAATTATAAATATGCTTGGTAAAGTTTTTTTTCTTAGTGATAAAGCATATTTTCCTGTGTTCTAAGACAGGACACTTGAAAAATTATCCTTATTTTTGTGATATTTTGGGAGATCATTATATACATCATTATGCTGCATTGAAATGCTGTTTAATTTCATGGGAAAAGGGAACTCTTACATGATGTTGATGAGAATGTAAATTAGTACAGCCATTATGAAAGTCAGTATGGAGATTCCTCAAAAAATTAAAAATAGAACTACCATATGACTCAGCAATCACAACACTGGGTATATACTCAAAGGAAATGAAATCAGTATATCAAAGAGCTATCTGCACTTCCATATTTACTGCAGTATTATTTGCAATGGCCAAGATATGGAAACAACCTAATTATTCATTAATGGATGAATGGATAAAGAAGATGTGGTACATACGCACAATGAAGTACCAATCAGCAATAAAAAAAAAGTGAGGAAATCCTGCCATTTGTGACAACATGAATGAACCTAGAGAACCTCATGTTAATTGAAATAAGCCAGTCACAGCAAGACAAAGACTGCATGACCTCACTCATACGTAGAATCTAAAAATGTTTGTCTCGTAAGAGTAGAAAATAGAATAATGGTTAGCAGAGGCTGACTGGTTAGGGAAAAGAAAAGTTTGAGGAGATGTTAGTCAAAGAATACATATATACACTCAGATAAGAGGAATAAGTTCAAAAGATATATTGTACAGCATGGTGACTATAGAAAATAATACATATTATACTCTTGAACAATGTTAAGAGAGTGGATATTAAGTGTTCTCATCACAAAAATAATAGCTATGTGAGGTAAAACATTTGTTAATTAGCTAGATTTAACCATTTACAAAGTATACATGCTATAACACATCACGTTTTACATGATAAATGTATACAAGTTTATATGCCAATTTAAAAAATAAATTTGAAAAGAGGAAAGCAATACAGTGGAATCCTAAGAATAATTTTAGGTAACTAAGATTTTACCTTTGACTTCTATAGACTACCATTCTTTTGAAATTCCAGGATATTTTGGAGACAGTTTATGTTCATTGTATATTGTAATACACATTTGTAAATCAGAAGGGTTTTGTTAGAAAGAAATGTTCTGTTATCACTGCAAGTCATAAACATAATGTTTGGCACATGTTAGCTGACGTTTTCTTCAATCTATCTCTTCTCTAACTGATTGGAAAATACATCGTCACATTGGTTAGAACTATGAATACAATAATCCATAATGGATGCTACATGATGGCCTGAGAGTGGTCTTTGGACCATTGTGCATGAGCTTTAGTTTCTGAAATTTTGTAGTAACTTAAATGTGCATGTATATTTGTGTGTGTGTGTGTGTGTGATGTGTGTGTATGTGGTGTCTGTGTGTGTGTGTGTGTGCCCTTCTTGGCTCTCAGCCTGCTGGTAAGTGGGTGATAAGTGCTGTGTTTTAGACAGACATGCATTGAGCCTTGCTGCAATGGCTGGCCAAACCTGCTCTAACAAAGTACCACAGACAGGGTGGCTTACACAACAAAAATGTGTCTCAGAAGTCCAAGATCAAGGTGTTGTCAGGGCTGGTTCCTTCTGAGGCTGTGAGGGAGAATCTGTCCCACACCTGTCTTCAAGCTTCAGGCGGTTTGCTGGCAATCCCTTTTCTTCGAAGGCTTTGGAGGAACACCACTCTGATTTCTGCTTTTATCTTCACATGTGTGCTTTATCTTTCTTCAGATTTCATCTTTTTAGAAGGACACTATTTATATTAGACTAAGGCTCACCCCAGTGACCTCATTTTAAGTCTTGTAAAGAGTCTTTCTCCAAATACGGTGCATTCTGAGGTACTCAGGTTTAAGATTTCTGCATAAGAACTTTGGGGTGGGGTTCAATACAGAGCATTTGGCATTACCAATGATGAACTCTGTCAGTAGGAAAGTCACTTGATTTTCTTTAGTCTCAGTTGCCTTACCTGTGAGGGAAGGCAAATATTACATAAATCCCAGGATTGCTGTGATAATTTTTGATGGACAAAGGCTCTGTGACTGTCCAAGTGCTATTCATGGTTATGAGGCCCAGGAGGTGACCTCACCCTGCAGTAGAACATGCAATGTTAATGCATAGAGCAGTTGTGGGGGCATCTGCATCTTAATTCCTAGTAAGGGTCCCGAACAACTTTGGATAAGAAACTACTATGTGTCTGCATGATTCTAACTGAACTGATAGGTAGCTCAGGTTTTCCTGGCTTGTCTAAAAAAAGCTGAATTTGTTGGTCTGCAAACATCTATTCACTCATACTGGGCATCTTCTTTTTCTTTCTTGACTGAAAAATACTAGGGGGATGTTCATTGTGGGTGGGTCTCAGGGGGGTGGCACAGTCTGTGGGTTGAGCCCTTAGGAGTGAAAGGATCTCAAACCTAACAAAAAGGAGCTCTTCTCTGGAAGCATGCAGAGGACCATGAAGCCTGCACCAACCCACCTGAGATACCTAAGAGACTGGACAGCTGAGATGCCCTGGAAGATATCTCTCCAGAAGGGCAGTGTTCACCTAGAAGGACAGCCAGGATGGGTGCCTTAGACCACACACCAGTAGAAGTAGGCACGGGCACCCTTGACTTTGATACCACAGCTCATTATAAGCACCTGGGAAACTGATCAAAACATCCAAGAAATAATACTGGAATGAGAGGTGGACTTTGAAGGGGACTGAAATTACATGATTATATTGGAAATTTAGATCAATAATGCTTATGGAATTCCGTCTGTATTCACAAGACCAGAAGACTGGGGAGTGTCTAGATTCCACATTTACAATTTAATGTCAAACTTATAAAAACCTTGAGATTGTTGTTATTTCCTACTTTATATATGAGAAAACAGTATCTTCTGTTAAGCTATTTGCCTACGTAAGTGTTTCCCAAGAAATTCCTGTACCTTCTGTAAAGTTCAGGCTACATGCAGCCACTACTTGTACTTTTTTTGTATTCAATATATTTTTTAAATTGATTTTGTCTTACTTAAAGTTGTCTTCAGAAACAATATACATAAAACCAATGATTTTCTATGATAAGATACATACATATGTACATGTATATCTGCATGTATATACATATATGTATACACACATGTATACATATGTATATATAGGTGTACACATATGTATATATGTATACACATGCCAATTTTATGCGACACATAGATGATATGTTTAATTGAAGCGAAATCCATGTAACATACACTTTGCCGATAATTGTCAGGTTGATTAGAGATGGGAAGGAAAGTCTGAGGCCAGTGACTTTGTGTGCACCTGTCATACATGGCAAGTCAGGAAGTCTGAATGCTGGAATCACACCTGACACACACTGGAAAGTCTTCCAATTCCACAGAATGTTGGCTGTCGGGTGTGGGGTACATAACCATGATCAGAGTGGAGGTGCTGTTGGAACAACTCTCTCTAGGGAGGTGCAGGAGTTCAGGGAGGAAGCTCCCCAGGGACTTGGCTCACCAGCTTTCCCTAACACTAACTTCAGTTTCTTTCTCCTTCTTTTTTGTATTTGTGTGGGCTCATTTCCCCTTATTTTAATAAAATATTCCTTAATCATGTACATCTCCTACCTATTTAGGCTTCTCTAACTGAACTGGCTGCCTCTATTTCTTCATGTGTCGTGCATTCCTTCTCAATCCAGTGCACTATGAATATACCATTTTCTCCCCGAATGATCCCTGCATTTCCACACGGACCTTACAGCTATTTCCAGCAGACTTTGGCCTTACCCACCACACTCTTGTGTTTGGAATGCTTCCTTTCCTTAATGTCTGCAACCCCCTCCATTCCCAGGAATTGGCTCCTCTAAGCAGAGTGAGGCAGGGAGGAAGACCGCTTTGCTCAGTGTTGTATCCCAGGTGCTCTATAGTGCCTGGATCAATGTCCAACCTTTTAGGGGAAGGAACTAATGAATGCCTGTATTTTTCCTGGTGGGAGACTTGGATTCCATTCTCTAAGATGCAATCAACTTTGGTGGGCTGCGTCACACTTTAAATTCCCCTGGATAGTAGCCAGGCTCTGAAAATGTTGGCTGGAAATCTTCAAATGCTCTGTGAGTATTTGGTCCTGACTCTGTGAATCTCCTGAGTATTAAGGAAGTAGATTTCTTCCATCCTCAAAGCACCATGGCTAATAGCCACACTTAGGAAGCAGACTGACCTGGGTTTTAATTTCAGCACTACACATAGTAGATGGTGACCTGGATCAACCTGACCTTCAATTCCTACAGCTGCAAATTGGAAAAAATAACACCCACATAATAAATACTGACATAATACCCACCTGTCTCAATTAAGCTAAACTAAATGAGATTATGCATAATCAATTTTGCTATGATGTGACATAAGAGTTTCTAAAATATCATTGTAACTATGTGTGATTATGTCGTAGGAACAGCAGGGTTTATAGGAAGAAAAATGGGGTTGGGGCACAACACTCACAAACTTTATCACGGACACTTTTTACCTAAAATGTAGAAACCTCATAAAAATAGTAACATAATTTCACACATATTAAGAGATGGAATACTAATAAAGATGGCCCTTGATCTTGAAAATGAACTGAAGTTTGCAGCTTGTGAGCCATTGTGAAGTGGAGGAAAGAAGGTTGTACGAAATTCGATGGAAAGTCGTCACACCAGATGTGACGGGCTCACTACACAGGCTGTGGATGGGAGTGACTGGGAGATGCTCACGGCATTGCCTGTGTACATTGTGTGCATTTCTACATGCTCCGGCTCATGCAGGTACAGTTTTCTTTGTTTACTAGTGTTTCTTGTGAACAAAATCCTGCTAAGCAAACACAAAATGTGCATTATACTCAAACTGTCCCCTGATAGATCAATCTTTTGGGAACATATTTGGATTACAAAAACAAACATATCAGAACTGGCTTTAAGTAAAAGGCTAGTAGAGTCCCTAAGCAGCAGGAGACATCCAATATGTGTTTTGTTTTCTCTTTTTAAAATTTCCATCTCTCTCCTTTAAATGCTGATCTTCCTAAGGCCAGGAGCTATTTTGTCCACTTTTGTGCTCCCAGTGATGGACACCCATTAACCAATCCAATCAATAAGTATCATTTGGCTGTTAGAGGCAAGGCAGGGTTGCAGTCTCTGGGGAAGGGGCTGCTGAGACAGAGACTCAGACATAAGAGATGATGCTCAGATCTCAATACCTGATGTCCCACAGGTGAGAACAGGTCTAGAATCCAGCTGGCCCAATGATGGACCCCTGAGTACCCGCCCAGGCTGGACCAGGCCTGCAGGCAGAGGGGCAAGTATTTCTCACCAAGGGAAGTGGAGGGCTCTAGAATCAAGAACTGGCCATGGTGATGCAAATGAGAAGTCTCAGAGAGGTGACGATGTCACAGATCTGGTAAATGGCAGAGTCAGAACTTGACCTCAGGCAGAACTGCCTTCTAGCCAGTGCTTTTCCCATTATGTCACTACTTAAGAATGCCTATGACAAAACTAGCGAAATCTACAAGGCAGGTACCACCGTAGCAGAACAAACTTTGTACCTTACATTTTATCATCCATCCTATTTAATCTTCAAAATGATCTTGCAATATAAGATTGTGATTTTTATTTTAAAAATGAGAAAAAATGACCTCAGAGAAAGAAAGTGACTTGTCCAAAGACTCAGGCAAGGACGTAGCATAGCCGTGAGGGTCTGGGTCAGCCTCCAGCTTTTTTCTCCTTTTGGGGGGCTGGGCAAGAATGTTATGGGCTGCTTGTGCCACACAGGGTGGGGAATGGAGGCAGGATGAGTTAAGGGAAGAATAATAAATATCAAATGCTGTCTGTTCTTGGCAAAGGGCATTAATTATATCAATGCAGAACATCATTCTGCTCTTTCCCTAATGGAAGCATAAATATGGCCCTTCTCTGCAATGAGCAATTTCCTTGGCTCTGCTGACACAATGGGAAATATCCTCAGTGAGAAAATTAAATATTGGTGTCACAGGACTATTAGAGAAACAAATGGTATTACACATTCCTCCTCCTTCCTCCACTGCCTTGCCATCTTTTCTCAGGCTGGCATGAAACCCTGAGAAGGGGCTGATGTCCCAGCCGTAGGAGTAGAGATGTTTGAGATGTCTGCAACATGGCGTTGTAAGGTCATTTGTTCATTACCAACGTCACACACTTTTATTTGGAACAACATGAGGTTTTACTGAGAGATTGTGATTCAAATTTGTGAGCTCCAGTTCAGGCTCTGCCTCTGAGCAGCTGCAAACTTAGGCAGGTTACTTAATCTCCCTGAGCTCCAGGTTTCTCTGGGCCTGTTTCTTCATCTATAAAATGAAGATGATCATTATCAATTATAATTGTCATCGTGAAACTACCTCCTTCACTGGCTTGTTTCAGAATTAATTGTGTTAGCAGCTCAAGTCTAGAAAACAGTATGCATAGTACAGTAGTACACACCACGCAGGAATGTGATTCTTTTTTCTTTCCTAAAAGCTCCTAGGGCCTGCATTTCACAATGTGGACATGGACAGTGTCAGGCTTCGCCCTGACCTTCTGGAGTTCACCACAATGTAGCAAGCACAGAAACACAGGTGCCTGACTCTGAAGCCTGCAATTTTGAGAATGCTCACCATGTGTAGAGGCCTTTTCAGAGTCTAACAACATTTCAACCACCACGGAAAAGTGCTTATACATCTAGAGTCCATATCGAGCAAAACGTGACAAAAGACTATCATAAGCTAATAAAAATGTAAACTATATCTAGATTGTATTCTACCAAACATTATTAACATGCATTTGAAAAAAATATTGGAACTTATAAAAGGAAGCCATTTTATTTGGTCTGGAGACAAAGCATGGTGCCTATGGGGGTTCAGAGCTCTTACACTCCCTCTGTACCTCCCATTCCTAACGCCTACAGTTTGACAGTTATGCGACAAAACAAGTCCCAGAGGAACATCTGCCTCCTTGACCCCTTAATGAAAAGTTAGGGTGACTGATACATTTTGTGATGAGATGAAACCCAGTTAGGGAATGATATGTCCAAAACTACACAGTGCTACACAGAGAGACAGCATAAATTTAGTGCCTCAAAAGCACACACAGAGGTTTAGCAGGGAATGTAGGAAGAGAGGGTGGAGCTATTCCCCAAATGTATCATTAAGAGTCAATCCCGGGGGCGGAAAATAGATAAATATAGAAACTAATGCAATTTGGCAAGATCACAAAGAAAAAAAAAAAGCTGATCATCTCTAAAGTGAGTGTGGCATGCAGTGCTCTGTTGAGGGAGGAGAAATGAAACAGCGGCAATGCATTTCACACTAGACGTGTTAATTTTTGCTTCTGCTTTTTCTCAAAATGTACACCTCTGCCAAAGTCTAAGATCTAAGTATCTGTTGAAATAGAAAGCAGAGCTTTGGGGGTTGGGGGTATAAAATTCATCTGGAAATGCATTTTTTATTTTCATTATTGACTCATGCACAAAAATGCTTATAAGGAGGTAGAAGGAAGTATCCGACATGGTTTCTGATGGTAAAGATGTAACAGTCAAGGTGGAGGTTTATGCCTTACCTCAAAAGATCTCTTACAAATATTAGACCCTATGTGCTGACGTCATCACTGTTACACCTAGTTCAAGCTAGAACCATCTCTCATGTGTGTATAAGAGTGCCTCCAAATTAATCTCACTGCCTTTGTTTCTACTCTGGCCCCATCATTATTCACCATCTATGAAACAGTCAAAGCAAAAGGGGATTGTTCAATATCCCCATTGTGTCATGACACCTTTGCTTAAAACCCTCCAATGCCTCTTTTTTCCTCTTGAAATCAAATAGAAACTTTTGACCTGGCCCGCAAAGTCTTCCCTGATCCTGCCTTCCTCTCTGACTTCCACTGTGACCTCCATCTCTCTTGCTCACTGGCTTTCCTACTGTGCCTTAAACACCCCAACTTTGTTCATCCTTCCCATCATTTGGGTCTCAACTTCAGGAGCACTTGTTCTGAATGATTTTTGTCTTCACCACTCCCTCTAGGACAACTCATACAGGTCAGTTTCTGTCACATCCTTTTATTTTTTTTATTTTCTTCCTAGAAATTGACTATATCTGAACTTATTTTGCTTAATCTGCTCAATTATTTTCTAGTTTGTACAGTGCCTGTGGACACCCTACTAGAACATAGGTTCCATGACAGCCTGAATCTCATCTGTCTTGTTTGTACAAAATCCCCAGTGCCTGAGATGTAGGGGTGTACAATAAACATTTTTTGCATCAATAAATGCACTTACTTAGTAGATCTACAAGGTTTTGAAATGGTCTAGGGACATCTGGGAAGCTTTTATACAAAAAAAGAAACTAGAAGGCTGACAGAAAGATAAATGGTTAACTATGTAAATAAAGTGTGTTCTGCACCTACAATGGAGTCTTTTAACATATGTAATCTCACTTGATTTTTCGCTTCCACCCTATGAGGTAGGCAGATCATGAACAACATCATCCTGTCCACTTCATACAGCAACCTTTAGGTCCACAGGATTATGGGCCTAAGACAATAAAAGAGATAGAGAGGAAGGGGTTTAAAGCAGGGAAATGGAGCTGTTCTTCCCATTAGTGAGGTTTCCAAGAGCTCACAAAGCTCTTCCACATCTATTATTCTATTCAGCTTTTGCAGCAGCTCTGAGAGATGTTTACTCTCCCTGGCGGTGAGATGACAATGCCAGTGCCACAGGGGCAAGTGCAAAGGGTATGGAGCAAGGAACTTAGGTCATGTCTCAGCTGCTCCCTTAATTGTGCTGACTTGGAGAAAATAATTTAACCACTTTGTGCCTCAATTTTCTCTTCTGTAAATGAAGAGATACTTATTCTCAAAATGGAGGTGAGGATTGAGTAAATCAATCCTTTAAAGCTATTTATTGTGGTGTATGGAAAGTGTACAACTCAAAGTTATTACATTATGATTATGATTGTTTTATTAAACCAAGGCTCAGGGAGTAATTAGACTCACTTAAGGTCATATAGTAAGAAAAGGATGGATCAAACTCAGATCTGGCTGACTCTAAAGCTGAATGTAGCCACAGAGCCAGGGTGGCTGCTCTCTTCTAAAAAATGCAGTCACTGATAGTCAATTCCACAGGTAAATGTGTGATTTATACACTTGGACCACTCCTTGTCATTATCATATGTGCATATTTATTTTCCTCAGTGAGGCAATAGGCACTTGGAAGCAAGGATTGACTATCTGCAAAGCAGAACTTAATGCTGGGTGCTCAACCACATCTTGTCAATTCATAGCCTTTCCCCTAAACTTTGTCCAAAACCATTCACCCTTTTTATTGTTCCACTGACTGTGGAGGTGAGTTTGCCTCTAAAGCAACATTGTTAGTGTCCCTATGTCATTCCTTGCCTTGCCCAGGTATGGACTCCGGTTTTTCATCTCAATATGAAGGAGCTCAGTAAGTTCGTATAGGTCTCCAAGGCCATCTCTGCTATTAACACAAAGCATTGCTGCTGTTTGTCTAGAACAGTAGCTTAAGTGCCACCTGCTCATCTGTGGCTTTGACAGTGTTTATAATAACAAGCTTGAGTTGAGCACTTGCGTATTAAGCATTGAGCACTTCAGAGGCAGAGATGGCTCCACCTTCAAGAAAATACATTCTAAGGAGAAAATTGACACCCATGAGATAATTACAAAACAGTGAGTGAATTCCCATGAAAACAAGAAGAATAGAAAGGGCTCAGAGGAAGCACCTGGTAACATTAGGGAAGAGGAAATCACTCAGTGGTGGCTTTCTGAAGAAAGTAATGTTGAAACTGAAATTTGTAGAAATAATGGAAATTACGCCACCTAATAAAGGTGGAAAGATTACTTTGTGGGTGAAGGTGGGGGTGGTTTTAACAAAAGCATGGAGTCCTCTTGCACACAAAAGTGGACAGGGTGGGCCATCACCTATTTTTGGTGCCTGGACGATGAAGATCAGGGCACCCAGTATCAGGATGAGTCTCTAAGTCTCTTACATGTTGTGCTAGGGTGCTGAGACATTTTCCTGCAGGTGTGGGGGAATTCAGAAGACAACAGTGAGGCAATGCAGAAGCAGCAGCAACAGCACCATCTACTCATGCCAAGCACTGTGTTAAATCCTTCACAAGGATTATGCCATCTTTGCAAAAACCCAGTTAATTGATGTGGATGGAATAAGAGCTCCAAAGATGCCCACATCCTAATCCTCCAAATGTATGTGTATATTACCTTACATTTTAGAAAGAGACATTGAGAATGTGGTTAAGTTAAAGATCTTGAGATGAAAATGTTTTCTGGATTTTTCTGGGTGGGCCCACTTTATAAGGACAAATGTCCTTATAAGAGAGAGTCAGGAGGGTCAGAGTCAGAAGCAGAGATTGGGGTGATGTGTGGTCATAAGCCAGGGGATGATGGCAGCCTCTACCAACTGGAAAAGAATAGTAGTAAATGGGTGAGCTTCTAGAAAGAACCAGCTCTGCCCATCCAGTGTAGACTTCTGACCTCCAGAACTGTAAGATAATACACTTGTATTGTTTCAAGCCACTGAGTCGGTGGTAATTTGATATAGCAGTAATACAGTAAACTAATACATGGTATGATAAAATCTTCATTTTAGCAATGAAGAAACTAAGTCTCAGTGGGGTTCATTTGTCCAAGACCATAACAATGCTATAAAACGGCAGAACTAGTATCACAATCAAATTGTTCAAATTCACTCTCCAGTACTGCTACCAACAATTTTTTTGGCTGAATTGAAAGTAGGTTCTTGTCAATTCCTTCCACTTTCCATTCTTGGCAATCCCCTTTATGCAACAGTTATCCCCCAAAATGTCTCACTCTTTACAAAATAAATGAGAACGCAGAGATCTTTGACTTCTAGCAAAAAAAAAAAAAAAAAAAAAGATTAAAAAAAAAACTAAAGGAGGGGGGGAAACACGGGTTATTAACATCTCAATGAGATCAGAAAATCTGAGTTTAAAAATTAGATTGGGTGATAAAAAGCGCATTCTTCATAAATATTTAACCTCCATCAGCATGACAGTAATTAGAGAGTTGAGCTGAGCACATTACTGGCAGCGGGCTGTCCCGGTTTCTAAAATGGAAGGCCTGCTTTTGCAGCTTCTATGAGAAATAAATGATAAGAGTTCAAGAAAACAAAACACTGCATCTGCCACCAACATTTTTTTTGAAATGCCACCAAAATGATGCGTTTTAATTGTTGAACTCCTAGCAAAACTGCCTTCTATTTTAAGGCTAAAATGGATCTGAGGACTGTATATGACCATCTCAAACAGTTACCCTATCTCATACTTCTATATTCATTCTCTATGCCTTTTGGGCAAATTGAATTCCATAATGGCCTTGATTTGTTCATGCCTCCCTGAGTGACACCCTTTGCTAATGCCCTTCAACACTGACTCTGACTCCAGGTTTGGGCATGTGGTTTGCTTTGATCAAAAAGGAGAAATCCTGGACGAGCTTATGAGATGACAAAAGATATGTTGTCTAGTTGCCTATTGACCCTAGATAGCAGCAAGCTAACTGCCACCCATGAAGGTCAACCATCATACACTATCCAGCCCCAGAAAACCACCCACTGACTGACTATGGACTGCAATGATAATGTAAGTAAGAACAGCTCAGACTAGCAGAATCCTCTGGCTGAACCCAGCCCAGACTGCTGATGTGCAGAATCAAGAACTAAAAATACTTACTGTTTCAAGTCACCCAGTTTTAGGTCCACCTTGTTATTCAGCAAAGGTCAACTGATCTACTTCCCATTGCATTCAGGCATGCTCTTGTGTCTTCATTCTTAAAATTAACAAAATTAAATGATCCAAACAGAAGGAAACAAACTTACAGCTCATCTTTACAAGCAGCTGCTTTGCAGCCACAAATCTATACCATTGCAGGGGAGTAAACTGGTCACAAGCTGTCTCTACCACTCTCTCTCCATTCCACCTCATCCCCAGTTTCACTTTTACAGCCAAATCTGTTGAAATGGTTGCTATTCGACTTCTTCACTTCATCATCACTCTTTGCTTGCTCTAGTCTAGTTCTTGCTCCCACCCCTTCACATCACTATTTATACTGAGTTTTGTTTGGACTCTATTATTTGGTGACAATAATATAGCAGAAATCTGAACAGAAAGCAACAGGGACTCAAACTGAATACACTAACAATCTAAAAAGGAAAGTTATCATTAGGATATAGTGTCTCAAATAACCCAAGAATGGAGACCAGCTGAATCTAGTGGTTCAGCCACCGCTAGAACCACATTTTTTTCTCTCTATGTCTTACCTTTGGGTCTTTCCACATGTTTCCTCCTCTCTTTTCTCTTGCTGCACACCGACTGTCTCTTTCCTAGCCTGAAAAACAGGAAAAAAAATTATGTTAGTCAGTAACATCTGAATTGCATCATTCTAGTGCAAAAGAACAGCCAGACCCAACTGTCCTCTTTTAATGGAATCCACATTCCCTGAAGACCTCTTCAGCTGGCCCAGCTTGAGTAAGACACCCACCTCTGTACTGACCAGCTGTGACCAAGATTTGGAGTCATACTCTAATTACATAGAATCACTCGTGATAACCCTGTGGATAGAATTGGGGGAGGGAGGGATAGATCTCGGAAAAGCAGATCCCAGCAATGTGGTGGGTACTAAGTTGACAAAGGAATAAGTATCCACTGCCGTTCACCTCTTGGTTCCCAGCCTTGTAGTCTTTCCATAGACATAATTTCAAAACTTCCACACCCTATATGATCACATCTTCCCGCTACAGGTTTTATTATAATAGCAGCTCTCAGAATTACAACTTTATTCTTCTTTGTATAATTACACAATTAGCGTCTCTCTGTCCCACTAGTTTATATTTACTAAAAAACAGGGGCCAGTATGTTGCTTGGGTAAGGTCCTGGCCCATCATAGGAACCCAATACATGTTTGTGAGTGACTAAATAAACAAAAAGTGATTTTAAGATTTGGAATCCAAAATTATGTCATTCCTCAAAAAAGGAACAAAACATGGTGTACCTGGGCCACTGTGTTCTGAATCCACAATATATTATCTCTTTTGTGAGGAGAGGAGAGTGAGACATCAAAATGTTGGATAATTCAGCCAAGTTCACACAACTAATATGTGGTAGAGCTTGGACTTCAATCTCTATATTTGTACATAAGAATCTCTGCTTTTGACTATTCTGCTCTATAGATTTTTCTAAACATACAATGGTGGGAGAAAAGCAAGATAACGGCATTAAGCTTCACCAAAAAAAAAAAAAAAAAGAAAGAAAGAAAAAGAAAAAAAGTTGATGCAGCAGGCACTGGTCATTGATCTGGAGAATAAATCACATTCTGTTGAACAAATATAGTAAGGTGAGTAACAGGATGAATGGAGCACATGAAGATGAATTCTTGGAATCACCTCTTTGATCACAGAGTGAAATTCATGTTCAGTCATGTGGCTGCACATGATTGTGCCCACGAAGAGGATTTCTTTTATGTGTATACCTATATAGCCTTGTGCTAGAAGTCTTATTATCCAGCATAGAACCCTCCCCTGGTCTAAGCCATATTCTAATTGACTGCCCCTTAGAAACAAGACTTAGGAAGAAAGATAAGATGAGGGCTATAAGCAGGAGTCCTTTGGAAAGACATGCGGGTTCACATTTTCTTAAGTCATCTGATTTCTTCCAGCTAGCCCTAATCCACATTTCCGTTGTCACCTCCAGTTACCTGGGGTCTCAGATTTCTAGTTAAGAGCAGAAAATCCTTCTCTTTATAAATGTATGTTTCTGATATCCAATTAGCTTATAGTGTCTAATTAAAAAATAACCATGCACATAGTATGATGACCTGATGAAATACCTTTAATCATTAGTGTCAATGCACACATCTGAGACGAAAAATCAGCAGGTTAGCTTCACTAGTGAATTCACTACAATGGAACAATTGCAAACTCTTCAGTCCAAAGTGAATCCATTCTCATTGCTCTCATTACTCATGACACTGCAGCTCTGAACATCTGCTACTTATAATACTGCCTGTGGCAAAGTTATGGTGCAGTGTTTAAGAGCGTGAAGTTTAGATGCAGAGTATGTGAGTTAAGTGCTAGCTGTATGTTGGGGCTCAGAAACCAATACCGCAGGATATGGTGCTTTGTAGATGCTGAATTGTAAAAGAGACCTCAAGGTCTCTCTGGCTCTGCCCGTATTGCTCACCCACCACCTCTCCCTAAGCATGGGATAAAGTTGTTATCTGAAGTTTTTGTGTTTACCTAAGGTCAGGACCTGCCAAAGAAGAAAACAATTACCCTCCATCTCTTCCCTGAGTGTTCATTAACTGAGGAAGGAAAGAAGACTGAAGTCTTTCAACAAACATGGATAGACTTTGTCACAAACCATTGTTCACTCTGCAAGCCCAATAGACTTTGCCCCAGACCACTGTATGCTTTCAGACCCATTGAATCCCACTAAAAATCATTTACTATCCTCCTAAAATCATGCACATTTCCCCATGTATTACAGAGGATATATCACCATCTGTACCCCATTGAAATATTAGGCAATTACCCTGTAATTCTCTCTGTGCACATGGTAGCAATATATTTGTAAAGACTTTTC
Source organism: Homo sapiens (assembly GCF_000001405.40). NCBI lineage: Eukaryota > Metazoa > Chordata > Mammalia > Primates > Hominidae > Homo > Homo sapiens. Next base: position 11,334,512 of record NC_000004.12, on the reverse strand, counting down.
TCTTATTAATCTGCCTTACTGTGAGTTGATTTTTCAGTGAACTTTCCAAGGGTGGAGGGGAAATTCACTTGGCACCAACATCTACTACCCACTGGCTGTGTGACTTTAAATAAGTTACTTGACTGCTAGGTGCCCGAGGTTCCCCATTTATAATATGGGTGATAATAGGGTTATTGTCATGGTTAAAGGGGATTAAACAGTGTGTACCCTTTTTATAATATATGATATGTGATAGTTATCAATTCATGTATTTGTTCAAAATACTCTTATTACAAATAATAAAATCCAACTTTAACTAGCTGAGACAAAAATGATTTATGGAAATCAAGACTAGAAAGAAGATAAAACATGGAAATAGTTGAATTTAGAAACTCATATACCATCATACATTCTTCTTGCTGAAGACAGGCTTTTTCTTTTCTATTGTCTGGATGGAGCATAATGGCCACAGTCAACCCTCTTTTGGTTTACTTCTCTTCAATTCAAACAGCAGCCGGACTTAACTATAATATTCATTTAATTCTCAATTGCCAGTTAAGCTATTTCGTTGTCATGGTTTTGGGCCAGGGGCTTAGCCTTGTTTCAAGGCCCTGTGGCCAAAGGATGGGATGCAGTTATACCAATGGACATCTCCCAGAGTAACCACATAGATGGAGTAGGGAGGAGAGGAGAGTTTCAAAAAGGCACAGGGGGAAGGAAACAGTTCCCAGTAAAGAGGAGTACTATGTGAGACAAAGAACATTAGCTTTCTACCAAGACTCTGATTTAACATCTTTGTGGCAGAATCTAAAAAACAGTTTTTAGTCTTCATTTATTTGGCCTATCAATAATGGCTGACAAGACCAAATCTCCTTAAAATTTTGTCTTTCTTTGGAGGCTGTGACATCTATTCCTTTTTGTTTCTACTCTTTTATTGCCCTTTCTATGTCCACATTCTGTATACTCTGCTCTTCAATCCTGTAGTTGAATATTGGAGTTTCTCAAGACATTTTTTTATCCTGGGTACTTTCATCTTTGTGTATTTTTTTTCTAGGTGATCTCGGTCTCCACCAGTTTCAGAACCCATCTATACGCTGATGACTCCAGCTTTAGATCCAGAGCTTCACACTGTCCACTCAACCTTTCCACTTCTATTTCCTCATAAGTATCGCAAACTGGACGTGACTAGAACAGAACTCAGGGCTTCCTTTTTGAACTTGCTCCCGATCTGCTATTCTCCCACTTGGCATTTTATGCATGCCCTCTAGAAATAGAAATAGGCACAAAGGAGAAACACTGACTATGTTTGGCTTTTTTTTTTAATTTTATTTTTTTGTGGATCTGGTTAGGACGATCAATTTTGCTTGCTGGGCAGAAGCTATCCCTGGTAATGGATTATCTTCAACTATCTCAGTTAAAGACACTTCTGCATAGCCAGCACAATATTTTCTTGATTCATTCCTTAAATACGAGTCACCATTGAACCAAAGCAAGCCAGTGTTTTCTATTGGCATTTCTTGAAGATCTTGCCTAGAGGTAAGAAGTGGGATGGTCAAGGTGTTACAGTCGTGAGGCATCTCGTTACAAGGGAGAGGCAAAAGGAAAAGGGTAGTGGGGTTAAGGTTGCTACAGTGAGAGATGGTGACATGAGAGGGAGATCATAAAAGAAGCTTATCAGAGGCGAATCTACTCAGAATAATGCTGAGAGTAATGAGAGTTTAGGAGAGCTTCTATGGAATGTGGCACATGAACAGTAAGTGGAGAACCCATAACAATTTCCTCAACTGTCCTTGAAAGCAGTGCAGGAGCCAAAATCACTCTCATACATGGATGTAGGCTATTAGCCACCATGTCTCGTTGCTGGCTGTAATATGCCACTGGCCTATTTTTCTCTCCGTGCTTTGGGAGCAGGACCTCCCAAGGCATTTTCTTTATTTTCATGTACAAAGAGGGAGAAGGACAAGTTGTGATTGAGATGTAAGGCTTCTATTTTAATGAGAGTCCCATTTAGAGTCATTCTAGAAAGATGAAAGGGAATTCCTTAAAATCACAATAATAGCTTGTCAGGGAAGAGTCCATCAAATGCCAAAGAGATTGTCCATTTGGAGTCTTTAAAGTGTATCTGTGTCTTCAAAGCTGAGATGTTGGCTAGTAGTGTGAGTAAATGTAAGACATGTGAAGTCTAGTTGAGTATGTTTGGACTGTAAATTTACATGAAAATTCCCTTCACAAATAAATGTTGGGCTGTGATGTTCAGAGGTGCTGAGGGACTTAAGTCACGTAGCTAGTAAAGTTCAGAACTGGGATCCAAAGCGCTGTCCATCTAACTGCAAGGAAGACATGTCCAACAAACACTGAGGGAGTCAGAGGCAGAATATTCACAGGAATGTCTAAGCCATAGTTGAGAAAGTTCTCCAACCCCTGCACCTAGCACAGAATGTGTTTCTTAGTAGGAGCTCCCTGCTTGTGTACGGAGTGAATAGGAAACCACTGGATCCTGCAAGTCTCTGAAATCCACCATGGCAGCCCAGTGACCCCAGTGAGGATAGACATGGAGGTTCCCACAGGCAGCTGTCAGTCTGGCTTCTGGAGGGAGTGATCAATTAGGACTCTGGGTATGCCTCTTTTTTAACTTTTTAATTATTAAATTTTTTGTTTTTAATTTGTGGAAGACAGAAGGGAAACCACTTTTGCATAGTAGATCTCAACACATTTTCTAAACGTGCCTAGAAAAATAGGCATGTGATTGTTGGGACCCCAGATGGATTTCTATTGGGGAAATAAATATTAGTGCTTAACTCATACTATTTGAATTCTGGGGTGAGAGAGTTGGAAGGCATTCTGGAAATCATCTAATTGAACTATCTCATTGTACATTTGTCAAAACAGGCCAGAGAAGTGAGACCTTAGGACAAATGTGTGTAGAGAAGGGACTACTGTGCCCGAAAACCTTGTACCCCAGGAGACACCATGCAAATTTCACCCCTTCTATCAATTTTGTTGGAGCAAGTGATATTTTGTTTATATTCCCTCATATGCCTAGCAAAGAAATCAATTTTTAAAGAGAGTTATATTTTCTTTAGTTTTGTTTATTTTAGTTTTGCTTATTTTCTCATAATACATCATAATAATTAATATACATTCATCAAATCAAATGTAAAAATGTGTGAAGATAGGATGATAATGATGACGGTAATAATAAATTATCCTTAGTCCTATCACCCAAAGATAGTCATTAGTATGATTTGGCTGTACATTTTCTTCCACTTCTTTTAAAGGCATAAGTCCAAAAGCAGAACTTAAGAGTATGGGCTTTGGTTTGAGGGAAACAAGACTCAAATCCCAGCCCGATACCTAGCAGCTGTCTGACTCTGCTGAAAGCATGTTTTGACAAGGTTAGCGTATTAACAGTACCTGTGCAATAGGGCTGTGAGGATTAAATTTTGAAATTTTATTTCAGTATGGGGTCAAAGCATACAGAATTCTTAGTTATAGATTTTTTTATATATGCTATATAAGCTACGATTAAAATATATAACACATTAATATCTAAAATATAAAATCATATATCTCATTTATGCATATTTAACACTACAGTCAATTCGATGCTCTACTTCGAGTTGTCATTTTAGGACAAGAAATTTTCATAATATAACATTCATATTCAAACATAATTTTTAGGGCTAAAAATAAAAGGATATGCGTAATCAACCATCTTTGTTGACATTTAAGCTCTTTCAAGATTTTTGCAATTACAAATAATGTGATGAATATGTTTATACACTCTCTTTTTAAGGGTACATTTTAGAAATGGAACTATTGATTCAAATATTATGGATATTTATAAAGCTTATGATACATATTGCTGGATGCTCTCCCAAGGGGTGGCAACAATTTACACAAAAATTAGCAATGCATGAGATTTTGTCATCTTTCAGCACACTTGAAAGCATTTCATACTGACATTTCAAAAAAATCTTTGCAAATGTATTTAAGCAATGAAATTTCATTGTGATGATTTTAATTTTGCATGACTTTGATTACTGTTAGATTTAAACATATTCTCATTGTTTTTTAAACAAATACATTTCTACTACGGAAGAGCTATTCTTTTCTGATTTATCTGTAAACTTCCAAGTACATTTTCTTGATCTGTTTGAGCTGTCTATTCATTATTGATAAAACTTTCTGCCGTATTTGTTATAAATATGCTGTCTCAGTAATACATTTGCATGATCATTTTATATACCATAGGTTTCTTTGCTTTAATTTACATTAAAAGTCTTTTTTATTTCATTCACTCCTTTTTATTTCATCCAACCTTTTTGGGATTAGAAGGAACTTCTGCTCCTACAGCAGTAATTTTCAAAGTATGATCTTTAGATTTCCATCATCAGAATGATCAGATGTTCTTGTTAAAATAAGCAGGAGTAACTCAGAATCTCTCAGGGTAAGCTGGAAACCTGTATTTCTGAAAGCTCTTTGTGATTCTTATTTTTGCTAAAGTTTAAAAACCACTGCTCTAGAGATTTGAGCTGCTGTTCTCCCTTAGTTTTTAGAAAGTATATTTTAAAATGTATTTAATGATTATTATGTTAGTAGTTGTAAGGTGGTATGTGATTGATGGGTGGTATGTGTTTTTTTAATTCTGAAAAGAAGAGTTAATACATGAATACATGTAACTTTATAAACATATTTAACAATTAAATTATTAAATAAATATATTGATGTATTGATTATTAAATAAAAGTATTTAATATTTTTATATTACATGTAAAATTATTAATATTTAGGGAGCATAATTCTGATATTTATACTTTGCTTCATCTCTCTTTTTAGGCTTGGGTCAAAATTATACAGATTTTTTATTTTGTAGCTTTATAGTATTTTAATATCTGATAAGATTAATTCTCCCACATAAGACTTCTGTTTCAAAACAATTATCTGCTATTTTTGCATACTTATTTTTTACAAGATAAATTTGGATTAATCTTTTCCAGTTAAGTAGACAATCTGTCATGATTTTGATAGAAATGCACTCTAATTTAGAGCTATCTGAAAAGAAATAATAGTTTAGAGTCTTTACGTCTTCTAACTCAGAAATATGATCTCTATCCTAGTAATTCAAGTATTATCTTATATTTCTCAGTAATATTTTATAGTTTTCCACAAATGGCCCTGCATATTTCTTGTTAAAAATGCTCCTAAGTATTTCCTTCTTTTGGTCGTGGTTAATGGAATATTTTCTGATGAAGATTTTTAAATCCAGTTTTTTGCTGAATATACATGTGCTATTTAGTCAGTTTACTGAGTTTTCATTGATTATGGCAGTTCTTTGGATAATTCCTTTGGGAAAAAGCATCTGTAATAGTAATCTATGGCTGCATGACAAGTCACTTCAAACTGTGTGACTTTAGACACAACATTTATTGTCTCACGATTTCTGTGGGTCAAGAATCTAGACAGGGCTTAACTGGGTTCTTTGGTCCAGGTTTTCTTTTTGTTTTTAAACTTCACTCCTATGTTCATTGCAGCACTATTTACAATGGCCAAGATCATTAATTTGCCTAAGTGTGTGTGTGGTTTTTTTTAATTTTAGCTTTTATTTTAGAAACAGGGGGTATACGTACAGATTTGCTACATAGGAGTATTCTGTATGAGATTTGGAGTACGGATCCTGCCACCCAGGTAGGTAGTTTGTTAACCCACCCCTCTCCCTTCACCCTCTAGTAGTCAATAGTGTCTATTGTTCCCGTACTTGTGTCCTTGAAAGACTGTATTTAAGATGTAGAGAGGGCAGCTTGAGTCATCTTGAGGCTTACCTGGAGGATGAAGCTCTTCTAAGCTCATGCACGTGGCTTTTGGCAGGACTCAGTGCTTCATGGGCTGTTGGAAGCCCTTTGTAGCTTGCTGGCTGCTGACCATGAGCCAGCTTCAGTTTCCTGACACATGGACATTTCTGTAGGCAGCTTGCTTCATAAGACTGAAAAGAGTCAGAGAGAGCAAGAGAGAGAGAGAGATAGGTTGAAGTCACAAATTTTATAACTAAACCTTGCAAGTGGCATTCTATCATCCTTGCCATGTTCTTTTGGTTAGAAGTGAGTCACTGGGTTAAGTCCAGCCCATACTGAAGGGAAGTGATGCACAAGGAGGGAAAACCAAGAGGTTGGGGATCATTGGGTATCAATCCTGAAACTGTCTACTGCAGTACATTTTCAATAATTTAATAAATCAACAATTCCTACTATAATTTTAATTCCAATTAATTTACTACATCTACCACCAGGTAATCACAAAAGCAGTTCATTCCCTTAGTGAAGACTACAAAATTGGACAACTCCGTATAAGAAGACCACAGCTGATTGTGTGAATTTTGGGTTACTCTTGTAAAGCTTTTAGGCTGGACTGAGCACAATGTTCTCAGACCCAGAGGATGGCCAGCCATAAAGTTATCACTTTGGACCAGGCTACTCCTATGTATTCATAACCTTATTCCATCACACAATCCCAGGTAAGGAAAATGAAGATGAGGGTACATGGGTGGAGAATTATGTATAAAATTATAGTGTATGTAAAGGAGAGAATGGTATTTTGCTCCCCAATCACCAAATCAGAGTTGGATTTTACTTTATTGGTGAAGAATTAAGTTGCTGTCCCTTTCATTTATTTTGAAATAGAAAAATGAAAGTTCAAGGGGTCTCTCCAGCTTTCAAAAGTTTGCAATCCAGGACTCTATAAGCACTACATGAAATGACACTAATCACTTAAGGAACTTCTTTGAAACTGAGTGCTTTATTCCATCTTCAGGGAGAAAGAAATGGAGTCAATGATTCCCTCTTGCAACAATAGACACTTTGTCCTGCCCTCAGTTGAAAGGAGAAAATGAAATAAGTGTTAAGTGAGAATTGACAAGTGCTTGTGCTGGACTACCAAAGGAAAGTGATAATGAACTCCCGAGTTTTTACAGTGTCTCCCTCTATGATCATATCCATACTCTCATGATGCATATTTCCTCAACCAAACACAGGCAGTAAGCCCTAGATTTTTCTTTTTCTCTTGAAAATTAGGAGATTGAATTTAGAAAGAATGAAAATGACTTGAGTTAGTAGCAAGACCATGTACTGGAGGGAATACAACATAGGGTCTGAAATTTACATCTGGGCTTGAATCCGACTAATCCAACTGCTTAACTCCAAGGTCGCGGTCCACATGACCTCGGAGATCTCTGCTTTTCTGAGTTGGTGGCCCCCATATTCTTCAATGGTAATCCCTTGCTTATATATTCATCCACTCATTCATTCAATATATACTTACTGAGCACTAATTATGTGCTAGGCATTATTGTTTATTCTAGAGATATGTTAGTTAAAAAAAACACAATGTCCTATTAAAGAGATGTAAGTGGTAAGATATGTAAATAAATTCAGTAGTGATATGCGATAAATCGGGTTAGTGTGAGAGCCCTGGTGATCAAGAAAGGCTTCTCTAAGGAGCAGAATAATCTGTATATTTTATAGATGGGGAGACAGAAGCCAGAAGAAGAGATAGGATGGGGCTGAGGTAACACAACTGGATTTTAGTCTAGGATATTCCACATGCAGAGTTATCTGGGGGCTCTGTGTTTGAGTCCAGCTTTGCCCAGTTCTGGAACCAAAGAAACCCTGATCTGGATGGACATTGCCTGACTGCCAGTGGAGCATTTTCTTATTCTTAGAGTTCTGTCAACTCCCATATCCTACAGAGCATCAGCCCAGAGCATGTGGGAAGTAGAAAATGGAGTGAGGGCGGTGGAGAAATCGACTGGGCACGGTGGAGCCAGGCATGGGAAATCCTGCTTCCTGCAGCCCTCTCCCTTCTCTTGTACTCTCCCCATTCATCATTATGACTCTCAGACCTGATCCAGTCACTCCTCTGCATGGCTGGGTCCCCTTTCTCATCAGAAAAAGACAGATTCCCTCCATGAAGAGGTAACTTCGTGACCTGCGCCTTGGTCACCACTCCGTCTTTCTCTACTGCTATTATCCCAACTCCTCTTGTAACAGTCTGAAAAAAATTAAGCTTGTTGCCATTTCATAAATAGGCCATGCTCTCTCAGCCTCTGAAATTCGCACTTGTTTTTTCTCTGTGGTTTCAATATCCTTTTATTCCCTGATCCACTCAAAACATGCCCATTCATCCTTTGATCCTCAAAGTTGACATCACCACCTCTGGCCAGCCGACAAGGACTTCCATGGCCCAGGCCAGGTGCTTAGCTCAGCTGTGTGTTTTCCACTCACTGCACACTTAGCTTCATCCTGATGCCTGTCCCCTTGCACCTGTGCACTGTTTTTTGTCTTTTCATGTCTCTCTTCCTTTCTCATTAGACCATAACAAAGTCTCCCAGAGCCAGGCAGTGGCTTGTGCCTGTAATTTCAGCTACTCTGGCGACTGAAGCAGTAGGATCACTTGAGGACAAGTGTTTAAGACAAACTTGGGCAAGATAGCAAGATGCTGTCTCTAAAATAATAATTAATTTAAAAGCTGAGCATGTTGACATGTTCCTATAATCCCAGCTATTCTGGAGGCTGAGGTGGGGAGATCACTTGAGCCCAGGGGTTCGAGGCTGCAGTGAGCTATAATCACATCACTGCACTCCAGCCTGGGTGACAAAGCAAGATCCTTTCTCTAAATAATAATACTGATAAAGTATCCTGAAGCAGGGACTATGTTTATTTCACTATGGAATCCTAAAAGCCTTACACTGTATTGCAATGGAATAAACACCAATAAATATTTGTTGAATAAACTTATGGATGAATGTTTGAACAGAAAACCATAGATGGAAATCATTAGGTCTCCTCAATATTTTAGGATTTTTCCCCTTTTTGAGATAAAATAAGGAAATCAAAATTTGATATGTTTAAGGTGGAAAACATGATGTTTTGATACATGTATATACTGCAAAATTATTACTACAAGCTGATTAACATTTTGATCTACTCACATATTTATTTATTTATTTTTTGGTGTTGAGAACATTTAAGATCTACTTTCTTAGCAAATTTCATGTACCCAGTACCTTATTATTAACTATAGTCACCATGCTATACATAAGATCTCCAGAACATATTTTATAGGGTTTGGATGTTTGTTCCCTCCAAATCCACGTTGAAATGTAATCTTCAGTGTTGGAGGTAGGGCCTGATGGGAAGTGCTTGAGTCATGGTGTGGATCCCTCATGAATGGCTTGGTGTCCTCCCCTTGGTAATGAATTCATATGAGAGCTGGTTGGTTAAAAGAGCTTGGCATCTGTATTAGTCTGGTCTCACATTGCTATAAATACCTGAGACTGGGTAAATTATACAGAGGTTTAATTGGTGTATGGTTCTTCAGGCTATACAGGATGCACAGCAACTTCTCCTTCTGAGGAAGCATCAGGGAGCTTTTACTCATAGTGGTTGAGCAAAGGAGCAGGCATCTTACATGGCAGAAGCAGGACCGAGAGAGAGAGAATAGGTGCCGTACACTTTTAAGAAATAAGATTTCATAAGAACTCCATATTGGTGATGACAGCACCAAGGGGGAATGTGTTAAACTATGAGAAGCTGCCCCAGTGATTGAATCATCTCCCACCATGCCCCACCTCTAGTATTGGGGATTACATTTCAGCATGACATTTGGGTGGGGACACAGATCCAAACAATATTATTTCACCCCTGACCCCTTTCAAATCTCCTGTCCTTCTCACATTGCAAAATACAATCTCCTAATAGTCCCCCAAAGTATTAACTCATTCCAACATTAACTCAAAAGTCCACAGTCCAAAATCTCACCTGAGACAGGGCAAGTCCCTTCTGCCTATGAGCCTGTAAAATAAAAAACAAGTTAGTTACTTCCAAGATACAGTGGAAGTATAGGGATTGGGTAAATATTCCCATTCCAAAGGAAAGAAATCATACAAAAGAAAGGGGCTACAGACCCCATACTAGTCTGAAACCTTAAAGCGCCAAAATAATCTCCATTGACTCCATGTCTTTATCCAGGGCACAGTGGTGTGAGGGATAGGCTCCTGTTAACCATCACAGCTCCCAAAGTCTTAGGCAGCTCTGCCTCTGTGGCTTTGCAGAGTTTAGCCCCTGTGGCTGCTCTCATGAGCAGAACACAAGCTGCTGGTAAATCCACCATTCTGGGGTCTGGAGGATGGTGGCTCCCTTCTTACAGATCTACTAGGCAGTGCCCCAGTGGGGGCACCAACCCCATATTTTCCCTTCATACTCCCCTAATAGAAGTCCTCCATGAGGGCTCTGTTCCTTCTGGGTGCTTCTGCCTGGGCACCCAGGCTTTTCCATACATCCTCTGAAATTTAGGCAGAGGCTTCCAAGCATCAGCTCTTGCACTCTGCATACATGCAGGCTTAACACCACATAGAAGCTGCCAAGGCTTATGGATTGCACCCTCTGAAGAAGCAGCCCCAGCTGTACTTTGGCCCCTTTTAGCCACAGCTGCAGTGGCTGGATGTGCATGGCAGTGGGGCTCAGGGCCTATCCAATAAACCAGTTAGTCCTCCTATGCCTCTGGGCCTGTCATGGGTGGGGCTGCTGCAGACATCTCTGAAATGCCCTGGATGCCTTTTCCCCATTGTCTTGGATATTAGTACTTGGCTCCTTTTAACTTTTGCAAATTTCTGCAGCCAGCTTGAATTCCTTCCCTCAAAATGGGCTTTTCTTTTCTACCAAATGGTCAGGCTGCAAAGTTTCCAAACATTTACACTGTGCCTCCTTTTTAAATATAAGTTCCAGTTTTAGGTAATTTCTTTGCTCAGACATATAAGCATAGACTCATAGAAACAGCCAACTCTTGAAAGCTTTGCTGCCTAGAAATTTCTTCTGCCAGTTACTCTAATCCAACACTCTCAAGTTCAAAGTTCCACAGATCCCTGGAGCAGGGGCAAAATGCAGCCAGGTTCTTTGCTAAAGCACAGCAAAAGTGACTTTCACCCAAGTTTCCAGCAAGCTCCTCATTTACATCTGATACCTCCTCAGCCTGGACTTCATTGTCCATATCACTATCAGCATTTTGGTCACAATTTAACAAGTCTTTAGGAAGTTCTAAATTTTCCTTCATCTTCCTACTTCTTCTGAGCAATCCACACTCTTCCAGCCTCTGCCTTTTACCCAGCTCCAAAGCTGCTTCCACATTTTCAAGTATCTTTACAGCAATGCCCCACACCTCTGTACCAATTTTCTGTGTTAATCTGTACTCACATTGATCTAAAGAACTCCCTGATACTGGTTAATTTATAAAGAAGAGAGGTCTCACTGGCTCACAGTTCTGCAGTCTATATAGGATACATAGTGGCTTCTGCTTCTGGGGAGGCCTCAGGAAACTTTCATTCTTAGAGGAAGACAAAGTGGGAGCCAGCGTCTTACATGGCAGGAGCAGGATCGAGAGAAAGAGGGGAGGTGCCACACACATTTAAACAACCAGATCTCACAGAAACTTGCTATTGTGACAACACCACCAAAGGGGAATGTTATTAAACTATGAGAAAATGATCCAATTGCCTCCCACCAGGCCCCACCTCCAGCACTGAGGATTGCATTTCAACATGAGATTTGGGTGGGGACACAGATCCAAACCGTTATCAGTATATCTCTTGCTTCCTCTCTGGCTATAAGATATACATGCTCCCCTTTCATCTTCCACCTTGATTGGGAGCTTCCTGAGGTCTCACCAGAAGCAGATGCTGACACTCTGCTTCCTGTACAGAACCATGAATAAAAATAAACCTCTTTTCTTTATTAATTACCCAGTCTCAGGCATTTCTTTATAGCAATGCAAAATGGACTAATACAATATTCATCTTGCTTAACTGAAACTTCACATCGTTTGGCCAATATCTCTCCATTTCTCCCACTCCCCAATCCCTTTCCACCACCATTCTAATCTCTATTTCTACGAGTTTGACTTTTGAACATTCTATAAGTAAATGAGATCGTGCAGTATTTGTCTTTCTGTGCCTGGCTAATTTAACTTACCACTGTGTCTTCCAGTTTCATCCATGTTATTGAAAATGACAGTATTTCTTTCTTTTTTATTTTTAAAACCTTTTAACTGATACATCATGGTTGCACATATTTTTAGAGTACAAGTGATATTTTCATAATGTATACAATGTGTTATGAGCAAATCAAGGTCACTGGGATATCCATCACCTCAAATATTTATATTTTGTTTGTATTGAGAACACTGCAATTCTTCTTTTCTAGCTATTCTGAAATAAACTAAATTATTGTTAAATATAATTTTTATTCTTATTATCAAACTCTAGAGCTTATTCACTCTATACAACTGTACATTATTACTCATTAATCAATTTCTCTTCATCCCCATCTTCCACATTGTTTTCATTTTTAAAGCCAAATAATATTCAATTTTGGGTGTGTGTTTGTGTAGGTGTATATGTTTAACATTTTCTTTATCTATGCATCCATCTGTGGACACTTAGTTTAAGTCTATATCTTAGCTACTATGAATAATACAGCAATGGACATAGGAGTGCAGATGTGTCTACAACATACTAATTTTATTTCCTTTGAACATATACCTAGAAGTGGGATTGTTGGATGATATGGTTTGGCTCTTTGTCCCCACCCAAATCTCACCTTGAATTGTAATCCCCCTGTATCAAGGGAGTGACCTGGTGGGAGGTGACTGGATCATGGCAGTAGTTTCCCCCATGCTGTTCTCATGACAGTGAGTGAGTTTTCACAAGACCTGGTGGTTTAAAAGTGTTCTTTAGTTCTCCCCTCACTCTTTCTCTCTCCTGTCACCATGTAAGATGTGCCTTGCTTCCCCTTTGCCTTCTGCCATGATTGTAAGTTTACTGAGGCCTCCCCAGCCATGTAGAACTGTGAGTTAATTAAACCTCTTCTCCTTGTAAATTACTCAGTCTCAGGTAGTTCTTTACAGCAGTGCAAAAACAGACTAATACAGTGGATCAGAAAGTATTTCTACTTTTTATTTTTTGAGGAATCTCCATACTATTTTCCATAATGGCTGTACCACTTGACATTCCAATCAATATTAAACAAGGATTATTTTTTCTCACATCCTCATCAACGCTTGTTAGATTTTGTCTTTTGGATAATAGCCATTCTTACATTTTCCTGATAAATAGTGATATTGAACATCTTTTCATTAATCTGTTGGCCATTTGTTTGTCTTCCTTTGAGAAATGTATTTTTGGGTCCTTTGCTTATTTTTATTTTATTTATTTTTTCTTGCTAGTGAGTCGTTTGAGTTACCTATATATTGTGGATATTAACTCCTTATCAGATTATTGCTTGCAAATAGTTCTCCCATTCCATAGGTTGTCTCTTCACTCTACTGATTGATTCATTTGCTGTGCAGGAACTTTTTAGATTGATGCAATCTCATTCGTCTATTTTTGCTTCTGTTACCTAAGTTTTTTGGGGTCAAAAATCCCCCCCCCCAAAAAAAACGTTGCTCAGACCAATGTCAATAAGCTGTTTGCCTATGTTTTCTTTCCGTAGTTTTACAATTTGAAGAGAGACTTACATTGAAGTCATACAATTTGTATTCTTTATCTTTTAACGTGTTATATCACATTTATTGATTTGTGTATATTTAAGGATCCTTGCTTCCCAGAGATAAATCCCATGTCATCATGGTGTATGATATTCAATGTGCTGGTGATTTTAGTTTATTGGAATTTTGTTGAAAATTATTGCATTTATGTTCATTATAGACATTGGCCCATATTTTTGTTTCTTGTGGTATTATTATTTGACTTTGGTATTAAGGTAATTCTGGCTTCATAAGATGAGCTTGGAGATGTTTGTTCCTCTTTCATTTTTGGGAAGTGTTTGAGAAAGATTGACGTTAATTCTTCTTTAAATGTTTGTCAGAATTCAGCAATGAAGATTTTAGCTCCTGGGTTTTTCTTTGTTAAGAGATTTTGCTTACTGTTTCAATCTTCTTACTCACAGTTGCTCTGTTAGATTTTCTATTTCATCATGATTCAGTTTTTGGAGGTTATATGTTTCTAGCAATTTACAGATTTCTTCTAGCTTGTCTAATTTATTGGCATACAATTGTTCATAGTAGTCTCTTATGATCTACTCTGTGGTATCGGTAGTAATGTCTACTCTGTCCTTTATAATTTTATTTGTTTGAATCTTCTCCCTTTTTCCTTAGTTAGCTTTGCTAAGGATTTGTTAATCATATCTTTAAAAAAATTCTTAGTTTCATTGTTATTCTCTGTTGTTTTTCTAGTCCTTAGGAATATGAAGAGTCAGGACACAGCATGATTATGAGACAGTTCTTGGAATCTTTGAGTTTTCTCTAGTATAAGTTTTCTTCTAGTTTTAACTAGTCCTTGTTCTGTAGTCCTCTGGCAAAAACTGTTGGACTTTTCTAATCTAAAATGTACATACATGTTATATCTGTATTTACTTCTTAGGGCTGCCTTAACAAAGTACTACAAACTAGGTGATTTAAACAACAGACATTTGTTGTCTCACATAAATGACATCACATATGTATGAATGTTGGGGCAAAACAATTTAATCCGTAACAGATCTGTAGTGAGTTGAATAGTGTCCCCTCAAAATTTATGTGTACCAGGAACATCAGAATCTGAATGCATTTAGAAATAAGGTCTTTGCAGATATCATTAGTTAAAAGTAATAGATTTCTGTGGTTTAAGACCTCAGTTTGTGGTACTTTTTCATGGAATCCTTAGTAAGTGAATGCAGGGTGTATTGTGTCTACACTTCAGGTTAGGTAAGCCCAAACCAGGTCTGTCAGAGATTTACAAAGCAAAATCTAGTTCTACAGGAAGGGATTATTGCAACTGGATTAGGTAGTCAGGGTTTAAAGATTGACTATCAGACCTAAGAGGAGAACGCAGAGACTAACAGTTAAAGTCTAGCTTTAGAGTTACAGTGTTCGGTGTTCATTTCCTAACTCCATCACATATAAAGTGGTTAAACCTGAGAAAACAATTTAACCCCTTGGTGCTTCCATTTCCTCCTAGGTCAAGTGAGGAAACCAGCCCCCTCCTTGCTAGAATTGAGTGAATAATAAAATAGTTGATTGTGTGTAAAGTGATTGGAGTGCTCTTGGCTCAAGGTAAATAAGGGATAGACAGAGAACCTCCAACTCACCAAAGGCAGGCATAGATAAAAGTGTGTATATGGAATCTGTAGCATGAGGCCCATGTGAGCCCACTGGGCTCAGTCACTCCTGCACCAGGGCGGAGTGACCCTGGGTCACATCCCGGTGTGAAAGAGTTCTTTATAATAGCAGATGGATCGAGCTTCTCTAGCTATGCTGGGAGGATAATGGGTGGGTCTGATTGTGATCCAAATCCTTAAGAGGCTGCAGTATTGTCTATTACCAAGTAGATCAGGAGAGGCCTTAATCCTATCTTTCTTGAGCTCCTCATTCTCAGCCAACCAACAGAAGGGAAAACCCTAACTCTTACAAAACTGAGAACCATCATTTTGCCAGATTAATAATCCTTGTTTGTTTGTCTGAGTTCTAAACTCCCAGGGCACACTATTTCCATGCACATCATTATCAAATGTAAACACAGCCTCTGTAGTAATTATGTTTCTAGGTCTGTGTTTGTGGTTTGAGCCCCTTCATCAGGGAGGATTTTCTCTTAGGCAAGATGTGGTCAGACGTTATCATGTTCATGTGAATTACCTCCCCTTATTTCTGCACCCTGGTATAGTCAAATGAATTCTTGGGCAGGATCAGTTTGTAAGGAAGATGTTGTTCGATTATTACGTTATTTATTTTCTCTTTACTTTGGTTGCACTTACCTGGAATTTTCTTTACCCCATTCCCCATCCCTATCTTCTAAGTAAAAACACAAGACTTCAGGGAATATAGAAAATCACTTGAGAAGGTGGGAGGGTTTAGTACCAAAATTTTACTTTTTGCCTTTAATAGTACCCAAGTCACCACTTGAATGCTTTGCTGCTTAGAAATTCCTTCCACCTGACACCCTAAATCATCTCTCTCAAGTTCAAAGTTCCACAAGTCTCTAGGGCAGGGGCAAGACGCCGCCAGTCGCTTTGCTAAAACATAACAAGAGTCACCTTTGCTCCAGTTCCCAACAAGTTCCTCATTTCTATCTAAGACCACCTCAGCCTGGATTTTATTGTTCATATCACTATCAGCATTTGTGTCAAAGCCATTCAACAAGTCTCTAGGAAGTTCCAAAGTTTCCTACATTTTCCTATCTTCTTCTGAGCCCTCCAAATGTTCCAACAACTGCCTGTTACCCAGTTCCAAAGTCGTTTCCACATTTTCAGGTATCTTTTCAGCAACACCCACTCCTGGTACCAATTTACTGTATTAGTCCATTTTCATGCTGAGAAGGTGGGAGGGTTTGGTACCAAAATTTTACTTTTTGAGAAATTTAGCTAGCCATAAATTCCTCATCCAGTTGTGTGATAAGTTAAAATCTGTTTCACAGTCAACAGCCTTCATGGAGACAGCACACAAGCTCTTCAAGGCAACATGTCAAGCAGTGTCATGAGGCTGCTCACTCACCCCTAGAAAAAATAATACAGAATGGGAAACTCATCCTGGGAAGCAAAGAGGCTCTCTCAAGGACCCCTAAGATCAGAGTTAGTGACAACAAACAAATATACCATATTAGTCCGTTTTCACACTGCTGGTAAAGACATATCTGAGACTGGGAAGAAAGAGGGGATTAATTGAACTTACAGTTCTACATGGCTAGAAAGGCCTCAAAATCATAGTGGGAAGTGAAAGGCACTTGTTACATGGCAGCGAGAAGATAAAATGAAGAAGATGCAAAACCGGAAACCCCTAATAAAACCATCAGATCTCGTGTGACTTATTCACTACAACGAAAACAGCATGGGGGAAACCACCACCATGATTCAAATTATTTCCCACCAGGTCCCTCCCCAAGCCCAGGTACTTGGTGCCTGGCATCCCAGCTGTTCCAACCATGGCTGAAGGGGGCCAATGTAGAGCTCAGGCCGTGGCTTCAGAGGGTGCAAGCCTCAAGCCTTGGCAGCCTCCATATGGTGTTGAGCCTGCAATTGCATAGAAGTCAAGAATTGAGGTTTGGGAACCTCTGCCTAGATTTCAGAGAATGTATGGAAATGCCTGGATGTTGAGGCAGAAGTTTACTGTACAGGCAGGGCCCTCATGAAGAACCTCTGCTAGGACAGTGTGGAAGGGAAATGTGGGGTCGGAGCCCCAACACAGAGTCCTTACTGGGCCACCACCTAGTGAAGCTGTGAGAAGAGGGTCACTATCCTCCAGACCCTAGAATGGTGGATCCACCAACAGCTTGCACCATGCACCTGGAAAAGCCACAGACACTCAACACCAGCCTGTGAAAGCAGCCAGGAGTGGGGAAATACCCTGCAAAGCCTCAGGGGCAAAGCTGCTCAAAGCCATGGGAGCCTGCCTCTTGCATCAGTGTGACCTGGATGTGAGACATGGAGTCAAAGGAAATCTTTTTGGAGCTTTAAGATTTGACTACCCAGCTGGATTATGGACTTGCATGGGGCCTGTGGCCCCTTTGTTTTGGCCAATTTCTCCCATTTGGAATGGCTGCATTTACCCAATGCCTATACCCCCATTGTATATAGGAAGTAACTAACTTACTTTTGATTTTACAGGCTCATAGGTGAAAGGAACTTGCCTTATCTCAGATGAGATGTTGGACTGTGGACTTTTGAGTTAATGCTGAAATTAGTTAAGACTTTGGGGGATTGTTGGGAAGACAGGACTGGTTTTGAAATGTGAAGATATGAAATTTGGGAGGGGTCAGGGGCAGAATGATGTGGTTTGGCTCTGTTTCCACTCAAATCTCATCTTGAATTGTAACTCCCACAATTCCCACATGTCAAGGGAGGAACCCAGTAGGAGGTGATTTGGATTATGGGATTGAGCCTTTCCTGCACTGTTCTCATGATAGTGAATGAGTCTCTTGAGGTCTCATAGTTTTAAAAAGAGGGGTTCCCCTGCCGAAACTCTCTCTTTGCCTTCTGCCATCCATGTAAGACATGACTTGCTCCTCCTTGCCTTCTCCCATGACTGTGAGGCTTTCCCAGCCACGTGGAACTGTAAGTCCAATTAAACTTCTTTCTTTTGTAAATTTCCCAGTCTTGGGTATGTCTCTATCAGCAGCATGAAAACGGACTAATGCAAACATGTAGGAATGGGAAGAAAGGAGTATTGCAATGTTATAGTCAGTGTCTCAGGAAGACTTCTTCAGCAGGGTGGCATTTTAGTCAAGGCATAGGGCGATATGGCAGTAAGTCCTGTAGATGTTTGTAGGAACAGCATTCTACCCAGAGGGAACAGTAAATGCACAGGAAGACACAGGGAACATTTGAAAAGAGCAGGGAGAGACCTGCATGGCTAAGCTGAACAAACAAAGGGAAGGGGCTTGGAAATGGAATTGGAGATGGCAGCAAAAGTACCCAGGGCCTGCTGAATTAACAGTTTCATTTATTTATTTATGTATTCATTCATTCATTCATTCATTCATGTGTCTATTTATTTTTGAGACAAGTTCTCACTCTCTCACCCAAGCTGGAGTGCAGTGGTGCAGTCATGGCTCACTGCAACCTCAACCTCCAGGGCTCAAGCGATCCTCTCACCTCAGCCCTTGAATAGCTGGGACTACTGGCTTGCGCTACCACACCCAGCTAATTTTCAATTTTTTGTAGAAGTGGGGTCTCCCTGTGTTGCCCAGGCTGTTCTTGAACTCCAGGACTCAAGGGACCATCCTGTCTCCGCCTCCTAAAGTGCTGGGATTAGAGGCGTGACCCACCATGAAATAACTGTTTTTCACACCAAGTAAGATCGGGGAACCACTGGAGTGCTTTAAAGGATGACTAAGATGATGTGGTTTGTATTTTCAAAGCATCACTCTGTCTCTTAGGTAGACTAGAGGAGAACAAGCTCAGGAACAGGGACTTGCAGCCCCGATCCAAGCAAGAGATGACGGTGGCTTGGATGAAGGTGGTGGCAAGGGAGAAGCTCTGCAGTGGTCAAATTCTGGACATAATACAGTGACAATTCAATGCCCTTCACTGAGTTGTTATTGCAAGGAATAAATGAGTAACTATGTAAAACATTTCCAGCAATGTCCTAAGTAAGTGTTACTTGTGTTTCTGCCTACAGATAGACACACCATTATTGGTGACAACATATTATAAAATTTTCCTAGTACAAAACCAATAGTTTGATCTCCCTTTTTCCTCTTTCCCTTCCTTCATTCCTTTCTTTTCCTTTTTTTTAGATGGAGTCTTGCTCTTGTCACCTAGGCTGGAGTGCAGTGGCATGGCTCACTGCAACCTCTGCCTCCTGGACTCAAGTGATTCTCCTGCCTCAGCCTCCTGAGTAGCTGGGATTAAAGGCAACTGCCGCCATGTCTGGCTACTTTTTGTACTTTTAGCAGAGACAGGGTTTCACTATGTTGGCCAGGCTGGTTTCGAACTCCTGACTTCAGGTGATCCGCCCGCCTCAGTCTCCCAAAGTGCTGGGATTACACATTCCTTTCTTATTTTATTTATTTCTCCTTCTTTTCTTCCTTTCCTCTTTCTTCCCCCTTCCCTTCTATCTTTCATACGTTAATGTATCCATTCAAAGGCAGATAGTTATAATGATTAATCATGTCGGGTGTGGAGTCATACAGACTTGGATTGGCTGTGCCATTGAACATCTGTGTTACCTTAAGTAAGATTAAGATTCTCAACTTCCAGGAGCCTTAGCCTCATTATTTCTAAAGTGAGCACAACAATGGTGTCTACTGTAGGTGGTTGATTTGAAGATTGGGGTAATTCATAGAAAACCCTTAGTCTGGGGCTTGATGCTATAAATTGTTATTAAAAGCTGGCTTTATTATTTATTGTTGCATCAAGTCTGTATTGCCACTAATAACCACTGTGTTTCATATATATAAAGAAAGGGTGCAAAACATATTTACATAGCCCCAACTCTCTACCAGCTCAGAGCTACAGGGGCCCAAGGAAGCAGCAGAGAGCAATAACAGACAAGTCATCTAGAACAGCAAAGCAGGGGAAAATATGGTGTGCTATCCAGTGGTATCTAATCTAGCCCATGAATTTGTAAAAGCCTTTCTGTTGGAGGAAGCAATATTTAAACTCAACCCTAAGGGATTAGTTGAAGTTAGGCGGAGGTTTCCCAGCAGTTTAGGCAGAAGAAGAAACAAGAAAAAAGATTCTGAGGCAAAATATGGCATTACCCAGTCAGAAACTGTAAGCTGTTCCAAGAGAGATTAGTAGAAAATCCTTCTGACAATCAGGTGGTTTTGAACTGGTGAAACGAATTAAACATTTGAACATCTTAAAGCTGGATTTCTTCTTTCACAATTATTCTCTTTGGCCTCAGAAGGAACTCATGATTATAACACCTGTCTTAGCTAATGTCCAAATAATGATATCAATTAGAGGGAAAGAAAAACAGATTCACCACTTTGCCCCACAGCCTCTCCTCCTGTGCCCCAAATCCCCACCATTTTTGTTAATAGCATCAGTATCACCCAGCAGTGAATGAAACTTACTTTCTTTGACAGCTCCTTTTCCGTGTTCCCTGGCTGTCCTTCCCATGCAAGTATGTACATGCATACACAGACATACAAGCAAACACACATAAATTCACCCAGCTAGACACAGAATTATGTCAATCATATCTCCACTACATCTCCTTTTTCCAGCTCCTTTTAGTACTATTGCTGGATCCATATTATGACGTCACTCAGCAAGAATGTTGTGATAGCCCACAATTCATCTTCCCGCACTCCTGCTCCTAGAACAGGCCAGTGGTTAGAAGGCCATTGCTACCAGAATAATCTTTAAATCAAGGGTCAGCAAACGTTTTCTATAAAGGGTCAAAAAGTAAATATCTTAGGTTTTATGGGCCAAGGTTTCTGTGTTGCAACTACTCAACTCTATCATTGTATTGCTAAGGCAGTCACAAACCCGATATGAATGAGAGGGTGTGGCTATGTTCCAATAATATTTTATTTACTAAAACAGAGGTCAGATTTGGCCCTGCTCTTAAGTAAAACTCTTAGCAACACCCCACAACTTCTTCCCACACATACCTTCTGTAGTAATGTCCCCAACCTGAAAGTACACATACTCACTACCACTTCTCAGTTATCATTTCAATCACTTTTCTTCTGGTGACCCCCACCTTCTCACTATGTCTTTACCTTTCTGCTTCACTAAATATTCTCAGTCTTCTGAACATCCGCTATTTGGGTGTCTCTCCTGCCAAATTGCCTAATTAGACTCTTATTCACCTTTCAATTCCATATCTGACACTGGTTCCTTCTCCCAGGGATCTTCTTTATACTGGGAGTTCATCTAAGAAGGTCAGGAAAAAGCTTTTGGGCATTAATGTTCTTACTAGTAGACTTCAGTAGGAAAGAACATGTTGTCATCTTGACAGAGACATTAAGACCACTGCTCTTGACCGACAAATTATTTGACTCTCTTTGCATTGAGTTGCACTGTGAAGTGAGGTATTTGAGTTGAGAAGTTGGGTATTTGATCCTTTCTCTTTGACCACAGAATATGGACAAAAGAATCTGTGACAGTTTCCAGGCTCTGGATTAAGAGAGTGGAATCTTTCACTTTCTGCCTCTTAGAACATTCTATCTGGGAACCCTAGATACTGTTTAAAGAGTCCGACTTTTCTGAGACTGACTACCATACTGGAGATGCTAGGTGTTGGTGCTCAAGTCAGCAGTCTTAGCTGAACCCAGACTTTGAGCCAAGCCCATCAGAACATGAGCCATGTGAGTAGAGTCATCTTGGACTCTATAGCCCATCCACCAGCCAAAGAGATTTGAATAACCTCCATCAGCAGCACAGGGAGCAGGACAGTCATCCAACCAAGCCCTGCCCAAATTCCTCACCAACACAATCATGAGATAAAACAAAATGGTTGTGTTATTAAGTCATTACTTTTTTTGGCTAGCTCATAACACACAATACATAAGCACAATGTAGACTTCTAAATGAATGAACCTGTTGTCCTCAACATTTTCCCCAAGCCAGTAGGTTTTTCACATTCCTGTTTATTTTGTCATTGATCTCCTTCTGCCCAGAATGCACTTCTGCTGTGATTGTTCCTGTGTAGTCTTCCCTTTATTGTCTGTTAAAATCCTAATTTTATTTTATATCCATGTATAATATCACTTCCCCCATGAAGCCTTTTTTGATTTCTCCAGAGAGTTATTGACTGATTCTTTAAAGTTCTCCAGGCACATGATTTATAGATTCATCCATGTAGTGGTTGACTTGTTTTCTGAAATTTCTTTTAATGTAGCTGCCTTCCCCAGCTCAGTTTTTGATATAGTTGTTGAAAATTAGTAGCCACTTAGTAAACATTTATTGAAAGATTCAGTGCAAAAGCTGGGATTTGCACTCTAGTAGTTGGCATATTAGGTTAAAGGTATTGAAGAAAACATAATCATTTACTTACAAATCTAATACAAACTATCCCTATCCCCATCTTAAAAGATAAATGAGTTTTGATATTTCCAACATATAATGTATGTCAGAAAAACATATGGAGGCTAAGTTTTGCTGTGATAATAAGTAAACCCTAAATTTCATAGTTTAAGATGGTATAGGTTTAATTCTCACTCATGCAACAGTATAACACAGATTAGGCAGCTCTCTTGGGCAAAATATTCTTAAGTGGTTATCCATGTATTCAGACTTGTATCTTACAACTCTGCCAATATTGCAGTTATTTTCTTACAGGCCAACAGATAGAAGAAAGGAGTATGGAGAACATGTACCACTATGTTTTGTCTGAGTCAGGGTGACATATGGCTTCTGCTCACGTTCCAGTTGGAAGACACTTAATTACGTGGTCTCCACCTGCATAAAAAGAAGTCTGGAAAATGTAGTCTTTCTGTGTATCCAGGGAGAGAAAATCGCGTGGCAAACACATGTTGTCTCTCTTACAGAGACTGTATTGGTTAGCTCTTGATGAGAAACAACCCAAAATGTAAAATATTCATGTATTTTTTTTCTTTAAATTATTTGAGTCAGCTAAGCAATTATTTGAGTCAGGTCTGTGTTGCATCATCTGGGATTCGATGGTCTAGATTAGTAGTTTTCAAATGAGCCAATTTATATACCTACTTCCAACACCACCAGGGGACATTTGGCAATGTCTGGACACACTTTTGCTTGTCATAACTGGGGGATTTTATTGGCATCTGGTGTATAAAGGCCAGGGATTCTGCTAGTCACTCTACAATGCACAGGACAAGATTCTGAAGAAAAAAAACACTTCAGGCCCAAAATATTAATAGCAGGGAGGTAGAGAAACTCTAGTATAGGATGACCTAACTCAGATGTCATAGGCTGTTCATGCTAAGGAGGACTCAGCTGAGAGGGATGGACTTTCTTCCATGGGGCTTCCATCTTCCAGTATGAGGACAAAGGCTTCTTTACATCACAGTCTCAACATTATAAGGAGCAGCAAGAAAGAGAAGTTCTAATATGTAAGCATTTTTAAGCCTCTGTTTAGATCCACTTTTCAATGTCTCATTGGCCAAAGCATTTAATCTCTTGAGGGGAAAAGCTGAAAATGTGGACCATTTTGCAAGCTAAAACAAAGATCTTGTGTAAAAGTTTTAGTCCTCTACTATACTCTCAAGCTCTATGTGATAAATATGTGTAATAATTCAATGCATTACAACAGGTGTAATTATTATCTCCTTTTTACACAGAGCATTCATAGTGATTTGTAATGATTTAGACTGTGGGCTATGGTGTCAAACTGACTGGGTTCAAATCCCAGCTCCAATATTTTGTATAGAACATAGGGTAAACAGCATACTTTCTCTGTACTTCTATTTCCTCATCTGTAAACCAGAAACAATGACAATAATAACTATTTTTGAGAAGATAACATGAGATATTATATGTAAACTACTGAGTACCCTCTGGAATATAGTAAGAGCTTAATAAATAGCATGTATTAATTGCTGTTAGTAGTGTTATTTCTCTGATTTTGGAAGGGAGCCCAGAGGGGTTCTAACTCCTTTGATAAGATGGTAGACATTTTTTTTTCCTTTTCTCCTATTCTGTCCTAGATCACAGATGAAGAAATGGCAATAACAACTCTTTATTTTTAGCTTGTGATGATGTGAGTGCTGAGCCATCATTCTCATTCAAGTCTCTTGTGATTGAAAAAGACTAAAAGGCACCTATAGGCACCATGAACCATCTGAAAGCCATACACGTGGATGGGAATTCGATGTGTACTCTGTTATGTTGGAGGACAGAATAGATCTGTTGGGTGAGAGTTATTAGGAGTTTCAGTTTTACTAAATGTAAGGACAAACTTGATAACAATCAGGGCATCAAACAATGGATGTGCTGCTCTAGCATCTTAAGTTGGTTTCCAAGAAGCAGCTCCTGATTTGATGAAGTACATGTAAGTGGAGAATGGAGAAACAGAAAGTAAAATGAAGACAGAAAGAGACCAAGGAAATCCGTCATATCAAGTATGCAATATCAACCTTTGGAGGGTGACTTGGGCTCCATCCCAGAAGGGAGCCTTGGAAACAGTGAAAACAGTGATAGTCACTCTCAGAGTTTCTGAATCAGAGCAAGAGGACTGGGGTATTTATACTCCTGCCCTCATCACTGGTTAAGTCATGAGGAGGAGTTGGTATACATTCACAGATACTTCTGGTTCTATGCGTTGTTATGTATGCAGGTAATGAGGGTCCTGGTAGTCTGAGGGCAGCCCTCTAATTGCTACTGTTGGGAGCAGAGGCACACCAGAAGCTGGTAGACAGAAAAAAAGTAGTGAAAGTGGTTTGCACGAATATCCTTGCAGCTCTGAAATCACCAGCTCTGCTTTGTCTGTTGTTATATTTCATTTCTGGAGAGATCCAGGCAGAAGCTGCCAACTTCAACACCTATTTTGACACTGAGAGTCATTTAATAAAGGCTTTCTTTATAATAGTACATTACTATTGCTTGGTTTTGTTTGGCAACCTTTGAAAACAAAGTGCTTAAAGAAATCCTTCCCCCAAATATGTAAGCCTGGTCTTCAGTTGACTGATGTCTGCCTGGGCCTTCTCTGTGGTGATTCTGCAGTTTCTGACTTCAGACAGACTTGGCTTCTTAATCTTCCTTTGAGCTCTTTGGGCTGAAGAATTTTGAGCAAATCACCTAAAACCCTTGTTCTTCCATGACTTTACCTGTAAAATAGAGCCAATAATACTTACCTTTTGGGTCTAATAAGATTTATCCACCTGGTTCACAATAGGCACTTTTATAAATACTGTATGCATTTCTTTATTCTCAATTTGAAACAGGAAAATCGAAGGCAGAAAGATTAAGTTGTCTCTCAAGTCACTTAGGGAGAATAGGGATTATGAGTGTTCTACTGACTCTTTCCCTAGCACAGTTTCTAATGTATCATTTTATATGGAAAATGAGATAAAGCCAACTAGAATGTAGAAAAACAATAGATCAAAACCTAGCACCATTGTTGATGTCACTACTATTGTTGTTGTTGTTATCATCCATCTGTCCTACTTCCTAGCTATTTGACCTTAACAAATTACTTACTTACTTTCTTTGTGCCTCAGTTCTCTCTGATACAAAACATGAGCACTGGGCTACATGGGTATAATGTTCCTTCCAGCTCCAACTACCCACCATTCTAGAAGGCTGTATTAGTCCGTTTTCATGCTGATGATAAAGACAGACATGAGACTGAGAAATTTTCAAAAGAAAAAGGTTTTATTTTATTTTATTTTATTTTACTTTATTTTATTTTATTTTTTGAGAAGAACCTTCATCCTTCTTGCCTATGCTGGAGTGCAATGGTGCAATCTCAGCTCACTGCAACCTCCGCCTCCCAGGTTCAAGAGATTCTCCTGCCTCAGCCTCCCAAGTAGCTGGGATTACAGGCACCTGCTACCATGCCCAGTTAATTTTTGTTTTTAGTAGAGACGAGGTTTTGCCGTGTTAGCCAGGCTGGTCTCGAACTCCTGACCTCAGGTGATCTGCCCTACTTGGCCTCCCACAGTGTTGGGATTAAAGGCGTGAGCCACTGCGTCCAGCCGCAAAGAGGTTTTAATTCATCTCACAGTTCCATGTGGCTGAGGAGTTCTCACAATCATGGTGGAAGGCAAGGAGGAGCAAGTCACATCTTACATAGAGAGCAGCAGGCAAAGAGAGAACTTGTACAGAGAAACTCCATTTTTTAAACCATCAAATCTTGTGAGATTCATTCACTAACACGAGAACAGCATGAGAAAGACCCACCCTCATGATTCAATCATCTCCCACTAAGTTGTTCCCACAATGCATGGGAATTATGGGAGCTACAAGATGAGATTTGGGTGGGGACACAGAGCCAAACCATATCAGAGGTAAAGATGAAAAGAAAGCATTTCAGGCTTAGGAGCCTAAGTGCAGTGATATGAGTGGACTTATACTTTTTTAATAGGTAGTGAGGCTCCAGTGTCCACAGGTGGAAGTGAGAAAATATAGCTGGTTGCCAGTGGAACTCGTATTCTCTGGTGACTGGTTGGAAATAGTGTTTATTTGTTTCTTTTTAAGATTATTTTCAATCCTGAGGTTTGGAGATTTGGTAATGATTTTAAAAATTATAATTCTAATGAAGGTTACCTGTCAGGTACTGAGTATATTAGAAGGAAAAGCAGCCACAAATCAAGCAGAATATTGTGCAGTAAGCTGCTTTTCCCACAAACACTGTGAGGTTACAATACCACAACTGAATAGCTCTTTGAAATACTTCACTAAATTACTCTGTTGGGTACCCCTTATTAAGCAATCTGCTTCAGAAAGTTCTTTATTTTCCAGGACTGGCAAAGTCTCACAATTTCTTTAAGCTGGGGGGCTTGGTGCTGTCTGTTTCGAGAGATTTGTCTGCCTGGCGAGTGGCCCATATTACCTTCCTTGTTGGGCCTTGATAAGTGTCTCTGAACAAAGGGAAAACAATTTTTACAACTCTTCCAGTCAATTGGAGGCTGAACTGTGGGATGGAACAAAGCTCTGTTCCATCCCACAGTGCCAATTTGCCCTTATCAAGTGCAACAGAGAAAATGTGGAGGCGCGTTACTGCGAGAATAGGAAAGCACTCCCAACAAAATGAGAAAACAGTTATTGGACTCATTTTATCAACCCAGGGCTAGCTCTCCAGCAATTTTCATACAATTACGCCACGTTCGAATCGCCTCACCATATGGCTTGGCATTGATCATTTTGCCGTGATGATAATTTAATATGTAGTGTGGATGTTTGCTTGTTTTGTTAATAAAATTTTCATTTTGGTGTTCTGATTTCATCACAGAATGTCATGAGCATTGACAGATTTTTTTAATAAAAATTGTTAGCATTTGTAGAATAAAAATCCCTTTCACAAATATCATGCTATTTGCACTTTCATAGGAAACCTGGAGAAGCCTGGGCTGGCATTATTTAACCCCAGGAACGGAAGGACTCCCTGAGGCTGAGCAGTTCCTAAGTTGCCCGAAGGTCAAACCAGAGGTAACTTGAAGTCCAGGCTTCAGTCCAGGACAGTTTTTCAGTGTGATATCCTTTCCATGCTGGGACTCAGGTATTCCTTTAGTAGCATACTTTACAGGTATTCTATTGAGAAATATTCCTTTCAATACATCTCAACATATTGGGAAAACACAATTATAATTAATAACTAAAACTCCTCCTGCCCATGTTAGGAGCTCTTCGAGGCAAATCACATACCCTGGAGGCCAGAGACCAGCTCATGTAGATAAAACAGCCACTGATGAAACATAAAGAGGTTATACAAAAGGCTAAACTGGATGGCAGAGATGCTTTTGTTTTTAAATAGTCTTTTCCAGAACTTCTAGGATTCTGTTCAGCTATCTCAGAGCCCACTGCAGGTGCTGAAGAACAGGATTTGGGGCTTTCTCCTCTCTCCCTCAGATAATGTGGCTCCACTAACACCTGTTTTTAAACATAGGATTTTTATGAACATTTTCCACTGGTAAGAAGATCTACTATAGGATAAAATTTTTGCAACAACTGATCTAATCCAATTAACCCTTTTTAAAGATGAAGAACTCAGACCTGCAGAGGCCATGGGACCTGCCCAAGGAGAGAAATCTTTTTCCTGCAAGAATGTCTCATCTCCTAACTCCCAGTTCCATTGACAGGGTGAGCATGGGGACCTGGTAACTCAATACCATTGATTTTAGATCCACTTCGGCTTTACACAACAGATTTATCTAGAGGACAGGAGTGCAGAGTTGCTGGAAAATACATAGTTCATACTGAAGCAAAAGAATCTATACTTTGAGGGTTGGAGAAGAGTAATTCCTAAGTACCAGTTATGTCTCTAAGGACATTTTCTTCACTAACTTTTTATTAATTAATTTTAATTTATTATTCCATGATTGATTTTCATCTGTCTGTCCATTCCTACTGTCCGTCAGTTACCTGGTCTCTCTGCCTTCTGTCTTGCTCACATCAAAATCATTTTACTTGCAATTACTAAAAACGCCTTTCCGACATGCAAACCTGACTATGTTTCCTTTCTGCTTGGAACCTGCTTTTTCTTTGACGTGGCAACATCCTAATATCTAGGATGGCTCTTCTTCCCTTATTTACACGTCTCTGGCTAGGTCTCCCGTTCTCCAAGCTCTAGCCATAATCATCAATGTTTTTCCTCTGCATGCTCATAACTGCTTCACACATAGACACCCTGGCATAAGCAATGCCTCCTGTCTAAAATGCCCTTGATGTTCTTTTTTTACCTGGACAACTCAAGCTTCAAGTTTTATCTTAAGAACTGCATATTTCAGGAAACTATTTTTTTTTTTTTTTTTTTTGCCTATACCCATCATGTGTTAGATAAGTGTTCTTTAACACACCTTTATCTAGCAATTGCCAGATTCTAGTTAAATCTGCTCCTGGGAATATATCTCCCGTTAGTAAACTAGTAAACTTTTACAGGACAAAGGCTTTTTTTTTTTTTTTTTTTTTTTTTTTTACTTTCTCAAGCCTCATAACACACAGTGTAGGGCTTGACACATAATAGGCACTTAATAAATGATTGTTGAACTCATATGCATCTATTTCTCATCCAATATATTAGTTAAGACTCTTCAGTTCTAGGTTAATAATTTTTCTAAAAAATAGCATCTGATACAAAAGAGGCTCTCCGTGAGGGTGTGCAGGGGTATTTTATAATATCCTTGAGGGGGAAGTTTAGCTGGACTTCATGGGGGTCAGAATGCCAATAGAATGAAGTCCCTTCCTCTCTTGGGGAACTCGAGTTCTCTCAGTCCTGCTTCTTTCCAAGGATCTGATTAATCATTTGCTTGACTTCTTTCTGAGGGTCACCTTTATCTGCTTCCAAGTGCATATGGAGAGAAAGATGCTTCTGAGTACATATGGAGAGAAAGATGCTTCCGAGTAAATATGGAGAGAAAGAATCCCGATAGCCCTAGCTCAACCTAACCATCTGAGTTCGACCTAGAACTTCCGAGTCTTGATTTGAAAGGAAAAGAATATGACCCTTTCTACTAATCTAACTAAGCACTGCCTATGGGTCAGGGATGGCCTAATATGGTTACTAATGTGGAGGTTATATTCACCCACTCATTTAGATCTGTTTGAAGAGAAATGGCTGCAGGCTGCATAGGTATCTCCAAAACTGACAACTCCAAGCAAATGATATGGACCAAAATTAGGCGTTCTGGAGCTAGGCAAGCATTTCCCCAAGTGTCTGCACAGAATATTATTTCCACAGGGTGATAATAGTTGGTAGGAGAGAAACAATGCTGCAGTTCAGCAAGTTTGAAAAACGCTTAAACAAACTTAAATATATTTCTTTACTGAAAGGCTTCTCAATGACTTTGTCATGCAAATGTGATATATGAAATGGAAACAAGACAGTATCATCTGTTGCATTCTCTAGACTTAATTGTCCAGAGAAACATTATTTTTCCTCCCCCGAGAAACACTTTGTAGCATTAGGGCTCTGTGGAATAGACTTGGGGAACACTGAAGTAATCATATGCTAATTCTCTCACTCCGTTGGTGGATATACATACTAATCAATATGTTATACTTCACCAATTTAGAGTAATGGCATTTCCTGAACTGTGTTTAAGAGTCTTTGAGGGACTTTAAATTCTTCTTCCTCTGTTTCTTGCTTCCAGCAATTTTGAATCGTGATTTCCCCAGTGACCATCACGCAGGTGGAATTTTCTCTCTCCATTCAGTTGTATGCCTAATAAAGTGACTGCTATGTTTTTAACAGGTTTGACTTAGGATGTGAGCACTACTCCTTCTCCTGAAGTTGTTTTGGTAAATACAATTGTATTGGGAAAACAGAAGCCATAGTTGTTTATAGGGGCACATCCGAAGACATTTACCTAATGTTTCCATCTTAATGATTGGTTCAGTCCCATTCATTGAGTACTTATTGAGTGTTTGCTAGATTCTGGGCTCTGGACTGGGCATTGCTGATGCCAAGATGAATAAGTCTAGGACCTAAGCTAACATAGCTCAGGGTTTAGTAAAGGAGACAGACATGTCTGCAGATAACTTCTGAGTGTGATAAATGCCTTGGTAGAAGCAAGAAAATGATAAAAAGCTAGCAGAGAGGAGAGAAGGATTTATTCTAGGGGAGGTTGCAGAAAACACTGCAAAGAAAGTGACATCTATTCTCTATTTTGATGAAAGAGTAAGTGTTCTTGAAGAAAATAAGAAAGGAAAGCTTTTTATGCATGAGAGAAAAGAAAAGTGAAGGACAAAACCCTGGATTATGCCAACAATGAAGTGGCTGGCAGAGGAAGTGAATCCAGGCCAGGAGACTGAGAGGGAATGGCCAGAAAGTCGGGAGAAGAACAAGGAAGAAGGATGTCCAGGAAGACAAGGTAGAAGAAAGAGGGTTTCAAGCAATAATAATAATAATAATAATAATAATAATAATAATAATAATAATAATGAAGACAGGATCAAAAGGATCAAATGCTGCTGTAGAAAATCCAACAGGATACCAAAATTGGTTCAAGGTTAATATTCCTCAAACCTGGACTTGAGTACATTAAGGGGCTCCCAAAGAGAGCAATTCAGGCTTCCTTCAACTATTTCTATTATATGTCCCCAGTGAAAACCTCACATTTATCCATGATAAAATAGTGTAGGCTGAGTATTCCTGAGTGCATGCAAACTTACAAGACATAAACATTTCAAAGCCTGAGAATAAAGGGAAGGGATGGAAATTAAAGGGGTCTTTGATTTGACTTTTGATACTTGATCTTCCTTCAAAAAACATACGCTGGGTGTTAGGAGACCTATAATTTATACTGGATTCTATGACGAAGCAACTGTGGGAATTTAGGAAAGTTATTTCATCCTCTGGACCTGGGTTGCCTGTTCAGCACTGGAGTTTGGCTGGATCTCTCTGGCTTCTTCCAGAGAATCAAAAGTCCCTGTGATGCCTTATGTGGAGTGATGGGGACTTTATACTCTGCTACATACCAACATTTACAATGTACCCTTTCTCCCTCCATCACAGTTCAAAGGGGAAGTAGAATTTCAGACAGATATTGAAGATATCTTTACACAAAGCTGAACCTAGTTGGGTGTAACTAGTGACTGAAGAAAGGAGAAAAGGCAGGAGATTTTTTTTTCTCCCTTACTGATGAAGAGGCCACTGTGACTTGCTTACTTGCCTCAGGCAAGTTTCTTCAGTTTTGCATATTAGGTACATATTGGTGCATAGCTGATTGCCCCAAAACTTCATGGTTCAAAGAAAAAATACGCAGTTATTTTCTTTCACTACTTCAGTGGGTCAGGAATTTGAGGTCAACTTTTCTAGCTCAGATTTTTCATGAGTTTATCAGATATTGGCCAGGGTAGTAGTAAAGGCTTAAGTGTGGCTAGAAATCCATTTTCAGCCTAGCTGTCTCATGTGGCCCCTGTTAGAGGGAGGACTGAGGTTTTTACCACTTGAACTTCTCCCCAGCCTATTTGAGTGCATCCTGAGGACACAATGGCTGGCTTTTTCCAGAGTGAGCAATTTCAAAGATGACCTAGCCCCATAAGTCACACGTTTACCTTTGCTGTATCCTATCAGTCACATGGGACAGCCTGGATGCCCCATACACCAGCATGAGTATCCCCAGGAAAGCATCACCGGGGGTCAAGACTGGTTACCACACTTTGTACACTTCACATTTTCATGCTAAAATGAAGATGATGACACTTAGTTCTTTACATCCGTGCTGCAGAGAATATGCCCATTTAGGAGGCGTTAGTTGTTTGTCTTTTGATGTCTGTCTCAAAGCAGAATGGAATAAATGGTATTACAGAGAGACAGGGATGCTGCTCTAGGAACAAGCAGGAGGAATTCCCTTCTGGCTGGGAACGGCTCCATGAAGAAAATGGAGTTTTTGAACGAGGCCTTTGGGGATATGTAGAGTTTTAACAGTCAGAAAATATTGGGATGGAGTAAAATGGTGGGAAAAGTCATTCTAAATAAACACTGGGATGGGCATGAACAGACACTCAGAGGTAAAGGAATATAGGAATTGTTTGGGAAAGTTGAGCTCTCCTGAAATGGTGGGTCTGTGTGTTTGTGTCTTTACACAACATGCCAAGACAGGCAGAAGAGGAAACAGGAGCATCAGGGCTGGAAGTGCAGTTAAAAAACCTGCTACACAGCCAGGTTTCTAAATGCCAGAGTCAGGATTAAAGGCAGAACTCGTTTTCTGAGATAATCTTCCTTTTTGGAGATGATATGTTTAGTAAGTGCATTCCCAAACTTTAGTAATTTGCACGTAATGACTAGAATGTAATTGTTGTAACTTTCTTCATACACAGGTGTGTGGTGGGCAGCCCCTAAGATGACCCCTGCCTTTTGGT
Source organism: Homo sapiens (assembly GCF_000001405.40). Lineage (NCBI taxonomy): Eukaryota > Metazoa > Chordata > Mammalia > Primates > Hominidae > Homo > Homo sapiens. The sequence goes on along the minus strand of NC_000004.12, from coordinate 11,301,564 downwards.
AACTCCCTCCTTTGTGCATGTGGGATGGATTTAATGACGCACTTCTCATGAATAGAATGAGCTGCATGTTGTGAGGGGTCTGATGGAGATGCCTATGTGGCAAGGTACTGACGTCTTCAGCCAACAGCCAGCACAACCCAGAGCCCTGCAGGCAACCATGTAGAGAGAGGTTGGAAGCTAAACCTGCAGGTCCAGGACTGGGGAAGAGGGCAGAGGGGGATGGGTGAGACTTGGAAGGACAAAGGCCCAACCCTATGGACACTGACACTTTGATACTAGCCCCATGAGAGACTCTGAACTAGGAACATCCACCAAGCCACACCCTACACAGATTCCTGGCTCACATAAACCGAGACAATAAATGTTTGTTAAGTGGCTAAGTTTGGGAGTAATCTGTTATGTAACAACAGATAACAAATACACATGTGCCACCCAGACAATGATTTACTTAAGACATCTGTCTTCAGCTCAACTGACTTTTTTATATACATATATTTATTTAAAAAGGAAACTTTATATTTCAAAGTAAGAGATTGATATCAATTTCCATAAATAGGTTACTGTGTGAGACGTAAAATCATCTCTTTAACGCTAACTATGTTTACTAACATTACTAATATTCCTTGAGAGACATGAGCTAATTGAAAGACACTGGGTTTGAATTCCATGTTCCCCTCTTGTTAGCTGTGTGACATTAGAAATGTTCCATTAATGATTTGAGGCTTTGTTTCTTCATTTCTAAAAGAGATAATTTGACTCGATTTTCTAGTATTTTTTAGGATTAAGCAATTATTGTGAAAGCATCTGTAAATAATAATGATGATAATAATGATAATTGTCATGTTTTATTATCTTTAACAATGCACCAAGTGCTACATTTAAAAAGTTTCAGAGAGGTTTAGTAACTTGCTCAGGATCACAGCTGGTGCCATGGTGAATGAGAATTCAAATCTGGATCATTTTCATTGTGAAGCTCTTACTCGTTAGTATTACAGATTATACACCACACACAGTGAGCAACATTCAGACCATTCTTTTTTCTTGCTTGGAAATGAAACTTTGCAGTTTTCCTGCATCTACTTTAATGTAATATGGAACTTTTGTTCTCTGCCAGGTTCAACTCTGTTTCTGGGATCACTCACTGTTTACCAAGGAGGTTGTTGTCAGGACCCAATTTTTCTAGGTTCATAGCAGCTAGTCAAACACCACTATAGGTCAGCTGGGGCTGTCTATAGTAATGATAAAATCTATGCCTTCAATTTCTTAATTAACTAAATACAATGAAGTCTTTAAATTTATCAAAGCAGGGTCTCTTGTGGAATTAATTAGAAAATTATAGGGGAGGACTTGATGATTAATCCAGACTTCATAAACCTACTGGGAATTTTATACAAGCTCAAAATAAAACAGACTTGTGTTAAAAATTAATTTATAATGTGATAACCATTTCAGCATTTTTCGTGACAGAGTCGGGGGTAGGGGCCGGCAGTGTTCCAGCCTACATCTCAGGATGCTGTCTGAGGAGTTCTGTCTCTGACATTCTGGGATAACACTGAGTTTTGAAAAGCGTTTAGTGGCATTGCCATGGGCAGACAGATGGAGGTCTTTTATAAACTCCATTAGCAGCCTTCCCCCAACAATGCCTGCAAACATCACTACTGACACTATCATTTTCCACGAGCACTTTCAACTTTTTTCTGTTGTATAGAAGTAGAAATAAAAGCATTCTTAGAAGACTTTGCCATGTGTATGTCCTGTTACAAAGCAATATGCAAAACAAGAATGCTTAATATGGCCGCAAGAAAAGTCCCACAACTTCTTCACTGCAAGCCGAAAGCACCTATGCACACCATTCTATACAAGACCCTGCATCTGGCCCTCTGGAGAGGCTATGGCTAAGGTACCTGTTTATGCATTTGTATTAGTCCATTCTCACACTGCTGATAAAGACATATCCAAGACTGGATAATTTATAAAGAAAAAGAGATGTAATGTGTTCGCAGTTCTACACGGCTGGGGAGGCCTTGTAATCATGGCAGAAGGCAAAAGGCACATCTTACATGGCTGCAGGGAAGAGAGAGAATGAGAACCAAGCGAAAGGGGTTTCCCTTTATCAAACCATTAGATCTTGTGAGGCTTATTCGCTGCCATGAGAGCAGTATGGGGAAAACCAAACCGCCCCCATGATTCAATTATCTCCCACCAGGTCCCTCCCACAACACGTGGGAATTATGGGAGCTACAGTTCAAGATGAAATTTGGGTGGGGACACAGCCAAACCATATCAGCCTTCCAGGAGCACACAGGTGAGCAGAGGGTATGGACATGCACAGACAAGTCCGGGAAAGTGAGTTTGATGTTCAGACCAGCAATTGTGTGGTGCCACGGTAGCACGTAGAAAAATGTGACTATTTCTATCCAGGGGCCTGAAAATCTTCCCTGAGGGACTGAGGCTTGAGCTGAGTTGTGAAAGAGGAGAGACTGTCACCAGGCAAACTTGAGGAAATGGCATAAACCTTGACTCGAGGACAAGGGCACATCCAGAACATTAAGGGAAGTGTAAGGGTCCATGATGTCTGAAGTGCCTTATTTTCCTGGGTCTTGACACATTAGAAGTGATAATTGTTCTATAATAGCACTTCTGTTGTGTTGGCTAAGGCAGAATCTTTGTGATAGTGAATTAAAAATGCAATTAGTAACAAACACAATTAGCTATTTTACATTGTGTTCACATATGCAAATTAAAAAGGAGACCATATAATTATGTAGAAAAAACAAAGGTTAATAAACAGCAGGTTGGGCTATCATTATCTGTATATTCCTGGGGAAAGGTAGTTCAGTGTCTGCATTAACAGGGTAAGAGAAAAGAAGGACTGCATGTCAGTTACTTGGCTGTGTGACTGGATCACGCTTGGCTTGGTCTGATTCCAAAGCTCATGTTTCTTCCTTTTCCCTCCACTTTGTGTTATTATTATTTGAGCTTTTGGTAATTTCAGGGTGTTGTAATTCCTGGATTTGAATACTAACATATGAAAATTTATTAATGGTTATTTTGGTTTCATGTAATTTAGCTAACAACATCCTTCAACAATATGACTGTCAACAGTCATAGAACAGTGTGTACAATTTAGATTATCTGATTTTCATAATCTTAGTTTTTAAAAATCTGCCAATTAATTCAAAGCACAAAACTGAGCCCACTAATCATTACTTTTCCAAATTAGAAATTACCAAAATTTACCATAGAGAAAACTGAGTAAATTATGCTGTATTACTATCATGGAGTAGTAAAGAGCAAATAAAAATATTGTATTTGAAGAATATTCAACACACCCCCCTCAAAAATAAGAGTTTGCTATGAATGCCTTTTTTGAATTTTTATATATCAGGCAAGTATTATTAATAGGAAATTTATTATTATTTTAACTGAGCAGATATAATAAAGACTTCATAAAAATTTTACTTTCCCTCCTATTTGAAATAAGGTCATTTTGCTTTAAGAACAAAGGACAATAAATAGTTCTAAATAATAATATGAATGCATGATTAATGATCCTCTCATTTATACATGTTAGGTGAATAAATGCAAGGATATCTGTAGCAAGAGTGGCAGTGCAGACGTGGGAATGAGCTCTGGAGCCAGCAATTACTCTGAGACACCTTTTATTTTCAGCTATGGTTTCTGCATTTACTTTTGTCACTTTCTATTTGCCCTTTGTGGTTCATCTTTTTTTACGCAGACTTGTGTGATGCCCCATCTGGTGTGATTCACCCCATTCTAATTATGCAGCACACATCCTGTCACTATGAACCAAAATTTTATCAGTTTTTATAATTAATCAGAGTCTTGCAGATAAAAGATGCAAATGCAACATTTTAAAAAGAGATGTTATTGCTGAAAGTAACTCACACAGGCCTGAATTCATTCGATACTCATGATGATTTGGGAGAGAGGGAGAATTCACATATTAACTATCTGGGTTTCCTGAAAGGCTGCTTGGCCCAAGGCAAGAACGGTAGCCTTAGAATCAGGTCACCGCAGTTCTGCCCTTTACTAGCAAGGAGACTTGGGCATGACACTTAACATTCCTGACTCTCAATTTTTCCGTCTTTATAATGAGAAATAATCCCTGGTCTTCCTCCCAGGTCTGTGAGCCTGGCACCTCCTACTTAACTGAGTCACTTTCCCCTTTTGATTCAAATGAATCATCAGTTTATTCAACAGCTATTATTAAGCACCTATGTATATGAGGCCCACGATTTGGAGACCTGGAGTCCAGTTATAGTTCTGTTACTGAATGAATAAGTCAGGCCTGAGATTTCATTGTCCTATGTTTCTACTTCTGTAATTAGCAAACATTTATATAACATTTATAAGGTATCAGCCACTATTCCAAGCACCTTATCAACATTGATTTAGAATCTCCAGTTTATGAATAAAAAGAAACTGAGGAAGAGGAAAATTCAGGAACCTGCCCAAAGTCACATGACTAGCACGTGTTGGAGCTGGGATTCAGAGTCTATGCATTTAACCATGGCACAATGCTGTCTCTGAGTGATATCAATATACCTTCCTTATTACCCCCAGTATGGGAGAGTAGAACGAGCACACTTTTCATAATGGAATACATCAGGTACTAATTAATTCCTGCCTGGATAATCCTTAGTTGTGTGACCTTGGTTAAGAAACAGACATTTTTGGTACGGGCGTGGTGGCTCACTCCTGTAATCCCAGCACTTTGGGAGGCTGAGGTGGGCGGATCACAAGGTGAGGAGTTCGAGACCAGCCTGGCCAAGATGGTGAAACCCTGTCTCTACTAAAAACAATGAAAAAAAATTAGCCAGGCGTGGTGGCAGGTGCTTGTAATCCCAACTACTCAGGTGGCTAAAGCAGGAGAATCGCTTGAAACCCGAAGGCAGAGGTTGCAGGGAGCCGAGATTGCGTCACTGCACTTCAGCTTGGGCAAAACAGAGAAATTCTGTCAAATAAAAAAAAGAAGGAAAGAAAGAAAGAGAGAAGGAGAGCGAGAAAAAGGAAGAAAGAAAGAAAGAAAAAGAAAAAGGAAAGGAGGGAGGAAGAAAGGAAAGAAGGAAGGAAGGAAGAAAAGAAGGAAGGAAGGAAAAGGAAGGAAGAAGGAAGGAAGGAAAGAAAGAAAAAGAAAGAAAGAAAGAAAGAAAGAAAGAAATGAAAGAAAGGGAAAGAGAGAGAGACATTCTCCATCCTCAAATTTCTCACCTATGAACTTGAAATGATACCTACCTCACTGAATTTCTAGGTAGATTAGAAAACATCCTATCTTTGTAAAGTACCTGCTACTGTAACCACATCCATGTTGGGCTACTTGAAAGCCAGGCTCGAGACGAGGATTGGTGGAAGGAAAAGCCGATTTATTCAGAGAACCAGCAAACCAAGAAGATGGTGAACCAGCATTCTAAAATACCATCTTCAGTCAGTGCAAAATTCAGGCTCTTTTAATGTTAAGGTCAGGGGGAAGAAAAGCGGGTTGGGATCAAGGGGTAACCAACAACCACAGATATCTGGATGGCAGTGAGAATCCAAGGAGGTTAGAAACTTCTTTGTCCTTGGTCAGGTCACAATGTTTCCATAAATCTTTAACAAATATGTTTGTTTACATACTTCCGTGTTAATCTCAGACTTAGTTTTAAAAACTACGTAATTGTTGTTTTTGCATAGTATCTCAGTTCTCAGTGCCCTAAAATTACTGCAGCCTACGTACAGGAAGGGGTAAAGGCCCCTTAAACAAAAATAGAGATAGTTATGTTCATTCCTTTGCTGTTTCCCTGTTACACTAGGGTATGTGAAACACAGAGAAGATTCAAATGCCTCTTCCCTTCCCCTTTCAGGAGATAGTGGAGATGGAGGAGAGATAGGAACATTTCAGGGGAAGGTCTGCAGCATTGCTAATAGTCACTGCATTATATTTTACACCTTCCACCTGCCAGACATTTGCATAGGCCAGCTCCAATTTCCGTGAGACAGCTCAGTAACATTTGTACATTTACCCCCATTTACAGCTCAGAAGATGGAAGCTCAGAGAGGTTCAATAACTCACTAAGGTCATAGAGAGTACCTGACAGAAGGATTTGTCCACAATGGTTCTTACGCTAAAGCCTCAACTCTTGCTGTTGTTCTGTTTTCTGTTAAATGCCGTGCTAATTGTGACCTAGCAAATCCATACACCTCCCGAGGCCAGGAACTGTATTTAATCATTTTTGTGTGTGGCTTCCATTCTAGACAGCATCATGAATGGGATAAATACAAAGATATTAATAGTTAAGTAAGTGAGTAGGCCGAGTGCGATGGCTCATGCCTATAATCTCAACACTTTGGGAGGCTGAGGAGGGCAGATCACATGAGGTTAGGAGTTCAAGATCAGCCTGGTCAACATGGTAAAACCCTGTCTTTACTAAAAATACCAAAATTAGCTGGGGACATGACTGTAGTCCCAACTACTTGAGAGGCTGAGGCATGAGAATCACTTGAACCTAAAAGGCAGAGGTTATAGTGAGCCGAGATCTTGCCACTGCACTCCAGCCTGGGCAACACAGCAAGACTCTGCCTCAAAATAATAAAGAAATAAAATAAATAATAAAGTGTGTAAGTAAACACATCAAAGATGCTGAGTGTGCCAGCTTTAGATTCTGCTTGGTTTCTCAGGTGAGTAGAGGGCAGGGCCCTGAGCTGACCATAAACCTTTGTTGGGCCATCTTTAATGGGTGTGACTTCCACACCAGAATGACAAGCACCACCAACTGCAATCTAGAATCCACCTGATACAGCAAATGAGGGAGGAGGAGAGGACCTCTCTGGCTCCCAGCAAAGCTGAAGCCCCACCACATTCATGTTGCCCCTAAGCTCCGGGCTGTCAGATCCTCCAGGGAAGTGATAAAATAGGAAACTTCCAACTCTCCTCACCGCAACACCCCAACACCTACTTTTTAATATTCAGGGCCTCTGGCCTCCCACCAGATCAATACAGCGTGATCTCTCACAGAAAATCACTTCAAAATGATGCCCCACTGGCAAGGTAAGCAGCTGATCAGATTCTTTGAAGATCAATGGCTGTACCCTCGGGAAAGCAGGACGCCTTGTTTTCTTACTGCAATTTGAAGATTGTACTTCCCCTTGCAAGGAGGGTACCTTTGAATGCGTAAGTAGGTGGCTTTTGATCTGGGTCTTGAAAAGGAAGAACTTTGCAAGGGAAGGCAAAATAGGCTGGGAATTGCAAGAAGAAGGAACACCATGTGCAAAAACACGCAGGTGAGAGCCTGAGCACTGAGAACAAAACTGGATTTACTGAACATATACTTTGTGCCAGATGCTATGCAGGGAGGTTTACATAATGCTAGAAGGTAACTACCTTTATCCACATTTTATAGAAGAAAAAATCTGAACCCTAGAGAGTAATGTTAAACAACTTGCCTGAGATGACTTATCTCTGCGTTGACAGAGTACTTGCATACTGGGTTAGCTGATTCATAGTGTGCTCTTTCCAGAAAGACAAGCAAAATACAGAGGCTGGCCTTTTAGCTCTCAAGTTCTGCTCTCAGACACTTCTTTATGGCAGGGCATTTTTGCTTGTTTCTTTGTTTGCTTTTTAAGTGACAGTTTTACAACTTGGTAAGTGGTGTGGTCTGCAGTTACAGGTTACAGGGGATTTGGAAAGATTTATTTATTTATTCATTTATTTACTATATTTTTAATTTTTGTAGAGACAGGGTTTCTGTACATTGTCCAAGCTGGTCTTGAACTCTTGGGCTCAAGTGATCCTCCTGCCTCAGCCTCCCAAAGTGCTAGGATTACAGATGTGAGCCACTGGGCCCAGCTAATTTAAAAATATTTTACTTAGTAGGAGAAGTAGTAGTGCCTATGTTCTGTTTGCAGTCCTTGGAGAAGCTGGCTGCTTTTATGAGGATAGGAGGAGACAATTTCAGATGTTGAGATGGAATCTTAGTAGGAAACACCATACTATCTAATAAGATATCTGCCTCTGAGTGTGAACTATTATCTCCATCCAATAGGACATTATTTTTTCATTTATTTATTTATTTATTTATTTATTTATTTATTTATTTATTTATTTATTTTGAGACGGAGCCTCACTTAGCCATCCAGGCTGGAGTGCAGTGGTGTGATCTCAGCTCACTGCAACCACCGTCTCCCGGGTTCAAGCAATTCTCCCGTCTCGGTCTCCAGAGTAGATGGGATTACAGGCACCCGCCATCATGTCCGGCTAATTTCTATATTTTAGTAGAGATGGGGTTTCACCATGTTGGCCAGGCTGGTCTTGAACTCCTGAACTCAGTTGATCTGCCCACCTGGGACTCCCAAAGTGATAGGATTACAGGCATGAGCCACTGTGCCCAGCCCATTTATTCATTCTTTACTCCTCAAATAAGCATGTAGGCCAGGCACAGGGGCTCACACCTGTAATCCCAGCACTTTGGGAGCCGAGGCAGGTGAATCACTTGAGGTCAGGAGTTTGAGACCAGCCTGGCTAACACAGCAAAACCTGTCTCTACTAAAAATACAAAAATTACAAAAAAAAAAAAAACAAAACAAAAAAACCCTGTAATCCCAGCTACTCAGGAGGCTGAGGCAGGAGAGTCACTTGAATCCCAGTGGTGGAGGTTGCAGTGAGCCTATTGCACTCCAGCCTGGGCAACAGAGCAAGACTCCATCACATAGACACACAAAAAAGGCTTGTAATCCTCAGCACCAAATATGGTGCTAGTCACTGGGCACTTAACTGACAAATGACCCTCTGTCAATGACCTAAGAGGACTTATTCTCAAGAGTTTAGCACAGCATGCAGGAAAATGAGTCCATGAATATGAGAACACCTGAGAGTGCCAGAGAAAGAAGTAAGTGATGCTTCCCTGGGTATGGTTTCAGCAAAGAGGAGCCCACAGTGTTCCAGAAAGTTTTCGGAGGGAGAGATGGACTGCTTGCCATCTGGCTTCAGAGATGGGACAAGGCCCGGGCAGCAGCCTGAGGACCTGGGAGTACATCAAAAGCTGGGAATGGTGGCTCCAGCCTGGGCACTTGAAAAATGAAAGGTCACCCAGAGTGTGTGTCCAGGCTCAGAGGCCACCTTGGGCTTTCTGGTTTTGAAAAAATTGGCTTCTTCTGAGCAATAAAGTTCAGGCTTGTCAGTAATAATCCATCTTCTAAGGCATTGGTTCTGGTTAGGATTTAAGGACTCAAACAGATGTTATATAATGTGGCTCCTCAAAATCAGTTCCAGTTTATTTAAAAATATTTTTTATTAAGTGCATACCCTTGCACGCAGGAGGCCTTTTCTAAATGCCACCCTGCATGATACAGACTCGGCTCTCTTCTCCAAGTTCTTGCCTCAGTCTCTTCAACCTCCTTTCTTTGCTTCTGATTTTCTCTCTCTCTCTCTCTCCTTGCCACCACAGTCTATCTGTCACTCAAACACACACACACACACACACACACACACACACTTATTTTCAAATCCGATTTTCTCTGCCTTTTTGTTTCTCTCTTACTCCCTCTGCCCCTCATAACTTTTTCTTCATCAGTCTAATCCTAAAATCAGTTTGCTAGGCCTATTAGGATCCCTGTGCCAGGCAATGGTCGTAGCACAGTAGAAACACTCCTTTGCATGTGCACAGGGCTTTACAGTTTATGAGGGAATTTTCACTTTTGCATCAGTTTTCTCCATTAATTCTTGCTGCAGCCCTGGAAGGGAGGGATTCAGCCCTTTTTCAATTCAATCTGTGCTTAGGGAGTCCACCAACCACATTTCTTGAGGCTGCTGTCAGCATGGATACGCCTAGTGAGTTAGACATAGTCTCCTCTCTTTAGGATGCCTTACCAACCATCTAGAAACTTGGGAAAATCCAGATTCCAGGACTCTTGCATGGGACTCTCAATTAGCAGATGCAAGGAATCTGCATTTTAAGGAACTCTCAGATGATTCCAATGAAGGTGACCTACACTTAGAGAAAAGTGCTTGTCTTAGTCTATTTTGAATTGTTAGTATACCACAGACTGGGTAATTTATAAAGAACATAAATTTATTTATCACAGTTCTGGAGAATGGAAAATCCAATATTAAGGTGCCAGGATCTTGCCAGGGCTTTTGAGCTGTGTCACGCTATGGCAGAAGGTGGGCAGGTGAGAGGACACCCACATGAGAATGCAAAAGGAAGGGGGTCAAACTTATCCTGTTATCAGCAACCTACTCCTATGCAAACTAACCCACTCCTGAAATAACAGCCGTCATTCATTCATGCAGGCAGAGCCCTCATGACCTAAGGAGGATTAAGTTTCCAACACATGCTTTTTTTATGGAACACGTTTGAACCACAGCAGTGGACTAATGCAACACTTCTCCAACCTTGATGTTCACGAGGGCTACCCGGGATGTTGATAAGATGCAGTTTCTAAGCCAGCAGGTAGGACCTGTGATTCTGTGTTTCTAACAAATGCCCAGGTGATATCAATGCTGCTGGTCTAGGGGCCACACTGGGTATAAGCAAAATGTAGTTATTATTTTTCTCCCATTTTTTGTAGATCTGGAAATCATGGAGATAAAGCTGAACTCAAGGGGTCATGTTGTTTTACTACATGGCGCAGGGATTCCTTATGGGAGATACAGGAAATGATGAGAAACTGGGGCTTTTGCATTTGAATCCTGTAAAAGACACAGGATGGAAACAGGGCCTAAATTTTTCAGCCTTTTGGAAGCCCTGCTCACGCATCTCTTCCAGTTAGACCGGCCCACTCGCCTGCTACGTGGGCCCTCACCACTGTCTTCTTTCCCCAGGACTGGCCATCACCTCACTCCTTAGGAAGCCCAGAACCATGGAATGCTCATGGCAGATAGAATCCCTTGGTCCACAGTTAAAATACTGGTCCTGGCAATTCTAACCATGTTAATACAATATTGAGAATATTAATGATTACGTTTCATTGCATTTCCCTAAACCTTAGTTTTCTCTTCCATAAAGTGAAGATTATCTCTGCCTCTCAGAACAGCATAAATGTAGACATGGAGTCAAGAAATAGGGTGGGTAGCAGAAAGCTCTTAACATGTAGCTCTTACCCATGTAGGAGAGGTGAGGGTAGGGGTCAGAGCCCAGACCAAGCTGCTGCTGGAGCCAGGAATCGAACTCAGACCCTCTGCTGTGGGTCTTTTGCTCTTCACTGTCTCTTGTCCATTTGCTGTTCTTTGTGAGCTCTTGAAGGGCAGTGACTGTGAAGATTCATAATGATAAAAACACTCAGCCAGTTTTGGGGCACATGAGAAGTGATCCATAGAGTTACCATCACCCTCATCATCATTACTAATACGAGTTATCTAGTTTTCATACATGGCACCTGGCACCCAGCTCCATGGAAGCCTGTTGCTGGGGCTTATGTGGTAGCCATAGAATCAGATCAAAAGATATTGAATGTCTTCAGGGCCTATTTCCATTAAAGTTCTGGACATTGAATGAATTGTCCTTGGAGCCATGTGTTACTATTTAGATTCTTATTATCAGAATCTGAGCAGCCTCTTTCTTGACACCCTGGAGACTTGCTTCTTTTCCTTTACATCTGTGCTATCAGCCCTCTTCCTCATGGGTGGGCAGCGCTGCCTGGGGCTTGGCCCCAGGAGTGCAGCTGTCCTGTTACCAGAGACTGATTTCCTTTCCCTGGCTCCTCAACAGGCAATCTTCTGGCCCAAGTGGAGCTAATGCCCTGCTCTCCATTTCTATTCAAACATATCTAGAAGAGAAGCCACCATTTTTCCCCTTTTTTTAGCAACAGTACAAATGCTCAGGCGAGTGCAGTGGAGCAACCATTGCTCACTGTAACATCAAACTCATGGGTTTAAACAATCCTCCCACCTCAGCCTCCTGAGTAGCTAGGACTACAGGCACACACCACCATGCCCAGCTAATTTTTAAATATTTTTATAGAGATGCGGTCTCATTATATTGCTCAGACTGTTTTGAACTCCTGGCCTCAAGCAATCCTCCTTACTTAGCCTCCCAAAGCTTTGGGATTACAGGCATGAGGCACCATGACCAGCTTGGAAGCTATCTTTAGACACAGGTATAGAGGAAGCTAAAGAGAAGATTCCTGTGAATACTTCTAGCTTTTAACGTCTTTCAATTGTGTAGTAACTATCATTCTAGTTCCTTAGATACTCTTAGGTTCCTCTATGGCAAAATTCAGATGATCACACCCATCTACTAAGGTAATCATGGTGATCAAATTATAATGAAAAAAAAAAATAGCTGAGACTACCGGATGCTCAGACACTGTGCTAAACTCTATGAGGATTCTGTCCATGATTTCTAGAAGGAAGGTCTTATAAAACTAAGGCAAGAAAAGTTATGTAACCTCCCCAAGAGCACACAAGTGCTAAGTGCCTTTTGGTAATGATCTTCACTCATATTTTGCAGATAATCAGTCTCATTGCTCTTAGAACAAAAACAAAATTCCAGCTCTTTGGTGCAGCTTACAAGGTCCTGTATGAATTGGCCCATGCTTGTACCTGTAGCCTTGGCTTTTGATATTTCTCCATGCTGCTTGACCCATGATGTTCACTTGGGCTGGAACACTGGTTGTCCATTCTTCTCCATCCATCCTCACCCTTGGACTGGCTATATATCTTTTAGGAACTGTGGAAGCTTGGTTTGTTTTCCATGAAGTCTTTGCTTGAATCCCACTCCTGCAAGTAGAATGCTCCTGACAAGGGATTCTCATCCCTTTCCATGTTTGCCTTTCACTAAGTAGTGAGCTACATGAGGGAAAGATCTTTATCTATCTTATTTGCAATTTTACTCCCAGTACCTAGCAAAATGCTTGGCCCAAACAGGCATATTTTCAAAAAATAGCTGAGTGAATAAATCCTCTGTTATTTTCTCTTCTTGACCCTGTCCCTGGGTTCTGAGGTTATACTTCAGTTAGGTTCTGTGACATGACAGTATCATTCATATATTTGAATGGGTTAGTTTTCTAGAGGGCATAGATCCTATTCATTTCTTCTGAGGATGCCAGAAAACAGATGCTCAGTGAATACATGCTTATAATCAAACCAGAGAATATTAGATTTAAAAGATTCATTCATGATCATGGAGTATAAAAATCTCTGTTCACAGATGGGGGAGTTGAGACAAATTTTTGAATTGATTGATTTTTAAATCTTGAGTATAGACACGTAAACACACACATAGAGCGAGCACAAGCTTTGGTGTCACACATTTCTGGGTATGAATTCTAAAACTGTCACAAATTAGTTTTACGACCTTGTACAATTTATTTAACTTCACTGAATCCCAATGTTCTCATCTGGAAAAGTGGGCTTAAAATAAATAACTCAAGAGAGATTTGTGGGAGTTACAGATAGAAAACATCAACTAGGAGGCTGCTTGTAAAGGTCCTTGAAACTAGCATTAAGTATGGTGCAGGCTCAGTCCTGTGGTCAGTCTGGGCAGGCTCTACCCTGCATTAACTGGGTGATTGAACAAGTGACTTAACTCTCTGTGCCTCAGCTTTTTCACCTGTCAAATGGAGGTTATAATAATTGTACCTACTTCATAGAATTGCTATGAAAATGAAAGATCCTTGTTAAAGGCACACCACGCACACAGGAGAAATAAACAGGACCTGCCACATTGGAACGCACGGCAGATGTTGGCTATCACCAGGAAAAGAAAAGGGATTCTGAACTATCTTAGCTACAGGTCTGGCCACGTGGGCACTTGGATGGCTGAGCATAGGTCTCATCATGAAATGGCCCGGCCACCTCGGCTACCGGATTCTGGCCTATCGCAGGAGAAGGTGCATCATTTTTCAACGTGACACCCTTTGTTTATGGGCCTAGCAGAAAAATTGTGACAGATGCGCTCTCTCTGAGAGATTGATCCTGAAGGAGTCACAATATGTGGCCAGCAGTGGGGAGACTGGATTGCTATTTTGTTTGTGAGTGTTATTGCCATTTCTGTTTCTAACTCAGTGAGAAGGGAGATGCTCAGAGAAACCCCTTGCAGATTTTGGGAGATAGACCATGTGGAGTCGGTGATGCGGGCCAGGGAGCGATAATGCCTTTAAGCTGCTTCCTCCAAGTTGCCCAGTCGGATGCCTGCACCAGGACCAGATGTGCAGAGAATCCAGGAGTTCTAAATGCTCAATGATTCTCCCAGGCATTCTTTCTCTTCTTTGGGTCTTTCTTTATGTATCCATGTAGTCACTCTTTGATTCATTCAGCAGAGATTTATTGGGAACTGCTACATTGTAGGCACTGGACTGCCATAGCAGCAAACAAGTGAGAGCCATCACCCTTGGGAAATTCACAACCAGAGGGACAACTACAGAGGCATGTAGGAAGGGCAGTTACAACTCCAAGAGAAAGGAACACAGATGAGGAGCACAGAATCAGACCAGGGAACAGGCTGGGAAAAGCTCCCCGGAGGAGGCAGAATGGGATAGAATTAGGTGCACCACCCACTCAAGACACAGGTTAGCATGAAACCAGAGAAGTAAGGCTGGAAAATAACCTGACTCAGTTCCCCATTTAATGGACAGAGACAACAAAGGAAGCCAGAGCAGGGGAATGTTGAGCTGCACAGTGTAGAACATGTAGGCATTTAGGTATCTAGACATCACAGTTTGAACTAATTTTAAGTGACTTCCAATGTCAGTGACATTGGAATGTGTTGTCTATCACATAAATTTGATTCATATACGGTGAGTGGTTATTAAGCAGAAGTAAGGTAGTGAAAAGGTAGCCATATAAGTTATGAAACAAATCTGAGGCACTTTTGAAAGTGAAAGGGGAAATAATAATTGTCAGGAAACAACAGGCAGCAAACAAAGCCTGTCTTTGTAAAAAAAAGCAAAACAAAAAAGATGTATGACCATCTGTTTAATGGTTAACAGTGGGAAGTTAGAAGACAGAAACGTGGGTTCAAAAACACATTTTCTCCACTCTGGATGTGATCTTAGAGGGTCAGACTCTGAATCTCTGGGGAATATAATACCTAAGCATGATCATTTTTCTCCTGTGTTTAGGGTTGCCAGGTTTCGTGAATAAAAGTAGACTGTTTAGTGTAAGTTGAATTTCAGATAAACAATGAATAATTATTATAGTATAAGTATATCCCAAATATTGCATATCATACTTACCAAATCATCTCTTGGTGTCTGTGGGAAATTGGTTCCGGATCCACCAAAATCTATGTATGCTCAAGTTCCTTACATAAAATGGTGTAGAATTTACATATAACCTACACATATCCTCCAGTAAATTTTAAATCAACTCTAGATTACTTATAATACATAATACAGTGTAGATGTCCTGTAAATGGTTGTTTACTGTATTGTTTAGGTAATAATAACAAATGATGTCTGTGTATGTTTACTACAAATTCAGTTTTGTCAAATATTTTCATTCTGTGGCTGGTTGAATCCACAAATGCTGAACCCATGGATACTTGGGAACAACTGTGGTAAAAATACATACATACAGATAATACGTGTGTATATATATAGAGAGAGTTTATATATAGTTTTATACTATATATACAGTTATATATGTGTATATATATATACACATATATGTATATATACAAATTACTCTAGCTGGTTCTTACTATCTATCTATCTATATCTATCTACACATATGCACATATATGGGCCTACTGTATTAAAAATACATACATACATATAATGTGTGTATATATAGAGAGTTTATATATATATAGTTTTGTACTATATATACTTATATACCTAGTTTATATAGTTTTATAGTTATATGTCTATGTATTTATATAGTTATATATTTGTTTATATATCTATATATAGTTATATATATTTATATATGATTCTATTTCTAGTTTCTAGTTTATATATAAGCTATATATAAAACTATACATGTAAACTAGATATGTTGCTATGTATAAAAATAGTCTTAAATATATAAATACATATGGTTTTTATATCGTTTTATGTAAAAACCATATATATTTTCAGTTACACAGTTTATCTGGAATTCAAATTTAAATGGACTGCCTATATTTTACCTGGCAACCCTAACTTGGTTCAAACCCTAGTTTTTCCATGTTTTAATTGTGTCACCTTGAAGAGCTACATTAGTTTCTGGTGGCCTTTAAGTTGCTGTGAGAGGATGGATATAAAACTTACAGTAAAGTCCGTGACACATGTTAAGCTCTCAAAAATGTTAGACACTACTAAACAACACCGCTACTACTATGATTATTATTTATTTGACACATATTTTTGAGTGCCTACTATGTGCCTTATCTCTAAAATGGAGGTGAATCACCTCCTTGAGGAATTATCATTGGGCTTAAACATAATGTGATGAGGATATGATATGGGTTTGGATCTGTGTCCCCACCCAAATCTCACCTAGTGGCTCCCATAATTCCCACGTGTTGTGGGAGGGACCAGATGGGAGATGATTAAATTATGGGGCAGGTCTTTTCCAATGCTGTTCTCGTGATAGTGAATCGGTCTCATGAGATCTGATGGTTTTAAAAACAGGAGTTGCCCTGAATAGGCCCTCTCTTTGCCTGTTGCCATCCACAGAAGCTGTGACTTGCTCCTCCTTGCCTTCTGCCATGATTGTGAGGCCTCCCGAGTCACGTGGAACTGTAAGTTCTCTGTTTAACCTCTTTCTTTTGTAATTTACCCAGTCTCAGATATGTCTTTATCAGCAGTGTTAAAACAGACTAATAGAGTAAATTAGTAAGAGTAGAGTGGGGTGTTGCTGAAAAGATACCTGAAAATGTGGAAATGACTTTGAAAATGGGTAACAGGCAGAGGTTGGAACAATTTGGAGGGCTCAGAAGAATACAGGAAAATGTGGGAAAGTTTGTAACTTCCTAGAGACTTGTTGAATGACTTTGACAAAAATGCTGATAGTGATATGAATAATAAGGTCCAGGCTGAGTTGGTCTCAGAGGGAAATGAGGAACTTGTTGGGAACTGGAGCAAAGGTGACTCTTGTTACATTTTAGCAAAGACAATGGTGGCATTTGAACCTACCCTAGACATTTATGGAACTTTGAACTTGAGGGAGATGATTTAGGGTATCTAGTAGAAGAACTTTCTAAGCAGCAAAGCATTAAAGATGTGACTTGGGTGTTGTTAAAGGCATTCAGTTACATAAGGGAAGCAGAACATAAAAGTTTGGAAAATTTGCAACAGGACAATGTGGTAGAAAAGCAAATCACATTTTCCGATTTCATGAAAGTCACATTTCATGAGGAGAAATTCAAGCCAGCTGCAGAAATTTGCATAAATAACAAGGAGCCAAATGTTAATTCCCAAGACAGCGAGGAAAATGCATCCAGGGCATGTCAAGGTCTTCACTGTAGCCCCTCCCATTACAGGCCTGGAGGCCTAGGAGTAAAAAGTGGTTTTGTGGGCTGGGTCCAGAGTCCCCGTGCTGTGTGAAACCTAGGTACTTGGTGCCCTGCATCCCAGTCACTTCAGCCATGCTGAAAGGGGGCAATGTAGACCTTGGGCCATGGCTTCAGCCTTCAAGTCTAAAGCCTTGGCAGCTTCCATGTGATGTTGAGCCTGCCAGTGCATAGAAGTCAAGAACTGAGGTTTGGGAACCTCCACCTAGATTTCAGACCATGTATGGAAACACCTGGATGTCCAGGCAGAAGTTTGCTATGGGGGTGGGGGTCTCATGGAGAACCTCTGCTAGGACAGTGCAGAAGGGAAATGTGGGATCGAAGCCCCACACAGAGTTACTACAGGGGGCACTGCTTAGTGAAGGGGTGAGAAGAGGCCACCATCCTCCAGAACCCAGAATGGTAGATCCACCAACATCTTGCACCGTGTGCCTAGAAAACCCACAGACACTAGAAAAGCCACAGACACTCAATGCCAGCCCGTGAAAGCAGCCAGGAGGGAGGCTGTACCCTGCAATTCCACGGGGGCAAAGCTGCTGAAGACTATGGGAATCTACCTGTTGCATCAGCGTGACCTGGATGTAAGACACAGAGTCAAAGGAGATCATTTTGGAGCTTTAAGATTTGACTGCCCCACTGGATTTAGGACTTGTCTGGGGCCTATAGCTCCTTTGTTTGGCCAGTTTCTCCCATTTGGAATGGTTGTATTTACCCAAAGCCTGTACCCCCATTGTATCTAGGAACTAACTAACTTGCTTTTGATTTTATAAGCTCACAGGCAGAAAAGACTTGCCTTGTCTTGGATGAGACTTTGGACTATGGACTTTTGATTTAGTGCTGAAATGTGTTGAGACTTCATGGGACTGTTGGAAAGGCATGATAGGTTTTGAAATGTGAAGATATGAAATTCGGAAGGGCCTGGGGCAGAATGATATTGTTTGGCTCTGTGTCCCCATCCAGATCTTATGTTGTAGCTCCCATAATTCCCACATATTATGAGAGAGACATGGTGGGAGATGATTGAATTATGGTGGTGGGTCTTTCCTGTGCTGTTCTCGTGATAGTGAATGAGTCTTACCAGATCTGATAGTTTTAAAAGTGGGATTCCCTGCACTAGCTCTGCCTTTGCCTGCCCCCATCCACGTAAAGTGTGACTTGCTCCTCCTTGCCTTCCACCATGATCGTGAGGCCTCCCTAGCCACGTGGAACTGTGAGTCCAATTAAACCACTGCCTTTTGTAAATTCCCCAGTCTTGGGTATATCTTTATAAACAATGTGAAAACACACTAATACAGGATAAAACTTTCCTGGTGCAGCATCTACTCAGTTCATTATCATCTGAGTCCAACTGACTGATTGCTGTCTCTACTGAGCCCAGATCTGCTTTCTCTACTCACAGTCATATATCTACCCCGCAGGAATCGGACTATGGGGAAGACTATGAGCAAGAGATCTGCCTTAAGAGCAAAATTTAAGGAGTTCCAAAAATCTCAGTAATAAGATACATAATATATTTATATTTTATTTTGATATATTTAATATGGTATCTAAAAAGCAAAATTAATGCCAAAAAACCCAAGCTAAACAAAATGTCATATTTTAAAGGCAGGCAAGACCAGACTACACTTGCATGACCTGGCCTCACTTGACTCATCCTACTTCCAGCCCTGCTAGCCCTGTCACAAGTGATTTAGACTTTTCTTCTTGAAAAATGACTAGAAAAGAAGGGCATCCTCTATTGCTGGTGGTGAAGATAAAGTAAAAAAGATGTTTGAAACAGTTTGAGTTCTTTCTTAGAATACAGCATGTACCAGGTTTAGTCCTTTTTAGAGGACACTTCTGAGACAAAAAACATTTTGGTTATCTTACCAATCATTTATGGGAGAAATGGTATTTTTCCTAGTAATATTCCCAAACTTGAGACATTTCTGAAGGTCTTAGGGCTTATCCTTGAGAATTTCCGACATTAGAAGAACCTCTGTGTTTGCACTTACCTCAATATATTGAAGTTTATAGAAAGGAGGTATGTGTAAATTCCTTTCATGACTATGAGCTTCTAAGGGTCACCTAGTCTCCAACACCAAACCTGGCATGGATAAATGTGAAAGAATGTGAAGTGACTCGTAAAATTATACAGGAAGTGTATTGCCCAAAACTTATGGTGACTAGAAACTTGAAACATTTACTCCCACATTTTCCCCCTTCTTTTAAAAATATTTAATATTTGAGGAGAGCCTAATAGGATGAGTCACTGTTTCACATGCTCACAGGCATCATGAAATGTGTTGTGTAATACAATTTAATCAAGTTCTCCAACACTTTGTAGTTGATACCATTAATCCCATTCTGAGAAGAAGACACAGGTTCAAGTAGATAAACCACTAACTAAAGGTCACAAAACTGGCAATTCAGCTGGACTCCATGCTTTGCCATAACACCATGTGCTAGCACCCCAAGTCCAGAGAAGAATGGGATCTAAAAGTACATTAATAATGTGGAATGTTTGTCCATATCTGGCTCATCCTCCAAGGCTCAGTTCCAGTATGTTCTGTTCCATGAAGTTTGCTAGACATCCACTTGTTTAGAATGACATTTGCCTTCTTTATCATGTGAATACACTGGCAGCATGTAACTATGGACTTAATTAGAGTTATCAATATTTTAACTAATTTTTTCTTAGTTGGGTTAATGTCACCAGATTTTTAGCCACTCAAGGGCTAATCCCTTGTCTCATTGTTGAAGAATTTTATCTATCACAATCTCAAATCTTAAATTCAAGCCCAAAGGGTAGAGAGTTCATATATTGAAGGACTTCCTTTTAGAATGTCTTGAATTTATAAATGTAGACACTGAGAACTAGAGAGATTAAGTAGTTTATATGAAGCCACACGACTAATTCGGCCATTCATAGATATTTATTAACTATTTCATGGGAGGCACAATGAAAAGAAAGACAGAATGAAAAGAAGGAAAGAATGAATAAACGAGATCATTTCTGTCAAACGCTACCTGGCACAAAATACAACAGAAAGATGTAACAGAGAATGGGTGGGGGCTGCATTGTGTTATGTAGGGAGGTCAGAGAAACCATTTTGAAAGAAGTAATAATAACATGAGGACCTGAATGTGGAGAAACAGGTGATCATGCAGAGTTCTAGGGAAAATGCATTTCATGAAGCAAGTGCAAAGATCTATGGTGAAATAAGGCTGCTGTATTCAAAAAGTAGATGAAAACATTGAGTCCAGAATGCAGGAAGCCACAAAGAGTTGGGGTTTGACACCAATATAAGGGGAAATCATTTGAGGGTTTTAAGCAGGGAAACTGCAGGATCAAATTTCCATTTTATAAGAGTAAATGTATGTGAACAATGGAGAAGCAAGAGTGAAACAGAGACCAACTAGAAAAGCATTTTACTATTAACTGAACCAGGATTGGAACATAGTCTTTGTGCTCCTCGTCCATCCCCGTCTGTCTTCATGTGTTCCTTCTTGCTGCTCCTCTGGTTTTCTCCTCATCCTAAAATATCTCTCTGGGAGCATCTCTCACCATGGATAAGGCATTTTACTTTAGAGGCAACCCTGGTGAGCAGATGAGATTACACTTTTAGGGTTTTTGCATTGAATTGGACTTAAGATGCATTTCTGAAAAAGAGGTTCTGAACTGTGAAGCGTCACTGTACAGGATGTTCAGCAAGCCACTGCTCCTTAAGCACACACACTGCTTCTTGGTGTGTCATATTTCCAAAACAAAACAAAGAAACAGAAAGGAGCAAGTGAAGCTCCTATGGGGCTCATTTCTCTAGGTTTCAACTCCTCGTTGTCCTTAGTGGTACAATGTTGAGAGACCAGCCAGACAGTGAAGTCGATTGAAGAATGGAGAGTGGCCACACTGCCCTATGCATGTTGGCTAAAGGTTATCAGTATGTTCCCTCATTTTCCCAAGAAATGCTAAGTGTTTTCCCACAACCTTCTCGATGTCTTCCATGTTGATGGGCTAGCAAGCGTGGATGCATTGGGAGGGGCTCCAGCTGCCAGCAGCCACTCAAATTCTAGGCAGAGATTTTAGCTGACTCCAAAGAGGAATTACCAGCTAATATTATTACAGCGTCCTTTTGAAAAACGTATTTTTATAGCCTCATAATATGCATACTTTTGATTCACCCTCAGCATTAACCTTGAGTTGTTTAAACTTATAACTAAGCCCTCTGAGTGTAGGGACCCTGGTATTTTTGCAAGGAAATGATCAATGGAGAGAAATGGGGGATGTGTGGGTCTCTGGTTGGCAGTAGAGATACTGGAGCCAGCAAAAGGTTCCCAAAAAAGTTAAAGGGAGTTCCCAATCAGAATGGGCATATCAGAAAAAAAAAGTGGGGGAGAAAGACAAATGCCTGGATAATGAAATGAGAAGAATAAGAGAAAGAGACTGATATATAATCAACTCCAACTCCACTCAGAGCATCTCATTTAATCTGCTCAGTAGCCGGGCAAGGACAGATTTCCTGTCCTTGTCCTGCTGATATGACATGGGAGGCTCTGGGATGTGAAGTTGACTGTTAAGGTCATGCAGATGGCAAGAGGCAAGGGCAGGCTTCGAACCCAAGTATGCCTGATGACATGGTCCTGTCCTATGAAGGGTTTATGATGTAAAAAGAATGTACAGGAATTAAAGGCAATGCACCCTCTATGTAGGACCATGGGTAGGAGAAACTCTCTCTGGAACTCCTTTCAGGATGGACAGGCAGGGAGCTCAGGAATGAGAGAGCTCAAAGCCTTTGATTGCCTCTGCCTGTGTAAGTAGCTGGGGCTCAGTGAAGTTTTCTGGGACGCCTGAGAATCTTCAGTTTCTAGGAGTTCAGAGGTTTCAGAGTAGCTTGTTAACAAATTTCCATTTCTCTAAACTGTTCGACTGTTTGACTTTTTTTAAGTTACCTTTCCTAATCCTTCCTGACAGAAACTATATTAAACAAGATTCTTCTGGTTACAAATGGCAGAAGTTCAATTCAAGAAAAAATTGGGAAGTTATTGGCTCATAAAACAGAAAGGTCGAGGAGGTTAAGCTAGCATCAGGTACAACTGCATTCAGATATTCAATGGTCACCTGGATGCAGGCACTCAATGGTCACCTGGATGCAGGCATTCAATGGTCACCTGGATGCAGGCATTCTATGGCCACCTGGATGCAGTCATTCAATGGCCACCTGGATACAGGCATTCAATGGTCACCTGGATGCAGGCACTCAATGGTCACCTGGATGCAGGCGTTCAATGGTCACCTGGATGCAGGCACTCTATGGTCACCTGGATGCAGGCACTCTATGGTCACCTGGATGCAGGCACTCAATGGTCACCTGGATGCAGTCATTCTATGGTCATCTGGATGCAGGCATTCAATGGCCACCTGGATGCAGGCATTCAATGGCCACCTGGATGCAGGCACTCAATGGTCACCTGGATGCAGGTGTTCAATGGTCACCTGGATGCAGGCACTCAATAGTCAATTGGATGCAGGCATTCAATGGTCACCTGGATGCAGGCATTCAATAGTCAATTGGATGCAGGCATTCAATGGTCACCTGGATGCAGGCACTCAATAGTCAATTGGATGCAGGCATTCAATGGTCACCTGGATGCAGGCACTCAATGGTCACCTGGATGCAGGCATTCTATGGTCACCTGGATGCAGGCACTTTATGGTCACCTGGATGCAGGCACTCAATGGTCACCTGGATGCAAGCATTCTATGGTCACCTGGATGCAGGCACTCTATGGTCACCTGGATGCAGGCATTCTATGGTCATCTGGATGCAGGCATTCAATGGCCACCTGGATGCAGGGATTCAATGGCCAGCTGGATGCAGGCACTCAATGGTCACCTGGATGCAGGTGTTCAATGGTCACCTGGATGCAGGCACTCAATAGTCATTTGGATGCAGGCATTCAATGGTCACCTGGATGCAGGCACTCATAGTCAATTGGATGCAGGCATTCAATGGTCACCTGGATGCAGGCACTCAATAGTCAATTGGATGCAGGCATTCAATGGTCACCTGGATGCAGGCACTCAATAGTCAATTGGATGCAGGCATTCAATGGTCACCTGGATGCAGGCACTCAATGGTCACCTGGATGCAGGCATTCTATGGTCACCTGGATGCAGGCACTTTATGGTCACCTGGATGCAGGCACTCAATGGTCACCTGGATGCAGGTGTTCAATGGTCACCTGGATGCAGGCGTTCAATGGTGTCATCAGAATGCAAACCCTTTCTCCCTCTCTAGACCTACATGCCTAGGTACTGAATTCTTTTCTGGGCACACATTTTTAAACAATGTTATGGCTACTGTGGCTCTCAATGAGTCCAGAGAAAAATCATTGTGTGTTCCTCAATAACACTAACACACTTTGTAATGTCTCTGATCTACATGGGTTGCATCATATGCCCATTGAAAAAATAATCAATAAGCCCAAGGGTGTAGAATGTACTCATTTGCCAGGTGTGCCTACAAGCCCACACGTGAACTAAAAGCCCACCCGTGGCCTACAAGCAAACACCTGATCCCAAGATGACTCTTCCACCACTAGCGTATTCCTGGAGCTGGGAGGTAGGAAAGCATTGGATGGACTTGAGGACCTTAGATTAACAGTTTGCGGGAGAGAAGGAAGGGCTGGGTCGATAAAACTTAGATGCTAGTGTCAGAAGATGAAGGAAATAATTCTGGAAAGTAGTACAAAATGAACAGTTGCCCCCTATAGGCGTCATATTATTCTAATCTGCATTGAGCCTTTTAAAAATCTTTGCTTTTCAAAGAGTGGTTTGTGGACTGGTAGCATCAGCGTCATCTAGGAGCTTGTTAAAAAGCAGAATCTCAGGCTTCACTGGGGCGCACCAAATCAGAATCTGCATTTTAACACGATCCCTCTGAGAGCTATGTGAATACTGACGTTTGAGAAGCACCAATCTAAACTTTGTCAATCACTATTTTATCAATGGACAAACATTCCTTAGGTAGGAAAATGAAACTCAGTTTCCTAATGAGGAGATTTTGATTCCAAAATACAGGCTCTGTTACTAAGCTTAATAAATCTGGGCTGATTATTTTTTGTTTGTTGTCCTTTGCTTCTGTTTTCACGTCAGGAAAGTGTGGGATTTGGATTGGAAAATCTCTGAAATTTCTGTCAGTGTCTGACCTTTCAGAAGTCTAGTTTTCCTAGGTATCAGAAGGGAGGTAATTTGGGGATTATAAAAACCATAATAAAGGGTTTTCTGCAACTGTCAAAAAAGAACAATGCGGGCTGGGCGCGGTGGCTCACCCCTGTAATCCCAGCACTTTGGGAGGCCGAGGCGGGTGGATCACGAGGTCAGGAGATCGAGACAATCCTGGCTAGCATGGTGAAACCCCGTCTCTACTAAAAATACAAAAAATTAGCCGGGCATGGTGGTGGACGCCTGTAGTCTCAGCTACTCCAGAGGCTGAGGCAGGAGAATGGCGTGAACCCGGGAGGTGGAGCTTGCAGTGAGCGGAGACAGTGTCACTGCAGTCCGGCCTGTGCAACAGAGCGAGACTCCGTCTCACAAAAAAAAAAAAAAAAAAAAAAAAAAAAGAAAAGAAAAAGAAAGATGCATTCAGAGGTAGTCTTTGGAATACAAAATCAAGATTTCCAATTTAGAATTCAACCAAGTTCTACATTAACGATTTTAAACAGTGGGTCCAAGGAACCTAGAATTCCAAGGAGGTGACAACATGTTGAAAATTCTTAACCTGATGGTATGGTTCTAATAGGTTCTACAGAAACTCAGATAAAAGATTCTTGTACCTGCTACAAGAATTCAGGTACCCGTCGTGGAGGAGGCAAGTTATAAATTTTGCCTAGAAAACTGCATAGGATTGGGTTCTAGGAAGCCCAAATAAAGCTCCACAAAGCTAATGCTTGCCTCTTCTCATGCTATTAATTGTTCCTTAGAAAATAAAAAAAAAAATTAAGCAACAACAACTTCAATTAAATAATAGAAGCTACCACTTCCCGTGGTAATTAGAGAGATAGATCGCATGTAATTAATCCGGAGCCCCCAGAAGCTACTTTCACCCTTCGGAAATTGGCTTTCAGCCGTTCCCTTTGCAATGGAATGTTGGGGATTTTTAGTTGCCTTTTATGTTCAGTGTGTTATTAATAACCAAAACACCTCTGTGTAAAATATTAATTGCCTGTCTGCCAGCTTTCACCTGAATTTGAATACTTGGTCTATTGAAACCAAATCCATTATCATGCTTTGCTGGGTAACTGACCTCACTGGCAGAGCTTTAATGGAATCCTTGATGAATCTGATGCACACACTTTATCCCATATGGAAGATTTGTCAATATAACTATCATCCTCAAGAAGAAAAAAATACATTTTAAAATAGAAAGCAGATGAAAGCAGGCTCCATCCCACTTGCGGGTGCTACTTATTTGTGAGCAAGCATCCCAGGGAGCAAATTAAAGAGATAATGACTTTGGTAAAACTTGACTTGAAATGGAAGTTTGGAAGGGGAGCCCTGTTAATAGCTTGTCACTGCCTTTGTTAGAGGAAGCCCAGGGGGAAATGGAAGAGATAGCAAGCCAGTGTGCTCATTGCACCTCTAGCTAAAAAGCAGTGAGCTCTGCTGAGAGTAGATCTTAAGGGTGCAGAAAATTTATCCTGGGTGAGCTAACCCAATGTCATGACTTGCAGCATCATTTATAAATGAATGACCTTCAAACCCTGAACTCCAGTCTTCACCCCTCACTGTAACTCCTGAGCATGCTTGGCTTTTCCAGTTCATTCTTGTATTACTTGGGGGCACAGTAGCAAAGAGATGGCACATGTCAATCCACAATTTAAATTCTGCATACGTGACCATGTTTTAAACTAAAAGGACTATACTTCCAAAGGTTAGGTGGAGTTCAGGAAAACCAACAAGGGACAAGACAAAACCCTGAACTAGCAATAAGGGGAGCACTTAGACCATGAGACCCGAAAAGGCAAGAGGAGAACAGAAGTGGCTACAGTATATGTAGAAAGAAACAGAGGAAAGAATCATCAGCTGGGAGCTGTGGCCTTCAGAAGAGGAATGCAGTTAACCCTTGCAGGCCACACAAGCAAGGAGCCTGGGTGATCTATGTCCTGCTTTCACTCACGTTCCATTGTCTAATATTCTGGCACTTTCTATTGGATAAAACCAACTGGAAGAGACAGAGCATGGAGGTCCATGATACCATGGTCAGTCTCCCAGGATAACAAGCCTGATGGAAAAGACAGGAGAATCAGTGGGAGGGTCAAATAAAATATATTCTACACAGCTGGTTAGTGCATACCTCAAACCTACCAAGCCCCAAACGGAACTCGTTATCTCTTTTTACCATGTCCCGATCCTTTGCCTACCCCAGTCTTCTGCATCACAGGAATGACATTGTCAGCCACGCTGAGAGCCAAAACCTCAAAGCTACTCTTGAGCATACCCCCTTTCCCTCACCCCCAACTTGCCTTCTTTCAGCAAGTCCTATAGATTGACTTCCAAAGCATGTCCTTGACTTAGCTCTATCTCCACTGCCTCCATTCTGAACTGAGCCACGTTTCGTTCCCTAATGGATTATTGCAGTGGTCTCCAAGTTGCTCTCTTGCTTCCACTCTTCTGCAAAATCCATTACTGATGCTGAACAAAATCCAAACTCCTTGTTTATCCTTACAAAGGTCTGTGTCACGGGGTCCTTGCCCACCTTTACACCATTATTCCTTACTGCTCATTGCTAGCTACACCCTTCCAGCTCTACTGGCCATCCCCTGCCTTTCAAGTAGGTCAAATGTATTTCAACATAAGGATCTTTGTATTAGCTAATCTTTTTGCTTGCAAAGTCTTTTCTGAAATCACATGGCATGCTCTTTTTGGTCTTCAGGTGTCAAATTAAATGTCATTTTCCCAGAGGTGCTCTCCAGACCATCAAATCTGAAGAGGCCACTGGATTATTCCCTATCATGTTGCTGTGTTTTAGCTTCTTATATATTCGTTCATTCATCTGTTTACTTATGTATTGTTTCTGTTTTTTTTTTTTTAAGTTTAACTATCTGATGCTTTCACCATAATACAAAGCCCAGGAGGTCAATGGCCTGTCCCTCTTGTTTGTATAGGAGAATAGTAAGAGCTCAAAAAGATATTTCTGATTCAATGTTTGAGAGCAGTGGATATTAGTATATTTTTTCAAAAATATCCAGACTACAAGTAAAGGGAAGGCAAAAAAAGAATTCTGATTTGTGGATACAGTTTATGTGAATTAAAATCTGAGCTCTACCACTTAAGAGTTATAAGACACTATGGGAGAAATTACTGTTTTGAGGTGTCTGCCTTTTCATCTGTTAAATGGTGATCCTAATGTTACATATGTCATAGGTTTTGAGGGATTAAATAAAAAAATGCATATAAGATCCTCAACAAATTGCATAGCAAAGAAGTTACACCCTAACAATATTGGCTGTAATTTTATATAAAACAAGATTTTTAGTGTTGTTAGGGTGAGAACCAAAAATTTACAAAAACAAAACAACTAAAAATGACTTATGTATTTCAATTGACAAGTAAATTCCATTCACAATTATGTTTGTTTCCTTCACCATTATAGAACCAGAGCATCAGATACATAATAGACACTCCTTTGTTGCAAATGAATGAATGAATCAGTAGATGATATGCAGCATAATAGAATGGGAACATTTGCAATTCAAACAAAGTTAATCAGTTCACTCAAAAAAAGGAGTTATTGAGCTTCAACTATATGCTGGTGAATGTTTTAGGTAACAGAAAGACATGAATGAATAAAACATGCATGCCCTCTTGAAACGTAGATTGAGAAAAATAATTCAGGAAAGGCAAATCGGGCATGCTGAAGGGTTCTGCTTTTCAAGGGGTTGTCACAGAAGGCCTCATTGGGAAGGTGACATTCAAAAAAACCCTGTAGGATGTGAGGAAGCAAGTGCATGTGTATGTGAAAAGAACAATATTCCTGGTATAGAAAGTGCATGTGCAAAAGCCCAGGAGTGACAGCGTGTCTGATGTTCAAGAGGCAGAGAGGAGCCCAGCCGGCTGGAGTGGAGGAACAGGTAGAGCCTGAGCCCAGAAAGGTCATGGTGGTCAGAGAGCATACGACTACCAGAACCATTGCAAGAACTTTGGCTTCTACTACAGGTGAGAAATGGATTTGTAAAATAAGTGTGCAGTGGAGTGTGATGGCATCTGAATGACACTTGCAAGCACTCTCTGGTTGCTTGCATGAAAACAGACTGAAGAGGTGCAAGTACCAAAGTAGAAATACTGGTTAGAATGGTGTGGAACAGAATGGGAACAAAGGCAATGGTAAAACATTGGTCATGTTCAGAATTTGCTGGCAGATGAAATAAGACTATGAAAAAGAGAAATGTCTGAGACAACACAAGAGTACAAATGCACATTGGGTTTGATAACCATTTTTCTGAGATTTCATTTGGTGATGTGCCCAATTCTACTTTTCTTTTCAAAGATGACATCTTTGAATTTTGGTTGTTCCAAAACTTTGTGAACCCAACTCTCCAACACAGAGTCAGAATGAACATACTATGTGTCTAACTGACCTTAGTCCAGCATGTCTGGACAGGATGGCAGGATTTCTCAAAGTGTGTTCCTTGTAACATTTTCCCCAAGAAATTTTAAAGAATGTTGCAGGAAAAAGCCACAGAAGTTTACTAAAGATAAAAAAATTAAAGAAAAATAGTTAAATATTTGTTACCAAATTGATAAGAGCCTCTATTATATAACTGTACCTTGTGAATTTTCAAGACCATAGCATTACCACAGTATTATAGGCTAAGTTGTTTTCTCTCAAAATTTATGTGTCGAAATTCTAACTTCCAGGTCCTCATAATCTGACTGCATTTGGAGATAGTGCCTTTAAAGAGGTAACTAGGGTAAAAGGAGGTTGTGTGGGTAGGGTCCTAATTCAATAAGACTGATGTCCTAATACAAAGAGGAGATTAGGACATTGACACATATAGGCACAGGGAGAAGATGGCCATCTACAAGAGGGACACAAGGAGAAGATGGCCAGGGAGGGACACAGGGAGAAGGCAGCCATCTGCAAACCAAGGCCAGAAGACTCAAAAGAAAGTAAGCCTGCTGACACCTTGATCTTGGACTTCTGGCCTCCAGAACTGTGAGAAGATAAATTTCTACTTTTTAAGACACCCAGTTTTTAGCATTTTATTATCACAGCCACAGTAAGCTAACACAGGGTGCTTTTTTGTTCCAAAGGAATGAGAGAGGGAGGGCATTTATCCTATGGGAGGACAGCTCTATGCCTTGGCATTCATAGGAAATCAAGATCACTCAGGTACTATCGGAGGCAATAGATGGGTGCATGATTACAAAGTCTCTGAAAGGTAGAAGTGGGTCTTCAGTTACTAATGGTAAAAAAAAAATCATCAAAAAGCAGAAAATAAAAGCATATCAAAGAGGAAGAAAATAAAGTTTTATGCAAAACAGACATGTGATGGTTAATATTGACTGTCAACTTGATTGGATTGAAGGAAGCAAAGTGTTGTTCCTGGATGTGTCTGTGAGGGTGTTGCCAAAGGAGACTAACCTTTGAGTCAGTGAACTGGGAAGGGCAGACGCACCCTCAATCTGGGTAAGCACCATCTAATCAGCTGCCAGTGGGACTAAAACAAAGCAGGCAGGAGAAGACGGGAGAGCAGACTTGCTTAGTCTTCCAGCCTTCCACCCTGTGCTGGGTGCTTCTTGCCCTTGAACATCAGACTCCAGGTTTTTCACCTTGTGAACTCTTGGACTTACACCGGCAATTTGCCAGGGGCTCTCGGGCCTTTGGCCACAGACTGAAGGCTGCACTGTCAGCTTCCCTACTTTTGAGGTTGTGGGACTCAGACTGATCCAACACTGGCTTCCTTCCTCCTCAATTTGCAGATGGCCTATCACGGCACTTTACCTTGTGATCATGTGAGTCAATTTCTCCTTAATAAACTCCCTTTCTTATATACATATATCCTATTAGTTCTCTCCCTCTAAAGAACCATGACTAATATAAGACACAGGGGATATTTTTTATTTAATCTGAAGAAAACATGTTGAAGATTTTAAATTAAAACAAGGAGACCACACCCACCTAAGAATGCACCATAGATTCTTAGATACCCAGAGATGGTACTATGCCATGATCCAACAAGTGGCTTTCCCTATTTAGCTGTTAATTTAGACTAATTCTACATCCTAATTTGGGAAATTTGAGAAGAATGGATAATTACAGAATCCATGCATGCTAAACCTAGTATGCTTATGATATGCTTTGCCCTGTTAATTGCATTTTATTTTGATAATTTCTTAAGACTGCTAACAAAGCTCTAAAAAGGTGCGCGTGCATGTATGTGTGTTGAGAGTGATGGGTAATACACTATCAAAGGCTACATTCCATAAAAATCGATTCATGGGAGAACTTGCAGAATGGTGTACTAAAAAAAAAATATATATATATATATATATACAGAAGAGTTTTCTTTCATCCAACTCAGTTGATTCAGAGGTCTTTAAGGGTCTCCCATAAATTACCAAGAGAAGGAATTAAATACTCTTCCTGAAGTGTTTCTTTTTTATAAGTGTCACGAGCTGCAGAGATAATTAATTTCTTCCCTGTAGACTTGTCCTAAACACCTGATGAGGTGTTACAAAAAGAAATTTCATGTTTCATATCAGCACTTTCAGATGCTATCATTAACTACTAGACTAATCGTGAAATGGATCACAAGATAGACATGCATACAGAACTAGTACAAAGTTTCTAGAAAGAATTTGGCATTTAAAATTTTATGCACTGAATTCCTTCGAAGCAAACCTGAAAATGGAGAGATACTAGCTTGAAGAACATAGCTCAATAGTGAGATAATTTTAATATTCTATTAATTTTTGAGGGCCCTTTCCTCTGAGTATACATTAATTAACTCTACATAGACCTCGGTGTTAAGAAATCTTGTCTTTATGCCTCATAAAATACATGCTTATGCATTCAAGTCCCAACTGTTTCTTCCCATTTCTAAATATCTTCCTCTTACCAAAGCCTTCATGGCCATCATAAACCTCTCTCCATCTGTACTATCTGTAGAATTTACATTTGATTGTTTTATAGTAGTCTATATATTTCATACTATTCTACAGTATTCATTTTAAGGCTTATTAAAATAAATTAGGAGGCTATGGATATAGAAGAGGACTCAAAAATGAACTTTGCCTACTCTTCTGTAAAATAGGGATATTATTGCTTTCCATGAAGTATTCTTGGGAAAGTTAGAGGGAATGTGTAACAAATACATAGTGTCTGCTGGGCAGGGTGTCTCATGCCTGTAATCCCAGCAATTTGGGAGGCTGTGGCAGGAGGATTACTTGAGGCCAGGAGTTTGAGACCAAGCTGGACAATATAGTGAGACCCTATCTCTACAAAAAAGATGAAAATTAGCTGGGTGTGGTGGCCCGCACCTGTAGTCCTAGCTATCCAGGTGGCTGAAGGAGGAAGATTGCTTGAGCACAGGAGTCTGAAGCTACAGTGATTTATGATCACCACTACACTCCAGCTTGGATGATAGAACAGGACCTTGTCTCATAGATAGATAGATGAATAGATAGATAGATAGACAGATAGACAGAGTCAATAAATACCACCTTCTTGTTACTGATGATATTATCATCAATCTTTATTATAATCTCATTCATGCTTCTCATTTTGTAAATGAGTGATCTAAAAGTTTAACAAGGTCCCATTTTAATGTCATGGAAGAGGACAGACCAGGTTTCAAGAATACTACTTACTAGCCCCATGAATATTGTGAAAGGTATTTGACTGATCTTACATACCTTAGAGGAAACCTCAGTTCTTTCGTCTCTCTTTTGAGGGATAATTTTGAAGATTAAATAATATAATAAGTATAAGCAGCCTATGTGGAACCTAGTATATTTTAGACACTTAATAAATGTTAGAAAAGTAAAAAATGATATTAAAATAACTATAAGATACAAGTAAAAATATTTATATCCAAGGAGCATAAAATTCCTTCTAGGCCTTGGTGACTGATGCAAAGTTGGAGAAAAAAATAAGAGCATTCACTCTGCAAATCTGAGCTATAATAATACTAGGAAAAACAAATCTGATCATTTCACCTATATAGGATGATGACCTGGAAATTGGAAGAAAGAACAGAGTCCCTTTGGGGAAAAGATTGAAACCAAAGGTATAAGCTGACCTTGAGTACTTCAGGAGGTCACCAGTAGTATTTATTCAGGATGGAAAGAAGGGGTAGGGGCAGGGCACTCTTTCCTTTAAAAAGAAAAAAAAAAGCAGTGTTCACAATATAAAGGAGGACTTTTCTGGACTTTCTTATACTTACTTTACAATTTAATATGATTATTATTTAAATTACCCATGAGAAAGGTGGATACATCATATTACAGTGTTAAGACTTCTAAAGGCATTAACCTGGCCCTCATGAGCTAAATGCCAACCTGCTATTAAGATAAAAGTAAATGAGGTGCTTTGTACTTATGCCGAATCCCAGGCTGTAATCAGCAGAAACAAATAGAAAATCTGCTCCAATGTGCTCTTGTCCTAAGCTCCTCAGTAGAAGGAAACTGGAAGATAGAAAAGCCACACTCTATTTATGAAGTCTTATAATAAGAGCTGTTAAGTTGAGTAGGGTCAGGGTTGCTGCTTACAGTACAAATTATGTATTGCACAACCTCTGTGGCTTCGTTTACCTGGTAGTCATTGTTGATGTGTAGAGTTGTAATGTAGTTTATAGGCAGAATGGAATAACATGACTTGAGGAAGTAGTGCTTCTGTATAATTGGCACAAAATTGCCATACTGGCTACTCATTGTAGGTTGGGTAGGGAGAAAACTCATGCTAAAGTTGACCAGGTGACATTTTTTGGCTAAAAAAAATAATAATAAAGTCAAGAAAAATAAAGAAAATATTAGCAAGAGGGCAAAAAATAGAAAGAAATGATCAGCGTTCTGTAGGCACTGCTTCCTCTCCACAATGCTAGGACATGCCCAGAGAAGGTGCTACTTGTAATGATGTCTGTGAGTAGAAGGGTGTTGTATATATTTGTAAAACCTGGGTGTTACACCAACAAAGGAGATCAAATATCGTCAAAAGAAATTTGATGGAGACAGAAGAGTAGTCCTAGAGTGTCAGATCAGATGGATGGGTACAAAATGGAGTATTTACTCTTGTTTCTGATTTCTTAATGATCATCATTCAAGATGCAAACCAAGACTTCAAGCTCAACAAGATGAATTCAACATGTAAAAGCCTGCTTACTCTCCCCAGAAGCTGGAATAAGTGATGGCAGAGGAATGTAAACCCCAAATTAAAAGAGCACACAATAGAAGCAGCAGTTGAGGGATA
This sequence comes from Homo sapiens, assembly GCF_000001405.40. Lineage (NCBI taxonomy): Eukaryota > Metazoa > Chordata > Mammalia > Primates > Hominidae > Homo > Homo sapiens. The sequence continues at coordinate 11,267,681 of NC_000004.12, read as the reverse complement.
TCAACAAAATTTTGGAAGTGGCAACTCACATGGGTTGGTGGCAGCTGACTTGGCAAAGCTGAGAAGACTGAGAGCCAACACAGTGGAACTGATGTCGGGGGAGAAGCAAGGAGAGACGCAACAGGAAACAAGCTAAACTCCAAATGAAATGTTTCATAAACTGGAGGCTCCATGTGCCTTAAATGATGGGACTTTTCTTGGGGATAAAGTAGGAAGACTGTTTAAAAGACTACACAAGGAGCAATTGCATGCCCCAGTTCACCTGCCGACAAGTGTAGTGAGGCAACTGACAGAAGACTTTCTCTTTGGAGAAGGTGCCATTACGTACAGCTGAGAGCAGGAGGGAGGTCCGGATGGAAATAAGGGGATTAGGAGGAAGTCAACGGAAAAAGAAAAGAGATGCTCAGGCTCCTGACCTTGCTCATCTCAGAGAACACTTACAGTCAGGCTCCTACCACTGTGGCAGAACATTAGACGATTGTTGCTTGAAGAAATAGACCGAGAGAAGATAAATTTCTATGGATGTTACCACTTGGAAGGCCAGTAGTGAAATGGTAATGTTGCCTGATTAATTGGCTGCAGTGTTCCAGTCAACAGTAGGCACGGGCATGAAGAGCTTTCCATCAAAATTTTGAACTCTTCACTTTAAACAAGAATAAGAGTCAACAGACATTTGAAGGAAGACTCTAAGATCAAAGAACGATGTCATAATAAGAAACACAGTTTTAAAAAAATGAATTTGATGAAAGCAGAAACATGTAAGCAGCATAAAAATCTATCATTTGGATTCTTAGATAAAATAAGATACTGCATATGAAACAAGATCAGGAAGCTGTAAAAATATGAACATTCAAAGAAAAAATTATATAGGAAACTGAAATGTTAATAGCAGCAATTAAAATTTTCAATAAACTGGCTAAGAAATAAGGTTAAAGAAAATTGCCTAAAAGCATAGCAAAAAGATAATAAGATGAAAAATGGTGAAGAAAAGTTTAGAAATTTAGATGGTTTCAAGAGCTTCTACAACTGATTAGCATAAGTTCTGGGAAGAAGAAGCAGAGAAAAATAGAAGGAAGAAGTTTTCTAAGGAGAAAATCAGAAAACACCTAAAATTAAATGGTATATACTTTAATATTTAAAACAGCTTACCACATCCTCTCTCCCTGCAAAAAGGAAGAAAATCTATAAGAAGGCACATCATTGTGAAATTTCAGAAAATAGATTTAGACAATGTCTTAAAAGTTTTCAGAAAGAATGTAGAAGACACACAGAGAGAATTAGGAATCAGAATGGCATCAGACTCCTCCAAAGCAATATTAGAAACAATAGTACAATGACTTTAAAATTCTGACAGAAATGGAATTCTATAACCAGCTAACCTATCTTTTGAGTGTGATAGTAGAAGGCATTTTTAAAGTTCTCAAATATTTAAGCTCCCAGGATTTTAAAAAGTGAATCCATTGGAGATAATAAACCAAAAAAGACAAATTCCCCCAAATAAGATAGCCACACAGAGGACAGGTGAAGGGGATCCCAGCAGTGAGGGGGGATCCCCCCAAAATGGCAGTGCAGCAGGTCTGGGTGGCAACCGCTCAGACTGTGGCAGAGTGGCTGAGAGTGCAATGGGGAATATCTCACAAGAAACAAAACCAAAACCGACAAGCAAACAGTAGTCTCGCAGGTTACTTCCTATTGCGATAAGCTACACTAAATGTTACCGAATTTGATTATACCCGAAAAACATTGTACGGTCTGTCATAATGTTGGGTGTTAAATTAATAGTTCATTTGTTTTCTCTCAAAAAAGCATATAAGGAACAAAACAATTTGGGCTTAGAAAAGTGAACTATATGGAAAGAAAATGTAATGAAGTTTGCATAAGCTAAAGACTGTAAGTGCTGAATACTGTTTTATGTGAAACAGCTGCTAAAACTATGTTGAGCTGATGAAAGAGATGGAGTTGGTGGAGGTCTATGTTTAGGATAAGAAGGGACATGGTATTTCATCTCCCTCTGTAGCATATCAATAGATAATATCAAAGGCCATAAAGCAAATCATGGCCAGTCTGTTCTCCTGCAACATGTGTCTCTGGAATAAGAATTGCTTTGTATGTGTTTTTCACTCATATATGCAGAGATTCTGTTGGTCCATGGGAGAGTTTTTTTCAGTAGTTATTTGGAATTTATCAAAGGTAAACTTTCTTAAAATTTAAGAGGAAAGCGTTAGCAATATGCAAAGATCTTAAGAAAGAAAAAGATGAAAACTTTTATTGAAGTGCCTTCCTTCAGGAAAAATTGTGACATTTTAGTGCCTTTAATAATTACTACAATTTCCATTAACTGAAGGTGTAGGGGGAAGCTGAGGAGATGTTGATGAAGAACGTACAAGGTCATTTCTCTCTGTATTAGGAAAAGATTGATGATGAAGTCTACCCCTTGAGAAAGATTTTTAATTTTGATGAAACTGGTCTCTATTAGAAGCAGATGCCCCCAAGTATTAACATTTTGAAGAAGAGAATAAGAGCTCCAGTGTGGTAGGCTGCACAGGATCCAAGCACTGTGTTGCTGGATGAAAATGACACTGGAGATTTATTTGTGTGACTCATTTTATTACGTTTGATATGTAGTTGATGCTCCACATTTCAAAGTTTTGAGTGGTCTGCCCTCAACCCTAGTTTGCTCATAAATCTGTTATTTTTAGCCCTCAACTTCTGGAACTCTCAGCCTTTTTGGTAATATATTTGCCATCACAGCAAAAATACTTGTGCTTAGAACTATGGAGATAAATGCCAGAAGAAACAGCTAAAATAGATTAAAGTATTGCCTTTGGAGAATAGTAATTGAGAATAGGGAGGTATGAGAGCATGGGAATTCTCTTTTCTTTAAAAGCCTACTATGTATAACTTTGATAAAAATAAATTTTAAGTACAATAATAACTTCTAATGAAAAAGACTTGAGCAAAGAACACTATATGTCTAGGAATATAATGCATGAAACTGACATCCCACTTAGTAATATCATTCAGAAATACTGAGCAGATCTTAACAAGCAGTCTTTAAACATATAGCTGAGCCCTTAAGAAAGTAAACCACAGACAAAAAATAAAGAATTAAAAAACAGGGTTGCAGGTGTGGGGCTCAGCTCTCTGATGGGACAGAGAGGAAAGAAGAGTTGAGAAGTTGTTTTGAAGTCTCAGCAAAGAAAGACATTGGGGCTGGGACTCAAACATAAAGCCAAGACCCTCAAATGGCTTTGCCACAATTAATTGACATCATATCTGTCCTCACACTTAAAATTGACTTAAAAACATCCTTGTCTATCTTTTATTTTGGCCAGGACTGTATATAGAAGAAAAAAATCTCACCTGAGATTTTTTGCTATAACTCTGCTCTTGTGGATGTTTGAGAATTAAATTTATACTAGCTCCTTCAGCTAATAAATTAGACCAAAATGTGGTCCCAGGCTGGTGATACTCTGGGGTGTCTGGCAACGGCAAATTCAATGCATATCCTTACCAAGGCCACTCAAGAGACCACATGTAATATCCAGCTGAATGTGGGTTCACATCACAAAAGTACAAAATCCACCAAGAAATAGTCCAATTTTTAGCATTTCAACAAATGCTTATCAAGACCAATTCTGTGCCAGGCATTGATCTTGGCACTAGGATAACAGCAAAGAAGAAAAAATTAAAAAAAAAAAAAATTCCTCAGAGGAACTTATATTCCAGTCAAGGAGACAAAGTGCAGACCCAGCAAAAACTTCGACAGAATTAAATTCCCCAAACTTTAGAGAGTAGAACTATTGGATAACCTATGAAATACAAACATTGCTGAAAGAGAACACTAATGTATACATTAAAATAACTAAATAGAAACAAAAATGAAAAATGCAATCATTGAAATAATAACCAAAACCGATTTTGAGTGATGGTTTAAACAGCCAATTTAACAGAGACGAATGTAGAAACTGGCAAATAAATAGAAGAAAACTACTTGGAGTGCAGTAGGTGATATCCTGGGGTGCCTAGACAAAAAGAAGAGACAATGTGAAAGACAGTTTGAAATTCGAAGAAGGGAATGAAAAGGTCCAATTACTCTCAAGAGAATGAGAGAGATAATATGCAAAAAATACAATGAAGTGTTATTCAGCCTTAAATATAAAAGAAGATCCTATCATTTGGGGGGACATAAATGAAACTGGAGGACATTATGCTAAGTGGAATAAACCAGACAGAAAGAAAGATACTGCATGATCTCATTTATCTGGAATGTAAACAAAAGTTGAGAGCAGAGTAGAAAGGTGATTACCAAGGGTGAGAGATGGGCTGTGGAGAGATAGTACAAGGAATACAAAGTTGCAGTTATGAGGAGAAAGAAGCCTAGAGATCTAAGGTATCGCATGAAGACTATAGTTAATAATATCCTATTGTACACTGGAAATTTGCTAAAACAGTAGATTTCTCTTTTTAACACAAACACACACACATTATGTGTAACGACGGATACGTTAACTTTCTTGGTTATAATAATTTCACTCTATTTATGTACATCAAAACATCATGTTTTGTAGAACTTAAATATATACAATAAAATAAAAAGAAAAGTGAAAATAAGGGGAGCAAAAGAAAGACATAATGAGGTGGTGGTAACTTCTCAGAATTTATGAATGTCATGTTAGAGATAAACTGACATTTTCTCTTTATGTTGATAGGTCTATAGTATCCTGTGCATTCAAACAACATTACAAAATTTATATTCTATTGTTATTTTCTGTCTATAAACTGTTTTTTTCTTTCTTCTCCCTTTCCCTCTTCCTTCTTTTTCTCCCTTTCTTTCTCCTTTCCTTACTTCTGGCCAAAATTCCTTGAGTACCTGATCTTCATAGGCACTATTGAGAATGCAGTGCAAAGACTTGATGGGGAGTGTATTCCAGTTGGGAAGAACTTCTAGGTGAGTAGGGTCCAGAGAGAAAAGCTAGGGAAATAATGCAATCCTGGCCTCATCTGAATATTTCTTGCCTAAAGAGTCCATTGTGTTAGCATCCAATTAATTTGGTTAAATAACTAAAATGACAAATTTAATCTCCAATAAAATGTGTATAAAATAATGAGGTGGAAGAGGAGAGAGATGTAATATGAGGTTACATATGCCAATATGTCTCTATATGTATATATAAATGTGTGTGCAGAGATATGCGTGTGTGTGTGAGTATACACTTTCTCATGAACACATGCGCACAAGCAAGGAATAAAACATGCCTAGTTTCTAAAGCCTTTGTTTCTGTAACTGGTCACAAAGTTACAGTGGGTATTGACAACTTTTTTTTTCCATCAGCCTTTCCAAGTTTCCTTTGCTCTCAGCCAGGACCTCAGCTACTCAGTGTGTTTTTTTGTGTGTGTGTGTGTGTATCGTTGTTGTTGTTGTTTGCTTGTTTGGTTTTTGTTCTGTTTTGTTTTTTATCTTGTAGAGTGAGCCACACTCTCATTTTTGAAGGGTCTGCATCCTCAACTATTAGACATGGAAATACAGAGAGGAGCATTAGGGAATCCCCAGGGCACTAGACACAGCCCTGACTCTCCATTGTGGAGCAGCAACCCGTCTTCCCCTTGGTAATTGGGATCAGTCATGTCAGCCAGTGGTACATGTCCTTGCTTTCCTAACCTACTTTATAGGACATAGTGAGGGCTAGTTGAGATAGCGTATGGATACTGAGTACCAGGTATGTAGCAGGGTCTCTAAAAATATAAGCTCTTCCCCCTTGAGTTTTCCTTCAGATAGTACTTACATTACTGTTGATTACTGCTGGGGTTTTTAAAAAAGAGGTTTATTAATTTAAAAAATAAATAAATATATTTTCCTCCTTGCCTGTGTTAAAATAGTTTGGGAAATAATGTGTGTTTTTTTTAATGTTCAGTTATCACCTTCATTAACTATTGAGGCCATCCTGAAGGATGTAGCTTCAAGGATGAGCCAAGCTCACATTCTGAGCTTCAGGATTCAGTGGCAGATTGACCCATCTATTCCCTGCAGCACAGCAGAGCAGCTTGGCCAAGCAAGTGCTGCAGCATGAGCAGCAGAAGAGAGTCCATGCTCTCTAGGGGCAGCCAGCTCCTAAGAGGAAAGCAGAGGTCAAAGCTAACCAACCCCAGGTGATTCTTCCCAAATTTACCAATTAAGTAATTCAGCCTACCACCCCCATTCCCCTCCCCAAGGAGTATGAGGAGAGGAAAAACTGGAAATATGATGTTTGCTTAGGAGAAATCCCTCAACAAGGACCCTGGGGTAGAGTGTCTTACCACACTGTAGCAGTTACCATCCTAAATACATTAGGATGGGCCACATTCAGCCACCACTCCTGAATTTGCAGGCACGAATACAGTGCATGGCACTCATTGGTGAAATATGACCAGCCTGGCTTCCTAAGAGGAGCAGCAAGAGGAGCCCTCAAAAAGGATGAAGTTGTTGGCCAGGTGCAGTGGCTCACGCCCAAGACTTTGGGAGGCCAAGGCGGGTGGATCACTTGAGGTCAGGAGTTTGTGACAAGCCTGGCCAACATAGTGAAACCCTGTATCTATTAAAAATACTAAAAATAGGCCGGGCGCGGTGGCTCACGTCTGTAATCCCAGCACGTTGGGAGGCCGAGGCGGGTGGATCACGAGGTCAGGAGATCGAGACCATTCTGGCTAACACGATGAAACCCCGTCTCTACTAAAAATACAAAAAATTAGCCGGGCGCGGTGGCGGGCGCCTGTAATCCCAGCTACTCGGGAGGCTGAAGCAGGAGAATGGCGTGAACCCGGGAGGCGGAGCTTGCAGTGAGCAGAGATCGCGCCACTGCACTCCAGCCTGGGCGACAGAGCGAGACTCCGGCTCAAAAAAAAAAAAGAAAAAAATACTAAAAATTAGCCAGGCATGGTGGCATGCATGTATAATCCCAGTTACTCAGGAGGTTGAGGCATGAGAATCACTTGAACCCGGGAGGCAGAGGCTGCAGTGAGCCGAGATTGAACCAGTGCACTCCAGCCTGGGCAACAAAGTGAGACACCATCTCAAAAAAAAAAAAAAAAAAAAAAAAAGATGAAGATGTCAAGTCTCAGGTACTCCTGAGTCTGGAATCCTCCTGTGTGGAAATTTTAGATCCTTTTATCACTGTTTTATCCAAGATCCCATGACTCGTCTATTCAATAGTGTTTTTTTCAAAGCAATCTGTTGGGATAAAGTCCGATTCTGAAGAGGATTAAAACAAAATGTAGATTTAATTATATTTGTAGTCATTTGATAGGGAAAAAATACATATGTAACTAATTTTATGTGTCAAGACCCAGAAAGGATTTGGATACTTCATATGTTAGGAACAAAACAAACACACATTATTCTGATGTTCTTTCTTTAAATCCCCAAATCCCTGTATTTCTGCCAGGTGTGACGGTCTTTTCATTTCAGCAGTGAATACACAATGACACCACTTCTTAGAAAACCTAGACCAAAGAGAGGGTTATCTCCCCAGCTATCCATTTCTGCAAACAATCTCTCTTTCTCATGTTTCCCCTCCCTTCCTCTCATCTCAAACATGAGCCATCCTGTTTTCCCAGGGAACCAGGGTTGGAGAGCCACTTTCTTTTCACACAGTCTGAGGCTCTGTTTTTGGTGACAATTGTGCTGTGTCCTCTGAAGGAGGCCATCTGTTCACCTTGGCGGAGGTGAGTATCTCATTACCTGTCAAGATTTCCAAGTTGGCTCCTTTTATTGTATTGGAATCGACACCTTTTGATTCTTCAGCTCAAGTGCTGTTGGTGCCAGAATCTTTTTCTGGGGCTAGGGAGATGATTTCACAGCCTTGCTGGGGCCCCTTAGGAGATGTCTGACCAGGGTCCTGATGGCTTGGACATTGTTCACCCTCCTTCCTTATCATGCCTCACCAGCCCCACGTGGTGAATGCATTGTTGACATCATTTCTCAATTATTCACTGTTTCCCAAATAATGCAGAGGATGAAATAATGAAAGAAACAGGTTGACCAAAAAGCCTGCTAAATAAGCTCATTATTTGCAACCCAAATTAACTTTCCCAATAGATCATTAATGCCAGGTTAGTAAGCAGTATAAAGACATTCACCTATCTAGACTCAATTTATTTACCTTGATTGAAATAAGAAACAGAAGATAATTGCAAACCTTCCAATGATCTTATGAATCATTATAAATCCAATTACTTCCCTTTCTTCCCCAGATTGAGAAAGTACGTTATAAATAAATGAGGTCACTTTTCATATCTATGGAACAAACTGAAGCCCAAGGCCAGTTTGTCAGGGGATAGTATTAATTGGGGAAAATATCAAGGTGAGACATCAGTTATTTTTAGAACATATCTTCTTTTGGCAATCCTGTATGTCCCAATAAAACTTTATTTACAAAACCGAGTCATGGATCAGATTTATTCACTCCTGAACTAGACATTGTTGCCTATTTTTTTTACTATTGTGTTAAGAACACTTAACATGGGAACTACTCTCTTAATACATTTTTAAGTGTAAATACTGTGTTGTTATCTATAGGTGCTATGATGCACAGCAGATCTCTAGGACTTATTCATCATTTGTGAGTAAAACTTTATACCTGCTCAACAATAACTCCTCACTCCTCCCTCCCAGCAGCCACCATTCTATTCTCTGCTTCTACGAGTTTGACTCTTTCGGATTCCACATACAGATGAATTCATGCAGTATTTGCCTTTCTTTGTCTAGTTTATTTTATTTAGCATAATTTCCTCCAGGTATATACATGTTGTCACAAATGGCAGGATTTCCTTATTTTTAAGGCTGAATAGCATTCCATTTGTATATGTATCACATGTACAATTAGGTTGTTTCCATATCTTGGTTATTGTGAATGATGCTGCAATGAACATAGGAGTGCAGATATTTTTTTCAAGATCCTGCTTTCAATTATTTTGGATAAATACCCAGAGGTAGAATTGCTGGATCTAAGGATAAGTCCATTTTTAATTATTTGAACAATTTTTTTTGGAGACAGAGTCTTGCTCTGTCCCCCAGGCTGGGGTGCACTGGCATGATCCCAGCTCACTGCAACCTCTCCCTCCCAGGCTCAAGCAATCCTCCCACCTCAGCCTCCCAATACCACACCCAGCTATTTTTTTTCTATTTTTAGTAGAGACAAAGTTTCACCATGTTGTCCAGGTGAAACTCCTGAGCTCAAGTTATCTGCCTACCCAGCCTACCAAAGCGTTAGTATTACAGACGTGAGCCACTGCACCCGGCCCGAAGAATCTTCATACTGCTTTTCACAGCAGCTACAGCATTTTGCTTTCCCACCAACAAAGTACAAGGGATATAATTTCATCATCTCCAACATTTATCTTTTTTTCATTTCCTTTTTTAATAATAGTTATCTTAACAGGCTTAAGATGAGATCTCATTATGATTGTGATTTGCATTTTTCAGATGATTAGTGATATTGACCATCTTTTCATATATCTTTTGGCCATTTGTATGTCTTCTTTGGAAACATATCTATTCAAATCCTTTAAAGCTATTAAGCTACTAGAAGAAAACATAAAGGAAATTTTTTTTTTCTTTTTCTTTTTTTGTTGAGACGGAGTCTCACTCTGTCGCCCAGTCTGGAGTGCACTGGCGCAATCTGGGCTCACTGCAAGCTCCGCCTCCCGGGTTCACGCCATTCTCCTACCTCAGCCTCCTGAGTAGCTGGGACTACAGGCGCCCACCGCCACGCCTGGCTAATTCTTTTGTATTTTTAGTAGAGATGGGGTTTCACCGTGTTAGCCAGGATGGTCTCCATCTCCTGACCTCATGATCCGCCCGCCTCGACCTCCCAAAGTGCTGGGATTACAGGCGTGAGCCACCGCTCCCGGCCAGGAAAAGTTTTATGACATTGGTCTAGGCAATGATTTCTTAGAACAAGCAACAGAAGCAAAAATAGAACAGTGGGAATGAATTAAACTAATATGCTTATTTATTCATAACAGTTTATTTATAATAGCAAATAAAACAATCACCAGAATAAATAAAAAAAAGCAAGCTATGGAATGAACATATTTGGCCATCAAGCATCTGATGAAAGTTACTCTTCAAAATACCTAAAAAACACCTACAACTTAATAGCAAAAAGCACATAATCTGATTTAACCACACAGCCACCTAGTGAGGCAAAGGTTAAAAACTGCTCTTTATAGACTAGGAAAAGGAAAGTTGAAGAAGTTAAGTAGCAAATCCAAAGTTACCCATGCATGGACTCAGAAATTAAGCCCAGCTTTCCCTGACTGCAAAGTGCACACATACACATACACAAACTCACAAGTGTGGTACTTTTTTGACTGTGAGAGTCACGATATTTAGCACATATTAAGCTATTACTATTTCCATATACTGTACAATCCTTGAGAATATAGCTCCAACAAAACCCCAGCTCTCATGGAGCCTCCATTCCGTTCAGATAAGCTAACATTAAAATAATAACTATAAAAACATAATTGAAGAATTATTGTTTCTAGTCTGAAACACAAAGAGCTTAGAAGTCACCACACGTCTTCCAATGAGAAGGGAGCTATATTTGGAGGTAATTTGGAGGCAATTGCATATAAAGCAGGTAAATTGCTTTAAATGAGGTAATAAAGGTGGAGCCCTGATCTGATAGGACTTGTGTCTTTATTAGAAGAGACACCACAGGATCTGCTCTCTGAGCACAGACAGCAAGGAAAGGCTGTGTGAGAACATAGCAAGAAGGTGGCCACGTGTAATCCAGGAAGAGAGCCCTTCTCACAATCTGAATTAACCAGAACCTTTATCTTGAACTTCTATCCTACAGAACTATGAGAAAATCAGTTGCTGTTATTTAAGCCACCTAGTTTATAGTATTTTTCTATGGCAGCCAGAGCAAAATGTGTGACAAGGCATAGGCAGTTGATTACAAACAATCCCTCATTTTGGTGCTTATTTTCCACAAGGCTTGGCTAAGTTCTTCCACGGAAATCACAGAGGGAGACAAGGAAGGAGGAGGAAACATTGACTGCGATTTCCTCTAAGGCTAAGAAGTCAACAGAGAAGGCAGACTCTGAGTATATCAGATCTGTGAAGCTAGAGGGGCTCACAGGATGGCAAGACCTTAGAGAGAAATGGTGTGGCATGTATCCTGGGAGCACAGGCCTGAAACACAGCAAAGATTTCTGTGCCCCCTGGGCTAGATGCCACTTGATCTTTCTGCTTTAAGGACTTTGTAGACTGAGGCACAAGGATATCAGCAAGAATCATAATTGAAAACCCTATTTCCTATTTTGTAGGCACCATGAAAGCCTCCAGAATAATTTTGAAATCTTCAGAGAATAATGACTACTACTAATAACGAATTCTTCCACCAGTTCACAACTAGTGACTTAGAGTCAGATTTAACATGATTTAAAGGAATGATAAATAAATGTGATATTCTTGTCGACTCAGTTAGTGTAGTAAGATACTCATCAGTCATATATGAAAATGCTATTTGGGTCAGACCAATATGTAGAGTTTTTTGGGTGAAGCAGAAGGTGCAAAAAGAAGTAGAGAAAGGAAGAGCAGGAATATGTTTTAACAGAGATTGGAACACTGTTTTGCCAGAGTCCATACTCAGCGTTCAAGCAGCCCCACGGAGATGTTCTTTAATCAACCCCACTTTATAGCTGCTCTCTTAGCTGTGTCTCCAGACATGTTGTCCAAAATCTGGATGACATTTAATGTTCATTCCAGCCTGGAGGGGACATGAATAAAGCCATACTGTAAGCTGAATGGGACATCTGGATTAAACCTAACTTCCTCTCATGGGCATGGCTCCCCTTTCTAAAGACGTATGCAAGGTCTGCTGATTGCCAGGAGCCAAGGATGAGCTGCTAAAGAGAAAGGAAGCCGCATCCTTCTCTGAGACAAGAAGTCCTAAATGCAGCCCATACGTACTGAATTCTTGGCCAGCAGCATTTGACTCTGATGATCAAAAGTCAACCTGCCAAAATGAGGTGGGTGAAGCAGCTTAGCATATGGAGCTGTCTTCTTTGGAAGCACTCCCTTAATCCTCAAACCAAAGGATGTTAAATTGATAGGCTGCTCCGATGTCCTCTGATTTATTGCAGACCAGTGTCATGGGCTGGGTGGAATTCATTGTGAGAAAGGGCTCAGAAGGGACAGTTAAAGCCTTGAGTTCAAATCCTGCCCTAGTGTTTCTGCTACCCTAGTATCTAACAGTAAGACATGCCTTTTTAAATCTTTGGGAGAATTAAATAAAATACGGTAGACATAGCCACTTTATCAACTGCAAAGCATAGATAGTAGGTCTTGCTGTACTTTTATAAATGGTGTTAGTGATTATAGTTTAGTACCTTCAAACAATGTAAATAAAATAATAGAAAATATCACACAGTGCTTACTACTGCCAGAAAATGTACTATGTTCTAAAAGCTTTACATATTTTAATTCACTTAATCTCCATGCTAACTCTACATGGTAGTTACTTCTATGATACCATTTTACAGAAGAGGAAACTAAGGCATAGTGGAGTTAAGTAACTTGCCCAAGGTTATACAGCTTTAAATGGTGGTCCTAGAATTTAAAACAGATTATCTCTCCTTAGAGTTCTTAGTTTTACCACTGAGTTGTACTGTTTTTCTGAACTCTCATCTCCAAGTATTCTCCCAGTTCACATTGCTTTTTGTTCTTTCTTGATGTCTTTGTCCAGTCATTCTCTCAAAAACCATTGATAGAAAGTCCTATGGGTCACAGCACAGGTCTAGGCCCAGTGTGGTGGTGACTATGGGACACCCATTCTTCCAAGCCCTCAGAGGTGGGACAGCATCTGAGTGAACATGATTTTGCATGTATGTGATGCTAATTTTACGTATTAACTTGGCTGGGCCCTGGAGTCCAGATGTTTGGTCAGGCATTTTTTTTAGATTTTTGGGATGAGACTAATATTTAAATCTGTGGACTTTGAGTATAGAAGATGACACTCCATATTGTCAGTGGATCTCACCTAACCAGCTGAAGGCCTGAAAAGAACCAGCAATGACCTCCTTTGAGTAAGGAGGAATTCTGCCAAAAGATGACCAATGGACTCTACTGCAGCTCATCTGAGTCTCCAAACTGCCAGCCCGCACTCTGGATTTTGAATTTGCAAAGCCTCCACAATCATCTGAATGAATTCCTTAAAAATCAGTCTATCTATGTGTGTGTGTGTGTATCCAGTTAATGTATTAGTGTAATTTGTGGATTTGTGTAATTAAAGGGCCACAGAAAACCAACATGGAAATTTCTTTGACGTTGACGCAGATAACAAAATAGGCAGCAACATGGCACGTGTAGTCTTCTGCTTTCTCTCAGAAGATTATCCTGATAGTTCCTCAGTTCAGCCACAGCTAAAAGATTTTGATGTTCATTAAGTGGCCCCTTTACTTGTTAATGTAGTGCCAAGAATGGCAAGAAAATAATGGGCTGAGTGGAGTGAGGATGGCTTGACTTGAAGGAGATGTCAGACCTCTTACAGCACCCACACTCTGCCATGCCTAGGAGCTCACTTCTCACATCTGCCAGCTTTACCCTCTGCTGGACATCTGGTGTGGGCTCATGCCAAAGGGATCACTTCTAGTGAGGCAAGGAACCTTAATTGATCATTCTTCTTTTTTCCTGCCTGTGCTCCTGAAGTTTTGCTCAGTCCTCACTCATCCTAGACACATGAAACATGATGACCAAAGCAGGAGAAGGAACAGGGAAAGTGGTGTCAGGAAAGCAAGGCCAAGAGGAACTTCAAGAAAGGGAGAAGAGGCAGTAAACACATGACACCTGCATAGGAATACAGGCAGGCTTTCCTGAACTTAGCGATAGGCAACCTTAAGGGAGGCAGAGCCAGTTCCATGGAGGGTAAAAGGACCTTGATATTAGGAGGTTGCAAATGGAACAGAGGAGGAGAAAATCAAGAAAGTGAGGATTGGACTTTCCATAATCTCAGCAATAAAAGATTTTAGAGTCAAAGGCATCTCTCTCTCTTTCCTCTCTCTCCCTCTCTTTCTCTCTCTCCCCCCCTCCTCTTCCTATCCCTTCTTCTCTCCCTCCCATTCTCTCTCTCTCTCTCTCTCTCTCTCTCCCCTCCATCCCTTTTGCTTTTCTTTAGTTTTAGACATGGAGGAACTCCTTGAACATCTTTCCATGTCGAGATCAAAAAGGCAATAGAGAGGAGAAGTTAAATTAAAAGGATAATTGATGGAGAGAGAAATGTCTTTAAGGAGGTTGAAGGCCATGGTATTTAGAGCAGAGCTGGAAGAATTATGTGCCAAGTGCTGCTGGCACTGGAAGAATTGTGTGCCAAGTGCTCCTGGCACTGTGGTGCAAGCCAGCTCCATCATACCTGGATCCACTTGTCAGTTAGTTACCAAATGTCAAGGAAAAATACAAGGAACTTGTAGCAGACAGTGTTGGTGCTCCTTCCAGATCCCCTCACATTCCTTTTTTATTTAGGTATTTTCTTGGTCGTTAATTGGTTTGTTTGCTTCTTTAGTGTGCCTTCAAGGTCTTCCCAAGTCTTCTTTGGCTTCTAACACCAACACCTTTTCTTGGAGGAAATGCCATTGAGCTACCTGTAGGCAAGGTAACAGGAAGTACCTGGGAACTTAGTCCTCTCAGGAGTCCTCTCAGGAGTCCTCTCAGGCCAGTAATGGACAGATGCCGGGTTGTGCAAACCCAATTTCTTTGCTTGGTAGGAAGACTCAGAGGCACACTTTACAGTTGAGAATTTTGCTCTGGAACAGCCCAGAGCCAGTCCTCTCTGAGACTTTGCCTGAGCCCTTGGTCTTGCATGGATTCCTGCCCTTCACTTTCTGCTTTCTACATACCCTTTGGTTCTTTGCTTCAAGACTTTTCTTAAGAAATCCCTTGCAAGTAAATCCTCACTTTTGAGTAGACTTCTGTGGGCCCCCACCTAAAACAGATGCTTTTGAGCAGAAACTTAAAGGACTAACTCAATAAGATGAGTTGGGAAAGAAGATTTTAGACAGATTGATTAGGACCAAGGGTTCAAAGATGAGAAAGTACCCAGGAAGAAAGGGCAATGAGACCACTGAGGTGAGCCTGAGGGTGAAGATGGAGTGACCAGCCTTGAGGAGTGTCCATCCTGGGGGGGAAGACGGACTTGGCAGTGGGATAATCAAAGTTTCAATTGTCTTTTGTGTTTTCCTTTTGAGATAAGAGTGTGGGGAGAAGGATTAGATTTGGGTTGGCAGGATTTTGTACTCCAGCTCTAGAGGGCGTGTCTGGTTCTGCTAAGAAGCCTTGTGATAAGCACCTGCTGAGTGCCCCCAGTGGGCTGTTGTTCATACCGAGAGCAGAGCAGGAAGGCATGTGTTCTCCAGGAGCTCAAACCTTAGCAGCAGAGAATGGTAGAAGCCCCATTAGCTATAGGACCATGAAACTGTGCAATTCAGAGAGAGAGAGCTAGCTACTTGAGGACTTAACAAAGCTCTCTCCTCCCTTGGAGATGACATGAGTGCTGACTCTCCAGTGGGCATTTTAGATACAGAGTAAAAGGGCTGAGGAGGGGCAGGTGGGAAATCATCCAGACACAGCCAACAGCCCAAGGCTAAGACAAGAGCATTTGGTCCAGAGGAGAAAAGATGAGTCCAGAATGGCCACAAACACTCTGAGTGTGGACAAACGTGGTGAAAAGGACACTGAGTTGTAAGTGGGTTCATGCCAATGGGTCTAAACTTAATTATTAAGGTAGGAGGGTCAATGGATCTTAATAGTGGAGGAATGCTTGGATTCTCTCTATGCCTTAGGCAGATGACTGACAACAAGTGACAAGGAAGGTAATTTGCCAACCTCACCTCTACCAGCACAGGTGGGTTTCCTTCTTGCATTATCTCAACTGGGTTGGGAACCCATTCTTTTATCAGAGTCTACTTCTGATAAAACAGATTCTGTATTTCAATACACTTACATTTCCAGGCAACCATGCCAACTATGTTCCCTAAAGGTATTCATGCACAGTTTATTTTTCTGTCTTTTAATTTGGTAAATTGCCCTGTGAGACTGACATATATATTCATGTGTTGTCTTTTACATTTTTTCCTGTTACTTTGCTATTTCTTTAGGTATCCGTCTTGTAAAACTAATAATTAGCATACAATTAAATACAAAAGCAATCAACCCAAGAAGATGGCTCCTATAATTTGTCACAATCTCGCCTGAGCCCTGTATCCCTTTTATTGTTTGATAACTCAAGCCTAGTAGCAAAACATTCAATTATGAGCAGTCTCAATATTGAAGGATTACCTGAATGTGATACAAAATCAAACAAACTATGGCTGTCTTGTTTCTCTTGCAGCCTACAGAGATGGGGCATCAGCAGGTGGCAAAATGTGCACATTGACCTCAGGCCTGATGGAGTTGATAATGAAGGCAACCTGGCCAAGCAACCTTGCAAATAATAGAAAGAGGCTCTTGTTGCAGCTCTCTTTGCTTTGCTGTGAAAACATTTGCTTAAGAGCAAAATGGTATATTTCCAGACCAGTTTAGTGAGGCAAATATAGTTCTAAGGGCAATGCTAATCATTTGGTAAGAGAGGCAGCCAGAAGCTATTTGTTGAAGTTTGTTCTTTGCCAAGTACTTTATGAATATTATTCCTCATTCTCACAATAATTCTGCTGGTGGATCTACTGTCCTCATTAAACACTTGAAAAAACAATGACTTAAAATTTAGTAGAAATTTATTGTAGTGTATGGATCAAGAAGAAGAGAGGAAGAAAATGGGAATTTTAGATTTTCTGGGTAAGAACATACCAAATGGGGAAAGAGCTATCCACTATAATAATATGAGATGATGTTTTTATATTATATACTAATATAACTATGCAAATTCAAAATTGTTTCAATACTAGTAGAAGCAAGTGAAACTGAAACTAATCTTATTTTCTTTCAGGGCTTGGAAAGTAGATCATGTATTCTGTGGGTCAGGGCTAATTCAGGTGCAGAAGACACCTATGCATGACTCCAATCTCAGGAGAGGTTAGAAAAATCAGGGCCCCATGATGTTCAAGTTTTTCAAAGTGGAGCATGGCTTAGAAAGAACTGAAAAATGCTGCATTACACCACACATGCTTGTACAAGGTTAGGATGACAGGGACATATTTATCAGTTAATTTAAAAATCATCCATTAAACATGAATCAATGTACAATTTATTGAGCAACTACTATGTGCCTGTCATTGTATTAGATGCTGAGGCATCAGAGTGAACAGAACAGAGTCCTTGCCACAGTTACATTCTACTGGGGGAGCAGATAACATGTAATTAATGAAAATGACAGGATATAAGTGACATGAAAAAATAAAGCAAGGTAGGAAGATGTGAGAGTGAATATGAGAGCAGAGAGTTCCAAAGGGTAGAACTGGTGGGTGATTGAAGTTGTGCTAGTTGAGTCAAGACCTCAGTGAAGTGCAGAGAAGCTCTTCAGAGAAAGGCTCTGAGAGGAAGACATGCCTGTCATGGTCCAAGAATAGTGAGGGAGCCAGTGTGCCTGCTGGTTACAAAGGAAGGAGAAGAAACATAAACTACACTGCATCTAACACAGAATCCCAGGAAACTGAGGAATTGAGGAGCTGTTTTACTTTTTTTTTTTTTTTTTTTTTCTGAGACAGTCTCACTCTGTTGCCAGGCTGGAGTGCAGTGGCACAATCTCGGCTCACTGCAACCCCCACTTCCTGGGTTCAAGCGATTCTCCTGCCTCAGCCTCCCGAGTAGCTGGGACTACAGGCACATGCCACCACACCCAGCTAATTTTTGTATTTTTAGTAGAGACTGGGCTTCACTATTTTGGCCAGCATGGTCTCCATCTCTTGACATTGTGATCTGCCCGACTCGGCCTCCCAAAGTGCTGGGATTACAGGTGTGAACCACTGTGCCCGGCCCTTGAGAGATGAATTTACTCATTACTGTACTGGTGCAAATCAGTAAGGATATTTTATTTATTTCAATGTTTTATTCTTAACTATTATGGGCACATAATAGTTGCACATACTTATAGTGGTGACATTTTAAGAAAGTGCAATGTTTAAAGTTTAGGCTGTTGAGTCATATTAACTCAACAAATCCTTCATGGAGGGGTCTGAGGATTAATTGTGAGTCAGATACAGTTTTCCAGTAGGGCTTGGTACCAATGATTTCAATGAGACTCTGTCACTGTTCTTAGAATTATTCACACAGTACAGGAAAGAATATCCCTGCCAACAGCTTCCTCTACAGGGAAGAATGAAATAAGCAACCACCAATATGGTAGAGGGAAAAGCACACCCAAAAACATTGCCTTAAAGGGACTTGGGATTTAGCGCTGCCTTCGTCCCTCACTTAACATAATCTCAGAAAAGATAGGTAATCTTCATGTGTTTCAGTTTTCTCGCCAACAGGATGGAGGTTATGATACCTACCTTGAGAAATTTTGGGGACAAATAAAGGAAGCTAAAAGACTGTCACTACTGTGACTGGCCCAGGGCCTGAAAGAGGACATTCTCCCCATCCCCAGAAACAAGAATGAGGCAGGACAGGCCTGTAATTAAGGATGATTCTGAGGGATGCAACTAAGAAGCATCAGTCACTGTAAGAACAGGAGGCCAACTGTAAGAGAAATTTTAGGTTCAAACATCAGAGATTCTAGATATCTACTGCAATTGACCTAGACAAAATTAAGACCAGAGTCAGTAACCAGAATGGAAGCATCAAGGAAAGCCAGGAATGGGGAGTGAGAGCAGGTCAGAAACTGGGGCCAGAGTACAATTCATTCGGTGGCTGGAGGAATAAGTGGCAGGGGCAAGTGGGCTGTCTTTAAGGTTTCTGAGCACCTGTGAGTGATGTACTGTCCTTCATTGAGTCATTTGTTTTCTACTTTTTGCATTTTCTTTTATTTTGTTTCTTCAACAAGTGTTTTGAGTGTGTCCAATGTGCCAGTGCTGTTATAGCTATTGGGGATAAAGAATAAAATAACATTGTCCCCACTCTCAACTACCTTACGTTATCCCGTAGAGGATAAGCAAGTAAATCAAGGAATTTAAACAACAACCAAAATATATTGTGTTATAATAAGTAATATTAAAATAAAATAGCAAAGTTGCCTAGTACATGACTGGGAGTTACTTAGCATGGTCAAAGAAGAGTTTTTCTCTTCCCTGATTTTATTTGGAAAATTTTAAAATTGCAGAGATTGAAAATATAGAACACACATGTACAACACTCATGTAGATTCACAATTTTCACATAGGTTATCACACTCGCCTTTCCTTTGCTGAACAATTGCAGGCATGATAACATGTTATCTCTAAATATTGTAGCATTTGTCCTGTAAAAGTAAAGTACTTCTTCTATATTTCACAATATAATTACCATAATCAAGAAATATTAAATTTATTCAAAGATATATGGTGCTAGGTTTCAGGCTATCAGACCCAGATAGGAAATATTTTTACACTTTGTGGTTCAAGATGCAAAATCAAGGATATGATCAGGTAACTATACAACAAAATGAAAAACAGTTGCCTAACATTTTATATTGATGAAATTAAAAAATATAATTGAGTACTTTTTTCTAATACAGGCCTATGAAAAATAATGATTTTTAGGGGGAGGGTGGGGTAATATTTCACTTAATGGGATTCAAAGATTTTCTTTCCTGTCATCAAATCAATTGTAAATGTTCATCTGTTAATGCTGGCCTGTAGTAAAGTTTTACACATTTGATCTTTAAAAACTTTATTTTTTACAATTAGGTACTATCAAATATTGATATCAGTCCACAATCGCATGATTGGCATATTCATCATTTGGAAAACCCAGAATTTTATTAGATTATTTTCTATATTTGCCTTTTTATGTGCCATTACATTACAGATTAATCACTTTCAATTGAAGGTTAGGTGGAAGCTCCTCAACTAAACATTTAAATAGGTTTTGGAATATAAAAATTTATGCCAGGTACAGTGATTCGGCCCTGTAATTCCAATACTTTGGGAGACCAAGACAGGAGGATAATTTGAGGCCAGGAGTTTAAGTTCAGCCCGGGCAACATAGCAAGACCCAGTCTCTACAAAAAAATATAAAACTTAGGCAGGAGTGGTGGTGCATACCTGTAGTTCTAGCTACTTGGGAGGCTGAGGCAAGAGGATCTCTTGAGTTCAGGATTTCAAAGTTATAGTGAGCTATGATTGCACCACTCAACTTCAGCTTAGGCAACAGAGTAAGACCCCCTCTATTAAAAATAAACAAATGGAAAACATTCCATGCTCATGAATAGGAAGAATCAATATCATGAAAATGGCCATACTGCCCAAAGTAATTTATAGATTCAATGCTATTCCCATCAAACTACTATTGACTTTCTTCAAGAATTACAAACAAAAAAAATACTTTAAATTTCATATGGAGCCAAAAAAAAGCCCACATAGCCAAGACAATTCTAAGCAAAAAGAACAAACCTGGAGGCATCATGCTGCCTGACTTCAAACTATACTACAAGGCTACAGTAACCAAAACAGCATGGTACTCGTACCAAAACAGATATATAGACCAACGGAACAGAACAGAGGCCTCGGAAATAACACCACACATCTGCAACCATCTGATCTTTGACAAACCTGACAAAAACAAACAATGGGAAAAGGATTCCCTATTTAATAAATGGTGTTGGGAAGACTGACTAGCCATATGCAGAAAACTGAAACTGGACCCCTTCCTTACATCTTATATAAAAATTAACTCAAGATGGATTAAGACTTAAACGTAAGACCTGAAACCATAAAAATCTAGAAGAAAACCTAGGCAATACCATTCAGAACATAGGCATGGGCAAAGACGTCATGACTAAAACACCAAAAGCAATGGTAACAAAAACCAAAATTGACAAATGGGATATAATTAAACTAAAGAGCTTCTGCACAGCAAAAGAAACTATCATCAGAGTGAATAGGCAACCTACAGAAGAAGAGAAAATTTTTGCAGTCTATCCATCTGAAAAAGCGTTAATATTCGGAATCTACAAAGAACTTAAACAAATTTACAAGGAAAAAACAAACAACCCCATCAAAAAGTGGGCAAAAGATATGAACAGACACTTCTCAAAAGAAGACATTGTTGCAGCCAATAAACATATGAAAAAAAGCTCATCATTACTGGTCATTAAAGAAATGCAAATCAAAACCACAATAAGGTACCATCTCATGCCAGTCAGGAAACAACAGATGCTGGAAAGGATGTGGAGAAATAGGAACGCTTTTATACTGTTGGTAGGAGTGTAAATTAGTTCAACCATTGTGGAAGACAGTGTGGCAATTCTTCAAGGATCTAGAACCAGAAATATCATTTGATGTAGCAATCCCATTACTGGGTATGTACTCAAAGGATTATAAATCATTCTACTATAAAGACACATGTACATGTATGTTTATTGTGGCACTGTACACAATAGCAAAGGCTTGGGACCAATCCAAATTCTCATCAATGATAGACTGGATAAAGAAAGTGTGGTACATATACACCATGGAATACTATGCAGCCATAAAAAGGATGAGTTCAGGTCCTTTGCAGGGATATGGATGAAGCTGGAAA
Organism: Homo sapiens; assembly: GCF_000001405.40. NCBI lineage: Eukaryota > Metazoa > Chordata > Mammalia > Primates > Hominidae > Homo > Homo sapiens. The sequence goes on along the minus strand of NC_000004.12, from coordinate 11,246,047 downwards.
CCATCATTCTCAGCAAACTAACAGAAAAACAGAAAACCAAACATCACATGTTCTCACTCATAAGTGGGAGTTGAACAATGAGAATACATGGACACAGGGAGGGGAATATCACACATCAGATACTGTCAGGGGGTGAGGGACCAGGGGAGGGATAGCATTAGGAGAAATACCTAATATAGATGATGGGTTGATGGGTGCAGCAAACCACCATGGCACGTGTATACCTATGTAACAAACCAGCACATTCTGCACATGTACCCCTGAACTTAAAGTATAATAAAAAAAAAAAAAGAGAAAAAACCCCTGAAAATCAATGCCAAAAATCTACAGTAAATAAAACATCAAAATTAAAAATAAAATAAAATTCTCCTGTACTTACGATGTTGTCTGAAAGACATTGCTAGAACTGTGGTTTGAGCTCAGAAAATTTAGCTGTTGCAAATTTGTGAGGGGATAATGATATTCCCATTTCTGTTAAGTTCTGATGACAGGGGATGTTAAAAAGCCAGTTAACATTACTTGTGAGCCAAACAACATTAATTGTCATTGAAATGATTTTACTACCACAGAGTAAGTTTTAGACATCACTGTTTCATCTTTAATTTTATGTTAAATTCATTTCAACAAATTATCAATGTTACCACTGCAAAAACTAATTTATAAATCCATTCAATGTTATACAGTAGTGGTTGAGGGTAGATTTTCTTGTTCAAAAGATTTGAAATCTTGGTCCTGAACTCAAAACAATTGTAGTAAAACTTTAAGCCATTGAACTGCTGTGTGGTAGAAAAATTCAAAATATTCAGGTTTTATTGCTGACAAAAAAAAAAAACCAACAAAACAAAACAAAACAAAACAAAAAAACAAACGCAGACCTGAAGATACAATGGTTAAATCCATTAGAGCAGGTGAAGTTCACTGTTGACATTACGCATTCAATAACACATTATAGTTCAAATTTCTTTCACAAAGTACATATTGATGAATAATACAAGGAATTGACATAGGATTTAGATATTTACATTTTCATGAGCTGCATAAATTTGTCCAAGTTAACTCTTCTACTTCACATGCAATTTTTACCATCAGGTGTAACCAAACTTAGCAGATTCCAAATCAGTTTCACTGAATTCGTGTTTTCACTACTTCCTTGAAAATATCCTCTCCTGCAGTTTTTCCATACAGCTAATGATAGAGGTGAATTCTTCAGTTCTTAAAACTCATCACAGATGAGTTTATTTTCTCAAATAAACAACAACTAGTAAGCAATATCGGTAGCATCTGTAGACTTATCAAGAGCCAAGAAAACCAGTGAAATGCATTTGCAGAGCTTCTTAACTAGCTACTGATGTTGCTCCCAACATCATCTCTTCCATCCACTATCCTCTCCAGAGCCTACCAACCTAAAGTTTATTCTCTCTGGATACATTCCTTCCACTGCTGCAATGAAATACAATTTAATTAACTCATGATTGGTAAGTGTTTTGGGTTGCTTGGCTAACAAATAAGGCACTCAAAAATTTACTTTGGTTGAAACTTCATTTTCATTTGTTATTTTCGTGAAGAACATTTGTTGTTATAAGCTACTCAGTTTCAAATGTTCTTTTTTTTCTAATTGCTGCTTTCCTGTGAGTTAGTTGGGAATATGATGAGTGCTTGGTCTGAAAATGTTGATGTAGATTATACTTTTTAGCACACATATGGCATCATTATATAAGAAACACAATGTTTTGACAGCTAATTTAATGGTAAAATAATCCACACTCCACTGAGCCTTAAAAATGCAACATTCAGAGTCCACTTTTCCCTTCATATTTTGAGAAGATGAGTGTGCTCTGGGAGTTAAGTAAAATAGTATGGTGATGCACATGGAACTCAAAACTCTGTGGAGGTATAATTGTATCACTGACATTAACTGTGGGCAAACAGGAGTGTGAAGCAATGAAGCACTAGATACGGTCTTTCTTCCAACTACTCAGCTCTGTCTTGTATGAAAACAGTCATAGACAATATGCAAATAAATGAACGTGGTTGTTTTCCAATAAACTGTATGTATGGATGCTGAAATCTGAGTGTCATATAATGTTTGTATATTATATGGAATATAATTATTTCATATAATATTTTATTATTTTAATAATAATTGTGATGATTTTAATAATAATGACAAGAATATTATGATTCTTTTCATTTTTTTAGCCAGTAAAAAATGTAAAACTCATTCTTAGTTCATGAAACACAATAAAAATAGAGGGCAGATGGATTTGGCCTATGGGTTTTTCACCCTGATCTAGGGCTGTCTTCCTGCCTTCATTAGCATTCTTTCTTTTGTTCTTTCATTTCGCCCTTGTTTCTCCCTCCTTCCCTTCCTTCCTTTGTTCCTTTATTTCTCCTTTCTTTCTTTTTCATTGTTTTGGGAGTATCTTCATTATTTATTTCTTTTCGTTTAGAAACGATCTCAAACTAACATATACAGTATAATAAACATTTTTTCCCTCAAAATAGTTGATAAGTTGCTGGAATGGTGCTCCATTATCACTGAATATTTTATTCTACCAAGAAAGATAGCCACAACACAAACATTCAAATGAAGAAATTAACAGTGGGCAGAGGTGGGGAGGTAACTTGAGGCCAGCAGCTCCAGACCAGCCTGGGCAACAGAGTAAGACCCCCATATCTACAAAAAAAAAATTGTAAACAATTATGTGCATGTGGTGGCGTGGGCCTGTAGTCCTAGCTACTCAGGAGGCTGAGGCAGGAGGATCTCTTGAGTCCAGGAGGTTGAGATTGCAGTGAGCTATGATCATACCACTATATACCTGCCTAGGTGACTGAGCAGGACCCTGCCTCAAAAAGAAAAAAAAAATTAACACTGAGGCGTTATTGCCATCTAACCCTCACATGCCACCATTCAAATGTTCCCCGTAGTCCTTTGTAGCTAAAGTATTCATTTCATAATAAAGAGTTGCAGTCATTTGTCATGTCTTGTTTGTCTCCTTCACTCCATAAGACTTTTTCAGTCTTGGCTGGGCTTTCATAACCTTGACACTTTTTTAATTGATGCATAATATGAATTTTTACGGGGTACAGGTGATATTTTGTTATTGAATAGAATGTGTAACGATCAGGTCAGTTTATTTAGGATAACCATCCCCTCAAGCACTTATCATTTTGATGTGTTGATATTTCAAATCCTCACTTCTAGCTATATTGAAATATATAATACATTGTAGCTGACTATAGTCACCCCATTCTACTATCAAATGCTAGAATTTATTCCTTCTATCTAAATATATGTTTTTAGCCATTAACCCACCTCTTTTCATTCCCCCTCCCCCACCGACAAACCCACGTTCTTTCCAGGCCCTGGTATCTATCATTCTACTCTCTGCCTCCATGAGACGATGGAACTAGACATCACTATGTTAAGTGAAATAAGCCAGAAACAGAAAGACAAACATCCCATGCACTCAACCTTCCCACTTTTGAAGATCTAAGGCCAGCTGTTTTGTAGAATGTACTTCGATTTAGGTTTGTTTGGCTTTTCTTCATGATTTGGGTTATGTATTTCTGGCAAGAATACCAATGAATTGGTCTTATGTTCTTACTGCCTCTTATCAGAAGAAACTGTTTCCATTTTTTCCATTAATCAGGACTTTTAAAAAGTTTCTTGATTAACTCAGTTTCTGCCATGCTTTGTCACTATGAAGCCACAGTTTTACCTTTGGAAATTAAAAATAATAATTCAGGAAGTTACTTTGAGACTGTTCCACTTCTTATTAAACTTTTATTTGTTTACCTTTTAAATTACTATGTACTTTTGGTTTCCTAGCTAATCCAATGGGTTATAATCCCTTACTATCACTATTATTTTGATGCTCAAGTTTTCCCTGATATGCCCAGTGGGATCCCCTTCAACTTGGTTTCTGTGTCCCTTGATGTGTCCCCATCATTTGTTGAGTACTTCCTGACTTTGTCACATAAGCTGTCTCTGACTAATCTTCTACTTCCCTTGCTCTAGTCCTGGAATCAGATATTTTCCAACAAGCGATGGTTACTTTCCATTGAAAATGGACCTTTAGAAGCCAAAAGCTGAGTGCTAGGTGTGCTTATTGTTATTGAGCAGGCCTTCCAGGGGAAATGCTAAGGTTCCCAGGCCCTCTCAGTGGATGGAACTAAGGAATGTATTTGTGTGTTACCACACACACATTAACATCTACTTTCTATCTATATTTAAAATCATAAGTTCAATACAAAAATTCCTTTTCTAATACAGCACCGCAAGGTTCACTTTAGCCTTTCTTTCCTTGTTTAAAGTTCCTTCTCTAATAGGAAGCTGTCTCCCATTATCCTTAATAAATTTACTTATTTAATCAATCTTCTCATGAGAACTGATATTATGGCCACAGCCCTTACCAGGCACAGGGCTTATCTCATCATCAAAACTTCATAGAGTACCTTCTGTGTCCCATTCAGTGTACTAGGCATTTGAAGATCAATAGCAAATAAATGCAGCCCATATGTTTCTAGGAAAGACTGCCACCTATCCCCCAGAAAGCAAACATATTAAGGTCTAGTTCAATTCAGAAAGTACACTCTAAATGTGTAAGGCATATGGGGCCACCAGAGCTTATAATAAGGGAATGTGACCTGGGCTCTGAGGCCAGATGTCCTTAAAAAGTGAGGATTTTAGTAAAATCGAACAAAGTCCTGGTGGACCTCATAGAGAAAGGGGCAGACAGAGTGAGAGAAGTCTGTAAGAAAAGCAGTAGCCAGATAGATAATGTAGGACATTTTTTTTTTATACTTTAAGTTTTAGGGTACATGTGCACATTGTGCAGGTTAGTTACATATGTATACATGTGCCATGCTGGTGCGCTGCACCCACTAACTCGTCATCTAGCATTAGGTATATCTCCCAATGCTATCCCTCCCCCCTCCCCCCACCCCACCACAGTCCCCACAGTGTGATATTCCCCTTCCTGTGACCATGTGATCTCATTGTTCAATTCCCACCTATGAGCGAGAATATGCGGTGCTTGGTTTTTTGTTCTTGCGATAGTTTACTGAGAATGATGATTTCCAATTTCATCCATGTCCCTACAAAGGACATGAACTCATCATTTTTTATGGCTGCATAGTATTCCATGGTGTATATGTGCCACATTTTCTTAATCCAGTCTATCACTGTTGGACATTTGGGTTGGTTCCAAGTCTTTGCTATTGTGAATAATGCCGCAATAAACATACGTGCCCATGTGTCTTTATAGCAGCATGATTTATAGTCATTTGGGTATATACCCAGTAATGGGATGGCTGGGTCAAATGGTATTTCTAGTTCTAGATCCCTGAGGAATCGCCACACTGACTTCCACAATGGTTGAACTAGTTTACAGTCCCACCGACAATGTAAAAGTGTTCCTATTTCTCCACATCCTCTCCAGCACCTGTTGTTTCCTGACTTTTTAATGATTGCCATTCTAACTGGTGTGAGATGATATCTCATAGCGGTTTTGATTTGCATTTCTCTGATGGCCAGTGATGATGAGCATTTTTTCATGTGTTTTTTGGCTGCATAAATGTCTTCTTTTGATAAGTGTCTGTTCATGTCCTTCGCCCACTTTTTGATGGGGCTGTTTGTTTTTTTCTTGCAAATTTGTTTGAGTTCATTGTAGATTCTGGATATTAGCCCTTTGTCAGATGAGTAGGTTGCGAAAATGTTCTCCCATTTTGTAGGTTGCCTGTTCACTCTGATGGTAGTTTCTTTTGCTGTGCAGAAGCTCTTGAGTTTAATTAGATCCCATTTGTCAATTTTGTCTTGTGTTGCCATTGCTTTTGGTGTTTTGGACATGAAGTCCTTGCCCATGCCTATGTCCTGAATGGTAATGCCTAGGTTTTCTTCTAGGGTTTTTATGGTTTTAGGTCTAACGTTTAAATCTTTAATCCATCTTGAATTGATTTTTGTATAAGGTGTAAGGAAGGGATCCAGTTTCAGCTTTCTCCATATGGCTAGCCAGTTTTCCCAGCACCATTTATTAAATAGGGAATCCTTACCCCATTGCTTGTTTTTCTCAGGTTTGTCAAAGATCAGATAGTTGTAGATATGCGGCATTATTTCTGAGGGCTCTGTTCTGTTCCATTGATCTAAATCTCTGTTTTGGTACCAGTACCATGCTGTTTTGGTTACTGTAGCCTTGTAGTATAGTTTGAAGTCAGGTAGTGTGATGCCTCCAGCTTTGTACTTTTGGCTTAGGATTGACTTGGCGATGCGGGCTCTTTTTTGGTTCCATATGAACTTTAAAGTAGTTTTTTCCAATTCTGTGAAGAAAGGCATTGGTAGCTTGATGGGGATGGCATTGAATCTGTAAATGACCTTGGGCAGTATGGCCATTTTCACGATATTGATTCTTCCTACCCATGAGCATGGAATGTTCTTCCATTTGTTTGTATCCTCTTTTATGTCCTTGAGCAGTGGTTTGTAGTTCTCCTTGAAGAGGTCCTTCACATCCCTTGTAAGTTGGATTCCTAGGTATTTTATTCTCTTTGAAGCAATTGTGAATGGGAGTTCACTCATGATTTGGCTCTCTGTTTGTCTGTTGTTGGTGTATAAGAATGCTTGTGATTTTTGCACATTGATTTTGTATCCTGAGACTTTGCTGAAGTTGCTTATCAGCTTAAAAAGATTTTGGGCTGAGACGATGGGGTTTTCTAGATATACAATCACGTCGTCTGCAAACAGGGACAATTTGACTTCCTCTTTTCCTAATCAAATACCCTTTATTTCCTTCTCCTGCCTAATTGCCTTGGCCAGAACTTCCAACACTATGTTGAATAGCAGTGGTGAGAGAGGGCATCCCTGTCTTGTGCCAGTTTTCAAAGGGAATGCTTCCAGTTTTTGCCCATTCAGTATGATATTGGCTGTGGGTTTGTCATAGATAGCTTTTATTATTTTGAAATACGTCCCATCAATACCTAATTTATTGAGAGTTTTTAGCATGAAGGGTTGTTGAATTTTGTCAAAGGCTTTTTCTGCATCTATTGAGATAATCATGTGGTTTTTGTCTTTGGCTCTGTTTATATGCTGGATTACATTTATTGATTTGCATATATTGAACCTGCCTTGCATCCCAGGGATGAAGCCCACTTGATCATGGTGGATAAGCTTTTTGATGTGCTGCTGGATTCAGTTTGCCAGTATTTTATTGAGGATTTTTGCATCAATGTTCATCAAGGATATTGGTCTAAAATTCTCTTTTTTTGTTGTGTCTCTGCCCGGCTTTGGTATCAGGATGATGCTGGCCTCATAAAATGAGTTAGGGAGGATTCCCTCTTTTTCTATTGATTGGAATAGTTTCAGAAGGAATGGAACCAGTTCCTCCTTGTACCTCTGGTAGAATTCGGCTGTGAATCCATCTGGTCCTGGACTCTTTTTGGTTGGTAAGCTATTGATTATTGCCACAATTTCAGCTCCTGTTATTGGTCTATTAAGAGATTCAACTTCTTCCTGGTTTAGTCTTGGGAGAGTGTATGTGTCGAGGAATTTATCCATTTCTTCTAGATTTTCTAGTTTATTTGCGTAGAGGTGTTTGTAGTATTCTCTGATGGTAGTTTGTATTTCTGTGGGATCGGTGGTGATATCCCCTTTATCATTTTTTATTGTATCTATTTGATTCTTCTCTCTTTTTTTCTTTATTAGTCTTGCTAGCGGTCTATCAATTTTGTTGATCCTTTCAAAAAACCAGCTCCTGGATTCATTGATTTTTTGAAGGGTTTTTTGTGTCTCTATTTCCTTCAGTTCTGCTCTGATTTTAGTTATTTCTTGCCTTCTGCTAGCTTTTGAATGTGTTTGCTCTTGCTTTTCTAGTTCTTTTCATTGTGATGTTAGGGTGTCAATTTTGGATCTTTCCTGCTTTCTCTTGTGGGCATTTAGTGGTATAAATTTCCCTCTACACACTGCTTTGAATGCATCCCAGAGATTCTGGTATGTTGTGTCTTTGTTCTTGTTGGTTTCAAAGAACATCTTTATTTCTGCCTTCATTTCGTTATGTACCCAGTAGTCATTCAGGAGCAGGTTGTTCAGTTTCCATGTAGTTGAGCGGCTTTGAGTGAGATTCTTAATCCTGAGTTCTAGTTTGATTGCACTGTGGTCTGAGAGATAGTTTGTTATAATTTCTGTTCTTTTACATTTGCTGAGGAGAGCTTTACTTCCCAGTATGTGGTCAATTTTGGAATAGGTGTGGTGTGGTGCTGAAAAAAAATGTATATTCTGTTGATTTGGGGTGGAGAGTTCTGTAGATGTCTATTAGGTCTGCTTGGTGCAGAGCTGAGTTCAATTCCTGGGTATGCTTGTTGACTTTCTGCCTCATTGATCTGTCTAATGTTGACAGTGGGGTGTTAAAGTCTCCCATTATTATTGTGTGGGAGTCTAAGGCTCTTTGTAGGTCACTCAGGACTTGCTTTATGAATCTGGGTGCTCCTGTATTGGGTGCATATATATTTAGGATAGTTAGCTCTTCTTGTTGAATTGATCCCTTTACCATTATGTAATGGCCTTCTTTGTCTCTTTTGATCTTTGTTGGTTTAAAGTCTGTTTTATCAGAGACTAGGATTGCAACCCCTGCCTTTTTTTGTTTTCCATTGGCTTGGTAGATCTTCCTCCATCCTTTTATTTTGAGCCTATGTGTGTGTCTGCACGTGAGATGGGTTTCCTGAATACAGCACACTGATGGGTCTTGACTCTTTATCCAATTTGCCAGTCTGTGTCTTTTAATTGGAGCATTTAGTCCATTTACATTTAAAGTTAATATTGTTATGTGTGAATTTGATCCTGTCATTATGATGTTAGCTGGTTATCTTGCTCGTTAGTTGATGCAGTTTCTTCCTAGTCTCGATGGTCTTTACGTTTTGGCATGATTTTGCAGCGGCTGGTACTGGTTGTTCCTTTCCATGTTTAGCGCTTCCCTCAGGAGCTCTTTTAGGGCAGGTCTGGTGGTCACAAAATCTCTCAGCATTTGCTTGTCTGTAAAGTATTTTATTTCTCCTTCACTTATGAAGCTTAGCTTGGCTGGATATGAAATTCTGGGTTGAAAATTCTTTTCTTTAAGAATGTTGAATATTGGCCCCCACTCTCTTCTGGCTTGTAGGGTTTCTGCTGAGAGATCTGCTGTTAGTCTGATGGGCTTCCCTTTGAGGGTAACCCGACCTTTCTCTCTGGCTGCCCTTAACATTTTTTCCTTCATTTCAACTTTGGTGAATCTGACAATTATGTGTCTTGGAGTTGCTCTTCTCGAGGAGTATCTTTGTGGCGTTCTCTGTATTTCCTGGATCTGAACGTTGGCCTGCCTTGCTAGATTGGGGAAGTTTTCCTGGATAATATCCTGCAGAGTGTTTTCCAACTTGGTTCCATTCTCCCCATCACTTTCAGGTACACCAATCAGACGTAGATTTGGTCTTTTCACATAGTCCCATATTTCTTGGAGGCTTTGCTCATTTCTTTCTATTCTTTTTTCTCTAAACTTCCCTTCTCGCTTCATTTCATTCATTTTATCTTCCATTGCTGACACCCTTTCTTCCAGTTGATCGCATTGGCTCCTGAGGCTTCTGCATTCTTCACGTAGTTCTCGAGCCTTGGTTTTCAGCTCCATCAGCTCCTTTAAGCACTTCTCTGTATTGGTTATTCTAGTTATACATTCTTCTAAATTTTTTTCAAAGTTTTCAACTTCTTTGCCTTTGGTTTGAATGTCCTCCCGTAGCTCAGAGTAATTTGATCGTCTGAAGCCTTCTTCTCTCAGCTCGTCAAAGTCATTCTCCATCCAGCTTTGTTCTGTTGCTGGTGAGGAGCTGCGTTCCTTTGGAGGAGTAGATGTGCTCTGATTTTTAGAGCTTCCAGTTTTTCTGTTCTGTTTTTTCCCCATCTTTGTGGTTTTCTCTACTTTTGGTCTTTGATGATGGTGATGTACAGATGGGTTTTTGGTGTGGATGTCCTTTCTGTTTGTTAGTTTTCCTTCTAACAGGCAGGACCCTCAGCTGCAGGTCTGTTGGAATACCCTGCCGTGTGAGGTGTCAGTGTGCGCCTGCTCGGGGGTGCCTCCCAGTTAGGCTGCTCGGGGGTCAGGGGTCAGGGACCCACTTGAAGAGGCAGTCTGCCAGTTCTCAGATCTCCAGCTGCGTGCTGGGAGAACCACTGCTCTCTTCAAAGCTGTCAGACAGGGACATTTAAGTCTGCAGAGGTTACTGCTGTCTTTTTGTTTGTCTGTGCCCTGCCCCCAGAGGTGGAGCCTACAGAGGCAGGCAGGCCTCCTTGAGCTGTGGTGGGCTCCACCCAGTTCGAGCTTCCTGGCTGCTTTGTTTACCTAATCAAGCCTGGGCAATGGCGGGCGCCCCTCCCCCAGCCTGGCTGCTGCCTTGCAGTTTGATCTCAGACTGCTGTGCTAGCAATCAGCGAGATTCCGTGGGTGTAGGACCCTCCAAGCCAGGTGTGGGATATAGTCTCGTGGTGCGCCGTTTTTTAAGCCGGTCTGAAAAGCGCAATATTCGGGTGGGAGTGACCCGATTTTCCAGGTGCATCCGTCACCCCTTTCTTTGACTGGGAAAGGGAACTCCCTGACCCCTTGCGCTTCCCAGGTGAGGCAATGCCTCACCCTGCTTCGGCTCGCACACCGTGCGCGCACCCACTGGCCTGCGCCCACTAGTGAGCACAGTCTGGCACTCCCTAGTGAGATGAACCCGGTACCTCAGATGGAAATGCAGAAATCACCCGTCTTCTGTGTTGGTCACGCTGGGAGCTGTAGACCGGAGCTGTTGCTATTCGGCCATCTTGGCTCCTCCCCCGAATGTAGGACATTTTGAACTTAGGAATTTGAGCAGTGGTATCAAATGGGAAGGGAAGGGAGGGAGAGGGGAGGGGAGGGGAGGGGAGGGAAGGGAGATCATCCCTTGTATGTGGGTTTGATTATATTGTGATTAAATTTGCATTTTCAAAACATCCCTCTGTTTATAAGCTAGGAGTAAGGTTTGTATGAAGGGAGACGAGTTAAGGGAGAAATTGCAGTAACTCAAATAAAAGATGAAGGTAGCCTGTCCTAGTGGGATAATTGTAATGTTCAATAAATATTTTTTGCATTCATGCATGCATGAATAATGAGTAGATTCACAATGCCCTTCCCTGACCATATTATTTTCCTTCTGTCGAACTCAGACACATTATTCACGAGGATTTATGTGTCATCTCTTCTGTGACTCTTTCAGTGCCATTCCCACATTGACCTATTCAGGTGGAAGGAACCACTACAGTCCTTACTGGGACTTCCATTTTCATATTTTGTTATAACACCAGCCACAAGGTGTAGAAAACTCTGTTTCCTCATCAATATTTACCACTGGACTTTGTTCTCTTTAAGATTATAACCAATATACCCAAATATAGCTGGAGCAGAGATATATTTATTTTCAGGATGAAGGATTATTTTGTGAAGTTCATAAGGGCAAAGGATATTTTAGATTGTAAGTGAAGTGTCACAGACAAATGGAGAATGGTTAAAAAGTGATTATTTAGAAACCTATTTCTTAGTATGGATTCATCCCCTAATTTGTAATGTGACTTTGGAGGAGATATCTTGCCCTTGGTGAACCTCAGTCTTCTTACGTGCAAATTAAAAAATAGCTATTAGCACGTATTGAGTGAGTCCTTTGATCCAGGCACTTTTACAATGAAAGTGCATAGCTTGTTAATTCTTCCCAACAATCTTTGGAAGTAGATATAATGTTTTCTTCATATCACAAGTGATGAAAAAGAAGATTCAATAACTTGCCCATTGTTGCACAGCCACAAAGTGGTGGCATTAATGTAAACGTAGGCAGTATGGGACCAGGGTTGGTGTTTCCCAGCCATGCTGTTACTTGAGAATCGCAGTAATAATCTCTGAAGATCCTCTCTCTAATCTGTCATTCAGTATTGCACTGATGCCAATGACGAGAAGGCTGCTCCTGGGGAGACAGAGGTCATCGGGCTAAGGATAGAACAGAACACATATATACTGTGGATCACTGTTCACAGGGACAATTGTATTAGAGAGAGATAAAGGATTGTTTCATGCGGCATTATATTGCTGATGTTCAGAATTGAGGGATACACTGAAATAATATGGATATGTGCAAAACGTACACTTTGATTTCAGATAGTGAAATCCAACACACCTGAAATTGACTTAGCAAAGAAGCATAATAAAGTGCCAATATGAGACTAACACACCCATCAAAAGCAAGCATTTTTATAATGGTAGATACAATAATTAAACTCAATAGTAAAATGAAAAAAGAAATACACGAAAACTAAAGTCCATTTGATGCTTACGTTAGGAATGTAAAGCACAGCCAAGGAGATGGTCAGACCCTTCAAGCTGGTCCCAAAGATAACGAATAATGTGGTGGTTGGTTTTTCATGATTTCTCATCCTCACTGTCAGCCGACAACTTGATAAAATGGAATAATTCCAGGTTTATTAGCGTCACAGCACATTTAGGTCTCCCGTGAGAGACAGGTAAAAAGCACAGTGAGGCGAGGCGCTTTTAAAGGCCGCCAGTTGCTAATTGTAGGTGTGGGGAATCTGCACAGGCTCAAGTGACAGGAAGCAGGGAGTGGGGCCATGAAGCTGGCCATTTTCCACCTTGCAGCCACTAGATTTCTAAAAGCCATCTCACACGCCTCTGTTGCATAAAGCCATTCCCAAACTCAGAGGGATGATTTGCTCCACAGGGACTGAACCTTGGAGACTTTTGCACACAAAGTAAAATGACTCCTGCCTGAGAAAACACCCTTTTCTCCTAATTTGTTGGTTTTAGGAGAAAATGGAAAAGCTTGTATACGCACACTCAGAGGGAGGGTCAAGGAAACAAGCATACCAGGGGAAGGGAGGAAAGAAATCGCATTTATAAGCAGCTACTACAGCATTTCACTCAAAGCTCCCAATAACTTCATAAGCTGAACTTATTATTCTCCTCTTACAAACAAGGACCCAAGGTTTAGAAAATTTAAATGATTGACCGAGTCAATGTAATAAGAAGGCAAACAACCAACTTAAGTTTCTCTGACCCCAAAGCCCATACTTGTTTCATAACATGATGCTGTTTTCCACTGAGATGTGTCAAAGACAAGCTTGCTTTCCATTTTTACATAGGTCCTCATTGTGTGTGTTCAAACAATAATTATCTCTTGACTCAGATTTACAAACCAGTTTTTGTTTTCACGCAGGGCCTGAGGGATTACTGCTTATTTCAGAATGCGTTGTGTGGTAAAGCCTCTACATCGTGAGAGAACAAGAAACAAAGATTGGACTGGACAGGTGAGATCCAGTTAGAGGACAGAATAAGAGTACCTATTCTTCTGGATGTCCTTTTGGACATCAAATATGTGAGGCGTTGGGTCTTTTCTCAGGATTTTCTAGTCCCTTCCATCTTTCCTTCTCTTTTTTTTTTTTGAGACGGAGTCTCACTCTGTCGCCCAGGCTGGAGTGCAGTGGCGCGATCTCGGCTCACTACAACCGCCGCCTCCTGGCTTCACATCTTTCCTTCTCTTTAGTGTGTAGTGAAGGTCTGAGAAAAATGTCTCATTAGATGAAGAGCTGAACTGGATGCTTTCAGAGCTCCTCCCAAGATTACACACACGCAAAACAGAACTTCCCTAGGAAATGTATGGAGATTATTTCTTGAGAGAGAAAGTTTTTTTACCAGCTTCTCTGCTAGTGCTAAACATAACTCTATACACTAGGCCTTGGGCTAAGTTGTTTATTATCAAGAGGAAGTGGATTAAGCAAATAAGTTTATTTTCATGACAGCGGCATGATATTTATATTGGCTGAAGTTCAAAGGACTGACTGTCTGGCACTTATTTATCCTCTTCCTCTGAGGAAGCAGTTTTAATGTTGGCTGCAGGAAGAGAGGCTACTACGGACAGGCTCCTTTATCCAACGTGTTAGAGTGTTTTTGACTAAAGGACTTTGATTAGCACTGTGTACCCTTATTTGTCATTAAATTTCTCTCCTCTTATTAAGCTATGTGTCCTTTGAAAGAAAGAACTGTGAAGGTCTATGGTCTTGCACAAACTCTTGACCCTTAAGCACTTGGTTTCTGTTTTTCATTCTGTTCTCAGGGTGTCTGAAGTGCAGTGGGAATGAGAGCCACGACCTAGAGCAGTGGGATGCCCAACTCTTCTAGGTGCACTGATAAAGATGAATGGGGCTGGGCGCAGTGGCTCACGCCTATAATCCCAGCACTTTGGGAGGCCAAGGCGGGTGGATCGCTTGAGGCCAGGAGTTGGTGACCAGCCTGACCAACATGGCAAAACCCTGTCTCCACTAAAAATACAAAAATTAGCCAGGCATGGTGGTGTGCACCTGTAAACCCAGCTACTCAGGAGGCTGAGGCACGAGAATCACTTGAACCTGAGAGATGAAGGTTGCAGTGAGCCAATATCGTGCCACTGCCCTCCTGCCTGGATGACAAAGTTTGTCTATTTGTTTGTTTCAAACAAACAAATAGACAAACAAAAAATGAATGGGAAAGCCATCTGGACAAATGGCTGCCAGGTGAAAGTGTAGGTTGCACACAGAACAGACAGGGTGCCCAGGTCAGAGTGGAGAAAGAGAACCCCAGCCAGAGCCGCACAAGGGCTAGCCCACAAAATAGAAATTCCCACATTAGCCCTGAGATGTGGGGATGTACATAGGGGCAAATGCATTGCATGCCCAGTTAGTGTGGCCTGAAGAGCCATTTCTTTCCAATTTTCTTTAAAGGCAAATGCCAATCTGTTTAGGCCACACTTTTTTTTTTTTTTCTAAAGCAGATTAAGGTCTTGCTGTCTGATGACTGCCTATCGGAGAGGCAGGTGGGCTGGCTGTGTTTGGAGGGCTAGCTTGCCATTCTCTAATCTGCTTTTAGCCAGTGATCTTCAGGGAAAGCTGGGAAACCTGGGGCCAAGGCATCATAAACTTTGCTTAAGTCAGCCACCAGCCATTGCTATGCAAATTCTGGTAGTTTCCGGAGACATGAAGGCCTATTAACTTTTTGAAGTGTGATGCAAATGGCTTCTGTCTTATAAAAGCTTTTGTAATAACTCAAACTTCAGATAGAATCTCCCATTTTGTGACTTCATCACACAAATTCTCAAGGAAAACAGCATTTGAGAACTGCTGCAGAGTTACAATGATTTATTTTCCTACTTTTGTCTCTGATTAGGTCCCCAAACAAACTTCTTGCTGCATTCAGTTGGAACCTCAAACTCTGTGTGTATATGTATATATACATATACATACACATATTTTTATATATATATATATTTTGAAGTCAGACTCAGCTGGATTCAAAGATCAGCTTTGCTCTGTACCAACGGCACAACCCTGGAAAAATGGCTTTGCTTCTGTAAGCCTCAGTTTCCCTGTTGTCAAAACTGAAAGGATTTGAAAACCCATCTCAAAGGGCTATGATGAGGATTAAGCTGGCACCTGCAAATATTCACTATAGAGTAGATGCAAGTCACCCTGTTGCTCTTGCTTTCTCTCACCTTCTAATTGCATGAGGTACACATTTATAGGATTCTAGAATACAGTTCTCATCTCATTAACACTTATTCATTTTTGAACATCCAACTCTAAAGTTACTTTATTTTATTATTCAATATTTCTTTTCTACCCTTCCCCTGGGAAATGGAATGAATTGGATGGTCCTGTGTTTTGATTGCATTTTGTATCTGTTATAATACTTATGCTGTTTGAGAATCACTCATCCATATGCTTGTCCATTTAACAAAGATTTATTCAGCATCTCTTATTTCCCAGAACCTGGGACTGTGCTAGGTGCTAGTGATACCATGAAAATAAGATGTTGCTACACTCATAGAACTGTTTGCCCCCCGGACTTGAATAAGAACCACTCACTTGAATTACAATTATCCAAAGCAGTGTCTGAATTAAATTCCATCCAAAGACCAGCAGGTGATAGTGCTGCTATACTACACTGGAACCACGAGGGAGTATGGTTGCAAATCAAGGCCTGCATCTGCCCCCCTTTCATAGTGAAACTTTGAGAGACCCCTCCTCAAGAGGGTGGACAGGGTTGGCAGAAGAATAGGGTGAAGTGTGAAGGGGCAGTGGACTCAGAGGGGTGGGAAGGAATGTGACCTTTCTTCCCCAGAAGGGAAGCATATATAACAAACTGTCTGAAATGTACTGTAATTGATCCCGTCAAAGAATGAAATGTGAAACACTCAATACAAGAAAAAAAATATATAAGGAGGGCCTGCAGGCTCTTCGATTAGACTGCGTGGGTGTGGATCCCAGCTGCTACGGACTGTTTGTGTCTCTCCAAGGTTTGCGTGTTGAAATCTTATCCTTCAGTGGGATGGTATTAGGAGGTGGGGCTCAGGAAGATAATTAGTTCATGAGGGTCGTGCTCACAGGAATGGAATCAGCGCTCTTATAAAAAGAAACAAGAGAAAGATATTTTTCTCTTGGCCCACATGAGGATAACACAAGAAAGCAGCCATGTAGTTTTCCTCCAGCTCAGCAACTTTTAATTTTCTGTTTTGTTCATGGAGCTGCCATTGTATCTGTCATGCAGACAAGTGGCCACAGTTCTCTCTCTCCACTGTGCCCATCCTGCTGCTTACCCCTCTCCAGGCAAACCCTGTATCCCTGCCCCCAATCAGTCAGCAATATCCACAGTTTCTTCCCCTGCTATGCCATCTGTATCCTACTGCATTAAGCCACCACACAGTCCCTTCTGACTGCTCACTATTCGGGGTCACCATCCACACTGCTGCAGACACATCTAGAATGTATCCTTCTATGTCTGGCTTCGAACATTCCCAATCAATCATTGCCAAACTGCTGTAAACCTGCAGTGTGTCTCCAATGCCTTCTTAGTGTGGCATTCAAGGCTCTATACCCTGCTTTTTACTCTCGTCTCTTTTTCCTCTTTCTCCTCAAGTATCTGCTTTCCTACCACAGAATTGAAAATCCTAGATGAAAAGTTTGGTGCAGTGAAATCCTCATACTCTGGGAGGAAAACCCCGATTTTAGTATTGGCTTTGCAAGTAATTTCTAATAAATGTGATCATGGACAAGTTATTTAAACTTGCTGAACCATAGTGGATTTAGTTTTAGTTTTATTTACTTTTTAATCTAAAGCAGAGGTAAGCAAACTATGGCCCTTGAGCCAACCAGCCTGCTGCCTAGTTGTGTAAATACAGTTGTTTTTGGAACACAGCCATATCTATTCATCTACATTTTTGTCTGTGGCTGTCTTTGCATTACAACATCAGAGTTGGGTAGTTATGACAGAGACTGTCAGTTCCACAGAGGCTAAAATATTTACTGCATGGCCCTTTACTGAAAAAGTTTGCCAACTCCTGATAGATAAAATGATTGCTGATATTTCGGTATGTTTTAATACTTCATGATTGCAAGTAACTGACCACATTATGCATATACAAATTCCATGTAATATAAACACTAGTGAAAACTAAGCTGTTTAATTCCTTGTGTATTGCCATTTACATGGTAGGGGAGTTCAGATAGGTCACTTCATCTCTTTTCATCTCTATTTCTTCATTTGTTGAATGATGCTAACATGTACCTCTTATGATACCTTATGATATTTCAAAGCAAAAATACTTGAAAAATTATCTAATGATATCCCTGGCACAAAATAGGTTTTTAACAAGTAGCACTTTTGCTTCCTTGAATCTTCTTAGCTAGTTAATGATGAGCTGTAAGTAGAGAAGGAATACAATGTCTCTCTTATTTAACAGGTCTTACAATAAACTCCCACCACTTCCACATGAATAGCCAATAGCCAAACATGGCTTTGACATCTACATAAAAACATGTCGTACTTCTGCATGTGTCCTGCTCTCCTCCCTTCCCATTACTCAGTCTCATCATGCATAAAATAGATAAATACAATGTGCTTGCATAATTACAGGCCTTACAAATAGGCTCCTTGGGCCAGGTGCTGCTCTCCAGTGTGTAGGATGATGACATTCTTGAGATGCACCAATAGGATTGGAACTTTTTGTGGCAGGACAAAAAGCAGCTTTTCCTCTGATCATGTTGTTTGACTCTGACACAATTTTGGAAAGAGGATCTTCCCACCACATTTTATAAAATGTCCATCCCAAGGAGTAAATGAGGAAGCCATGACAATGTGCTGTTCAGGTCATTTGCTTGGGGAAGAAGTAGCTGAATGACAGCCTTGGCTGGTACACCTTTCGCTCCTCCACCATGTGTGTGCCGAGGGCAGGCTTCCCCAGAGCTGCTCAGAGCCAATGACTGGGGCAAATAGAGTGGAGACTGTAGTTCTGGCTCATGGAATGTCGGATACCTCCAATGGTGACACTGGCTGGACAACTTGCCATTTGCCTTGGCAAAGCATTCATAGACCAGTGCTACAATCTGAGACTCCTCTTATGCAGTCTTCTTCCTGCTCCCTCTCTCATCATAGGTGCCAGACCTGCATCACAGTCTGAACGTTCTCCCTGCCCTTCTGGCTTACTTCCCTTTGCCCCTTCACAGGTGTTTCAAACAATAAATCTCACAGTCCTGTCTCAGTTTCCATTTCTCAGGGAACATGAACTAACCTGTAAATCAGAAACGATCTGAGAAAGCAGCCGGTGAGATGGGGATTGGTTACCGCCTGTGTGACTGACTGGCTGGCTAAGACCATGCCATCCATACAGATATGCAGCACAGATAGACCCTAGCATAATATGGCATCCTAGTTCCTGAATATTTCATTGGTAGTGTTTTAGGACAATATCTTGATGGAGGGACCCCATTTGCAAATGTAATGTTCAGGTATTGGGAACATATGGCATACACCATGCTTATAAGAAGGGTAGAATCAGCTGGTTATAGTTAAGTTGTGTAAATGCCCTATTGAGGGATTAAAATATATTATAAAAAGGAGAGTGTAGAGCCAAAGGAGCACTTAGATGGTGTATAGAGAGGCTCTTATTTCCTGCAATAGAAAAGCAAATTCAGGACTTGACAGAGTCACACCGTTCCATAGACAGTTAAATGCTGAGCCAAGACAGGTCTGTTATGCTAAGCTTAGGGCCTTGGAAGCAAAAACCTTGGTCCCTGAAATGTGGAAAAGGAACATGTAAGTGGAAATCTTAAGGGTCTAAGGTTCAAAACCCTCTGGACCCTCACAGCGTATGACTCACTTGTCATTTTCAATAAGAGCTAGCACTTCTGCTGGGCTAGACTACGTTGCATAGACCTCAAGGCAGGTGCCTCCTACCTCCAGTGGATACCCCCACTCCCTTCCCCTGCAACCTGATTGATAACTAGGGTTAAACCCTAATATAAGTCAACTGGGACGTGCTCAGTCTGACATGGGAGGAGAGAGAGCACATGCCAAAGCAGCTATAAGAATTACCCTGCGTGCACCAGCAGGAGTCAGATGGATGCCACTAGGGTTGTATTTGGAGAATACTTCAACAGAAGGCCCGAACTTAAGCCTGGATATGTACAAAGTTTTGAATTGGTGGCACACTTTTAGGATATGGGATTTAACGCCCTGGCATGGACCCCAGGGGATATGGCACAAACATAACTAAGTTGGCCCAAGTTAAGCAAAGTGGAAATGTTTGAGTTGCCTTGGAGGGTGGTGGAAGAAGAAATAAAGGGGCTGGAGGGATGGGCCTGATGAATCAATGTATTATATGAGGCCATAAGACCCACCACATATTATATTCCAGAGGAAATCAGGGGAAACACCATTTGCTAAGGACATCAAGGATACACTACTAAGAACTTCACTAAGACATCAAGCGGTGGCTCTCCTCTGTAGGCCAAGGCTGAGAGTTGGAGGGGTGATCTCAGATGGGCTTGTTAATGTCCTGGGGATGATGGAGCCTTGAAGTAAGAGATGCAGGTGGTAGCATTTACTAGCCAGAAGCCAGGGGATGTGATTACTGTAATGATGGTCAAGATCATAGGGGCAACCAAGGGGATTTGATCTGCAGTAGTGGGAATAGTTAATAGAATATGATGTCCCTCGGAGTAAAATAGGTGGTCAGTTAACAAGAATGCTATTGGCATCTATATGCAAATAACAACAACAAAAAAGCAAGAAGAGAGGAGGAGGAAATGGAAGCGGTCAGTCTAATAAAATGCCATGATCCCTGGCTCAGTCCCAGGCCCTGAGACCAACTGTAAAACCAGCCCATGGAGTGAAGAGGTAACCAATTTGCTAGGAACAAGGACTCTGCAGCACTGCAGCCAGTACACCCTGTAGTATTTCTCCAGTCCCCTCCCAAGGTACCTATAGCCATCTGTAGGGAGATTGTGTCCTGGGGGAAGGGAAACACCCACGCATTTCAGGAACTACTGGACACAAGTCTAAACTGCCCCAGCTAGAGGAGGGACTTAGGAACCCACATGGAGAAGTGGGTCTGTGCTCCACCGGGATGTACTTCTGTGGCTGTGGACGTCCCCTGCTGGATCTGCCTCCAGGAGCCCCAGCTGCAGGAGTGTGGGTGACCAACAGGCCACCCAGCTGCAGCCGCTGTGAATGCTGAAACGAAGCTCCCTTCAGATTCATCCCTGCCAATGACTGAACCTGACAGTGATGCTGGTTCTGGCCCATTTCTCCTCGTGCAGGACACTTTTGAGGACCTTCCACTCAGGGGCTTGCATCAGCTGGACTCACTTTCTCAGACCCCTGTCCAGTGGACTGAGGCTCTTCCCACCGAATCCTTCCTTCCCATTTCCTTTCACAAATATGTGACCATTGATGTGGTCTGACCATTGCTCTCCCCACTTACTGGTGATCCTTCACCCTTTGTCATTCACAAATCTCCCCCAGTAAATCCCTTCTGCATACAATTCTGCCTTGGCATCTGCCTCTCCATGGACTCAAACTGACACACTGAGTAATCAGATAAATGGAGCTAGCAATCACTTATTCAGTCATTAATTCATTCAGCAAATATTTAACGGTCCCCTTTATGTGCCTTTATGTGCCAGGTACTATGCTAAGGACACAAAGTTTAACAAGTTAGTGTCTCTGTCCCTTCAGGAAAAATCGACTAAGTAAATATTCTCTGATCTATTCTGAGTAACGTGCATAGTAGCAGGGGTTTAGCAGACAAGCAGACTTCACACTCTCAGAGGAAGTGGAGGAGAAGAAAGAATAACTGGATCCTTCCCAAAGGAGCACTTAAGAAGACCAGTCACAAAATTAGGGGCTTGGCAATACTCTAAATACAAAGACTGGAACAACATTTAACCACATTAAGAAATGTGTTAAGAATAGGGAGGATTTGGTTGGGTAACTTGCCTCAGGTCTTTTCAGAAATATTCTTCTTTATGAGCAGGAATTTTAATTCTGGAAAAAAAAAAAAACTGTTTACCAAACCTATTAAAGATTTGCATCCATCACCTGAGTAAACAAACGTATGTAGAGATATCAAGCCAAGGTGTGAGGGAAGGAGGGGCCCTGCAAAGAATTTGCCAAGGAATAAATTATTGAAAATTCTAATCATGTATAAAAACTGCTTGTCATAGCAAAGTGAACCCATAAATGCCTTGAATCTGTCATAAAACTTTATGGAAATAAGCCCACTGCATAACGCCAACATGGCCATTTCAGAACATTATGGCACTGAAGACCGTAATGTCAATTTCATGGGGAGGGGGGCATCAAGACAGAAGTCAAAAGTTGGGAAGCAAGTTATCTGCTTCATTTTTAGGTTCCAAATGTCAGTACCAAGCTATTAGCATATAGCTGTCTAGGATTGTCATTATAAATTGTAAATGGGAGGGGCTAATATGCTTTTACGCATCTCACATCCGTTCCCTTGTTTGGGTTTTGAGTCCACGTTGTGACAGCCATTGCATAAATATCACCTCTGTACAGAGAGAGACACTGGGTTAAGAAAAAACTCCGCCAGGTCACATCATTTATGGCCGAACATATAATAGGACCGAGGTGTTCCATCCTGGACTGTTTTCACTACTCCATACCATGCAAGTGCATTTCCTAGGAAACGTCTAAAGATAAGGGAATAGGAAAAGCCTTTTTGTTATGGGTATACAGATCCATTTTCCTTACACGAACTTGTTGAATAACTTTCCATTAGAAATGTCCTTTGTGCAAATCAGTGCCTCTTATTTAAGCATCACCATCTTCCCTAGCAAGCTAAAAATATTGTTAGGAAATTACCCTAGAAAGACGTACAGATATCTGACCAACGCTCTTGAAGTTCTGAAGCAGTCCATTGATCATCACCTATCTCACAGAAGCTTTTTCAAGACAGTCCTGTTTACCCAGAGCCCAGGAACTCTGCCAGCTGCGAGCCACAGCAGGCGAGAAGAGGAAGCCGCCTCATTCATGAAATCCCAGTTGGGTTCAGCTTGGCGCTGTCTCTGCTTCCCATAGGACACTATGGGGTTTCCATGCTGAGTTCCTCTCAAAAGGCTGTAGATCTCAGGTTTCCACATCAGAGCTCTCTATGATTCTTCCTGTGTGACATGTAGTCTTTGTTCTAAACCCTGGAAGCTGGCGGAGCCTGCTTGACCCATCCGGGAGGCAGACAACCTGAGCTTTCAGAGCACAAAAGAGAGCGATCCATCTTTCGATGGGTGACAGCGTATAGCTCTGCTGGCTCCCTGCTCCAGCAGTTGCCCCAACCCCTGCTGGGGAAGGGAACAGAGAACAGAATGGAAATCTGGGAGCTACTTTTGTCACACTGATGGAAGCTCATAAAACTGGGAACTTAAAGTGCCTCTGTTTTTCTGAATCTTTTAGACGCTGATGTCTGTTATTTAGCTTTCAAAGGGAAAGCACACAATGGCCACTGAATGTTGGGAAAACAGGTTGCTCAAAATTGGAATCAGAGTAAAGGCTCTTAATAGTGTGACATGCCTTGAAGAGTACAGGCAATTTGTAATTGTTAAAAATGCATGCTCCACACCCCCCGAGTGTGCAGTGGAAGCAAAGGGGCCTCACAGTTGCCAACAGTAAGAACAACAATAATTATAATGATTGAAGCTAATAGGTTGAACACTTACATTTGTGAGACACCATTCTAAGGACTTCTATAACTGACACTACTGGATCTTCATGGTAGCACTGGAGGCTAGAAACTAAGAGTGCCTCCACGGGACAGAGCTGAAGGTAGTACACAGACAGGTTAAGCTGACCAAGGTCACACAGCCAGGATGCAACAAAGCCAGATGACTTCCAGGTCACTGGCTTCCATAATCTTTCTTAAAGACACTAGCGCTGGGGAGCACCCTCCAAATTATCTTATTTTATCCACTGTGACAGACAGATGTTATCCTTTCTGATTATGCCTTCAGACAAACAGAATTTTCAGAAGTAAAAACATTTCAATTCTTGCCCCTTGGCACAACTGGGCAAATGGAAGACCATAAAGTTTCAGTACTTTCCCAAAGTTCCAGACAAGTGACAGGGCATAAATTAAAACCTTGTGCAAGGACTATGGTATTTACTTTATACCATGTGTCCTCCCATCCCATAAGGTTGTGTCCATAACCCCAAATTTTTGTAAACCAGCCCTATGTTGAAAAGAAACTATATTTCACAGAGATTTATAAAAATACAGCACAATGATAAAATGGACAGTGATGCAGTTGGCATTGCCTTAGCAGTTATGAATTTATCTGACAGCACCCTTAATAGACAAGGATTTCTATGACGACCTTTAATTTTTGCATTTGTCCTTCCAATACAACGAGTCACATTCTCAGGATCCCATAGCAGAATTTACATTTCTGAAAGTCCACGTTTTCTCTGTTAAGAGTTAGCCCTTGGAAGAATCCTTCCCAGGCCAATTAATTGAGTATACTCTGACTGTTTACAGCTTTGACCACTTTGAATCATAAGCTGTATGTACTTCATGCATATAAATATAAAAAAAATACTGATAAAACACAAACTGGGTTCTCATTTTTGTCATCTGCCAGGCAAAAAAGGTGTCAATAATTTAAGTGACTTTCAAACAATGGGGAGACTACCATTCTTCTCATCCAGAGGACCAACCTTGATAACTCAGTCTTGAAAAACTAATTACAATAGAAAATACTAACTTGTATTAAATATTTTTGATGTATCAGAAAATAATTTGATCAATTTACATGTCTTCAAATTCTCAAATCAATCCTAACAGATAAATGCTATCATTATTTGGGTCATACCTGTGGTTCCCAATCAGGGGCAATTTTGTCCCCAGGGGACATTTGGCAATTATCTGGAGAAATTTGTGGTTGTCACCACTTGGGTAGGAATATGAAGGTGTTACTGGCATCTAGTGGGTAGAGTCCAGGTGTACCACCAAACAACCTACGGTGCACACAGACAGCCCTAAACAATAAAGAATTATTCAGCCCAAAATGTGAACATTGACAAGGTTGAGACATTTCATAATAGACTTAAGAAGAAATAGAAAATCTGAGTAATCCAAATGAGATTCAATAAGTTGAATCAGTAACAAAAGTCCTTCTCTGCCAAATAAAAAGATAGCAAGGTGCTACAGGCAAGTCTTAGGAGAAATCCCAAACTCAATCTAGTTAGTATAATCTTGATCTCTAAATCACACAAGGACATTTCAGAAAGAAAAATGATAAATTCATTTACCTAATGAATTATAATGTAAAATCCTGAAAAAATTATAGCACACTAAACCCAGCAAATACAAATGAATGCTCCCTGACCAAGTATAGTTTATCTTAGAAATTCAAGGATGGCTCAACATCAGGAAATAAGCTAGAGAAAAAGTATGTAATCTAAATAGACGCAGAGAAATATTTGGAAAAATCAAGCTTTATTTTTTAAAAACAAAGGTTTTAGAATATTAAGTCTATAAAAGAGTGTTGTAAATTAACATCGATTGAAGACTTTTAGCAAAGATTGTGCATGATGATAAAATTTAGAAGCATTTAAATTAATGGAACAAGAATTTTGGCAATCACCACATATTTAGTATTGGGTCTCTTCTCTAAAACAAAGAGGAAAAAGAACTATGAATATAAGAATTGGAAATGAAGGGATATATAAAAATGCAGGCAAAGCTACAAACAAACTACTAAAACTAAAAAGATTACTAGGTTGTTGTAAATAAGTTTAGCATATGAAAATGAGTAGCATTTTATACCCTATCATAATTATTTAGAAATTTGTAATGAAAACAACTCATTCACTATAACAACAAATCATAAGGTTCTCAGTGACAAATTTAATAAAAATATAAAATAACCTTACAGAGAAATTATAAAATATTACTGAATGATGTTAAAAATACATCATTCAATGGAGAGCTATTAAAATGTCCATGAAAGTAAAGATTCAATATTTTAAAATGTCAGTTCTCTTAAATTAATTATAAATGCAATACAACTTCAACGAGTTTTTAATGGAAATGATCAAGTCATTACTATTATTTATGTAATAATATAGTTCCACAAAGCCTGTAATAGGTTTGATGCAAAGAATGAGAGAAGAAGAAATGTCCTATGAGATATGATTTTTCAAAATCATACTATCCAAAACAAATGGATACTTGCAGACAAATGAATGGACAGAAATGAAGAGTGATCAGTAAAGCAGCTCTCCATCTATATTTTCTAGATGATAAGGTACTATATGATGAAAACATCATAGTCAATTGATTGTGCTGGCAGTGGAAGAAAGATCATTAATTCCTTATCTCACACCATAAATAAAAATCAATACCAGACATATTTTTTAAAGATCCAATGTGTTAATACTTATAGAAGCAAATGTGGGAGGAAATCTTGAAGACCTCAGGGTAGAAAAAGATCTATTTTAAAAGACTCAAAGAACGCAAATCACAAAGGAATTTTTCTACTTTAAAACTTTCAGTTTAATTAAAGACTGAGGGAAGTAATTGCTGATTCCTATAACTACCAAATTGTTAGTTTTCTAAATTTATAAAGAGTTTTTACAAATTCTCATGAAAATGTTAACAACAAAAAATAATAGAATAATTAATTTTCACAGTATAGAAAAGATACTTCTGAACAGCCAGGAAGCAAATTCATGAAAAAATATTCAACCTTTCTGCTAATCAGGGAAATAAAAATCAGAATCACACCAAGAAAGCCACTTCATACACCTTCCAATTGGATAGAAATCTTACAAATTCTGATGACAGCCAGCATTGTCAAGAATGCTAGAGAATGGGAAAAATCACACACTGAATGAAAATGGTAGACTCAGGCAACTGCCTTTGAGAGCACTGTACTAATATCTCATCAATTTAAGATGTGGGTTTGATCGACTCTAACAGATATCTACCAAGATGTAAATCCAAAAGCTTTTGAACCTGTGCACAAGGTGACATACATAAAAGTTCACGTGGAGGGCTTGAATTGGAAAAAGTTGATTCTGCAGGTGGGAGAAATTTACAAGCCACCCTCTTCATGGAATTATAGTCCCATAAGTTGTGGGATCTTGGAAGAAATAGGAACTTCAGAGGGTAATGTGGTCTGGTTCACGAGGGAGGTAGAGCTGTATTAGCAGTTCTCACCTTCGGGAAAAACCCCAGTGCCCACGCTTGGCACAGAAGCAAAAGAAACACAACCTTGAAAAGAAGTTCAGGCTTTGGACAGTGAGCATATTTGCAGTGACCTGTGTAAGCCAAAGATCTGAAGGCACAGAGACCTTCCTCAGTATGTAGATCCCTATGAGAGTAGCTGGGAATTTCATGATGCCCAGTAAGGGGTTGATCAGATGACTAGCAGACATTTCCATCAACTTTACAGTATCGGTTTTATTTGATTTTATAAAAAAAAAAGTTAGTAATAGGGCTATTTTTGCAAACCTGAGTTTGGAGGGTGATATTCACTCCAGCTATAGACACGTCCACCATTTGCAGCTTATCCATGGAAGTCTTGGTGAGCCTGGAACCTTGGACTAAACGTTCAGGTCTTAAACACTCCTTTCTCTGCACCCCCTCTGTTGGAGCAATGATCACATTATGTTTAATAGCTGAGATTATGCTCATCTCCCCAGTTCCAGGGCCTAGCATGCCTGTCCTACAATAGCCACCCTGGAAATTGTAATGTCTGCCTCCACCATGTCTGGTCACACCACCCACGTTTCTCCTCTTTCACCAGCAGGGGCGCCTAGGTCTCATGCGAGACAATTATATTTTAGAACATCATTTTGAGGTTTTTTTCCCTCAACACTCCAGATATTTTTCATGTGATCCTACTATATATTAAAATGAATTGTTTCTTCATCATATCTCTTCTGAGCCTAGCGTTAAATACTCTGCCAATCAAAGCACAATAGAACTGACTCTCACCTTCAATGGCCTAATTTTGAAATTACAATCCCAGGGATACTGTTAGAGCATTTAGTGTCGACCTTTTTCTCCTGCTGTTCCTCACAGGCTGTTACACTAATAAGCTTTATTGTCTGTTCTATAATCATCAGTAGTTACACAGCTCAGTGGTCATTGCATAAGAAAAACATAGTAATAGGAGAACAAGGTAAACTTAACAATGTATTCTTTGTTCTTCTGGTATATGTAGGATAATGGGCAATTTTATTTTGTTTATTGACCACATAAAGAATTTGATGTGATCTGAGTCCTCTCTGAGGCTGATAACTACATGCTGGAGAGAACTTGCTCCCCGCCAGGAGAATGATTTAGAAATGGTGGCTGGGAAACAGAGACTGGACAAACCAGGTATTCTTACATATGTTTTCTCATTTTGACCGCCCAGAAGTGCTCAACACAACCCTGTGAGGCAGGTGGTGTTACCCCCTTGATAAAAGTGGGAAAGAGGCTTATCAGTGTGAAAGTGACTTGCCCAAAACATCTGAAGTGGCAGGGTTGGGTGTCAAAGAGAGCTGACGGATCATTACTCAGAGTCTTAAATGTCCAACGTCATAGACCTCTCTATCATTACAACTCCTTCTTATCTTTCATCATTCAAGAAATATGCCACCTCCTCCAAGAAGGCTTCTGTGACTGTCATAATAGCTCAGAGTGATTTTAGTCTGCAGCAAACAGTTTGGCTTTGGAAGTTAATTTTTCTTTATCCATCTGTCCTCTTTCTGGGAGAAGTTGTCCTTAATCTTTCAGTTTGAAATAAATCTCCCTTCTTTGTAAGATTGTTAGGCCATTCTCACATTGCTATAAAGAAATACCTGACACTAGGTAATTTTTTTTTTAACAAAAGGCTTAATTGGATCACAGTTCTGTAGGTTTTACAGGAAGCACTGTGCTGACATCTGCTCAGCTTCTGGGGAGGCCTCAGGAAGCTTGCAATCATGGAGGAAGGTGAATTGGGAGCAGGCAGGTCACACTGCTTCTGGGAGGGTGGCCACAGCTGCACCCAGAGAGCTCCTGCCCCAACAACTCAGAAGGGGAAGGGTTCTTGCTTGTTCCGACTCCCACCTGCTCCATGGGGCAGCAGGCCCAGGTCTGCAACCACAGGTCAGGTGTCTTGCAGCTGCACCCAAGAAAGCAGATCCTGCCTGCTCCAGGTCCCCCGCAAGAGCACAGGGGAGCTTAGATTCGCAGCTGCAGTTTGGGTGGCTATAGCTCCTCCCAAGAGGGTGGGACTCCTGCCTTTCCATTGAGCAGGAGGCCTGGGTCTGCAGCCATGGTTTGGGTAGCTGTGGCAGCACACAGGCAGCTGCATGGAGTGTGCAGCCCCAGCCACACCTCCCTGCTGCAGACACTGCCATCACAGGTATTAAGTTACAGAATCCTAACAGCTCTATGAAGAAAGTACTCATTCCCATTTTACAGATGAGAGAATGGAGGCGCAGAAAGGTTAAGTTTGCCCAAAGTGACACAAGCAAGCAAAACTTGTTCAAGTATTAGAGCTGGGATTCAAACCTAGGCCATCTGCCTCTTAACCAACATTGTTGAAAGTAGGGGTCACAGATACTATAAATTGAAGATGGGCATTACTATACTCTGTAGAGTAAACGAAGTAGCCTACGATAAACCCAAATTAATTACTATGATGCTAAACTCACAGCATTTCTAATGGAAAAGAAAGGAAGGAATACTTGCTAAGCACCTATTTTATAACTGAAAAATAAATGTTACTTCAGGTAATGATATTCATAGCAAAGAAGTTATTGTCACCATATTACAGAAGAGGGGAATAAGGGTTAGAAAGATTAGAAGATGTGCCAGCTGCCCCTCAGTTCATTAGAGGCAGGACTGTGATTTGAACCAATGGCTCATATGAGTTTTATGTCTAGCATCTTAGTGAGAGGTGCACCCTGTCACATGCCATGGAAACTGATACCAGAGTTGTCAATGTTCTTTCTGCAAAACAGCCAGTGTAGCAATTGGTTGCTTGCTACCAGGAGCTCTCATTACAAAAGTCACTAAATCAATCTAAAAGAATATTTTTAGCATAGAAGAGTTTTCTGTTTTTATGACAATTTACCAATTCACTATGGTTCATATTATTGTGTGGTGCTTTGCAGTACTTTGAGGACAATTTTTGGCTCCCTATTAATTTTCCTGGTCTTCTCTCCTACTTTTCCTATTGCTGAGAGACAGGTTGGGTTTGCAGAAATGATACTGTGTAATTTTTTTTTTCCCGTGATAAGTTGCTGGAAAGCCCACATTCACTGTATGCATTGTCTCCTCTTTGTGATCAGTCCTTCTGCTCTGTTAATAATTAGAAAGATAGTGTCCCTGTCTTCCCTTTGCTTAGACAAATCATAGAAGCATCTCTTCATCTTTTCCCCATTTTCCTTTCTTGCCAGCAAAGTATTCTGCACTGATCAAAGGTATTTTATTCAAGTGTCAAAAGTGCTTCTAGGGGTGCTCCACTCCAGAAAATTCAATGTCGCACAAACACAATGTATGTATAATTTATGGATAAACAGAAAGAGCTTGGCAGGTGCTTTTGATGAATACTGTGACAGTTGTAAATGCTCCCAGTTCACGTTTTTATGGATTTAAAGGCCAGATTTTAGTGACCAGGTGACTGAAAAAAGTGATATTGTTTCTCCTTCTAATTCTGGTATAAAATCATAGCAATGGCAAATGTTATTATATGAACAACAATCACCACAAAAATAAAGTAGAACTCTTCCTATGAGCTACACTTCTATTGACTTGGAGGTTCACTTTCTTTTTCTTTTTTTTTTTTCCCAAAAGTAATTTGTTTGCACCTGTCACCTTTCAGCTCTTTGAATAAAATGCTTTGTGTGAGAAGCCTTCAGAGAGATAGTCCTATGCCATAACTGAATATAAAAGAAATGTGTTTCAGCTCAGTGTTTCCTTTAGTTCAAATAAAACAATTTAAAAGCTTTATGAAAATTATAGTCCACATCGAGATCATAAGCCTGAATCACCTTCTACCTTCATACACACACACTTTCATGTAGACAGAATGAAATATATAACAAAAATATGAACTGCCTTGCAGCAAAACAGTGCAGTGTCTCAACATCTGGATATCGTTTTTTTTTTTTTTTTTTTTTTTTTTTTTGCTATTGTTGTTGTTTTTAGCTTTCTCCCTGAAAATGTGATTCTGCTGCTGCAGAGAGTATATCTAATGAAATTAGTGCAATCATTTGCAGGGATAAGTAGTTAATTCTTAGCAACTGACAAAGACCAAATCCTTTATCCCTGATATTGTTTGGCTCTGTGTCCCCACCCAAATTTCATCTCAAATTGTAATCCCCATGTGTAGAGGGAGGGAACTGGTAGGAGGTGATTGGATAGTGGGGGCAGTTGCCCCCATGCTGTTCTACTGACAGTGAGTGAGTTCGCACTAGATCTAATGGTTTTAAAGAGTTTGGCAGTTCCCCCCTTGCTCTCTTTCTCTCCACCACCGTGTAAGTGATGCCTTGCTTCCTCTTCGCCTTCTGCCGTGATTGTAAGTTTCTTGAGGCGCCCCCCAACCCCCAGCCATTTGGAACTGTGAGTCAATTAAACCTCTTTACTTTGTAAATTACACAGTCTCAGGTAGTTCTTTATAGCAGTGTGAAAATGGACGAATACAGTATTACTATGCAGAATTTCTCAAAATAATTGTAGTTAAGTCTCCAATAGGTGCTTGAATTACTTCCATCATATCTCCATCATGTAGTGCCTGGCCAACTCAGGATAGAGAAACACTGTGTTTTAAGGCCACCTTTTAGAGACACTTCTCTTATTTTGAGTCCACTTTATTTCTCGATATTGTATCCACCACCCTTCCATTCATTCACCCATTGATCCAAGTTTATTTCCTGAGAACCTGAAAAATAAGTCAGACACCACCTGTGCATGAAATGCCTTCTTATATTGGATGAAAACTCTTGCAGGCTATCTGAATTTTCACTTTTCCAGTGTACGTATTGAGTTGTTTCTACTATTTTTATTTTGGGACCTAGCTCAGAGCCAGTCCTTTTTCTCCAGTCACCATAGAATTCTGAATGTGCCCCTAGCATCTCTCTTCTTCCAATACCTGTGATACACCTACATTCACAGTCTGGATCTGCTAAGAGTGCTTCCGGCTGCAAGGATACAAAGTCCAACAAACATTGCTTTAAGCCCAGTGTATATTTATTTACTTAACAAACATGATAGAGGTAGGCAAGCTCAGGGTTATTGTGGCAACATAACGTTGTCATCCATAACCAAGGTTGTTCTAGCTTTCTTCTTTGCCTTTCATGGCTTGTGAAGTTTGTCTTACTTCTCTTAACCTTATTATTCCAAAATGAATCTACATAATTCCAGATATCATAGCCCCCAACAAGGTGAAAAGCAGAAGAAAGGAGTGATCTCAGATTTCTGTCTTCTTACTTCATCCCTTGTATAAGGAATCACAAGGCTATCTGAAGATTTTAAATTGTCCCCCAGTCACTTCTGGCTGTGGGGTAGGAATCATGAGCTGGGGATATTGCTAACCATGAAAACTAGTTAGCAAGAAAGAAAGTGGCATTAGTGGCTGAGTAACAACAAACCAGGCTTGCTGCACACTGGGCTGTAAATGTTTTGTGAGTAGAAACAATCTTATTCATCTTTGTACTCCCAGTTTTTGGAAAGAACTCAATACATTTTTGATGAGCAAATGCAGGAATGAACTTGAATGAATAATTAAATGAATGGAGGAGTCCATCTTGTCTTGAGTCCCTGTACTGTCCTTTATATTCACCTTGAGCAAGACACCTCAGAAAGGGGCCCTGGAAGAGAATAAGCTCTGTAGATGTGGCCTCCTTAGTACAGAGCAAAGTAGGATTGACACCTTCTTGGTCCAGACACCATTTTTCTGTGAGAACAAACAAAAATGTGCTAACTTTTGGGCCATTGACTTTACTTTTGGATGTAGCGTACTTATTACAGAGCAAATACCTATATATTTTAATCTGTATTTCTCTCAATTCCCATCCAATTGTTGATTTTGTCTTGACTTGATTTCATCTGGTCAGCTTCACTCAGCTTCATCACATACCCATAGGGAAACATCAAGTCTCATGTGTCTTCATTCAACATATTCGCAGCAATGTGGGTGGGGAAAGAGATTCAAGATCCCCTAGACACTTACACTGTAGACCAGTCTTATCCAGGAGGGATACATTTTCAGACCCCTACTGAATATCTAAAACCTCGGATAATACAAAACCCTATTTATACTGTTTCTTCCTATACATACAAACCTATGGGAAAGCTTAATTTATAAATTAGACACAGTAAGAATTAACAACAATAACTAATAAAAAACAACAATTATGAAAACATACTGTAATAAAAGTTATCAGGGCCGGGCAAGGTGGTTCATGCCTGTAATTCCAGCACTTTGGGGGGCCGAGGCGGGTGGATCACCTGAGGTCAGGAGTTCGAGACCAGCCTGACCAATATGGTGAAACCTCGTCTCTACTTAAAATGAAAAAACTAGCTGGGCATGGTAGTGTGTGCCTGTAGTCCCAGCTACTCAGGAGGCTGAGGCAAGAGAATCGCTTGTACCCAGGAGGCAGAGGTTGCAGTGGGCTGAGATTGTGCCATTGCACTCCAGCCTGGGCAACAGAGCAAGACTTCATCTAAGAAAAAAAAGTTATCATGTGCTCTGGCTGTAACATTTGGAGTATGAGGTGCAATAGCAAAACTAGCCCAAACTTCTTTTTTCTTCCTCACAATTTCATGGATAAGAGATTTGCTCCTACTATAGATCTTCGTGCTCTCAGAAATTGATCTTTTTCTTTCTTTATTCCATCAATAACTTTCACTTTTTACTTAAAGGAAATGCTTTATGGCTTCTCATTGACATATCAAAATTGTCGGCATCACTACTTTTGTGCTTCGGGCCATTATTAAGTAAAATAGGAACTACTTGCACACAAGCACTGTGATAAAGTGACAGTGGCTCTGATAACTGAGATGGCTACCAAGTGACACGGTGGGCACGAAGCTTAGACAGTGTGGAGACACTGGACAAAGGGGTAGATGCATGTCCTAGGTGGGATAGAGCAAGACAGCTTGAGATTTCATCAAGCTGCTCAGAAAAGTATGTAATTTAAAACTTATGAGTTAAACTGTTTGTGTCTGGAATTTTTTATTTAGTATTTTTGGACCGCAGTTGACCACAGGTAAGTGAAATTGCAGAAAGTAAAACTGGGGATAAGGAAGGTCTACTGTATATTATTAGGTTGGTGCAAAAGTAATCACTGTTTTTATTTTATTTTTATTTATTTATTTACTTATTTTTGAGACAGAGTCTCATTCAGTCACTCAGGCTTTGGAGCGCAGTGACACAATCTTGGCTCACTGCAACCTCCACCTCCCAGGTTCAAGCAATTCTCCCACCTCAGCCTACTGAGTAGCTGGGATTACAGGCATGTACCGCCACTGCTGGCTAATTTTTGTGTTTTTAGTAGAGATGGCTTTCACCATGTTGGGCAGGCTGGTCTCGAACTCCTGACCTCAGGTGATCCACCTGCCTCGGCCTCCCAAAGTGCTGGGATTACAGGTGTGAGCCACTGTGCCTGCCTGTAATCACAGTTTTTAATGGCAAAAACCATGATTACTTTTGCACCAACCTGATACTTTGCTAAGGCTGCCATAACAACGTGCCACAGACTGGGAGGCTTAAACAAGAGAAATTGATTATCTCAGAGTTCTGAAGCCAGAAGTCCAAAATCAAGGTGTTTGCGGGGGTGGTTCCTTCTGAGGGCTGTGTGGGATAATCTGTTTTGTGCTCATCCTCTAGCTTCTATTTGTCTACTGGCAACTTTTGGTGTTCCTTGGCTTGCAGATACATCACCCCAATTTCTGTCTTCATCTGCATGTGGCATTCTTCTTGTCCCTTTGTCCCCTTTTTGTAAGGACACCAGTCGTGTGGATTGGGGCCCAACCTAATGCCCTCATTTTAACTTGATTCCTCCTGTGAAGACCCTCTCTACCAATGAGGTCACTCTCTGAGTTACTATGGTTAGGACTTCAAGATTTGAATTCTAGGGGCCAAAAATTCAGCCCATCTATTCTCTCATGTAACTTGGTCCATTAAGGATGCCACATGGGGAGAGAATCAGGGTGCAGTGGAGAGCTATGTAAGTCATGAATTTGAGAGGCCTGGGTTCAAATGCCAGTTCTGGCCCTTATCCGCAGGATGACCTTGACAACCACTGTGGACCTCAGCGTCACCTCATGTAAAATGACATCATAGAAATACCTACGTCATGCAACCATACTAAGAAATAAGTGAGATGACACAAGTAAGGTTCTCAAAACAGTGTCTAACACTGAGTAAATATTATGTTAAAATTTGCTTTTTTTCTTTTACATTGTGACCAAGCGTATAAATCCTATTTATTTTTCTATTTACTCCATATAATTTTTTCCAAAAATATATTATACAAAAACTTTCCAAATGCCCTGTTGAATTAAAAAAATACTTTTCCTTCCTACACATCTCTGATCTATCTCACCCATTAGCTCCACCAAAGATAGTAATTGTTTTATTAGAAATAATTCATTCTTCAAGAATCCATGTAGAATGATCCTCTCTACATGTTTGCAAATCAGTTCTGTATTTATTTAGCCTAAAAGTCTTTTTTACTGTTGAGTTATTTCTCATTTACCTTAATTTGTGTTTCTAGAAACCCATCTATTTTCTCCCTTTCAACGACAGTCCACAATGTGCATGTGTGAACAGACACACATACACATACTTCTTTAATTCACAAGGGCTTTATTTTCTGTTTCAGTGTCTTAAGACAGTCCCATTTTCTATGTCCTCACATGATGCCTCCATGGAGTCAACAATACAATTTCCAAAGTTCGTTCTGCTCATGAAGAAAACCAATGACTCTTAAGCATTAGTAGACATAGTACACTTCACGGAAAATGCTCTCAGATGTTTGACTTTACTAAGATGACACAGCTAGTAAGTGCCAGAAATACAATCTGACCCCACAGACAGTTTTAAATGTACACATTATTTTCCCACCATTGTGTAGAACCTGAACAAAATAAATTTTGTTCAGACCTACTGTGTTCAAGAAAATTGTAGCAGATTATTCCATAATGACCTTGGATTATCTTGTTTGTGTGTTCTGCAAAGGTCCCAGTGGTTCTGGGTGTGCAAGCAGGGAATGAGGTGAGATTGGCATTTCTGCTGACAACTTAAGCTTCAGAATAAGACCAGTTCAATTTGGGAGAGACGAGACCTATTTAATTTATTTATAAATACTTTATTTACATTGCTTGAGAATATGACTTGGCCAGTTTTAATCTTAATCTGATTTTTATGTAGGTTGACAAAGGGGAAAAATAAAAATCATTAGGCAGCTTCTATAAGCTTCCAGTTTCACAGCAACATAAAGTCACAGCTGACTGCCAGGCCCACGCATTGCAGGGATTACAGGATGTGACGGCAAAGTGGTTTTTTGAGAAATGAGATGCGGCATATTTCTTTTTTTTTTAATATTGCCATCCTGCCAGGAATTGCTATAAAAATGTCCTGAGTTCTGAAATGGGAGGGGGCGGATTTTCCAAACAGCTGCCAAGTGATATGGAAGTCCCTGAGCTTGTACATTGCCCATTTGGGCTGTTGGCACAGCAAGGCAGCATCAACCAAAGTATTTATTAAGGGCCCAGCTGTCCTGGCTGCCACACAAATGCTCTGCAAACAGCCAGAAACAGGAGCAGCCGTGCTCTCAAGGATTGGATTGATAGGGGCTGACAGTTCCAGGCCAAGAGTCCAGGTATGTCATTGTAGGCATAGGCAGCACAGTGTGGCTTAAAGAGTTCATTATTTTCCCTTCATTTTTTTAGATGGGATCTCACTATGTTGCCCAGGCTAAGTGCAGTAGCTATTCATAGACGTAATCATAGCACACTGCAGCCTCAAACTCCTGGCCATAAGCAATGCTCCAGCCTCAGCCTCCTGAGTAGCTGGGACTACACATGGGCCACCACCTCCAACTTCTCCTTTCAATCTTAAATGTCCCTCATGTGATAGGCAAGACAAGAGGTATTATCTTGATTTTATATGAGAGTTTATGTAGACAGTCCAAAGCTCCATATCTTGATGATAGCAGTCAGGAATCAAACTCAAATCTTAGGAATACAATATTTTGTGCTCCTTATAATCTATCCAAGTGGCTTCTCCAAATACACTGACATTAAAGTTTTTATATAAACATTTATCTGAGATGCAAATCATAAAATAGTAGGATTTTAAATTAGAAAGGCACGTAACATCCTGAATTCAACACGTTTGTTTTATTTATGAAGGACTTGAGCTTTCTGACTTGTCCCTTACAGTACATTGGTGGCAGAGCTGGGCCTAGAACCCAAGAGGTCTGACAGATCCAATGTACTTCATTTGCATTTGAATTGGGAATTTCATGGGA
Source organism: Homo sapiens (assembly GCF_000001405.40). NCBI lineage: Eukaryota > Metazoa > Chordata > Mammalia > Primates > Hominidae > Homo > Homo sapiens. The sequence goes on along the minus strand of NC_000004.12, from coordinate 11,209,178 downwards.
CTAGATCTCTCATTTTTTTTTTCTTCCTGGTCAAAGTTTTTCTTGTGACTCTACCTTGATTTGTTTGAGGCAGACTTAAGTACTGATTGCCCTCTGACACAGGAAAACTCTCTAGGTGAGTGGGGAGAATATAGAGTTTTCTTTAACATTGGAAATACAAAAGGAGAGAAAATGTAGTAAGCCTGAAGTTTTCATTCTTAAAGTATTGGCTTAATTTTCCCAAACCTTGGAAAGTTAGTCCAAGAAAAAAAAAAATAATAGTTTGAACACAGTAAGCCCCCTTCATAAAGCAAGCCATTAATGAATCAAAACCACACAACTTTGTAAACTCTAACTGAAGGAGGACAGAAGAATATCAAAGGGATAGACGTGCCAGAAAACTGAAATTCAGTTTGGGGTGCAAGGTGTAAAACTCTGGAACAACAAAAATTAGATCCACAGAGCACTGATACATGTTGAATTGAAATTGGTTTTTTTGGTCATCCTCCATGAAAATGAACTGAACTGAGATTAAAAAGTCCAAGAAACATCCCTCTCCAGCTTCTTTACTTACAAAAAGATTAAGAAAGTCACACACCCATACACAGACACACATACCTAGTTTCATTTATTTAGAACAGACCAGCAGGATCCATAAAATGATGTTATTTCTCATTTTAATCAATAAATCAGTATTTATTTATTATAGATCACAGTAATAATAATATAGCATGATTAATAAGACACAGTTCCTTACCTTCAGGGAACTCTGAATATAGCTAGCAAAATAAGGGCATAAGTAAACAATAGACAGTACAGAAAGCGCTGTAGAAGATTTACTTGAAAAGTATCATGGAGGATGAAGATACAGTTCTGCAATAGCTGGTAAGGGATGCTCATCAAGGAAGACTTGGTAAGTGATATGGTCTGACTCTTTGTCCCCACCCAAATCTCATCTTGAATTATAAATTAAATTGTAATCCCCATGTCCCCATGTGTTGGGGGAGGGACCTTTTGGGAGGTGACTAGATCATGGGAGCAGTTCCCCCATGCTGTCCTTGTAATAGTGAGTGAGTTCTCATGGGATCTGATGGTTTTATACAGGGCTTTTCCCCATTCCCTCATCACTTCTCTCTCCTGCTGCCATGTGAAGAAGGACATGTTTTCTTCTCCTTCCACCATGATTGTAAGTTTCCTGAGGCCTCCCCAGCCATGCGGAACTGTGAGTCAGTTAAACCTCTTTGTTTTATAAATTACTCAGTCTCCGATATTTCTTCATAGCAGCCTGAAAGTTAATTAATACAGTAGAGGAATAACAAGTAGAAAGATAGGAAATGACACTCCAGAAACAAGAAATTGTGCAATGATATCACAATGCAGTAGAAGCATGAGAAAGTGTTTTTCAGTGAATGCTAAGTATTCTGCAACATATGGAGCAAGCTGTGGGAAGGGATAGGGGATGATGAGTTGGGAGAGAGGGAGTTGGTTTGCATCACATGTTGAAAAGCCTTGGATGCCTAGTTAAGGAGCTCAGGCTTCATCCTGAATGCCGCGTGGCAGGGGTATGACTGGTTTCCATGGATGTGCTAGGAGATAGTGACACCAGTAATAGAGGGGAAGATGCTCATGGGAAAAGAAAGTCCGGAGGCAAAATATTCCTTTAGGAGGACATGGCCTTAGCCTAATTAAGACTTAATAAGAGCTTTACCTGGGTATCGCAAATTCCAGACTGCTGAAAATGTCATCTCGTAGAAATGTTTTCTTTGGCTTTCACAGGGTTAAACAAACAAATATATTGTCAATTCTTTAATGAATACCCCTCAAATTGAAAAAGGCTCCACTTATAGACAACTTGCATGGGTGTAACAGGAAGAAGTCAGAAGGCAAATCAGAATATGACATACAGAGTCCAAGTACACGTAATGGAAAAATGAATTTAAAACCAAGAGTCAATAGCAAAAAACTGTCATGCTAAGCATTTGATGATTTGTGATATTGCTATAAATGGTATCTTTTAATTTTTCTTTTCCATGTCTTTCTGATATATGAAATGCAATCAATTTTTCTAATAACTTTTTATACAGAGGGTTTGCTAAGTGTATTTATTAATCCTAATAATTGCTTCATAGATTCCTTTGGATATTCTGTCTGTATAAAATCATGCTGCCTACACATAATAAGAATTTTATTGCTTCCTTTTCAATCCTAAACAATTTATTTAATTTTCCTCCCTTATTACATTGGCTAGGACTTCCAGTAAAATACTGAATAAAAGTTGTGATTATAAGTATCTTATCTCATTTTTTATTTCAAGGAGAAAATTTTCAACTTAATTATTGAGTATATGAAGTATGTTTGCTCTAGATTTATTTACTTTAAGATACTCTAAGATTGTGTAAATACTTCTTTCCACCCATTTTTAGGGGTGTTAATTATGAACACATATAGTTTTATCAAATGCACTGTTCATCTCTTTTAAGATTTATATAATTTTTGTACATTTTTGCTTTTTTGTTTCTAATTTTTTGATATTAAAATATTACATTCTTGGAATAATCCTTACTTTATTGTCATGTCATCCTTTTTACATTTTTCAAGATTCAAACTGCTAATGATTTCTCTACAACTTTGTATTTATGTTCATGAGATCCTGATCTATAATTTTCCTTTCTTTTAATGTCTTCATCAAGCTTTGCTATGAAGGTTTTATTGGCCTTATAAAATGACTTGAACTGTTTGTCTTTCTTTTACTCTCTGGTTTTGGAAAAAAAATTCTTTTGAAAGATTATACCAGTTTGTGATGTGTCTGAAAAATAGCTTGTCCTTAAAAGTGGACTTTTCAAAAATCTGGATGGATATGTAGATAGCTTCATAGACAGATGTAACACACCCACCTAGCAGAAATTAGAGAAAACAAAAGACCTATGTTCAAGACAAAGTAAAGTTGCTGAAAGGAAAGGGGAGAAAAAATAATGCACAAAGGTATGTACCTCCTTTAAGCTGCTTGGGACCTCCCATTAAGTAGGCCAGGAAATTTTAGGATGGGAAATAACTTGTGTTTCTTCTACAATTCGTCGCTAAAAGTGCTAGAAATAAATATGCCTTAAGATAATTAATGTCAAGGAAATTATAGATATTAATAATAATAATAATCTAGTCCATTGAGCCATGTTAGCCAATTTTCTGGTTTGAATATAGCATATTATTTTTATCAAATTTCTAAAGTTAACACAAAATTAAAATGCTGATGACAGGCAATGCTGTCAAAGTTTTGCTGAAATCAATATATTCAGATATTACTGGTGATATAAATTGTCAAAACTGTTTTGGAAAGAAACATGGAAGTTAATTATTAATGACAATGTGTACAGTCATATCATTTGAAGTAGTCATTTCACTTCTGAGAATTCAGATGAATAAAATTATCCTAAAGCCAAAAGTACTGTATATTTAAAAGTGTTTATTGAAGCACCATTTACAATAGCCAAAAAATATGGAAATATTCTTCAATAGGACAATTATGAATAAGTTGTGGCACATTTGTCAACTGGGAGATAAAACACTGACTAACATAACTATTGAGACATGAAAAGTTTAATTGATATGATGTTTAAGAATACAAACACACATGTAAATTATTTTTCTTGCTATGTGAAAATTATGTGTCTGGAGGAGTAAAAATTGAAAGAGAACAAAGACAAATAAACACTATGTAATGTGTTTGGGAGGTAAAATTTTTCTCATATGTAGATTTGCATTAATGTTTTTATGTTTATGTAAAAAATATCATATAAAATGGCTATGATTTATTGAAATCCTATATTATGCTAAGCACTGTGAATGCTTTATCTTCTTTAATTCTCACAACAGCCTATAAGGGAAATACTATTAAGATTCATCATTTCATTGAATAATTATTTTTATTTTCAAATTAATACAATACGTACTTTCAAAAGATCAAGCTTTATGACTATGGTTATCAAGCATAGAAACAATCTCATGTCTCTTCCACACCAATGTTTTTTCATATTTTTTGTTATGAATCTCTAATATTTATAAATCAGATAATACTACCATTTTTAAATTTCAGATTTAGATAGTACTTATTTATTAAAAAGTAGCCATTATCTAAAAATGATTCTCTGAAGAAATGCATTAAATTGACAAGCCCTTGGAATCATCAAGAAAAAAAGAGAGAAAATATTAATTACCAATATTAGGAATGAAAAGGGGGACATCATATATATTCCACAGATATTAAAATTATAATAAGACAATATCATATACAATTGTATAAAAATGTACTTGAATATTTTCAGAAATGGGATAAATTTATAAAAAACATTATTAAAACAGGGAAAAAGTATTTAATAAATACCAATAGCATTATATCTATTAAGAAATTTTATTTTTAATTAAAACCCTCTTATAAGGAAAACTTAAGGCCTGGGTGATTCTGTTGATGGATTCTTTTAAGCCTTTTTGGAAGATATAATACCAAACTTCCCCACTTCCAGTTCTGTTTTTGTTCATTTTTCTCCTTTTCTTTTCATAATAAACTTCCTGCATTCTTATCCTCATCTCAGCATTTGTTTCTGGAGAATGCAAACTGAAACATCCACCAAAATAGATGTATAACAATTTTCACAGTGGCTATACTTACGATAGTTAAAAACCAGAATTCATTCAAATTTCTATCAAAAGGGGAATGAAGTAAGTTGTATTATATCCAGACAATGGAATACTACACAGCAATAAAAAAAGTTATTGATACATGTGACAATCTGGATGAGTCTCAAAAACTGTTCATTAGACCAAAGATACCAGACAAAGTGATACACACATTGTTTGACACTATTTATGTGATATTGAATAATAAGCAAAAGAGTCTATAGAAATAGAAGCCAGAAGAATGTTGACTTCCGGTGACTGTGTTCGATTTGGAAAGAGTAAGAGGGGCCTTGTGGGATAACAGATATACCGAATACCTTGATCTGGGTGGTGGCTGCATAGCTGTATATACACATAAAAATGTTCAATCTGCACATTTAATGTGGCTACATTTTACTGAATGTGAATTTTACCTTGTTTTAGACCCCAATTCCATAATAAGAATGATAGAATGCCTGGGAGATGCCACCAGAGATAATGTGCCTGCTCTGTTCTCCTGTGTTTTTAATCCATCCCTTTCCTTTTTTTCATATGGTACAGGGAGACTCATCTGCCTCCACATCTGTATACGTCCAGCTGAGTTTGACAGGAGGCTCACCTTCACTAGACAGGAGAGTGAGACAAAGGGAAAGTCAGAGTGTTCTCACTCCCACCTTCTTCCCCACCTTAGTTAACACCCCTGGCAGCAGCTGGAGGCCCTGAACTCCAGCTCCAGTGGACAGGGCCATCTTGGGCTCAGCTTCCACTGGAGGTTTCAACCCCCAGACACCGCTCACCTCTGTGACTCCAGACTCGCGCTGATGCTAATCTGTGGGTTCCTTATCACCCTCTCTTAGGTTCCTTACCTCTTTCATTATTTGTGTAACTAATTCACTGCATTTAATTCTCTCTGCAATTTCTCTTTTCCTCTTTAGACCACCAAACTGGGGAAAATAGCTATGGGCCATAGCAATCAAAACAAAACACTACTTATAAAAACAAATGTTCACAATGCAACGTGGATAAAAGGAATGGAAATTTGGCCTTCAGATGAAGGGAGATCTTCAAAGGTGATGCAATATTTAAACTAAGCCTTGAAGTTCACCAACTATAAAATGATGGGAACTTACTTCAGATGTAGAATCACTATATGGCACAGAGATCTGAGAATGTATCCTGGTTTCCTGTGGGGGGTGGGAGGAGACAGTATAAGTAATTGTTTTGGTGGATAAAGAATGCACTAAAAAAAACCTGTGTGGGATGAGGCTAGAAATATAGCTCAGGGGCAAACTGTAGAGCTACAAGTTGTGAACAATGTGCCTCAAAAGCTGACTTCAACCATATGTAGTGGGAGTGTTGAGGTTGTAATGAGCAGAGATCATGACATGTTCACATGCCAGAAGGATTTCTCTGGCATAACCAGAGTGAAAATATTTGAGAGAGAAGGGAGGCAGAGTCCCATTAGAAATATATGACAAAACAATGGATGGCCACATGGTTAGTTTTTTGAGGGATCTGTTTTAAGATGTTCTTCCAAAACAAGTGAAAGAGCTATTCCTCCTTATTTGCTCTTCTAGTAGCAATGGGCTAGGTAATTGAAATAAATAATCTCCATAAAAACAATGAAGAAAGCTTGAAATTAGAATTTAAAAATTCATCAACAAGAAGAAAGCAAGCAACCCAATTAATAAAAGGGCCAAAGACCTTAACAGATGCCTCACCAAAGAAGATATAGAGAAAGCAAATAAGCTTATAAAAAGATGCTCCACATCATATATCATCAGGGAAATGCAAATTAAAACAATGAGATACCATCGCACACCTATCAGAATGACCAAAATCTAAAAAACTGACAGCACCAAATTCTGGTGAGAATGTGGAGCACTGGGAATTCTTCATTGCTCGTGGGAATACAAAATGGTAGTCCACTTTGAAGACAATTTGGCAGATTTTTACAAAACTAAACATATTCTTACCATAAGATCCAAAAATCATACTCCTATGCATTCACCCCCAAAGAATTGAAAACTTACATTCACACAAAAATCTTCACATAGATGTTTATTGCAGCTTATTTATAATTGCTCAAATTTGAAAGCAAACAAGATGACCTTCAGTAGGTGAATGAATAGATAAATAAACTGTAGTACATGCAGACAATGGAATATTATTCAACATCGAAAAGAAATGAACAAACAAGCATGAAAAGGCATGGAGGAAATGTGAATGTATATTACTTACTGAAGTAAGTCAATCTGAAGACTTCTTACTGTGTGATTACAACTATATGACATTCTGGAAATGTCCAAACTATGGAGAAAGCAGAAAAGTAGGTGGTTGCCAAGGGTTAAAGAGGCAGGAGGGATGGATGGACAGAGCAAAGAAAATTATTAGTGCAGCGAAACTGCTCTGTGTGATTCTATGGAAGTGGATACATGTCATTATACATTTGTCCAAATCCATATGATGTACCACACCAATAGTGGACCCTCATATAAACTATCATCTTTGAGTGATAATGATGTATCAGTGTAAGTTCATCAATTGTAACAAATATTTCGCTCTGGTGGGGGATATTGATAATGAGGTAGGCTATACATATGTGGTGGCTAGGGGTATATAGGAACTCTTTATATTTTTCTTTCAAATTTGCTGTAAACCTAAAACTGCTCTATAAAATAAAGCCTATTAAAAATCATCTTAGGCATCACAAGGCTAAAAAGTTGGTGAGGAATTACCAAGCCAAGTTCAACAAAGGTCTAGAACCCAGACATGTGAGCCTAGCATTGAGTTGCCTTTATCTTGGGCCAAGTTTCTATCCTGGAAGAGGAAAGTAAGAGATGAAGTTGTAATATTGGTGACTTGGATGACCTGTAAGGACTATAGGGGTAGAGTCCCTGACAGGCCCCAATCTACCTGGTGCTGGATTCAGATGCGCTGTCACTTGGCTATTGCTACAATAGCATAGCAAACAAATCACCATAAAACTAAGTGCCTAATAGCAGTAATACATTTCTAGCTCAGTTCTACAGGTGGTGGTGGTGGCTTCTCTTGGCTAAGGTTGCTGGGTTCGTATCCAGGATGTGGGTCAACTCCAGCTGTGTTTCATACATCTGCCATCCTCCTTCCATCACCTGCTACCCAAGCTGGGGACAAGGAAGCACCCTACAAGCACATGTAAAGCTTTCCTTGCTCATGTCACCCCCACTTGCATTCTATCAGTCAGGTCTGTGCACCCTTAAGGGAAGGGGCAGAGGAGTGAAACTTTTCTGGACAAAATTCCAATCCACCCTAAAACCTAAATGTGAATGATATCAAAATAATACTTTTGGAAGACAATCTTGAGAAATAGCTTAATGGATTCAGGGCAGAGAATCCTTTCTTAACCACGATGCAAACAAAAGAGAGATTGTTAAGACTAACTGCATTAAAAGTAAGAATTTCTATTACTAAAATATATCACTAAAGAATGAAAAAGGTAAGCCACAGAAAGGGAGAGCATTTTTGCAACACATATAACTGAAGAGTTACTTGTTTCTGGAATCTATAAAGGCAGATGATCAGTCAATAAAAGATGAAAAACAAAAGAGAAGTATTAAGATGTGAATGGACATTTAATTAAAGAGAAAATTCAAATGGCTAATAAAAACATAGAAAGGTGTTCAATCTCATTATTACTCAGGGAAATGCAAATTAAACCAGAGAGAGATATTATGTCCCCACCAAAATGGCTAAAAGAGAAAGAAAAAACAATATCAACTGTTGGGGAGGAACATTTAACTCACTGAAGAAGAGAGTGTCTCTTGAGAAAACTATTTTGGAAAATTCTTGGCCTTATCTAGTGACCTGGCAATCAATCCCATTTCCAAGTATATACCCTAGAAAACTGATCGCATGTGCACTCAGAATGCATGCTTGAACAAAATTATTGAAATCTGATTATCAATAACACAGATCAGAAAAAACATAAGTGTCCATTAATAGTTGAATGTATAAATACACTGTACTTATAAAATGGCATTTTACACAGCAAAGAAAATGAATAAAATAAAGGCCTATGCAACAGTGTACATGAAACTTGTGAATGTAATGAATAAAGCCAGATTCAAAATTAATAGTTGTTTATGAATCTTTTTCTAGAAACTGAATTATAGAGACGGGCAGAAACTTCAACTTTGCTTCTTTCCTCTTTACCTGTTACCCTGCACTTTCAGAGAACTTAATTGTAGATTGCAAAATGAAGATCAAGCAATAACCACACACAATGAAGGATTCAAGGAACCCTAAAAAGGAAGAAAGTGAAAGTAGTAGAACCTTTCTTGTTACACATCTCTATTTTATTTATTCAAATGCTATTCTTTTTTAAGTCTATGTTTCCAGCCTGGTTAATCATAAAAGCTCAATCAAGAAAAAAAAAAAAAAAAAGAAATTTTTTTTTTTTTTTGAGATGGAATCTTGTTGTCGCTCGGGCTGGAGTGCAATGGCATGATCTCGGCTCACTGCAACCTCCACCTCCTGGGGTCAAGCGATTCTCCTGCCTCAGCCTTCCATGTAGCTGGGACTACAGGCGCGCACCACCACACCCAGCTAATTTTTGTATTTTTAGTAGAGACAGTGTTTCACCATGTTGGCCAGGATGGTCTCGATCTCCTGATCTCGTGATCCGCCAGCCTCAGCCTCCCAAAGTGCTGGGATTACACGTGTGAGCCATTGCACTCAGCCAGAAAACTTTTTAAATGATAATAAAAACAAAAACAAATGGCATTGTTCATTTAAAAGAAGATAAAGGAAGGAGACCCTGGAAGGTGGTTATATGTGCTTTAGCTTTATAATATTTAGAAAGCTCTACATTTATGTTTTGTACACTTCACTGTGTATTATTTTTTTCTCAAAAAGAGAATTAAAAAACAGAAACCTTGGTGCTTGTGTTAGTTTCCTAGGCCTGCCATAACAACATCTTACAGACTGAGTGGCTTAAACAATGAAAATTTAATTTCTTGCAGTTCTAGAGGCTAGGGGTCTGAGATCAAGATGCCAGTTGTGCTGGCTTCTTCCAAGACCTCTCTCCTTAGTTTGCATACAGCAGCAACCTTTTCCCCGTGTTCTCGTGTGACATTTCTTCTATATATGTCTGTGTCCTAACCTCTTCTTACAAGGGCACCAGTCATCTTAGATTAGGGCTTACCCTAATGACCCTATTTTAATTCAATTACCTCCTTATGGATCCTATCTTCAAACACAGTCACACTCTGAGGCGCTGGAGGTTAGAACTCCAACATATATATTTTGGGAAGACACAATTCAGCCAAAAATAGTGCCTAAACATTCCTCATAAGAAAAGTCATCACTCCTCTGAACTTGCAACAGCAAGCTCTGCTCATGATGACGTTTCTTGGGTAGCATCAAGGTGGTTCGCAGTTAAGGCATGTTGACTACATGCCACGCACTGCTCCGAGGGCTTCACCCGCATTCACTCATGTGGGTGAAGCCAGCAAAATAGGAATATTCCACTAAACCTGCAGCTGGAACCACCCAAAAGCAACAACAGGAGAATTCCTACAAGACAGTGCCACAAACAATCTCAAGATGGGGCCGGTTGAGATTCCAAAAAATGAAGCACTAACAGCCAGGGTGATCCGTCCAAGGCATTTATTAAAGGAACTTACATACAGAGTGGGTCACAGCAAACCTTGTGATGAACCACGAGAGAAAAGGCATGTTCTACCCAGGTAGGTGTGCAGCAAGGGGTCAGTGCGTAGAGCTTATATGAGCTCTGTACGCTGGAATTTGCTTGGGGCTGTGGCTAGATTCTTATAGTGTTTTGGGCAACAACCTAGATGCCTGTGAATGTTTGTAGTGTCTGGGAATGTTTAAGACCTTGGGAATGTTTAGTGCCTGGAGAATGTTCGAGGCCCTGGTTTGAGTTCGAGCCTGCTGGGAAGAATTTGCAGCGGGCTATGTCACAGAGAGGTCAAGGCACTCTGTGATTTTTAGTCAGTACACAGAAAAAAAGTGGGAGGAACTGGGGACCCTACAAGGGACTTTCATAGTTCCCATTTCACAGATGACGCTACTGATGTGCAGAGATTTTAGTTACACCGAGCAAGGCCACATAGATAGGAACTGTGTAGATGGGATTCGAATGCAACAGTTTAGACTTCAAAATATTTTCCTATCCTCTACACACTGTGCTTAATCTCAAGGTAAAACGCTAGATGGAAGGAGTAGTTTTAAAGGTGTGTGTGATGTGTGTGTGTGTGTGTGTGTGTGTCCGCATGTGTGTGTTTATGGGAGGGGGAGAGAGAGGTGAGAAATTCAGAAACTAGAGTTCTTGGGAGAAACAGAAAGGAGGAATTCGGAAGTTGTAGAATCTTTGAGATGCTTTGTAGGAAGCCTGACTATAGTTTATTTGACATAATCCTCTCTTAGTCATATCTTCATGGGGCTTGTAAGCACATGACTTGCTTCACAAACTTTTTCAACAGGGATTTGTGTCTCTCTTAATAAGTTTTCCTACTGAGACAGGAAAAGACTGCACAGAACACGAAATATTGCAAATAATTTCAGGTGATCTCAGTGTCTCCAGGGTCAAATTTCAGAGCTCTTCATGTTATTATTGTCATTCTAATAATG